>NC_000005.10:58234807-58859807 GCF_000001405.40 Homo sapiens
AATAGTTCTGAGGTAGAGAAACTGGACTAAATAAACTATGATATTTGTGTTCTTGTTGTTTGCACTTTCCCTAAACATAGAGAGTCAAATAAAATTTTAGTTAACAAAGGGCTCCATTTAAATGAAGCTAAAAAATAATTTAGCAAAAGCAAATAATCAGTAATGAGCAAAAATCAAACAAGCACAACAAGCAAACACAACAAAACAAAAAGCTCTGTCGAATCTAGATAAACTGTTTCTAGCCAGTTGACATTGTACAGAGAAAGAGAAGCAGTTTTGTTTTTTTTTCCTCTCAGTAAAGCTGCAAATTTTTTCTACAAAGTGTCCCTTAAATAAGTCTGTCATATCATGGAAACCAGTCTAAATTTTCTCATGGTGTTCATGGCTAGTAAATACTTTGTAAAGAAGTATTAATACCTGAGTTGTGTAAAACAGAGATCTTTCAGCACATTAATTCAATGGAAATGATTAAAGACTGTCTTTTTATTGTTATTTTCTTTTCTCTTTTCTTCCATATCTGCAGCCATATCACTAGGAATAAATGAAATATTTGCAAACAGGGTTGCACATATCCCTGTCTCCTTTGGGCTAAGCCCAGGACTTCTCAGTAATCCTTTCACAACCACCCTACTTGTAGGCATGTATTTCCTCAAACTTCCTCATACTTGTTGCTGCTATTGCCACATACGTTCATGTTTGCCAGTCTCAGCTGAAATACGTAAACCTCCTGCTAATGACATCTGGGAAATTGATGGCCTTGTGACTAAATATGTGATGCACAGCTTTGCATACTGTCCATCTTCGTATTTAGGACTCAGTATTTGGCATATTGTATTTGGCATATTTAGGACTCAGTATTTGGCAAGAATGTAATATCTGACAACCAAGAACTTGCACAACACTGAAGAGGACAGTGTATTTAAAAGAGACTATTAAGACAACTTGATATTAATATGTAAAATACATTTAAAGTTAGAAAAGTTAGTATAAAGATCATTATTCTAATTCTAGGGTAACATGGTATGCTCATTGACCTTGGAAATTTTCTTATGATAAAATAATTCTTTTTTTTTTTTTTTGAGACGGAGTCTCACTCTATTGCTCAGGCTGGAGTGCAATGGCACAATCTCAGCTCACTGCAACCTCTGCCTCCCAGGTTCAAGTGATTCTCCTGCCTCAGCTTCCTGAGTAGGTAGGATTACAGGTGCGTGCCACCACGCCTGGCTAATTTTTGTATTTTTAGTAGAGACGGGGTTTCACCATGTTGGCCAGGCTGGTCTCAAACTCCTGACCTCAAGTGATCCACCCGCCTTGGCCTCCCAAAGTGCTGGGATTACAGGCATGAGCCACCACACCCGGCGCTGATCAAATAATTCTTAATGAATATCTATAATGGCCCAAACAGTATGCTAATCATAGAAGATCTAGTAATGAATCAGGCATTGTCTCTATCCTCTGGGAGCCTATTACCTAACAGAGCAAGGCAGACATTCAACTTGCAGGTGCCTAAGGGTTAGAGATGCTAAGATGGAAGCATGTATTGTATTTGATGAAATAAAAAAAGGGTGCAGTCCATTTCCCTGAGTAGTCAGAAAATATATCACAGTGAAGACTCCATAGTGAACTAACAGGACTATGGGGAACACGGTCCATGTGATGTTGTTAAACATACCGTAAAAGTTTTCATCATTTTATGGAGTAATATGGCAATTTGAAAAATTAACCCCATGAGCCCCTAATATTCTTGATGCATAGTTTCCCTTTAGAAAATTCCCAACTCTTCAAACTAAGTCATCTGCACAAATATGTTAATGAAGGAGATTGTCCCTTTTCCTTGTTCCCAGTGATTCCCAAGCATCTTTGTTAAAGCATTGAACATGTTGCATCATACTTCTTTGCATATTTCCCTCAACTCCTAGATTGTAAGAGCCTTAGGGCCAGAGAACAAGTCTTATTCATCTTTCTACCTCTTAAGATGCCAATTCTGTAATGGGTGCACCACATGTTTATTGGATGTACTGGGAAAAGCTGGACTCCACCTTAAAGGACGACGGCAATAAGGGAATAAATGACCCCGCACACTATGACATGACAGGATTCTGGAGATGACGAAAGCTAGAAAAGTGTGGCTAAGTGGCAATATGGAAATATATAGGATGTCATTTTATGTATAAAAAGCAAAAACTAAAGAACACATACATATTAATTATAACTATAAAATATAGTTTTATGTTTATGTATTAAATTATGAAATTTAATATTTTTCCTTGTAAAGATGCCTAAATTTATAATATTTTAATTGCCAGTGAAAAATAAAGTCACTTATTGTATTATCTTCAATCCTTTTTCTTAGCCTTTGAAATAATATTTTCTTAAATACTCCCTAAAAGTGGAGAGGAAATAGAAGTAACTCCTTGAGAGGCACTGTGCTCTGAGCTTTACATAGTCATGTCAACTTAATTATCTCTCCAAATCTATTATTTAAAAAAATCTTACAGAGGTAAAGAAACTGAGGCATGGAAAGATTATACAATACACACAAGAAAAAGGAGTCTGTCTGATTCTCAAGGCTATATTTTTTTCACCATGTTTATTTTTTAGCAGATGAGTAAATTAAGCAAAATAAAGGAATTCTATTTTAGCAAGATGATCATTCTGATTTTCAAAATGTTCGTTGCATGGCTAATAAGGTGCTGCATATCAGTTGTATAACTTTGAGAAACTGGCCTCAGTTTCCCTCTATGCTAATTGAGGAGGTTGTACAGGGGCTAGCTACGTGGATGTTTTGCCTTTATGGTTTAAGATGGTGCATTATTCTAAACTGTTAAAAATTATCTATCTCAGAAGCAACTATCTTCATGTCAAATAATAGAAACTTAATAATCGACTGAGAAAATCTACTGCCCAAAATCTCTGAGAGGTGGCATTGTAGGAAATTAAGTGGATATAGACATTTATAATATTTCAATTCCTGTTAATATCCAGGGCATACTTATTTGGCTTCTCTTAGCTTATGCTTATATAATATGCAAAAGCAAAATAATTATAAGGAAAAATACAGTCAATTGCTAATGTACTGGTGTATTTTTTTAATTTTAAGTTTGGTATTATATAACTGGGTCATTTAAAATAAAGATCAATTTTCCTTAGAAGAGAATTTATTAATGATAATTTTTAAAGATTTAGAAAATAATTTTCTACCTAGGTCAGAGTTAGTCACATTTAATTCAGCAGTATTTAGTGAACACTTTTTAAGTAACTGAGTACATATCACATTGCTTGACATAGTTGCAAAAGCCATAGTTACTGTTATTTATTTAATATTTTTAGTTACTGTTGACTTGGAGTTTTAACTGAAATAAATTTATTTTTTAACTTGATAAATGTTAATTGCTTGTCATAGTTAAAAACTGAAGGTAGAAGTAAAATGCATCATAAATATTTGTGTAATGTTTGCTCTTTACTATCTTTACTACCACATTTGCATTATAGAATCCTGAAAGCAAGTTACCCCCAACGTGGACTTTAAAAATTAGCACTCAATCAAATCACCACAATGCCTCTACAGTTTCTTATCTGCTATTTGCTCTACAAATAGGCATTTTTTAGACGCTAGAATACCTGATGATTACTAAGAACAAACAGATATAACTTAAACATGTAATAGTAACTTTATTTTATCTTATTTATTTAAGATTCTGGTGAACCACCAAATGAATTCAGAAAGGCATCCACTAAGAATTGGCCTTGAGAAAAATTACAAAGCTAGCAGTTTGCCTTTGAGAATCCCTACCCAGGACCAACCACATTCTGAACTTCCAGCCTTTTTTTTTCTTTTCTACATCATATATTCCTCACTTTATTGATCTCTTAGTGATCGTTTTTGCTTTTTATAACCTTCAGAAAAGGATCTGCAAGTCATTCACATTAAGCTGATCACAGCTTAAAAGTGTACGTCTCCTCGGCCTTACTGTGTTCAAGAGGGATGAAAGCCAGGAGAATCAAGTCTAGAGTAGTAGATTTGGGTTTAAACCCTACTGTGCCTCCCCACCAACCTGCCCTGACCACCACCATCCCAAGCCACTTAACAGCTATGTGATATTGAGCAAGTTATGTAACTTCTCTAAGCTTGTTTCCTCACTGGCAAAGTGAGAATAAGAATATTTCCTTCCTCATAGGTTTGTGATGAGACTTTAATGAGATAAGGTAACAGGCTTACATAGTGCCTGGTGCAAAGTGTGAACTTCATAAACAATAGTTGATATTATTATTACATAAACAGTTTCCACCAAAGAAGAAGGCTGGCCCTACCCATAAGTAACATTCAAAACATTCTGTAAACTACAGGTGGAACCTGGTTACGTTGTGCTGTTAAGCAAGTGTTTGTTTATAGTCAGGTTTGTTTTTGTCAAGATATGACTTTATTTCTTAAAAAAAGTGATATGATTAATAGAAATGACTCAAAAGGTTTGCAAGAGTACTAATCAGAAGGAAGACACTTTGAATCTATTTTACTCAAACAGCAAAGTATGAAAATGAGTTTTAGGAACAGAAAGTCTTTCTTCCCCCACCCACAACTGTCACAACTCCACCCAACAATGGTCTTAAGGTTTAAGTCCAAAACAATGCCTAGCTTTCTATTTTTCTCTCCTACAAGGGCTGAATAATTTACCTTCCCAATTATTTCTATAGGATGTATAATTATAAAGATTATTTTGACAGACATGTCTGACCTAAAGCTTTGTTTCTACTCTACTTGAGTTGCAGCAGGTGAACCATGAGAACCTACAAATCAGGCAAGACTTGAGTTTTACAAGTTCTTTGTACAGGGATGGAACAAAGGTTATGATCAGCAAGAAATGCATTGTTTCTTGAACGTGAAGGTGTTCTGAATCTTTCCATGGGGATGCGTTTCAGGATTATCAACAGAGAAAATAATCTCCAACTGTTGTTGTTTGGGGGATTTTCTCTTCTGGGATAACTCTTCTGAAAGCACCTGCTGGGTGACTTGGTAGAAAAGGTCATGAGAAAGTAAACAATTTGACAGCCATTTCCTGAGCCATCTGATCTTATCCTTGAAGATGGATCACATTCTCCAGCAGAACCTGTTATAAATAGCAGTCAGTAGTGGCTGGGTGCTACTAACAAGGCTTAGCACAGGATTGACAGTTTTGATCCCCACTGTGGACTCTTCCCAGGAGCCAGTTCCTACCTTAGGCATTAATGGATCACATATTGTCGCACACGCTCCACCACCCCCATCTCTAGCCGATCTTTTGCTTCTCTCAACCAGCAAAGATTCTCTTGAGCTTGTTTTTCTATTGATTGTATTGCAGAAAACAATAAATAGGCTTTCTATTGTATTTACTATAATTTTTAAAAATTACATATTATCCCATTTGATAGTGTGCATTCTTCACTATTTGAGACTCACTGGCTCAGAGATTTTAGACTGACTTCAGAGATACGATTCTTTCATTCCATAGAAGACCCAAGGACCAAGTTTGTTTAAGAAGACTGTTTCCGTCTCAGGTTCAGCATCAAAGGATCTGAACCTTCAGGATGGAAGGCAAACCCATATGCAGCTTTCTCTGATCAAAATAATGTTTCCTGCAATCACCAGCCATCACGAAGGCATGACAAAGCCTAAAAGAATCAACATGAACCGGAAGTTTCTATCTGAATCATCCACTTGGCATTATGTTTCAGAAAATGCTAAAGGATTGTTTTTAAAGTGATATTTGATAGTGATATGATAGGCATGATTTTGTTTCTTCCTTCAATAATATGCTCCAAGAAAATATCTAATGTTTATGTAATAGAAGTATTTAAATTTTGTATAAGCATGAGCAAGCATGGCTAAATATTACTCAACAAGAATTTTTAAACACATACCATGTGCCATGCACCATTCAGAAGGGTGGAAGGTCTTACCTTCATGTAGACACAGTCTTGTAGAAAAACTTAACTGAGGAAAATTGTAATAAACCAAGAAGAATCCTTGTTGACAATATTTTAGATGCAAAATCAAAGCTGTGGGGTTATAAGAATCTGAGATTTTATTGGAAATAGATAAAAGTTTTTCTGAATTAGCTTCATTTGGATTAAAATCCTATTAGAGATTTAGTGGCTGGCAAAGTATTTCTGGGCCTTAATTTCATCATTGTTAAAATAAGAGGTTAGATGAAGTATCAGCTTCCTTCCAGTTCTACTATTCTAGGTCTATTATTATATATTTTCAAAATTTATAAAACAAAGTACATTATTTGACAATAAATTTTGTTGTTTCTCTAAAAAGTGCACATATATATACATATATATGTGTATATATGTATATATATTGTATATGTGTGTATATATATGTGTATATATATATATATATGTGCACTTTTTAGAGAAATAACACAATTTATTGTCTCCATATACAATATAAGAAGCACCTTGTATACGATAGTATCTTTTAGTTGGTGGTATCCTAATTGTCGTGATGACATGTTGTCTTTATTCCTCTTATAAGGATGTTGAGGAAGGTCAGTACAGTTGTCAACAATAAACACATGTTGAATATCCACCATGTATATAGCATTGAAATCAATACAGGTTTAGAAGATGGTATTAAGGAGAGCAAATGGTGTCCCTGTGTCTGAGACCCAGCAATTCTGTTGCTCTTGCATAGAAGAGCAAGGTTGGACCTGAGTTGGGCTCTGCCTGACCAGTGAAGGAAGACGAGGGAGACTCCACCCTCTGACCTTATCCGCTGCCTTCAACCTCTGAGAACGGTTATTCCCAGTCCTATTGTTTGGTACTTCCTGATCCTGCTTGCTCCCTCTGACTCACCAAACATGAAATCATAGCTAAGAAAGCTTCAAAGAGACCCTGGATAGCCCTAGACACACACTGTTTAAATGATAAAATGGTGTCAACCATTAACACTATAAACAAAATCATGTGTTTATCATGACAGCTGCACTGTGTAAAGACCTGCCCCTCAAATAAAGCCTGAGTCCTTTAAGCTGCTTCCCAAGGTCTTCTCAATCTAGACCCACACATTTCTTCAATGTGTACAAACTTAATGCTCTAATAATTAATTCCTCATAGTTATCATTCTGTGGCATGCTTATTCTTAACTGTTTTCTTTACACCTACAGTTGCATATGCCCATATGCCTTTATTTTTCTACTCCACCTGACAAAGCCTTCTTCTGTGAAGCCTAGCTAAAGTGTCAACTTATCTGTAAAGCCTCTCCCGATAACTTTGGATAAGTTAGTCATGTCCTCTCTCTTACTAGGTGTTCGTATTTCCACCATAGTTATTGTGATTCTCTGCTGACATGTTTCTCTTTATCACCAGATTTCAAGCTCTTTAAGGGAAAAGGCTGTGTTTTATTTATCTCTGGATCCCTAGAATTTTATGGTTCCTGAGGGTCAAAGTTTGTTTAATAAATGAATGTATTCTGACTTCTTCCTCAAAGCAGAGAAGCCTTTAGTATGGGCATGTATTAGTCTGTTCTCATGCTGCTAATAAAGACATACCCGAGACTCAGTAATTTATAAAAGAAAGAGGTTTAATTGACTCACAGTTTAGCATGGGGAGGCCTCAAGAAACTTACAATCATGGCAGAAGAGGAAGCAAACATGTCCTTCTTAACATGGTGGCAGCAAGGAGAAGTGCAGAGCAAAAGTAGGGGGGTTGAGGGGGTGGGGGAGTGGGGAAGCCCCTTATAAAACCTGCAGATCCTGTAAGAACTCACTCACTATCACAAGAACAGCATGGAGGTAACCAACCCCATGATTCAGTTATCTCCCACCAGGTCCCTCCACAATTATGGGGACTACAGTTCAAGAGAGATTTGGGGTGAGGACATAGCCAAATCGTATCAAGGCACATGTAATTGAGTGGAAGGTGAAGAAAATAACAGGGGTTAGGGAGGGCAGTGAGCCTGAGCAGTCACCTTGAGCCAAACTGGAGTGGTGTAGAGGGCCCCTAAAACTGCAGCCAGACAGAGAGAGAGGCCAGGAAGCAAATCCCAACTCACTGTTCTTTCCATTTGTTCATAAAAATTGAATAATATGGAAGGAGTCCAAGTTGATATCTTTACATAATGTGTTTTGTTTCTCCAATAAACATTGGAGGAAGATTGGGCATGATAGAATAATCAAATAAGCTGAGGAGTTGCCCAGGCCCACTTCTGAGGAGATAAGTTTTTAATCCTTTAATAGACCACAAATGAAATTAAAAATTAAAAAATAAATCCAAACAAAAATTGAAGTCTTCTTCATCTACCTAGCTGGTTCCAAAGTTAGAAAAGATGTACAGGAGAACAGCTAGAATAATTCATTCATCTTTTCAGGCTTTTACTGAACTTCATAGGAAAAAGTGAGGAGGAAGAGAAAGTGTATTATTTAAAATGATTAACATTAGTTGCTGTAACAAACATCCCTTACATTTCAATGGCTTGACACAGTAAGTCTGATTTCTCCCTTCATACCAAGAACTACAAGTCAATATCCAACCAGCAGCACATGACTGATGATAGGGAAAGGTTTAGTGTACAAGCCTGGAAATGGTGCACATCAATTCCTTCACATCCCACTGTCCAGAAAGCAACAAAAAGCCTCCCTCTTTCATCGAGGGGCTGCTTACTGTGGTTTAGCTATTTCTAAGAAGAGAAGAAACCAGCATTCTATCACAGAATGGAAGTAAAAAGAAAGATAAAAGGCAAAGGAAAAATAAAATAAAGGGAGAAATTTTGAAAAACATTTAGGAAAAAATTGTACTCTCTGGCTTCTCTTATATAGAACACCCCTTACCATAGATTATCATACAGCTGAAGAATAGAAGACATATATGAGACATCTATACATATACACATGTACATATATGCCCCATTCAGCTGTGTAACTGTGTGTGTGTGTGTGTGTGTGTGTGTGTGTGTGTGTAGGTGTGGGAGAGATGAGGTCCAGGGTGTAAAATAATGAAAAAAGATATTTAAAAGTATATATTAAAATCTATTTCTACTAACTATGTACTTTCCTTCTAGCAAACTTGGTTTCTTGTAATACTCAAGTCTTTGAGACTTGCACTGTGTACACCACCTCACAGAGATCATTTTCTTTCATGGTTCTTTAGTTTGGGCATGTGTTGTTTCTTTTGCCTACTCCAGTTAGAAACAATATAGTGATTAATTGTGATCTGTTTTCACCCCACAACTTTCTTCTCTTTAACCTTCAGCCAACTGCTACTATTTGTTCAAGATCTAAGCAAGTTTTCTCAGGAATATGTATTATTTCTTAGCTTTTCTTGATGGTGTTCATTTAGTTCCTAGGCTTGTTTTGCTTTCAGAACTGTGAGTCGCCTGAAGACCAGCTCTTCTTGTAGGCCCAGTGCCTCACAGAACTCCAGGCATATAAGAGTTAGGATGACCATATGAATTCTTGACAAAACCAAGATGTTTTTGAGTGAAAGGGTGAAGTTGTAATTATATTATGCAAGATAGCAGGAGTAAACCAGGGCTATCCCTGAAAAACATGGACATATGGGCTCTATAAATATGTGTTGATGAGAATACAAGCTCTGTTCTGGAATCCAAACTCTATTCATCTCACATCACTTTATCCTATATCCTCATCACTTAAAACTGTGCATGGCACATAGTGAGTGTGCGTTAGAAAGGTGCTGAGTAGATGAAGAACTGGGAGAACACAAAATATGTAGCAGTTCTACAAGGTTCTAGTCTCCCTCAAGGAGAAAGCCTTGAACAGAACAATTTCCTCAGCTCTCTTCTCACTTTTCTACTTGATATGTTCCTTCAGCAGCTTTGCCTAGCACAGTGGACTGCCCTCTGTCCCCCATCCAGCTGCCTTCCCATAACCATGCTAGGACACAAAGCTTCCCCTCCGAAGCAATGAGATGCATAAATTCATGATCCTTAAAATACAATCTGCTACAGATACCAGCTACATTGGTTAAGGGTTTTTTTTAAAAGTGATTCAGGTATTGTCATTACAGCTTCAAGACCCATACCAGAGAGCAGTTTTTAAAACCTGATTTATCTCCTTTTGTAGGCTCGGTCACAGAGTTAAGTAGCAGCAACAGTGGGAGGCAGGACACTTCTCTTTGCTCCGTTTTGACTGCTGTCACCCAGAAGCTGATGCTGCTAGAGGGGATTGAGGAGGTGGGGGAGGTTTGGGGCCATTACAATCAGAGGAAGAAGGGGAGGAGCTGACTGAGTAGGGAAGGACTGTGTTTAATGTGATTGAGTAATCATCACCCAAAATAGCTGACTGTCAGAAAGGAGAGTGTGTGTTTGAGGGAGCAGGTGAAGGTGAAGGTGAGCTATCTTAGAGTCTGCTGGAAGTATTGCGGAGGAATTTGGGGAATTAACTCTAAAATCATGAAATGGATTATTTCTGAAGTCAAGGTCAGTAGTATCCCAGAAACCGAGGCTTCTGGCCCAAGCAGGAAACCCCTCCTGAGAAGTGCACATCCTCCTCTTTCTGGGCAGGCCATGATGCGGAAGTACAGTCTTCCATATCCTAATTAGCGCTCCTGGTTTGACAAGGGTGGCTCCCTCCCTAAAGTTTCCTTTCTCTGCTGTTTTACAGAGGATTTCACGGGAAAGGACCACAAACTCTGCTCCTTTTAAATTTCGTTGAAGAATGTCAGCAAATTACAATTGTTCAAAATCAAAATTTCATAAACTTGGCTGCAGAATATTTATGATGCAAAAACAATCGCAAAAGGCTTTGCTGCAAAGCTTTATTGACACAGCCTTCCTGTCCCCACATCTTGCTTCCTCTCAGGAAAGTGGGACGTGTTGGATGATTTCCCAGCTTCTATTTGGAGAGGAAGTCTACAGGTTTTTCACCATCAAGCCAATCTGCACTCACTGAAGAACACCTGCAACCAAAGGCTGTGCCTATTCTCTTTTGTGCGTTTGCAGCTATCAAAATAAATGAGTTATGAGGATGGGAAAATTACATTTCTTTTCAGAGTAACTTTGCTCTCCACATATGCACAAGGAGGTTTACACCCTGATGCCCCGATGTTGTGAACGGTGCTTATGATTAGAATTACAATTTAGGCATTTTGCACTCAAAACCAATGTCAATAATTGTTCCAAGAGAAGGAGCTTCTAAAAGGCCTCATGCACAGGCAGATTTTCCCTGGTACTGCCCCTTTATTTTGTACACAGTAAATTATTAAACCCACATAATAATGGAAAACAAGGAAACTGCCTGTCTCCTCTACCCAGATGTATCACCAATACAATACTAATCATTCTCCCTGCATGCAAGTCCTTTCTCCTACCTACTCATTCACTTCCTTCAACAATATCTGTCTCAGCAGACATAACAGTTGTCGCACTCCTCACCCATCTGCACATCTCCCCAGGTCTTAAAATGTGGCTCAGACAACCCTGAGAGCTTATAACGCTTTATGCTTAGCCTAAGGCTTGACACAGGGAGAGAGTGTGTTGTTTGCTCAGATGTGTCCTCATCTATTGTTTATTATTTACAACCCTGACTTTGAAAGTGGAAATAGTCATAAAAAATTCCTTCAACAGAAAAAGAGCAAAAAACAACCAATTCATAGACAAATAACCTGATCATTACATTCAAGGAGCCTTGGCTCCTCAGTAGCATTCTAATGTGTCTGCTATTATGTCCTGTCCTATCATATCCCCTTGCATCTGTAGCTATGTTGGTGATGATGGCATGACAGCAGGATGTGTAAGTGTACAAGGTCTGTTTGCATGAAGATAGATTGCTCAGTCGTACAAAATCCAGCTCCACTTTGGAATTTCCTCAGTCAGGATGGCTGCGTTTGATGAGAACCAAGAATGTAGTACATGATCATCCTTTTCCAGACTTCCTGACACGGTGAAAGACACCCCAAACCAAAAGTGACCATATCCTGTGTTGTCAATCACTCTCCAGAGACTGGCCACTTCCTTTGAAGTGACTCAGTGTCAGGGGATCAAAAAAATCTAAATAATGACATTTCTAAGTGTCCTTTTCTGCTCAGATTGATTTCATAGCACTCTCCACCCTGATGTACATCTCTTCCAAATACCTCTAAAGCTTTTAGTCATCTTAGAATATTCTAGTCTCATGTTTCACTATTGTTTTCAGATTATTCTGAGAGCATTTTAGCTAGAAAGTGCCACCTCTCCTTACATTGACTTTTGTTGTCTGTCCCAAGCTCATCTTCCTTTCTGCTTATCTGAAGCCTACCAGTTTTTCAAAGCCCCAATCTTCCTCTCCATCAAATTCCAGTAGTATTTACTGCCTGCTGGACTTACTTGGCAATGGTCATGTTCTGCCTTCTATTTTTGGCCGCTTTTTATGTGTAGGTACCTTGGCACCCCACTAGACTGGAAAAGTCTCCAAGGGTCAACAGTTTACTTTGCAACAATCAGTGTAACTCATGAGAAATTCTCAGCGTATCTTGAATGAATACAGTAATAGAAGTATAAATGGCTGGCTGGTAAGCTTATCTTCTACAGAAAATTGTGGCCATTAGGTGTGACCTCCTTCAACTTTGTCTCCCTCCTCTTACACACCTGCAAACATCAGCACTACTCCTTTATTTTTTTCCTTATTATAAGAAGATGAAGCATATTTTGCAAAATGCAGATGCCTCTGCATATTTCATTAATTCTTTTCCTCCCACCCCTCCTGTCACTGATCATTCACTGTCTCTCCCATGATTCTTTATTTAGTCTATAAACCAGCCCTCCTCTCTTGACCTCAAATCCTGCTCATTCAATACTTTCCTTTCTACCCCCTTCAGCTTCTTAAAAAGCGAGTCTGTGTTTGCTATTTCCATTTTTTTTCTTTTAATTCCTGACTCTCAGTCACCTGGTTTCAGCCCTGCCACTCCACTCAAATTGCTTTAAGTTCATCAGTAAGCAAACTTCCTACTTCTACAGTACAATAGACATTTTTATTGTGTTATCTTATTGGCCTTTATTTTATATTGGACATTGTTGATCACTTTGTTCTTAGAGCTTTCTCCCTGCTTGGCTACTTCACATAAACTGAACCTCTTTAGTTTTTCTACTATTCCTCTCTCTTTATTTTTTGTTTTTAAATCTTGCCTGAGCTCTTTCTTAAAACCTCTGCTAATGTTGATCCTTTCCATTCACAACTTCTCTTCTTATTCGGCATGTATTCTTGGATAGTGAACTCACTCTGGATACATGAGATTGTTACTGAAGTAATAATAATTACGAATAGTTATAGAGTACTTTGCATCAGCCACTGTTCTAAGTACTTTCACATGCATTTAACTCAATCATCATACACAGTGTATATTGCAACAAACATTTTATAAATGAAAAAACTAAACATCAGAGTGGTTAAACACCTTGCCCATAGTGAAAAGGAGTAGACTTGGGATTTTAACCCAGGAAGTTTAACTACAGAGCCTGTACTCCAGTGCAAGTTCTGGGTTGCGTAAAGAGACTTGGGGATTCCAATCTCTATCCATAATTCAACCCAGGAATCATGGAATTATTTTTAGCTCTTTCTGTTCATCACTCTCACAGCCCATAAACTGTGGACTCTTGATGATTTCCTTGGCTTTGTGTCTTCAGTCTGTGTTCCCTATTTCCACAGCCCTGTCACCACTGCCTGGATCCAGGCCATCACTGCAGACTACTGAAGTCATCTCTTAAGCTGGTCTCCTTGCTTCCAGGTCCTCCTCCAACCCATAGTCACTAGGCTGCAACAGAGTATTTCAAATAAAACACAAGTCTGACCACATCACTTTCTTGCTTTAAAAACTTTCAATGGCTCCTAATCCCCCATGATTTGAAGTCCATTTTCTGTAGAGTGACATAGAAAGCACTTAGCCTTGCCAACCCCTTCAGCTTTATCTATCACATAAAATTACTTGAGTTCCCTGCACATAGGCCTTATGTCCTGTATTGATACTGTTCCCTCTGCCTATCCTGTCTGCCTGGCTATTTCCTATGTGCCCTTTAAGTCTTATCTAAGGCTAAATATCCTGTCCTTGCATTTAGTGCCATTGCATTTTTTGCAAAGTACTAACAATACATTTATGTATCTGGCTTCTCCATTGTGTTATTAGCTCCTAAAGATAAGGATGTTGTCAAAATTTCTTCAAATTTGCAATATTTTGTGTAGTGCCTGATACAAAATAGGTACTTATAAATGTTTGTTTTAATGTATACATTAATGAACAAATAATTTAATGACTGAATATAAATCTCTGTTTCCTTTTACTGTGAGTTATTTTTCAGTGGAGCACACACACATAAAAAAAAGTCTTGAATAAAAGAAAGTTTCTGGCCAAGTGCAGTGGCTCATGCCTGTAATCCCAGCACTTTGGGAAGCCGAGGTGGGTGGGTCACCTGAGGTCAGGAGTTCGAGACCAGCCTGATCAACATGGCAAAACCCTGTCTCTACCAAAAATACAAAAATTAGTCAGGCGTGGTGACGGGTGCCTGTAATCCCAGCTACTGGGGAGGCTGAGGCGGTACAATCGCTTGAACCTGAAAGGCAGACGTTGCAGTGGGCTGAGATCGTGCCACTGCACTCCAGCCTGGGCAACAAGAGTGAGACTCCATCTCAAAAAAAAAAAAAAAAAAAAAAAACACTTTCTGTTTATACTGTTGGACATTCTATAGCAATAAGTATTAACTACCATATGTTTGTTTTTCTTAAAGCAAGACAAACTTTATGGAAAAACAGCACTAAATCCCATAGCACTGCTCCCTACTTGTGTTTTAAATCTTCCCTTACCAAAATTTCCATCTATATTTTCCTAATGCAAAAAGTAAAATGTTTATTTAGTCATTGTATGTGCTCAACAGTAGTATGATTTTTGTTAGGATAAGTGGCACATTGTAGAAAAACACCAAGATAATAGTGGTTTAGGAGCAATAGAAGGTTCTTTTCACCTCACGAAAGAATTCCTGAGGAGCCCTTGTAGGACTGATCTGGCAGCTCCAAGGTCATAAGAAATTCAAGCCCCTCCTGTTTTGCTGTTTCTGGATGCATTGCTTCAGTGTCCAGGATGGCTGCTGGAAATGTAGCTATTATAGCTGCATTCCACATAGCAGGAAGAAGGAAGAGGAGAAGGGTGTGCCCCTTCTTTTAAGAATGCTTCCTGGAAATCACATACAACACTTCCATTTACACTCACACTAACAGCCAGGAACATTACAAAATATAGTTTGTTTGTGGGTTTTTTGTTGTTGCTGTTGTTGAGGTTTGTTTTGTTGTTGTTTGTTCATTTGTTTTTTGCTGGTGGTAATGTGAGCAGCCACGAAAAATCTGGATTTTCTTCGTAAGGATAAGGGTGGCTCCATGTTGATATAGGCAATCTAGAATTACTACCATAGTCTAGTGAGAATATATGGAAAATACAAAAATCTCTAAAGTAGTATGTTGGTGAACAATCTCTGGTCAGCTGAGGGATGAACTGGAGGTGATCATTATGTAGTTGGTGAGCCTGCAAATAAAGCCAGAAGAAAATAAATAGCATGAAGCTGCACACCTGGCCTTACAGAACTGAAGGCTGAGAAGAGTGGATTCAACCCACTGAACAAAGAAGACGTATTGTAATCTTCCTGCCATTATTTAAATTTACTGCAACAAAACATCACAAAGCAGATTACAGAGGTGTTCTTGTTATATATATATATTCCTAGTAAGTGTTGGGATTATAAAGATAATGAAGGCCAGGCATGTTGAATCGTGCCTGTAATCTTAGCAATTTAGAAGGCTGAGACTGGTGGATTGCTTGAGTCCAAGGAGTTCAAGACCAGTTTGAGCAACATGGCAAAACCCCATCTCTACAAAAAGATAGAAAAATTAGCTGGGCCTGGTGATGCACGCCTATAGTTCCAGCTACTTGGGAGGCTGAGGTGGGAGGATCACCTAAGTCCAGGGAGGTGGAGGCTGCACTGAGCTGTGATCATGCCACTACACTCCAGTCTGGGCAACTGAATGAGACTCTATCATAAAAACAAAACAAAAACAAAACAAAACAAAAAATGAATAAGATGAAAAAGAAAAAAAAGAAAGATAATGGGATTTATTTACATGGTTATCTTGTTTGGATTGGTCCATTAACTTAGCACAATGCTTCTCAAACTTGCTGGACATAGGAATTTCCTGATACATTGCTAAAATGCAGATTCTGGTGGGTCTCAGTTGAAGTCAAAGTTCTGTTGCATGTCAAGGAGCAAGGCTTTGAGAGCCACAGCATTTGTTGATCCAGGTGTTAGTTCAGATCTCTGTAAAGTGAATTCCAAGATAGTAAAGATATGCAAAAGATTTACAGGAAAGCCTATGGAGGATAACCAGGAAGGGGACAGAGAATGTGGGAGAGCCATCAGACTGCCATGAAAGTTTTACCTGGGCAGAAGAGAGGGAAGGGAGGAGTATGTTGGAGGAGTTTCACACCACAGAGAGGCCAATGGGAAGACCTGAGCCAAAGATGCCTATCAGAAGAATCTTACATATAGCAGAAATGGCCTGCACCAAGACCCCAGTCATGCTCTGCCATTGGCTGAAAGCAGCTCATGAAAAGCATATCCTTGGATCTAGAGGGACAGCAGCTGGTACCATTAGTCAATCATGCTCCCTGAAGTAGGAGATCTGAGTGGTGCTTTTTTATGGTTCCCATGATCCATATTCTTGCCTCTCTACATACACTGAATATAATTCAATGTTTCTTTGAAGTCCTTGCAGAATCTGAGAATGTTTATTACAAATATTAATTTTGCAACATAAATTTGTAGTGCATGACGGCCTTTAATAAATATATTTTTATTGAACAAACAAGATTGAAGAAAAAGAAGTTAGAGCAATAAAGATTGAATTTCTTGGTACCTGATCCAAGACATACCATGAAAGTTGCATGAGCAAGAATGATAAATTATTTCCAATTTAGAGTTTTCTTATTTGCTTCTTTCTTATAAAAGCTGATTGCAGCAAATATTACCCAATTTTAGGTTCCAATTACTTGATGTTTAATTGTAATTAGTTTAACAGTTTGGATTTATTTCCTTTAAAGAGACCATGGGAAAAAATTGTTTACTGCAAACAAATTAACCATCATGGAATTTATATAATTCACTCATATGCACTTTGAACACTCAATATAATTACATAATTTTGATTCAAAATGAAATCACTTGGCACTTCAGCAGGATGAAATGTGCAAAGTCCAATTTAATTTGTGTAAGGTACCAACGTTATCCATTTTTAAAAATAAAAGGCCTTGGTAGATAAAAACTCAATTGGAACTATTATATTTTCATTCAGAATAATTTTCAATTTGTTATAGTTCATAAAGTTACAAATAAAAAATAACTATTTCTGAATTCATAAAATGTATAAACCTTGATTGACAGAAAATGACATTACATATTTTATGAGTTTGGGGTTCAAATTTTTCTCCAATTTTTTTCCTCCTTATAAGAATAAATTGTATTCTATTTGTTGACATTGTCTAATGGCTTATGTCTTTATTATCACATGAATGGTGATGCAACTTGGTACTCTTTACCTCCAAGCAGTTGTCAGCATTCATAGAACAACTTACTATGTGTTGCAGAAAAAAACTGCTGTACTGATAAAATTTATTTTTGAAGTTTCCTTTGCACATCAAAATAGAATCAACAATCTATTGATCTAGTTCATAACTCTATCTAAAAGCAACTCAAGCTGATGTGGTGGCTCACGCTTGTAATCCCAGCACTTTGGGAGGCTGAGGCAGGTGAATTGCTTGAGCCCAGGAGTTTGAGACCAGCCTCGGCAACATAGTGAGACCCTGTCTTTATAAAAAATACAAAAATTAGCCAGGTGTGTGGCATGAACCTGTAGTCCCAGCTACTCAGCAGGCTGAGGTGGGAGGATCACCTAAGCCCGGGGAGGTTGAGGGTGCAGTGAGCCATGATCGTGCCACTGCACTCCAGTCTGGGTGACAGATTAACACCCTGTCTCAAAAAAATTCAGAATAAAAATAAAAAATATAAGCAACTCAATATCTAAAAGCATCATCCATTCACTCGATAAATCATTATTGAGTCTTCTAAGGACAAGTCACTGTGTTAAATTCCACAGGAAATTCAAGACCAAATTAGGCCAACAACACACTCTCAAAATACTCGGGGACATACAAGGGCTAGGAATATTTAGATAAGTTCCCCTGTTTCACTTTCTCTGTGACACTTCGAAGCTGGCTCATTATCCCAAGTAGGTGCAAAGGCGATGGTATGGGAGTTCTATAAGGATAAGATCTATGTTTTGCCTATTGTATTTTGAGTTCAAGTGAGTAGTGGTTTTCTAATTGGGGTAATCACGTTTCTGAAAGAGGTTACATTTGACTTTAGAGTGGAAGGATAGTTAGCATTACAATAAATGAAAATGAAAGAGAGGATGGGCAAGAGGACAGAGGGAATGGCTTGAGCAATGTCCCGAAGAAGAAAAGCCAGCCAGTCTTCCAGACATGATGAGTATCCTGGTTGGCTTAGAATGTAGGAAAGCAGTAAGTAGAAGAAATTAAAAGGTCGAGATAAACTTAAGGATGCTTTGAATAACATGCTGAGGAATTTGAATAGAAGTCTCATAGGCAATGAGGAAGCTTCAGGTTTCCTCAAGATATCACTAAGACTGTCTTTAAGAACATTGATCTGGAAACAGTGTACAGGATTTACTAGAGACGGTCAAGATGTAAACCTCTTGCTATTTGGAAAATAAAGTTGTTCCATGGCCGTTGCAGGGAATAAATGAGGTAACCCACGGAGAAAACAAGAAAAATGTCTAGGTAATGGGGAAACAGCTAAGTTAATTACTAAACAGGCAGTGAACTACATCTGCATAATTTACCGGCTTTATCAATAAAATTGGAAGAAGAAATTGAAAAACAACAAAGTTGGGGTGGCATAAGATTGGAATACAGAATAACAGACATGAAGAGCATCAAAAGAGCATGGAAATTTGGGATCTGTTGTTAATGAGGATGGCACTGAGAAGGCTGGCCACCTCTGGAACTATTCTCTCTGTCTTGTCTTTTTCCATCATTTTCACCCTTTTCCCCAAATTCACAGATGCACTGGCAGTTTGTGTAGTGATTAGGAGAGTGAGCTTTGGAATCAATCCTACATGGATTTGAATCCCAGCTCTGTCAATTAGTCACTAGCTAATTTACCTTGGGCAAGTTACTTTACCTCTCTAATCCTCAGTTGAATGATTAGTAATATGAAAGTAACACAAATAATCTACACCATAGAATTATGAGCCTTGCATGAGTAAATGCATATAACACACTTATAAGAGTGTCTGCCATGTTCTGAGCACCCAGTTGTTATTTTTATTATTATCCTTAGCTAAACCAAGCTACCATTTTTTCTCTCCTGGCCATCCCTTATCAAAATCTTGAAAGTAGTCTTATCTTATTCCTCTAGTGATTGGCAGTTAGCCAATCCTCAAAACACAGCTCTAGCTCAAAACTTACTGGGACTATTGTTTTAAAGGTAGCCAAGGAGCATAGAGAAACTAAATGCAGTGACCTGTGCTTAGTCCTCAACCTCTTTGATCTCTCTCCTTTGAGCACTTCCATATCAGAGTTCCTCTCTCTATGACATACTGTCTAGGTTCTACTCTTATCTCCCTGGCTTTTACTTCAGTTCTTTCTGACTTCTCTTCCAGGTGAATAAATGTGGGTGTTACCCAAGATCTTTCCTTGACTCTTCTTCTTTCTCCATGATCATGCCCAGATGGGTTTTTGGTGTGGATGTCCTTTCTGTTTGTTAGTTTTCCTTCTAACAGACAGGACCCTCAGCTGCAGGTCTGTTGGAGTTTGCTAGAGGTCCACTCCAGACCCTGTTTGCCTGGGTATCAGCAGCGGTGTTTGTAGAACAGCGGTTTTTCGTGAACCGCGAATGCTGCTGTCTGATCGTTCCTCTGGAAGTTTTGTCTCAGAGGAGTACCCGGCCCCGTGAAGTGTCAGTCTGCCCCTACTGGGGGGTGCCTCCCAGTTAGGCTGCTCAGGGGTCAGGGACCCACTTGAGAAGGCAGTCTGCCCGTTCTCAGATCTCCAGCTGCGTGCTGGGAGAACCACTGCTCTCTTCAAAGCTGTCAGACAGGGACCTTCTCCAAAAGTTTAAACAAGTCTTCGTAGAACTATCTCCAAAATCTGCATCTGTAGTCTTGACTGACTTTCTTAACTCCAATACTACATGTCAACACCCCAACTAGATATTCTATATCACTATAAACTTGGCAAGTTCAAATCAAACCCAATTTGCAACCAATACACGCCTTCAGCCGTTTCATTTTCATTAGCAAAACTCTTTTAACTAGACAGCAAGAGGGGAAACCTTGTGGCTAATCTCATTAACTCCATCACATTTTTTTTCCTCCCTCACTCCAGTGTAAATAGTTGTCAGATCATATGAGGTGAACCTCTTCAGTGCCTCTCACATCCTTTCCAAAAGTTACCCTTGTAGCTCAGGTCTTGATTACCCCTTGTCTTGATTACTGTTTGTTATAAACCAAGTTCTCTGCCTCTATCACCTGACTTTCCCAAACCCTCCTAACAACTTTTGCCACATTACTTTCCCAAATGCAGTTGTGGAAAGGGGTCCTTGCTTCTTCAAAAATTCTAACTTCTTGAGGCTTAAATTATACTTCATAAACAACTCTATCATTAGGAGAATAGTCAGACATATTAACTATATATATGCTTGTCTTGCCTCCTCTACTAAAATTGAGCTAATTAAAATCAGATGTCATGCCATAGCATTGTATCCACTCATATTACAGGCAGTGCCTAAACACAAAATGCGTGTAATAAGTATGTAATGAACAGATTTTCTATTGAATAAGTGTATTCCCCTCCTTAAAAATCTACAATATGATTCCACATTTCTTACCAAGTAAGATAAAAACTTAACTGTAATGCTTTCTGAAACTTAGCACTAATCTACCTCTCCTACCTCTCCAGTGTTTTCTGTTTTTGTACCATGGTGTCCTATGAAACTGAAATACTAGTGTGCTTCACATTTCTTACCTTTCCTATTCTCCCCATGATATCCCTCAGTTTGGAATATCCTATTCTCTTTCCTTCCATAATTAAATCTTACTTAACTAAAAGCCTTCTTCTCATTTAAGCCTTCACTAACCTTTCCTTCTTTAAAGTAATTTCTTTTTCATCTGAAATTTCTTATGACTTAGCCCTCCATTCTGGTACTAAATGTATTCCACATAAAAAGTGGCTACTTCTGTACTCATCTTGCCTATTTGGCTGTGAACTTACTGAGTACAAGGACTATGTCTGACTCATCTTGTATCTCTATTGTACTGAGAACAAGGTCTGGACCATTGAATACACTCAATTCATATCATGATGTTCCGGCTAAATAGAGCCACGGGAATCTAATACACATGGCCTCCTGTCCCACACACAACTCCTGGAAGTCAGGAAAGCCAGTCATGCAACCTGAGTGCATGACATAACCTTTCAGGACATCATTTTACCACCTGCAAAGAAGGTAAGATTTTGGAGAATATTTTAGGAACTGAGTCCACATAAAGCATTTATTTTGGGGTTCACTTATGCTAAATAATCAATAAATGTTAGATATTATTATCATTATTTTCTACAAAAGAGTGTCCTATTCACTCACTCTTCTAATCCATTCTTGCTAACCCTCCAGATTATTTATTCCAGAATAGTGTTGTGGTCTAGCAAGTCCCTACTTCAATTTCCTTTAACAACCCACTAGTGCTCAGTGAAGAAAATCTCAAACTCCAACCTCCTGCTCCTCCCCAAGAACAGGCCAGAAACTGAAACACTAATTTAACCTGTTTGCCTGTGGAAGAGCTGCTGGCCACTGCAGTTTATCTCCTTTCTCTTCCTCTCATGACCTACGGCAGTGCAACCACCATCTAGGTGTCTAGCTCAATATACAATGTGAGGTGTGGGGAATGGATAAAGGAAAGGCAAAGCCCCTTGAAGTCCAGGTTACCAGACTTTTCTGTTGAGACATGGAGCTATCTCAGCAATCAAAAGGAAAAAGGTAAAATGTATTATATGTATTTGTCAAGATTACCCAGCATCCAATATTGGTAATAGATATGACTGAAAAAAAAATGCTAATGGGCCTAAAACATCCACATCAAATTTCCATTGAGATGTACCTCATTCACAAGATAAAAAGAAATACACTTTTGGCTAAATACCAAGTCCAAGATTTTTGTAAAATAGTATGAAGTGTTTTAAAAAGCTCTGAAAGAAGCATCAACTTCTATCTAAGGTGGGAAGTCCTATTATTCATTTCCTGCCAGAATTTAAAAAAAAATCCTTAAATTTAATTTAAATTTAAAGAAAAAGTTTAAGGTCATCTCAACATCTGACTTCTTTGTAAGTCAGGTAAACAGAGAAGAAGAAGTCAAAAGAAGGAGGCATAATACTTTTTGCATATCATACTGATATGTCTTGTTTTGTACTTATAGTCAGCCATTTCAAAGAAGGTTCCTATTTAATATGTTTGAAATTTTCTCAAAGACACTGCATTAATAATTTCTCATTAAGGCTAGTGATATATTATTTAAGAACAGCATTGAGAGAGATGTAAAAAATTTAAACATCATTATAAGCAAACCGGCCAACACACATGCACACACCAATTTAAAATGTCCTTTAGTTTCTTCTTAAAGTAAATGAAAAGGCACATACACTATTTTCTAAGAAACTTTAGTCTATAATATATTTTTCTTCCACCAGGAATGTCTTTGTCCCATTACCCCAAGTAAGATTCCACCCTTTCTTCGTAATCTGCTTCAGATGTCACCTCCTTTATTGAGACTTTCCTGGTTCTCCCCAACCATAAACTATCTCCTTCCTCTGAGCCCCTATGGGGCTTGACCAATTTCGAGTCTGCAGTGGCCCGGGGTCTGCTGAATGACTTTCACAGGCCATTGGAACTTTTTGCCTTATCAGCCTCTTCATAATAAAATATTAAAATGATATTTTATAACTGATTGGTATGAACATAAATGAAATCTAGGCTGATTTTTTTTTATTATACATTCATTATTATTATGATACTTAATTTTTTCTTATTTAAAAAAATTAAAAGGAAACATTTTATGGGCTCCTAAATGCATCATGGTACTAGGCCTTCCATCCCCGCCTAATGGGTAACTTGGCCCCATCACTTTCACACCAGACTTGTGTTGTAATTATTTATGCATGTGCTATCTCCCCTTCTAGGAAAAGAGCTTTAGGTTAGAAGCCTGAAAACTCTTTATAGCAACTATCTGAAATAAGTTTATTGAATGATATACAACCTTCCAGGGTCTTTAGAGAAAGAACACTCAGGAATTTACTTAGTTCTGCATTTACTGAGGCAGGGTGGCTACCACTCTTTGGTATGACTAATTATGATTCCTACTTTTTTCCAGTGAGAAAGCTACATTATTATTGTTAGATTTAAATGTTCCTATTTTTAATGAAGTACTAAGGGAACAAGTTAGAAACAAACTAGTAATCAAGAACCCTGGAGACTTGTTTCCATTTTCAAAGTTTCCTTTGTTGATTAATACTTTGTTTTTAGAAAAGGGTGTATGTGTGTGCATGTGTCCCATATATGAACAAAAAGTGACCTGAAAAAAAATTGGGAAAATGAGGCTTTTCTTTACTTCAATCTGGTACATTAGATTAACTAACTTAATGTGTATGAAGTCACTTTTTATACATTTTATACACTTTTTACACATTTAGGTTGCCACCTAAAATGTATACACCCATGCCCATAATTGATTGTAAGCCTACGGCACTGGGCATATTAGTGAAATGCAGAGAAAATTTTTCAGTTTTTAAGCCATCACACTGCTCTGTCCCTAAAATCTTGAGTGAGTTGAAAATAAAAACTACAAAAGTTTATGCCATTAGCAATGTTCTTGACCTACATAGGTTTTGATGCAAGCCATTTTGCAGATGAGGTTGCTCTCTCTTTAACTGATTTCATGGTCAAGGTTGGAACCAGCATAAATCACCTTATAAGAACAGGCACATATCTTGTTCACTTCTAAGATATATGTTTCCTGCCATGGCAAGTGTCTGGCAGAAGGCACTTAACTCCGAAAGCATTGTTACAGGGATCAGCAAATACAATTCCCTCAGTACACAGCATCTCCAGAAAGTTCCCAGAATTCTGAAACAAGTGATTTTTATGGCCATGCCAAATAAAGTTTATTCAAGAAAATGCTCCCCTATTTGTAACATTCTCAAGAGTATTTACAGCAAATGTTTGGAGAGGTAGTGCTGTGGGGAGTAGTCAGGTGATCTGGAATGCCATTTGTTAGTGAGAGCTGCTGAACACATGGTAGTCATTTCATTTCTCCTCAATGGGGGCACCAAAGGCTGGCTCCATAGAAGTACAGAGGTCTTTCATCATTATGCTCTACTAAGATCTCACTCAATGCTGCCACAAATTTAACAATATTTTTTAAAAACTTCTTCATGGAGCCAATTATAATTTTCTCACAGGTATATATAATATTCATGAAAGCATCTTTAGAAACTGTTATTTTTATTGCTCTGTAACAATTAAGCTAAATAAAAACCATATCCTTACCATGCACAGGTAGCTCCAAGACCTGGCTCCAGGCTACCACTCCCACAGATGGCTGCCTGGACATAAAGCCCATCCACTCCAAGATAGGGAGCCAGCACTGCTACTGGTTGTCTTCCCAAAACACCAGTGATTACTGGCAGGGTACTTTCATTTGAGAATAAAAACAAAACCAAGTAAAACAAAAATCACACACACAAACACTGACTTCCTAATGTGGTACTTTTCATTCAGAGAGGGAAAATAAACATAAAATAAAATGAAATCATAAGCTTCAGAGAGTAGGATCATTTGCTTGCAAATCATTCAGATGCAGTAGCAGCTAGTTTGCCCAGAGTTTAGATTAAAAGTGTCAGGTTCCTTCAGGGGGATTTTCCCAAGCGCGGATGAAAATCACACTCGGATGCAGTCATTCCTTTGGAATGTAGCAAATTTAGATGACCCAGGTAGCTGTGGAGGCTGCTTTCCAAGGGCATTTCCAGCTCTCTTTCCTTCTCTCTGAGAGCAAGAGTGATGAAGTGCATTCTTGCCTACTCATCTGCCCTGTGATCTATGGATCCACAATGAAGTACAAGTCGAGCATGAATCAGCAAAATGCTCTATTGAAAAAGAAACTGACCTAATGATGCTACGGTATGAAGTATGAAGAAGTAGGAAGGTATGAACAACAAGAAAATCCCCAGTGCACCCAGCCTGGCTCACACTCTTGCTGGGAGACTCGCCCAATGTTGGATTTCAAGTAGGTTCAAGGTAGGTTTGCCAGATAAAACACAGAATGCCCAGTTACATTTGAATTTCAGTAAACAACTGATAATAATCAGTGGACTGTTAAGACATCTACCTTTCTGATATTCTCTCTTCTCTGAAGCCTCCCTGGATCCTTGAGGTACCAAAAGCATTAATAATAAAAGCAACAACCAATATTAAAGAGCTTCCATTTTCAAGAGCACTTTTCACATTCATTAGCCAGCTCTTTAGTTTGTCTTTACGACATTCCTGAAGGTTGATATTATTATGGGCAATTGACTGATAAAACTAGAGGCTCATCTGAAATTAAGGCATTTATTCATTCAAGTAAATGTTACAGTTAGATTTAAAGCTCTGGTATCAACTTAACTGCCTCCCAAAAGCACTTTGTGCCTTTATTTTTAAAATAAAGCTTATGAAATTCTCCCAGATACCTCGTTTATCTACCTTGCTTTCACCTAAATTTCGGGCTTCCAGAAAATGGAGATTGATTATTGTTTATTTTTACTAACCTCACCATGCCCTGATGTTCAATAAAATGTCTTTTGATTTAGGCCGGGCGCGGTGGCTCACGCCTGTAATCCCAGCACTTTGGGAGGCCAAGGCAGGCATATCACAAGGTCAGGAGATCAAGATCATCTTGCCTAACACAGTGAAACCCCGTCTCTACTAAAGACACACACACACACACACACACACACACACACACACACATACAAATTTAGCCGGGCGTGGTGGTGGGTGCCTGTAGTCCCAGCTACTTGGGAGGCTGAGGCAGGAGAATGGCATGAACCCGGGAGGCAGAGCTTGCAGTGAGCCCAGATTGCGCCACTGCACTCCAGCCTGGGCGACAGAGTGAGACTCCGTCTCAAAAAAATAAATAAATGAATAAATAAAATAAAATAAATAAAAGTCTACTGATTTAAACTGAATCAAGAACACTTACTTTTTTCAGGTTAACCAAGATTACCTTCAATCCATCTTGTTCACTACATTTCTGCAAGATAGAGGGAAATTGTAATTATATTCTATGTATTTGCTAAAAGAAACACAGTGAATTATTGCAAACAATGAGAATGGAATTCAGGCTTCCTTTTCCTCAGCCTTTTTGTGATTTTGTTATCATTTTTGTGCCTACCAGGAGGACCCAAGATTTTTCATCTCCTAGAGATAGTATAAGTGTTAATGAGAGAAGGTATGTGTGACACACTAAAGGATGTCTGAAAAAAAGGTACTTTTGAAATGTAAATATTAATGTAATGTCTCAGCTTTGGGTAGCTGAAACTGGTGTTCATGTGCAGTCACTGAGTTTCTTAAAAGGCAAATGAAAATAACTGCAATAAACATTAATATTTTTTATTTTATTGGATCTTGATGTCCAAAAGTGAAACCCCAAATCTCCATCAGTATATACCATGTTGAAATCAGTCAGAATGGGCAGAAATTAAAAGGTTCCCCTTTTACAGATGATAGAATAGCCTGCTCTCCCTGGAAGGCACTAATGGAACTTGCCTGGAAAACAACTGCGTGCTCAACATGGTGTTAAAAGGAAGCATGTTTTAACCAGTTGGAAATGTCTATTGGGCGAGCTCCGTTCTTGGCCTGTGTTTTGTCCATTCTCTCTATCCTGAGATAGCTCCATGCTGTCAACTCAACAAGACTGGGATTTCCTGCTTCGATGAGCAACAATGCCAAAATTCTGGCAAAGTGCTTTTATTTCTGTGTCATCATGTTACCACAGTCACAGAAATAGAGGAGCTCCTTAAAAATGATGGCAGATTGTATATTTTGCTCTTTTGATAAAAGTCCAATATACTAAACAATGTAGCAGAATAATTAAAAAATGCATGTGTGTTGGAGACAGGCCAAACTAGTTGCAAATACTGTCTCCACTCTGTGGACCTTGAACAAGTCCCTTAAGTCCTTTAATTTCTAATTTCCTCTTTTGTAAATAGATCTAATAATCTTGACCTCATAGAATTATGGTGAAATTAAATAAAATGCCATTGCTTCAAGTCATTTAGCATAATGCCTAATATATAGTATATCCTCCACAAGTGTAGGGGTGGCTATTACTCTTAAATACTTGAAGCATTAAATACCAGAAGCCTCTGCTTCAGTTTGTGTGTATATGATAGAGCTATTTTCTAACATCTGGTGTTGGGACCCAGTGACATAGTCACTAGTCATTTCTAAAAGCTTCCCTGGATGATTCTAATATGAAGGCAAAGTTAAGAACTACAGCTCTGGGGCAGGAATGATATCACCATTTTGTGAAGGCCAACTAAATGTCAGCCTACACTCTGGCATGAAAATAAATTCCTTGGTCAAATAAATTTGGAAAATGCTTCTTATTAAAGATTCCACAGGATTATTCAAGACCCTGAATGGTCATGCAATTTAAAACAAATAAACAAACACCGGTTTGCAAATTTTCCAAACTAATCAGCATACGACATATTTTTGTTAACACCAAGTAGCATCTCAACTTACACACTTAATGAAGATGCTGAGGGAAAGAGAAACATTCCAGTTTGAAAAGATTTTGAATATAATCAGTAGCTGGATTTTTTTAATGTTTTAACTTTTATTATAGATTAAAGAGTACATATGCAGATTTGTTACATGAATAAATTGCGTGATACTGAGGCTTGGGGTCCCAACAATCCCATCACTGAGGCAGCAAGCATAGTACACAATAGGTGGTTCTTCAGCTCATGCTTCTCTTCCTCCCTCCCCTGTCTAGTGGTCCCCAGTGTCTATTGCTCCCATCTTTACATTAAAGTGTATTCAATGTTTAACTTCCACTTACAAGTGAGAACATGCAATATTTGGTTTTCTGTTCTTGTGAGGTCACTTAGGATGATGGCTTCCAGCTCCATCCATATTGCTGCAAAAGACATTATTTTGTTTTGTTATGGCTGCATAGTATTCCATGGTGTAAATGTACTACATTTGCTTTATCCAACCCACTGTTGATGACAACCTAGGTTGATTCCATGTCTTTGCTACTGTAAATAATGCTGCAGTGAACATATAGGTGAATGTGTCTTTTTGATAGAATGAATCATTTTCCTTTGAGTATATACCCAGTAGTGAGATTGCTGGGTTGAATGGTAGTTATATTTTAAGTTCTTTGACAAATCTCCAAACTGCTTTCCACAATGGCTGAACTACTTTGTGTTCCCATCAACAGTGTATAAGCATTTTCTTTTCTCTGCAGCCTCACCAACATCTGCTGTTTTTTTTTTTTTGACTTTTTAATAATAGCCATTCTGACTGGTGTGACATGGTATCTCGCTGTGGTTTTGATTTGCATTTTTCTGATGTCTAATGATGTTGAGCACTAGTCATATGTTTTTATATGCTTCCTGGCCATTTGTATGTCTTATTTTGGGAAGTATCTGTTCATGTCCTTTGCCCATGTTTTAATTGTTTTTTTTTTTTGAATGTTTTTCATTGCTTTATTTTAGTTACTTGGAGATTCTGGATATTAGACCTTTGTCAGATGCATAGGTTGTGAATATTTTCTCCCATTCTTTAGTCTATTTATTCTGTTAGTAATTTATTTTGCTGTGCAGAAGCCCTTTAGTTTAATTAGGTTCCACTTGTCAATTTTTGATTTTTTTGCAATTGCATTTGGGGACTTAGCTATAGTTTCTTTCCCAAGGTTAGTGTCAAAAAGGGTATTTCCTGGGTTTTCTTCCAGTATTTTTCTAGATTGAGGTCTTGCACTTAACTCTTTAATCCATCTTGAGTTAATTTTCATGTATGATGAGAGGTAGGGGTCCAGTATCATTCTTTTGCATATGGCCAGCCAGTTATCCCGGCATCATTTATTGAATAGGAAGTCCTTTTCCCATTGCTTATTTTTATTGATTTTGTCAAAGAACAGATGGTTGTAGGTGTGCAGGTTTATTTCTGGGCTCTCTATTCTGTTACAATGATCTATATGTCTGTTTTTAGTACTTGGACTTTTATTCTCTCTTTTGGCTTATTTATTTCTCTGTCTACCCTCAGTAATTCTGACTCATTGGAAATTGCAAAGTCTTAAGCAGAATTCTAAGGTGGTCCCCAAGAGTCCATCCGCTGGTGTACATGCTGCATATAATCCTTTTGAGTGTGGGTAGAACCTATGAATATAATGAGGTATCACTCTCATGACAGTTATACAGCAAAAGGGAAAATAGCAAGGATGGGCCTGACCTAATCAGTCAAGGTCTTAAAAGAGTTTTCTCTTGCTGGTTGCAGAGGACGTAATCAAAGACATGTGCTCCTGCTGGCCTGGAATTCCACAAAAGCTATGCTGTGAACTGCCTATAGGGAGAAGTAGCCTCTAGCTGTACAAACACAGGAACTGAATTCTGCCAACAACTTGAATGAACTTGGAAGAGTGCTCCGAGTCTCAGATTGTAATATCCTTTTTTTGAGACAGAGTCTCGCTCTGTCACCCAGGCTGGAGTGCAATGGCATGATCTTGGTTCACTGTAACCTCTGTCTCCCAGGATCAAGTGATTCTCCTGCCTCAGCCTCCCAGCTAGCTGTGATTACAGGCACCCGCCACCATGCCCAGCTAATTTTTGTATTTTTAGTAGAAAAGGGGTTTCACCATGTTGGCCAGGCTGGTCTTGAACTCCTGGCCTCAGATGATCCAGCTGCCTTGGCCTCCCAAAGTGCTGGGATTACAGGCATGAGCCACAGTGCTCGGCCTCAGATTGTAATATCTTAACAGTTCCATCCAATAATATATCAGTGGACTGTATATGGAATGTAGGACACTGGTTTGCAATGTAAAAACCATTTGTTCTATAAAGGTTCTAAGATTTTAGGGAATTTTTAGGGGATGTCAACTATGCTTGGAATGAACAGGAAAGCATGGCTTCACTAGATCTTGTAAAATAAGGTGATGATCAGGAAGAATAAACAACCAGTGAAGCATCATAAAACTATATAAAGTGTAATTGCTCTTTATATTTGAAAGCAAAAAGTTATACTGTGAACAAAACATTAAGGGGATAGGAGCAAGAGAACATTGGGAGGCAGTATTTTACAGTGGGGAAAGCACTAGAGGAGACAGAATTTTCAGATTCTCTTTCCAGCTTTGCTGCTAAACAGTGACATAATGTAACTGCTCAGAGCCTCAGCTAGCAGAATTATTCAATTTTTCTGTTGTACTTTATTGAGCATATCCTCTGCATCAGCACTATTCTGCAGCAGGGGAATCAGCGGTGAACAAGGTATGCAAAGTCCCTGCCCTCAAGGAGTTTACATTATAATATGGTGACAATGATTCAGCCAGCCAATACACAGGGTAGGAGCTCCACAAAGACAAGTAAGTCCTTGTGAGGAGATAGAGTGGGATGTGGACTGGGAGTCAGCGATGGCATCTTTTTAAAGATGGCATTCATATTTGCGCTGAGAAATGAATTAAGACTGGTTGATGGGTTGAATGTCAGGCTGAGAGGGAAAAAGAGGAGTCATGGGTGGCCTCAGGAGTTTTGGCCTGGGCAATGCTGTAACATTTGTTTTATTGGAAACACTGTGGGAGGAGCAGGTTTGGGGAAATGTAAGAGTTCATTCTGGGACATACTATGTTTGAATTGCCTATGATCAAAAGGGAGATGGTAAGAAAGCTGTTCCACAAGAGGCTGGGTTGTTTGTCTGAGTTGTAAAATTTATGTGTTGAATTGAATCATCCATGAGACCCTTCCAATTCTAATACTCCATGATTCTATGAACCAGAAATCAAAGCGAATGAAAGGAATTGTAGACTTAAGAAATAAAGAATAGGAAAGCAAATCAAATAAATTATCAATGGAGAGGAAAGAAACCACTCATTTAGAATGAGGGCAAAGGTAATTGGCCAGCATGGAAGGAGAAACTGGTTAAAGTGGAATAAGAACAAAATTGTTCTGATAGGTATATCTTTTGTTTTCATATAAGATAAAACAAAATTTCTCAAAGTCACTGATTGGTAGCAAATTTCTTGTTATCAAATGACATTATCATATAATCTCTTATACACGAGTGAATGGTTTTTCAAACTGCTTTAATTATATAAAGTGTTGATTGAATGAAATAGTTCCATAACAGTCTGTGTCCCAGGAATGAGTTCAATAAATACATACCTATTACATATGTCTTGTGCAGTTCTTCAACATTTTCACTGAAACGGCAAATCTGACTTTATCTCTGAATATGACACCTTCTCCTTGGGAGCCCCAAGGCAGCACAGGGATATTAATAATTCATAAAACACCACTATTTCATTTTAAAAAGAATCAGGGAGTTTACAAAGATAAAAGACAATCACATGCATTTCCATCTCATATTCCTAATAAAGTATATTTTACTGGCCAAGAAACTGACAGGTATGGGTGATGGGATAGATGCCCACAAGTGAATATACTCATATTTGTGCCTTCTTATAGTTTCCATGACTACAGGTCTAGCTGAATTGCATTAGTCACACACAGCACTGAGAAAGAACAAAAGGAAATGGAAGAATAAATGGCATAAAAATGTCACAGAAAGGTAAAAGTGATCACAGATTTTATTTTGAAGGGACACAGTCTCCAACATCAAGACCTCTCTGCTTTAGTCCACCTCCTTAAATAGGAGATGTTTCTAGTTGGGTCTGGCAAATCTTTATAAGGATAACAAGATTTTAAAAATGAAAGTAAGTAGCATTATTGTATGTTATAAATTAATTTATTAGTGGCTATGTACTAATTAGGACATACAGAACATTCTAACATATTCACAGAAACGTTAGCTTAGACTGCCCAAAGGAAAAAATGTCAAATGAACTGATTTTCTTGGTTTTATTCAAATTATCTCATTGTATCAGAGATATTAATATAGGTGAGTTACTGGTTTTTATTTAAAATATATAAATAAATAAAACTACTTTAAATATCAACAAAGGCTTATTTGCCTATTTAGATATAAGTACTTTCCTAAAAAGTAAAATAAAAGTTGATGGTGGTTCCTAAACAAAACTTCTCATCTTCTGACACAGTGCTGACACGAAAATATAAAAATCAACCTGATCCCTCAAAGAATGTCAAGATTCCCTTGTAGATGCTTCTCAAGCTGGTAATTATTTATTTTCACAATTATGTGATTAATGGCAAACTGAAAGCTTTATAAGGAACACTGCCTAGATTTTCCTATCATTCTCACCACCTCACCTCAAATAGTGAACTAAGCTCAATAGATACTTGATGACCGAGTGAATAAATGAAGGAAGGAAGGGTTGCATGAATGAATGAAGGTAAATGTAATCTTGGCAATCACTTCACTTCTATTATTTTTCATCTTACTTATTGAAGCTACCAAAGTAAAATAATAACAGTAAGTACAGGACATACCATGGTTTGAGATTCTCAAGTAAAATAAACATCAATGTCAAATTTGTATAACAAATTTTTAGTGCAAAAATTAAAGCAAAGAACTTTTACAACTTTTTCAAGGTTTTAAACTTTGAAGGAATCTTAGAATCATGGTGTTCTCCATCATAAAGCTGTATACCTATTTCACATTTTATAGACAGCCAAGGATGTTAAGACGCCACTTCCCTCTCTGATAGTTTCTAATTCAGTTGATCTTGACACGATTGTCTTCATAAGCTTATACAACCAGCATTTATGTTTATTTTTCTTTCTCCAGCTCTGTTTCCCATCCACTCTTGATTCACATCTCTCTCCTTCCTTTTCCCCATTCTTGCTCATTATTTTCTCTCCTTCCTAGTTTCTTCCAGTCCCAAAGATGTGTGTGGGACTGGAAGATGGAAGATGTAGATGTCATGTCCAAATGAACTAAATATTCACACACATCTAAATATTTGCATTTCAAGTTAGAATTATAAGGAATGGATTAGGAAAATAGAGGTTTAGAGGGTAGCCTAATGGTAGAATTACCTCATTTGCAATCTGTTGGGGGTATATGTGGGCCTTCTTTGCATATTTGAAATAATACTTCATAGAAGCAAACTATGCTGGTCACTAGAAAAAAATAAAAAGTTTTTTTGAACTGATTTGCCCACAACACCTTCAATTTCTCCTGGGCCAATACTCTACTACCCTTAGGCTATGAGGGCAGGTGATAATTCTATTAATTAAAGGCAGTTTTGATCTGGAAAGTAGATCACTTAGACTTCGTAAGGGCCAGTCAAGGTCTTAAACTCTTTCTTGATGGTATTGGCCATTAATTCTGCAGCTCTGTGTCAAGTGAGGGAGTTTCTCAGCTCCACCAGGCTTCCCCTGCGTCACTACTGCAGCCTGTTTCCTGCTCACCTTGGCCTCTGCGGGAACCCAGTTAAGCACTTGGCAACTCTCCATCCATGTGGATGTGGATGTCTCACAACAACTTCCACCCCTCTCCTCCCCACCCACTCACAGTGAGCAAAGGTGCAAAGATGACCTCTGATTTTCCCATAGGGACTTAGGTGCACCTAGATTGAATCTGGCATAGATCGTAATTAGTTTGCCATAAATACTGGAGGTCTAAAATGAGAAATAAAAGAATACTTTTCTGACCATTGTTTAACAATTGCATGCATTGGAAACAATACAAAACAACCATGTCCCTCGATCTAGTTCTTTGCACAATTGCTGACAGTTAGAAATCATTTAATAAAAATCTCTTGAATTAATGAATCTCTAAAACTGAAGCTATGGGGTTTGAAAGGTATGGAGTAATAGGAGAGACAGAGAAAAGGGAATAATAGAATACTGGATTACCAAAAATAGCAAGAAATATTTAATAAGTAAATAAAATATACTTTATTTTTTTCATAGTAGATCTTTTCCTGTGAAGGCCCCCAAAGATTTGAGGATTAATCTGCCTGTATAAAAGCATTTGTATTAGTCCATTCTCACACTGCTATAAAGATCCTATGTGAGACTGGATAATTTACAAACAAAAGAGGTTTAATTGACTCACAGTTCCATATGACTGAGGAGACCTCAGAAAACTTACAATCATGGTGGAACGAAAACGGGAAGCAAGGTACATCTTATATGGCAGCAGGTGAGAGAGAGAGAGTGAAGAAGAAGTGCCACACTTTTAAATCATCAGATCTTGTGAGAACTCACTTATTATCGCAAGAACAGCATGGGGGGAACTGCCCTTAAAATCCTCCCACCAGGTCCCTCCCTCAACATGTGGGTATTACAATTCAAGATGAGATTTGGGTGGGGACACAGAGCCAAACCATATCAGCATTTATTGGGCAAAACTTACCTTAGTGCATGCCCAAAATTGGGCAATACAGAAACATATGACAGATTTTTCTCATAAGGAATTTATAATCTATGTGAAAAGATAATATTAACCACATGAAATAATTATATGTAAACTGCATTTCAAAATGCATAGTTCTGAATACAACAGGAAGAATAATAGAGAAATAATGATGCAAGATATCATGGGAAATAAATACTTGTAATTAAAAAGGAAATTCAGTGGACTGCCATTATACACACATTGGACTTACACAAACTCAATTGTATACATTTGGAAAAAAATATTTTTGAAATGGAGAAATAATTTAAATAACCTGGGACATTAAGTTATCCATTCCATTCAATGAACACATGAGGGATAGTCATTTCTTCCTGTGGTGGGTCTCATTCCCTCCTGCTTCATGGTGTGACAGCCTCTCTTTCTTTAATGTAATTTCAATGCCAAAAACTTTTTTTGTGTGTGAGACAGTCTTACTCTGTCACACAGGCTGGAGTACAATGGCAAGAGCTCAGCTTACTGCAGCCTTGTCAACCTCCCAGACACAGATGATCCCCCTGCCTCAGCCTCCTGGGACTACAGGTACATGCCACCGCACCCAGATAATTTTTCTATTTTTTGTAGAGATGGGGTTTTGCCATATTGCCCAGGCTCATCTCCAACTCCTGGGCTCAAGCTATCCACCTGCCTTGGCTTCCCAAAGTGCTGGGATTACAGGCAAGAGCCACCGTGCTCCACCCAAAAACTTTTCTATGAGTGATTTAAGGGAATTTACAAAGGCATTTTGAATATATGTAATGATTATCTTTAAATTCATATTTATGCATCTTCTAGCCTCAAACTTCCTATTCAGCTTACTCTAATAGCCTAAACACATTTTCTGCTTTTAATCAACTAACTGCCCAAGTAAATAAGAAAGAAGTGAATGGTATAATTTATTGATGGTTATTTAATTGATGGATTCCTTTATTCATTCGTATTCATGCAAAGATCAAGGTCTATCAAGGTTCTACCTCTGCAAGACATACCAGGCTTTGGATATGTGTTTGGGTTCACTTTATATTGATACTAGAATGAGAGTTTCCTATTACTGTTTAGCCTAACATGATATTTTGATATATATTTTATATAAGAATATAATAAAGGAATTTTTATTTAACATTTTTAACATTTACAAAGCACAGTTGACGTACTATTCAGAAAATCAGAGAGAGGTACATTTTTGTATCAGTAGAGTCAAGGTCTAGGATACTGACAGAGAAAAGATAATACTATTTAGTATCCGCTTGCTGAAAGTATGACGTTACACTTAGCTGAGGTTGGGAAAGTATTTTATCCATATTCACAGTGGTGCACAATAATCCAAATGCACAGAAAAGAAAGTTTGTTTGGCAGCATGTAAAGTCAGGGATTATAAGTCATAGGAGATACTCCCCTGTCTTGCACAAGTATTGCAGAACCTCTCATGTCCCTCCAATGGAAACTCAACAGACACTGCCGCAGGCTCATGGGGGAAAGCACACATGGAAGACCTGAGAAAGGGGCAAACCATTTCCAATTTTGAAACTATCCATATACTCCCATGCCTCTCTTTAGAGCATCTGAAAAGAGCATTTGGTTACCTTTGATGAAGTCCAGTGCACCAGAAGGTAAGTATATGTAATGTAAAGGCTGAAATACTGTCAAGAACTTATTTTTGGTAAATAATCCTTTCACATACTATCCTAAAGTCAACACTGCTACTTTTCCTTCTTCAGTTAAGGAATCCTGAAACTCAGCTGACTCCTTTAGGATGGACAGAAATAGAGCTGAAGCATATTTGCCTATATGGGTAAACATTTGCTCAGAATTTAGTGAGAGAAGTTAAAAAAAAAACCTATGAAGAAGTTAGTGATGTATTAGGATTCTGCCTTGAGATATTCTGTAAAACCTTACTTTTAGGTACTCTACTGAAAATAGTATCATTTTTCTCATGACTAAAAAGGGAAGCAAAACATTTTCTTGCAGATTTTATATTAAGGACAAAAATGGCAGTTCAAATTTTCAAAGAAAAAGTTCAACAATAGGAGAAAAATGAAATTCAAATTTGTTTATAATAAAATTTACTATAATTTCACAACGCTTGGTTCTATCCTGTGCACAAGAGGAGGTATATAATTGCTAGAGTTGTGACTATTTAGATTAAATCCTCTGAAAATAAAAAATACAAGCTTTAGAAAATTAACTTTAATTACTTTTACATAAAGTCATAAAAGCCAAACTGTGTACTATGCATAAGGCTATATGTTCTTATAGCAAAGTAACCTCAATTCTGGGGGAAAGAAGTGATAGGAAAATCTTTCTTTCAAAGAGAAAATGTATCAAATATTAAATCTGTACCCACACTAAAAAATTGTGGAATATTTTTAGAATGAAAGGAATATTTATTAATATTCATGAGTTTTGAAAATACACAAACACTAGGTAAACAATAATTTACAGATTCTTCTTTTAGAGACAGTCATATTTGAAATTTTGAGGAAAAAATAGCTTAAGGAAATGCATGTTATTGTACAAATCAACCACTAAACATATATGGAAGAAATGCTGCAAGAAAATGAAGAACCTAAAATAAAACCCCCCAAAATGCACAGGAATCACTGTTCTGCATGGGGAGACTCAATATTTTAAATAATTTGAGTAACAAAATATATATGCATAAACAAGGTGTTTTATAACCAAATTCCAACATTCCCAAATGTCCTGTATTGGTAACAAAGACGACAGAAAAATAAAATTGTTAATAATAGGAGAAATATCTTTACCAAACATATGTATATTTCTAATATTTTAACTTTTAGATTGATGGGTACATGTGCAGGTTTGTTTTATAGGTAGACTTGTGACTCAAGAATTTGGTGTACAGGTTATTTCATCACCCATCTACTAAGTATATTACCCAATAGTGTGTTTTTAAACCTATTCCTGTTCATTTTAAAGCCCAAATAAAACAAGAAACAAAATTGATAATAAGAAGAGCTGGCCTTAATGAGCTTTTATTTAGAAAAATTTGCATGCCTATTAATTCAGGATGACATACATAATCATGTTGCATAAATCTTTCAAAAGGATTTCATTATATACTCCATCTTCATAGTTTTATTAGCTTTCCAAGATTTACCATGGTTGTAGAAATTTTTTAGTAGACTTGGTCAGGCACGGTGGCTCACGCCTGTAATCCCAGCACTCTGAGAGGCCGAGGCGGGTGGATCACAAGGTCAGGAGATAGAGACCATCCTGGTGAAACACGGTGAAAGCCCATCTCTACTAAAAATACAAAAAAAATCAGCCGGGCGTGGTGGCGCGCGCCTGTAGTCCCAGCTACTCGGGAGGCTGAGGCAGGAGAATGGCATGAACCCAGGAGGAGGAGCTTGCAGTGAGCTGAGATCGCGCCACTGCACTCCAGCCTGGGTGACAAAGCAAGACTCCGTCTCAAAAAAAAAAAAAAAAAAAAAAGAGACTCAGTTTGCGTAAATGAGCAAGTTCAGGCATAATAAGACTAGGAAAGTTATTCTCTGTTTATAAAAAGATGGTGGTGGAGGAGTTAAGAAGGTTGAAAAATTGGGTATCGTTCCTTTCTTCTTAAACAAGATCAGCATTTTGAAATTAAGGCAAAAAGAAATATGAGCCTGATTTTTGGCAACCGGACAGCATTTATAATCTACTTCAGCAGATTTCTGCTAAGAACATCTGCTCTAAGCTAGTGTTAGACTAAGATTGATTGTCACCCCTTTAAAAGGAATTCCTGTTTCCTTTACACACACACACACACACACACACACACACACACACACACACCTTATCTGGCAATCTTGAGAGAAGACAGAGAAATCTGAGAAACTAAAGAGTGAAGTCTGAATCCACCCTTGTCACTCACCATCTTCCTCAGCAGAAAGGAAATATATTTTAGGTTTCATTGAAATTATAAACAATACTATGTCTGCAGCTGTGCTTGAAAGTCTGATGTCAATACTACTAAATACATGTTTTCATTTTGAGCAAAACTTATCAAATACATACAGAACCAGATTATAAGATCCTATTGAAAACAGCCCACACAAAATATCTCTATTCCCTTTGTCACTATGTCACATGTGTTTATCCTTGGTTATGGCCGACATAGTTATCTATCAGTAATTAACTGTCCCCATGAGCTTAGAAAAATGAGATTTCAGAAGCCCGAACTTGAATCTGGACACAATTTCACATTTTGTAATTGATCTTTGGCATCACATGTCACTGTATTTCAACTACTAAATGAAGTGAGAAAAGAGCTCTTAAAGTTTTTTGAGCTCCATATTCCGCTAAGAAAAAACATTAGAAACACCAACAGGAAAAATATGAACACTCATGATGTCAGATGTCCTAGTCTGTTTGTGTAGCTATAAATAAATACCTGAGGCTGGGTAATTTATAAAAAGAAAAGGTTTATTTGGCTCACAATTCTACAGGCTGTACAAGAAGCATAGCACCAGCATCTGCTTCTGGTGAGGGTTTCAGGCTGTTTCTAGTCATGGACGAAGGCTAAGGGAGCTGGTATGTGCAGAGAGCACATGGCAAGACAGCAAGCAAGAGAGAGAGAGGAGAGAGGTGCCAGACTCTTCTTAACAACCAGCTTTGCCCAGAACTAATAGAGTGAGAACTCACTCATTACCATGAAGACTGCACCAAGCCATTCATGAGGGAACTGCCCCAATGACCAAAACTCCTCTTTGAGCCCCCACCTCCAATACTGGCAATCAAATTTTAACTTGCAGTTTTGGGGACAAATACCCAAACTATAGCACTAGGTATTTGTATAGTTTTTATTGCTATTGAAATTGAATTCCTTTTTTTCCTAAATGGATGCATTTATTATTTCTGCAAGATATATAAGGAAAGCTATTGTCTTCATTTAGGGGTGAATCAGCCCATTCATGGGTTGTATCAAGGCTAAACAGTGATTCATCAAAAGTAAGAAGGTACATTTTGTGATTCCTTTGTTCAGTGTCTCAACTCCCCAATATATCATGTTAGCTACCCTAGTGACAACATGCTATGTTACAAGGTAAACTGTTCTGAAAATCAGTTTAACAATATATCAAGAATCTTTTAATTTGCTGCAGTGATTTCATGTCCAGAAAACATTTAAAAAGGCAGACAAAAGTATCTATCATAGTATTAGTTCAGAATCACTACCTAGAAATAGGAGAATGACCAAATTTTAAATAGCCATACTCTGAAATTGATTGCAACCTTTAAAGTCATGTTTTAATAAAATAATGAAATGAAGAAATGCCAAAAAAGTATGTTGAGTGATAAAAGATTCAGAGATATGTATATGTAATCCTAATAGTATAAAAGGAAATATGCGTACACACACAGAGATATATTATCCTAATAGTATGAAAGGGTATGTTTTTGTCTAACATGTTATTAGAAGGAAAATAAGCACAAACAATGATTATTTTTAAGTGGCAAAATTGAAATATTTTATATTATTCTTTAAACGTTCCTGCTTCTTCCAAAATTTTTCGCAATCAGTTTATAAATATTTATATATAAAGGTTTTGTTTCAATTTAAAATAAACTCCGCTGAGCTCATGTAAAACCCTGTGCCTCATAAAAGTACTGAAAAATATTAGAAGTCCTCAGTAAACTAATTATAATATTATTTCTATTCTATTGAAAGAAGTCTGGCAAAATTGATACTTTTCCATAAGACAATAATTCTACATTAATAAAAAAGTCTAAGGTACAGAAAACAAGAAATCTGCCAATCTCTGGAATTTCAGAAGCAGTTATAAATATTATTTGTGGGTCTGAGCAATTCTTATTTTCAGTTGGTACTGTAAACTTACTTCAAAATATGTGTTAAAGGCAGTTTGGTAGCCAATTGAAACTTTCTTCCAAATATAATAAGAACAGTGTCAAAAAGAGAAAACTATAAAAGAGAACACAGAACTTGATTTGAATAATTTTGTTTTAAAATTCAATGTTCGGAGTTCATTATTTACAGTGTTAAAGTGAACTAAATATGGCCTGAAAAGGACTCTGTACTTCTATATTTGAGTCCTATGGAAGAACCATACCTAAATTAATAAGCAGACAAGATTGAAAACTTAACTTAGGAGTATGTGCCTGTAAAAGTAGCTGAGTCTTGGCCAATTTCAGCAGCCATACTTCAACCACTCATACACTGCTAAGTATTCAAACTGTGTTCAAATAAGGCAAATGCCAACCTGTAACCAATCTAGTTGTTTCTGTACATCACTTCCCTTTTTCGTCTATAAATTTTCCTCCACCACATGGCTGTGCTGGAGTCTTTCTGAATTTGCTGTGATTCTGGGGGCTGCCTAATTCACGAATTGTTCATTGCTCAATTAAACTTCTTTAAATTTAATTCGACTCAAGTTTTTCTTTTAACAACAGGTATTTGCATAATGTATGACTCTAAGGGTCACCCGTGTTAAAACAAAATAATAAAAGATATGTCATTATTCCCAAGTATACATAACAGAATTCATCAAGGTGATTGTGTTGGAATATTTAAATATATTTTGAATACAAATAAAATTAAAAATTTCACCCTCAAGCTAGTAATATGCAAAATAACCTTAAAACATAATTTTCTTTAGAGAATTAAAATGACTCATTATACCCTTATGTGTATTATTACTTTACTTAACTAATTCTTTTAGGCAAAATATAAAAAGTTCAAAATTAGGGGAATTATAATATTTTGCTGTATTATACCTATAACCACTCTCTCAGAAAAGGTGGCTGTAATTTCAAAATCAATCCATGCCGTTTAATATAATTTTTAAAAGCTTAGCAGGAAAACTTTCAAGTTTTTAGAATATCGAATAAAATGTTTATTAAGTTAGATGGCTTCTGGGTTAAGTTTTAGGGAACAAATATTGTTTGGCTTTTTCTCAAGTAATTCTATGAGATTGTGAGAACCACAGGTGTTGTCAACAAATGCAAATCACTTATGTAGCTATGCACATGGCCCAATGAGCGTGTTTTCCAAAGGCTTCTGAAAAATGACAGAATGGAGAAGCATATAGGTAATATTGTAAGAATAATCTAAATTAAAGTCACTCAAAATATTTTTCCAAAAATAAGAACATTATTAGGCAAGATAAATGAATGGGCAGAGAGCCAATTGGCTTCTATACAATTCCATCCTGTTTTTCATGTTTCCTTGAAAAATATCAGGATATTTTAAATTAATAGCTTATATTATTTGTTTTTAACTGGGGGTAATTCAGTTTCAAAGTGGAAGAAAAATAAATGCAAGTTAGGTAGAATTACTGAAAAATATTTTGAGGCACCCAATGTCAACATTGGAGCGAGTCATTTAACCTGAGTCCGATTCCACTTACACAAAATAAGATAGGGCAGGGGCTGAACAAATGCTTTCTAAGGCCCTTTCAAGTTTGCAGAAAAAAAAGGAAAAAGAAAAATGAATTCATATAATGAAAATAATTTTGCAAATAACTATTTGAATGTGTTTTTGCATTCTCAATCAGTTATTTAAAAACTGGATGTTTGATCAATACCAAATGTTTATTGTTAAGAGGAGTTAATGTTTTGTCATTAGGAGTTAAGGTAGAAATTAATACCATGTCATTGAAATTAATTTTCAACTTTTTTGTCACAACTAGTTGACTTCCTAATCTCAACTAGTCAACTTATCTGAGATAGTCCATGTGCTTACTGCTTTATTCCATTTAAATAATTATCATAGAAAGTTTAAAATATAATCTTTATAGCGTACACCAAAAGTAATAAAGCAGTGAAACAGAAGGTCATATTATAAAGACTTCCTGGTTTCTGTGGTCCCGATAGAACTCTCTCTCTCCATACTGAAAAAGAATTCCAGATGGCTTCATGATGGCAAAGAAGCCAGTGAGAACTCACCCATTATTTCATTGTATAACTGATGGAGCTGAAGATTATAAACAAATGTTGCATTACAGTATCTGAAAGGGCCTTAGTTGTGAAGAACAGAAATCAGTTCTAAAAATGTCATTTATGAAAGAATTTTCAGTTGCATAAGAATTTCCTAGAAGGCCAGAGAACCAGGTAGGAAGTACATATTCAGAAATCATGTTCAACACACATTACACAGTTACCCCATGTAGACTCCCATCTTGTTCCCCCAACACCATTTACCTTGATCATTGGGCACCCTCCCTATTTCCCTTACACTATTGATAGCAACAGGAGGCAGACAAACTCTAAGCAGACAGGGGCAGGTCCCTGGAAAACCCCACCTTCGAGCCAAAAAGCCTGAAACCTGCAGCTCAAAGTGAGAACTTCCATCCCTGTGTGCCCACGCTCTCCTACTTGGTTCTTTCTGAATAATGTCTTTTTACCAATTGAATGTTGCCTTTTCTAAAACTACCTACGGCCTGCCCCACCCCCATCCTATCCCTGTAAAGACCGCAGACTCAGTCGTCAGATGAGAGAAGTGGCTGGATGTCAGGAAGAAGCGCCTGGACATTGGAGAGAGGCCAGCTTGACTACATGGGAGAGTGACCTTCCCTTCCCGTCCCTTTTCCAGCTTCCCTCTCTGCTGAGAGCCACTTTCATCACTTAATAAAATTCTCCACATTCACCATTCTTCAATTTGTCTGCTTAACGTCATTCCTCTTGGGCACCAGGCGGGAATGCATCAGGTGCGGGTACCCAAAAAGGCTGTCACTGGCCCTCTGCCTTTGCTGGTGGAAGGCAGCCACCTCACACAATGAGATAAAGGGCCCACGGAGCTGTTAACACACTTCTGTCTGTGAAAAGCAGAGCTAAGAGAGCATTGTAACACACCCTCTAGGGCCTTGGGGTCACAGGCACCCCCACATGGACACTGCCGCAGGGCCCGCAAGGAATTCGCTTCTGCCAGCACCAAAGTGGCCGGTTCCTGCACTTGCTCACTCCGGTTCCTGCATTCAATCACTGGCATGCTCCTTCCTGCAAGGGGTTGAGTGGGGTGGACTGAATAAACAAGGCACCCCTGTCATGACTCCTGTGAAGGGGTCAAGAAAATATCCTGCATCACTATCATCTCTGAAACCTGGAGGTATCTGCCACCTGTACACCAGACTACATTCCATATGATTTCTTCTTCCTAATGCCACTCACTTCCTATTCAAAGATTGGCCTGGATTTGTTTGCTTTGGAGAGTCTAGATCACTTGCCTACTCCCTAGTCTCAAGAAAGTGGGGATATCGTTTTCATGGCTTCTGTAGTGAAGGACAAGGATTCACAAAACGGAGAGTTTCCAGACACTTTAAAAAGCAAGCAGGAATTCTGTTTTCAGTATCATGAATGACTAGGCACCCTGAGGGACTCTCCTTTTGCAGCAACCAAGTCCTGGGTAGGACATACTCTTTGAGATAGTTGCTGTCTCACAATATATAAGAGGTCTTCAGGAAACCCTTGCCTCCCCAGAACAAAGAAACTAGTCAGAGTTGGACCTGGAGTTGGACTGGCTCCTGGGTGCCAGGAACCAGTATTTTGGAGGCAATGAGCTTGAGGTGGAGTATCCTCTATCTGAGCCAAGGAGAGGAGGCTCAGAGTTAAAGTCCAGAAGCAGGAGGCAGAGGCCAGAGCAATGGAGAGTTGGAACAGCTGGGAGCCAAGGCACTTGGGGAGGATTGCCCTGAGATGGATCACTATAGCAACACTGCTGTGGGCACAATGAACCTTGGAACAGCTAGGTGTTAGAGAATTATAACATGGCACACCTGCTCTCAACCAGAATTCATAAGGGTTGTACCCATACACTGCCTGCAAAAGTAGAAAGCAACCCCTTAAGTATCCTTAAGGACTACCACAAAATGAGATCAACAAATTGACAAAGATTATGGGAAATACTAGAAGGAAAGCCACTATGAATGAAAGACAGCATAAAAAAAAAAACAGGTTCAGCATGCAAGGACTGCAGATATTGGAATTGTTAGACATACTATAGAAGGACTATATAGGATATATCAGAGGAAGTAAATGATACAGTTAGAAAAATGAATGACTCATAGGAAACTTTCAAAATGGATAGACAAAAAGACACTCATATGGAGTTTCTAGAAATGAAAATATAATTGTTGAAATTTCAAAAGAGGAACAGGCAAATGAATAAAAAATCAACATTTGAAGAAAGTTAATAAATTGAAATATACAGCTGAAATATTTATTCAGAACGAATGCTGCAAGGTAGATGGAAAACATGAAAGCGAGACTGCAATTCATATGGGATCAGTGAGAAGGTATAAGCTACATCTAATCTAATCCCAATAGAACAAAATAGACATAATGGAAAGAGGCAATTTAAAAAAACAAAAACAACAATGGATCTAGTTCTCTAGGTCTGGTCAAAAACATAAACCAATGAAACTCAACACATTGAAACAGGATAAATAAAAAGAAATTTTCATTTTCTACTGAAACTGCAGAATACCACAGACCAAGAGAACTTCTAGGAAGCAGAGAGAGGGCAGAACACAAAGGGAGAGAGTAAATGCAGAATTCATAAGAGCAAAGACAGAAGGCAGAAGACAGTGGAATAATTATCAGGAAAGCCAAAACTTATTCTCAATCTAGAACGGAGTACCCAGAAAACCATCATTCAAGAACGAAGGCAAATTTTGATGCTTACAGATAATCCAAAAGGAAGGCAGATTACCATCAGGAGACTTGCTGCAACAGAACTTAGGAAGTACTTTAAGAAAAAAATAAAATGGTCTAAGAAGGATGGTATGTAATAAAAGAAGGAAAGGTGAGTAAATAAACTAACATTTATGGGAAATAATACTAATACTGATTATGTGGTTAAAAAGGGGCAGAACTGAAATATTGGGCAACAGTGGGATGTACATGGGAAGATGGCAAATTGGAGCTAAAGTATTATAAAAGTCTTACATTTTTCAGGGAGAAGGTGTCAAAATATTGTTCAATTTCTTACCTTGTTATGTTAAATAAGTATGGTGAAATGCAACGGCAATGACTGAAAGAATAGGAATATATTCCTAGAGTAGGTATATAAATTCTAGATCACTTGAGGAAAAGAACTAGCATAAGAGCAAAAAACTTAATTTAAAAAAAAAAAAGGCAAGAAAGGAAAAAAAACCCCTAGGAAAAACAATACAAATAAAATTTAAAAGTAAGACGGTAATAAAAATTCCAGATTTCCCAATAATCATAATAAATTTGGTTATCTATAAATATCACAATCGCAATAAATATAGTATACATAAGCCACCAATTATATAGGCATATTATATAGGCATACACACACACACACACACACACACACATGTAGATATAATCTCACCAGTTATTATCAGATAGAATGTTTTAAAAATCCAGTTAGATGCTTTTATAGAAAATATAAGCAATATAATATAAATGATATATATTATACATAATATAAACAATAAATATAATATAAAGAATAAGGAAACTAACAGGATTAAAATGTACAGATAAAAGAGACACATGAGGCAAATCATAACCAAAAGTCAGCTGGAGTAACTATATGGTACCTAGGCCAAATATCCTTTAAGAAAAGAGAAAATTCCTGGGATATTGACAGTAGCTATACAATGATAAAAGACTTACTTTAGTAAGAAACTATGACCTGTCTAGACAATGATAGCTAAAACAAAATAACCTTAAAATGTAGGTAGGAAAAATCATTAAAACTACATGAAAATTTGGCAAATGAACCCACATAATGAGAAGCTGCAAAACACCTCTCTTAATCATTGACAGCTACAGGCAAAAAAAAAAAATCAACAAAAATAAAGAAGAATACAACACATTCAACAAGCTCGATCTCATGACTATATATAAAACCAGCATCCAAAAGTTAGAAAATACTTGTCGTGCTCCAGGACATATGAAATATTTTAAAACCAGACTGTGTATGAAGCCACAAAGCAAGTCTCAACACATTTCAAAGGTGTCCCACAGAAAAGCTTCTCTGATGAAGTGCAATTAATGAGAAGTTAATAACAAAGAGATACATAAAAAATATTTCCCACTATTGAGAATTTCAATAACTTGTTTCTACTGAATCCATAGGTCAAACAAGAAACTTCAGTGGAAATTAAAAAACAAAACACAAAAAGCTAGAACTGAAAGGTAACAAAGAATCTACATGTTAAAACTTGTGGGAAACAGTGAAAGCAGCGTTCTGCAATCTGCTTACCTTTAAATCGTTATATTACAAAAGAAAAAAAAAGACTAAAAAGTTAGTTTTCGAACATTAAAAGACATAGAAAGAGAGAATAAACCCAAATGCAGCAGGAAGAGGGCTATAATATAGAAAAGAGCAGATATCAATGAAATAGAATATAAAGGTAAAATAGAGAGAATTAATAGAGCTAAATTTGGTTCTAAATAAACTCCTTGTAAGACTGAGCAAAAAAGAAAGAGAAAGTTATACAGATAGAGGAGGAAAACACAAAATAAATAACACACAAAATATGGAGGGGTCAGGACAAAAATGTAAGGCCAAGATTAAAGCATATTAGACCATCATTAAAAATTTTATGCCAATAAATTATAACATTTAACCAAAACAAAAAAACATAAGAAAAGTATAATTTGTTAAGAGAAACTCAAGTAGAAATAAAATATGAATGTTGCTAAAACTATTAAAAATAGTTGAACCTGTAGTTAAATATCAGGCCCCCAGAATTTTATAAGTAGGTTCCACAAAACTTTTAAGGAACACATCATGCCAAATTCAAATAAACATTTTAGAACAGAAAATAAGAAAGAAATCTATGGCTTATTCTATAAGACCAGCATAACTTTGATATAAAACAAGATAAGGACAAAACGAGAAAGAAAAATTATAATACCCTGTTGTTCATGAAAATAGGTACGAAAAGCCTAGAAAGATAATATATGATATCCATGTTGGGATTACTCTGTGAAAGAAAGAACAATTTTTAGAAAATATATATATATTAATTAACATAATTATACATGTTATTCAAACTATTAACAGATTTTAAAATACGGTTATCTAAACAGATGTAGAAAAGTGTTTTACAAAATCCAGCATCTATCCTTACTTCAAAAAGAAGTCAGTAAACTAAGATAATTTTGTTAACCTGATCATGTATATCTACAGAAAACAGAATAAACATCATTCTAAACCAGAAAATATCAGAAGCATCTACTTTAAAAACAAAAACAAAAATAAGAATGTCTACTATTGCCATTTATAGTCCACATTTTACAGAACCAGTCCAATATGACTAGAAAAATAAAAGTTATGGTATTCTGAGTATAAATTCATAGATAAATAATAAAAATAACATGAAAATTTAAAGGTCGCAAGACATAGGATCTAATTTAAAAATACTCATCAATTGCAGTTTTGTGCCCCAGTAAGAAATTAGAAAATACAATTGTAAAAAATTAGTCAAAAAAAATTAGAAATACCCAAAGTAAATCTAACAAAAAGTATGAAATACTTACATGCAGAAAATTATACTTTTTACTAAATGATATTAAGAAGCCCTAAGAAAATAGAACACTATCTCCTGTTCATGAATAAGAAGATGTCAGAGCATAAGGATTTCAATGTTTTCCAAATGGATCTATAGAAGCAATTCAATCTACCGAAAATTGCAAAAAAAAAATTTTTTGGTGGAAAATTGATCTATTTATATTGAAATCCAAAAAGCCCAAATTAGCTAAGACATTATCAAAAAAGAAGGGAAAATTAATAACTCAGTTAAACAAAACATATTATAAAACTATAGTGATTAAGACGTTGTATTGGTGCAAGGATAGACAAACTGAACAATAGAACAGAACAGAGCCCCACAGAATCATATGGGAACATAGCTTTAATATGAAAAAGATGGCAAGACAGATTCCTAGGAAAAGAAGAAACTGTTTAGCAAACAAAGCTGAAACATTGTTGACATCTTTATTTTTATAAAATAATACATAAAAATGACTTCCTGATGGATTAAGAATTCAGAGGTTAAAGGTAAAACAAATTTTAGATGAAAATTTCTGGCTGGGGAGTAGGAAATAATTTTTGAACGATGCACGAATGTATTAACTATAGAAAAAAGATTAATGAGTGTGATTTAATTAAAGTTAACACTTCACTGAAAAATGAAAGTTAAAATACAAGCATAACTTGGAAGAAGCGATTTGCAACACATTTATCAAAGATTGTTTCAAGAATATCTAATTCATACATTTCAATAAGAAAAATACCATCCACCCAATACAAAAATGGGCAAAAGACATGAATAAATAAATAATAGCTTTGTGAGGCCAATATAAATATATAAAGATATGTTCAATCTCATTAGTACTCAAACAAATACCACAATGGCATGATATTTTGTATTCATTCAAATGACAAAAATTTGGAAGTCTGACCATTTTAAATATTGTACAGAATGTAAACTAAGGGGATCCAATATGCTTTGTTGGTGGGAGTGAAAATTGTTATATTCACTTTGAAAAATAACTTGACACATCTTACAAAGTTAAAACTTGGCATATTCTATTACTTAGCATAACTACTCCTATACAGTTTCCCGAGAGAAGCTGTATAGAATGCTCATAGCAACATTTTTCTAAGCAAACACTGAAAAACTAAAAAGTAGACAAAATAATAAAGATATAGCTTTATGATAGTCAGTTGAATCCTTAAGGATATCAACTGAATAAAATCTGTCCTACTGGAATTCCCCGGATTTTTCATTCAATTCTGTTTCTTCTATAGTTGTTTGGTTTTCCTTGTTTAAAAAAAGGCTAATATTGGTATGATATTTATTAAGGAGGGAAAGATACATTTATTATGGTGGGAATCTGAATAATAAAGTTATATATTATATTCAAATTGTTCAATGACAGCATGTGGATTGATCTAGGTGGGAAAGCTAGCCCAGCTATGGAATGTCATATTTTAATAGTAATAACAGCTGAACTACCAAATAACTGCAAATTATTTACTTTGTATACAATAATTCTATTCTTACTTGCATTCTAAAATGTATTTATGAGTAAGAGAGAAAGGACAAGAAATATAGGGCACAGCCTAGTTTATCATCTTTTTCCAGGAGCCCCTCTGCTCAATGGTTCCACGTAAGCCTGGGCCATGGGAAACATTTTGCCTAAGAGTTGGAAAGTCCAGGTGGAGGAGCAGCTATATGGCTTTATCCTCAGGAGGTCTGTGTGTGGCTCCCTAGTGTCGCTTCTTGCTGACTCTCGTGACTACGGAATACAGCAGCTGGGCTAACAGTTCCTACATGCTCCTGCTAAACTTCCTGCTTCAGGATCAGGAACATGTTTAGCCCTGTGATAAAGGGCACCAACTTCTCCCTCAGCAACTCTCATCATGGAGGTGATGAGAAACTAACAGGAGTTCCAGGCCATCCGCATGGGTTCCAGCTCAGTCTTGTAGGTTCCACCTTGGCCTTGACTTCCCCATCTGTTGTCTGTCTGCCCTTCCCCACTACCTGCCCTCTGAGCTTTAGGTTTCAGCACCAAACACAACTTCACAGAGACTGTGAAATCAGCTTCTTCAACTGCATTACCTTAAATCCCCATGATAAACACCTTGTTATATGTTCTACCCAGTTTTTCTGCTTGTCTGATCAAACCATGACGTCACAGAGGTCAATCAAGAAGACAGGCTTTTCCCTGTGTATCAGCAATCTCAGATTCTGCTTAGAAGCAGCATGATAGCAGTCTTTGCAGTAATCAATTTCTAAGTCCCCTACTTAAAATTGGGTTTGTAACTCAATTTCTCTGAGCCTTAGTGTCTCCGTGTATAAAATTCTAGTAATAACTCCTACTTTTTAAAGTTGATTGGAGAAGCAAATTCTATACTATACTCAAAGACATTAGCCCTGTCCCTGGCTCTTGGAAAATGTTAGCATCCTTTCTTTCCACCTAGGGCTTTGAGGTCTTTGAAAAACAGTTGGACACTTGGATTCATGCAGCTGATCCTTTGAGGGGTCTTTCTCTATAATTAATTGGCTACTTCCTTCCAGTGAGTGAGCTTTTCTACAAACTTTACATCATTTAAGGGAGACAGTTTATTAATTTTTAAGCATATTGGAATATATTTCACATCTAGGTCTCCATGGAATCCAGAGTTGCTCTCCATGATAATTTCTAAACTAGAGCAGAAGTTCAACAATAGTTCCTTTTTTTCACATCAGTATGAATAAGCTAAATTCTAAGAATGCATTAGACAAAAAATAAGGGAAATGTGGCAAGCCTGGTGTATTAGTCCGCTCTCACACTGCTATAAAGATACTACCTGAGACTGGGTAATTTATAAACAAAGAGGTTCAATTGACTCACAGTTCTGCATGGCTGGGGAGGCCTCAGGAAATTTAAAATCACAGCAGAAAGGGAAGCAGGCATGTCTTACATGGTGGCAGGTGAGAGAAAGTGAGAAAGAGCAGGAAAAACTGCCTCATAAAACCATCAGACCTCAAGAGAACTCACTCACTAACTATCATGAGAACAGCATGGGGGAAACTGCCTCAATGATCCAATCTCCTTCCACCAGGTCCCTCTCTAGACATGAGGAGATTATGGGGATTACAATTCAAGATGAGATTTGGGTGGGGACACAAAGCCTAAACATATCACTTGGCAAAACTCAAAATGCATCTCATGCATTCCAGGGAAGTGACCTAATATTTCTATGTATGCGTATGTTTTGTTATCCTATTGAAAATCTTTTTGGGATGCATGATGTCGGTATCCAAGGATCCTTTCTGCTTCAATATTGAGGCCATGTTCTGTAAGTTATATGCCAAAAGAAGCAAAGTAACTCCTTTCAACTCTTAAGATGTCATGCTATGCCCTCTTTAGAATAATATAATATTGATATCCTGCCCCTCAGGCTTGAGGCTATCTCCCATAGACTGTTTTAGAACAGCACAACACAAGAGATAAAAATGATATACAAAATGCCCCCCACTTCCTTTTTTTATTAATGTGTACGATTTCTTTAGTAAAATATAAGAAGTTTTTATAGAATCATTTCAATCCTATTGAGAGGGTGGGTTCCTCTTAGAAATAGCTCAAGGGCATCAAGGAATGTTTGAGCCTGTGATTTTTGCTCTGGTTTTGGCTAGGGGAACGCCATGTGCAAATGAAGTATGAGGTTAAAGTTTGGTGTGTAAGCAAGGTAATGTTCCTGAAATCGCATGGAGCTCTGCCTCTTTGGCCTCTCCTCCCTCTTCAGGCCTTCTTTATTCAGACTTACAGCTTGCAGACTCCTGAGGGCCCAGGAATTCTCATTTTAAGAGCCTCTTTGAGGTATGCTGGCTTGTGAAGGCAGCATGGTGTGCTCGGCTGAAGAGACAAGAGGCCTGGACTTTTGTTTTGATTCTATTTACCACTTACTGGGTGACCCTAGTCAAGTCACTTGACATATCTAGGCATTCTTTTCTCAGGGTTACTACCATTTGCCCTCTCTGGGTTATCTTGTTGGTCAAATTAGGAAATGCATGAGGAAGTACTTTTAAAGCTTAAAATGGAATGTAAGCTCTTTGCATCTGTTTTTTCTCATGTTCTCAACTGATAAGAATTCTCCAAAGATTTTTCTTCCACTCTTACTTCATTCTTTTTCTGCATAATATTCATTTCTTTGGTGCTTTCAACAGCACTTATGGGTTAACATATTACTTCTAGGCATATAATTCTCAGGTTGACATCTATACTTCCAAATCCTTTTTCAAATTCCACATCAAAACTTCCAACTGTTGCATTGATAACATACATTGCCAACCTCTCAGATGCAGCTGGTTTACAATGAGTCCACCATCTCACCAATCTTCCCACCTCCCATTTGCAATTTCCTTTATTTTCATTGCATCATTATTCTCACTATAGGGACTAAAGTATCCCAGAAATATTTTTGGCCTCTTTCTTACCCCTAAACTCACTTCCTTACATCTATGTTCATATTTGGTCACTTCTCCTTCTACATAATCCTCCCTTTTCCATTTATTCTGCTAAATATTTTCATGCAGGCCCTCATTACCTCATGCCTGAATCATTGCAACAATTCCCTAATTGAACTGCCCATCCAGAATATCCTCCATTCAATGCATCGTATACACCATTTCAAATAATTCTATACTAAAGTACGACAAAGATCATGTCACTCTCTTGTTTAAAAACATTTAATGGCTCCCTCTTGCCTAAAAAATAAAGTGTCACATTTCTTGGCATTGTTAATATAATCTTGTTTGGTTGTTTCTTTATCTCTTTGAGGTTTTCATATATGTAGCAAAAGGAAATAAGTAGTAATTGGTACATACAATTTACTAATCAATTTCTCTGCTAAAGCTGGCTACCTCTGTTACTACGATCTGAAACTACAAAGAACAGCAGTCAAGTCTGTTCACACATCATTCCCAGTTAATCTCATTGGCTTTAATTTCACTGATTTCCTTCAAATTTCTAACGTCTTCTTTGTCTAGACTATTATTTCTTTCAAACATTTTTTTCTGTCAACTGTCCATGCAGTTTGTCTCTGCTATACCTTGCAGCTAAAATGCATTTGCTTAAAAATCTCTAGTAACATTTATTCAGTGTTTGAAATAGAATATGCCGGAATAGGAACAGCTCCAGTCTACAGATCCCAGCGTGAGTGATGCAGAAGACGGGTGATTTCTGCATTTCCATCTGAGGTACCAGGTTCATCTCACTAGAGAGTGCCAGACAGTGGGCGCAGGCCAGTAGGTGCGTGCACTGTGCATGAGCCGAAGCAGGGCGAGGCATTGCCTCACTCGGGAAGCGCAAGGGGTCAGGGAGTTCCCTTTCCTAGTCAAAGAAAGTGGTGACAGACAGCACATGGAAAATCGGGTCACTCCCACCCAAATACTGCGCTTTTCCGACGGGCTTAAAAAACGGCACCAGGAGATTATATCCCACACCTGGCTTGGAGGGTCCTACCCCCACGGACTCTCGCTGAATGCTAGCACAGCAGTCTGAGATCAAACTGCAAGGCGGCAGCCAGGCTGGGGGGAGGGGTGCCCGCCATTGCCCAGGCTTGCTTAGGTAAACAAAGCAGCTGGGAAGCTCGAACTGGGTGGAGCCCACCACAGCTCAAGGAGGCCTGCCTGACTCTGTAGGCTCCACCACTGGGGGCAGGGCACAGACAAACAAAAAGACAGCAGTAACCTCTGCAGACTTAAATGTCCCTGTCTGACAGCTTTGAAGAGAGCAGTGGTTCTCCCAGCATGCAGCTGGAGATCTGAGAACGGGCAGAGTGCCTCCTCAAGTGGGTCCCTGACCCCTGACCCCCGAGCAGCCTAACTGGGAGGCACCCCCCAGCAGGGGCAGACTGACACCTCACACGGCCGGGTACTCCAACAGACTTGCAGCTGAGGGTCCTGTCTGTCAGAAGGAAAACCAACAAACAGAAAGGACATCCACACCAAAAACCCATCTGTACATCACCATCATCAAAGACCAAAAGTAGATAAAACCACAAAGATGGGGAAAAAACAGAGCAGAAAAACTGGAAACTCTAAAAAGCAGAGCGCCTCTCCTCCTCCAAAGGAACGCAGTTCCTCACCAGCAACGGAACAAAGCTGGATGGAGAATGACCTTGACGAGCTGAGAGAAGAAGGCTTCAGAAGATCAAATTACCCCGAGCTACGGGAGGAAATTCAAACCAAAGGCAAAGAAGTTGAAAACTTTGAAAAAAATTTAGAAGAATGTATAACTAGAATAACCAATACAGAGAAGTGCTTAAAGGAGCTGATGGAGCTGAAAACCAAGGCTTGAGAACTACGTGAAGAATGCAGAAGCCTCAGGAGCTGATGCGATCAACTGGAAGAAAGGGTATCAGCGATGGAAGATGAAATGAATGAAATGAAGCGAGAAGGGAAGTTTACAGAAAAAAGAATAAAAAGAAATGAGCAAAGCCTCCAAGAAATAAGGGACTATGTGAAAAGACCAAATCTACGTCTGATAGGTGTACCTGAAAGTGACAGGGAGAATGGAACAAAGTTGGAAAACACTCTGCAGGATATTATCCAGGAGAACTTCCCCAATCTAGCAAGGCAGGCCAACATTCAGATTCAGGAAATACGAGAATGCCACAAAGATACTCCTCGAGAAGAGCAACTCCAAGACACATAATTGTCAGATTCACCAAAGTTGAAATGAAGGAAAAAATGTTAAGGGCAGCCAGAGAGAAAGGTCGGGTTACCCTCAAAGGGAAGCACATCAGACTAACAGCAGATCTCTCGGCAGAAACTCTACAAGCCAGAAGAGAGTGGGGGCCAATATTCAACATTCTTAAAGAAAAGAATTTTCAACCCAGAATTTCATTTCCAGCCAAACTAAGCTTCATAAGTGAAGGAGAAATAAAATACTTTATAGACAAGCAAATGCTGAGAGATATTGTCACCACCAGGCCTGCCCTAAGAGAGCTCCTGAAGGAAGTGCTAAACATGGAAAGGAACAACCAGTATCAGCCGCTGCAAAATCATGCCAAAATGAAAAGACCATGGAGACTAGGAAGAAACTGCATCAACTAACGAGCAAAATAACCAGCTAACATCATAATGACAGGACCAAATTCACACATAACAATATTAACCTTAAATGTAAATGGACTAAATGCTCCAATTAAAAGACACAGACTGGCAAATTGGATAAAGAGTCAAGACCCATCAGTGTGCTGTATTCAGGAGACCCATCTCACGTGCAGAGACACACATAGGCTCAAAATAAAGGGATGGAGGAAGATCTACCAAGCAAATGGAAAACAAAAAAAGGCAGGGGTTGCAATCCTAGTCTCAGATAAAACAGACTTTAAACCAACAAAGATCAAAAGAGACAAAGAATGCCATTACTTAATGGTAAAGGGATCAATTCAACAAGAAGATCTAACTATCCTAAATATATATGCACCCAATACAGGAGCACCCAGATTCATAAAGCAAGTCCTGAGCATCCTACAAAGGGACTTAGACTCCCACACATTAATAATGGGAGACTTTAACACCCCACTGTCAATATTAGACAGATCAATGTGACAGAAATTCAACAAGGATACCCAGGAATTGAACTCAGCTCTGCACCAAGTGGACCTAATAGACATCTACAGAACTCTCCACCCCAAATCAACAGAATATACATTTTTTTCAGCACCACACCACACCTATTCCAAAATTGACCACATACTTGGAAGTAAAGCTCTCCTCAGCAAATGTAAAAGAATAGAAATTATAACAAACTATCTCTCAGACCACAGTGCAATCAAACTAGAACTCAGGATTAAGAATCTCACTCAAAGCCGCTCAACTACATGGAAACTGAACAACCTGCTCCTGAATGACTACTGGGTACATAACGAAATGAAGGCAGAAATAAAGATGTTCTTTGAAACCAACGAGAACAAAGACACAACATACCAGAATCTCTGGGACGCATTCAAAGCAGTGTGTAGAGGGAAATTTATAGCACTAAATGTCCACAAGAGAAAGCAGGAAAGATCCAAAATTGACACCCTAACATCACAATTAAAAGAACCAGAGAAGCAAGAGCAAACACATTCAAAAGCTAGCAGAAGGCAAGAAATAACTAAAATCAGAGCAGAACTGAAGGAAATAGAGACACAAAAAACCCTTCAAAAAATTAACGAATCCAGGAGCTGGTTTTTTGAAAGGATCAACAAAATTGATAGACCACTAGCAAGACTAATAAAGAAGAAAAGAGAGAAGAATCAAATAGATGCAATAAAAAATGCTAAAGGGGACATCACCACCGATCCCACAGAAATACAAACTACCATCAGAGAATACTACAAACACCTCTATGCAAATAAACTAGAAAATCTAGAAGAAATGGATAAATTCCTCGACACATACACTCTCCGAAGACTAAACCAGGAAGAAGTTGAATCTCTGAATAGACCAATAACAGGATCTGAAATTGTGGCAATAATCGATAGCTTAGCAACCAAAAAGAATCCAGGACCAGATGGATTCACAGCCGAATTCTACCAAAGGTACAAGGTTGGCAGGGATATTATCCAGGAGAACTTCCCCAATCTAGCAAGGCAGGCCAATATTCAGATTCAGGAAATACGAGAATGCCACAAAGATACTCCTGGAGAAGAGCAACTCCTTCTGAAACTATTCCAATCAATAGAAAAAGAGGGAATCCTCCCTAACTCATTTTATGAGGTCAGCATCATCCTGATACCAAAGCCTGGCAGAGACACAACCAAAAAAGACAATTTTAGACCAATATCCTTGATGAACATTGATGCAAAAATCCTCAATAAAATACTGGCAAACCGAATCCAGCAGCACATCAAAAAGCTTATCCACCATGATCAAGTGGGCTTCATCCCTGGGATGCAAGGCTGGTTCAATATACACAAATCAATAAATGTAATCCAGCATATAAACAGAACCAATGACAAAAACCACATGATTATCTCAATAGATGCAGAAAAGGCCTTTGACAAAATTCAACAACCCCTCATGCTATAAACTCTCAATAAATTAGGTATTGATGGGATGTATCTCAAAATAATAAGAGCTATCTATGACAAACCCATAGCCAATATCATATTGAATGGGCAAAAACTGGAAGCATTCCCTTTGAAATCTGGCAAAAGACAGGGATGCCCTCTCTCACCACTCCTATTCAACATAGTGTTGGAAGTTCTGGCCAGGGCAATCAGGCAGGAGAAGGAAATAAAGGGTATTCAATTAGGAAAAGAGGAAGTCAAATTGTCCCTGTTTGCAGACAACATGATTGTATATCTAGAAAACCCCATGGTCTCAGCCCAAAATCTCCTTAAGCTGATAAGCAACTTCAGCAAAGTCTCAGGATACAAAATCAATTTGCAAAAATCACAAGCATTCTTATACACCAACAACAGACAGAGAGCCAAATCATGAGTGAACTCCCATTCACAATTGCTTCAAAGAGAATAAAATACCTAGGAATCCAACTTACAAGGGATGTGAAGGACCTCTTCAAGGAGAACTACAAACCACTGCTCAAGGAAATAAAAGAGGATACAAACAAGTGGAAGAAAATTCCATGCTCATGGGTAGGAAGAATCAATATCGTGAAAATGGCCATACTGCCCAAGGTAATTTACAGATTCAATGCCATCCCCATCAAGCTACCAATGACTTTCTTCACAGAATTGGAAAAAACTACTTCAAAGTTCATATGGAACCAAAAAAGAGCCCGCATCGCCAAGTCAATCCTAAGCCAAAAGAGCAAAGCTGGAGACATCACACTACTTGACTTCAAACTATACTACAAGGCTACAGTAACCAAAACAGCATGGTACTGGTACCAAAACAGAGATATATATCAATGGAACAGAACAGAGCCCTCAGAAATGATGCTGCATATCCACAACTATCTGATCTTTGACAAACCTGAGAAAAACAAGAAATGGGGAAAGGATTCCCTATTTAATAAATGGTGTTGGGAAAACTGGCTCGTCATATGTAGAAAGCTGAAACTGGATCCCTTCCTTACACCTTATACAAAAATCAATTCAGGATGGATTAAAGACTTAAATGTTAGACCTAAAACCATAAAAACCCTAGAAGAAAACCTAGGCATTACCATGCAGGACATAGGCATGGGCAAGGACTTCATGTCTAAAACACCAAAAGCAATGGCAACAAAAGCCAAAACTGACAAATGGGATCCAATTAAACTAAAGAGCTTCTGCACAGCAAAAGAAATTACCATCAGAGTGAACAGGCAACCTAGAAAATGGGAGAAAATTTTTGCAACCTACTCATCTGACAAAGGGCTAATATCCAGAATCTACAATGAACTCAAACAAATTTACAAGAAAAAACAAACAACCCCATCAAAAAGTGGGCGAAGGATACAAACAGACACTTCTCAAAAGAAGACATTTATGCAGCCAAAAAACACATGAAAAAATGCTCACCATCACTGACCATCAGAGAAATGCAAATCAAAACCACAATGAGATACCATCTCACACCAGTTACAATGGCAATCATTAAAAAGTCAGGAAACAACAGGTGCTGGAGAGGATGTGGAGAAATAGGAACACTTTTACACTGTTGGTGAGACTGTAAACTAGTTCAGCCATTGTGGAAGTCAGTGTGGCGATTCCTCAGGGATCTAGAACTAGAAATACCATTTGACCCAGCCATCCCATTACTGGGTATATACCCAAAGGACTATAAATCATGCTGTTATAAAGACACATGCACACGTATGTTTATTGCGGCATTATTCACAATAGCAAAGACTTGGAACCAACCCAAATGTCCAACAATGATAGACTGGATTAAGAAAATGTGGCACATATACACCATGGAATACTATGCAGACATAAAAAATGATGAGTTCATGTCCTTTGTGGGGACATGGATGAAATTGGAAATCATCATTCTCAGTAAACTATCGCAAGAACAAAAAACCAAACACCGCATATTCTCACTCATAGGTGGGAATTGAACAATGAGAACACATGGACACAGGAAGGGGAACATCACACTCTGGGGACTGTTGTGGGGTGGGGGGAGGGGGGAGGGATAGCATTGGGAGATATACCTAATGCTAGATGACGAGTTAGTGGGTGCAGCGCACCAGCATGGCACATGTATACATATGTAACTAACCTGCATATTGTGCACATGTACCCTAAAACTTAAAGTATAATAATAATAAATAAATAAATAAATAAATAAAACAAATATAACCAGAAAAAAAAAAGAAATAGAATATGCCTTCAAATCTAAACCCAGAGCTGTGACATGCATTTGAATATGGACCAGCTAATGCAGAACAAGATGTGATGTGAACTTGGAAGGGAATTGAACATACACACAAAGATTCCATCACTCCAGTGTGTTTTCATGGATATAAAAGAGCCTAATCATAATTATTGGCCTGATGTATTTTAGAGTTGAAAATGAAAAATACAATCCACTTCTAAATCACCCCCAAAATAGTCATTACTCATATATAAAATAATGTTTTAAATATCCTAAAGCAATTCATTGATATAACGTTATAAACACAGACATAGATTGAAGATGTCATAGATTTAGGATGTGAATAGCCCAAATACTCCCCTGAATGAAGAACAAATGAACATATGTCTGCATATGTAACAAGTACATATTTTCAGTTTCCATCATGGTTTAGTGATTTCCAAGTTGCAAAAAAGAGAAGTGTCAGGGGAGATGATAGGTGATGACTTTCTTACCCCTTTGTGGGTAGAGAACTAACCATCTGTTAACCATTTCCCCCTCTCCCTTATCCCACCTACACACTCTTGACTGTTCCTGCAAATTCTGTGTGTTCTCACATTTAAAAGGTAGTCATTTCCAGAGGCTGCTAAGGCACAGTGCTGTTGTAATTTCTACCACTCACAAGGCTGTATTAGCTTAGACAATGTAAGGAAGGGGAAATGTGCTCAGCATCTCCTGTTCAGTGCCCAGGATGATGCACAGCTAGTTCTTTTAGTGAAGGACAATGACACTGTTTATTGTTGATCAAGTCCAGCAGAAAACAAATGGCATGCTCTAAAAGGTTTAATTAACATAACTAGTGAAGGGAACATGTACAGAGATGTTGGTGTGGTTAGGGAACTAGTCATATGTAATGAATGACTCAGTGACCAGTGCCAACAGGAAGCTGTTACCAGTCCTAGTTCGAAAGCAGTAAGAGGATTGAATAGTTACCAAATCCTGCAGAGATGAAAATGGGGAAGAGGGCTGCTTGACAGGAGCTCTGGCTATAGAAGGCACTTTTTGATTTCCTTATACCTTTGGCCAAACTTAAAGGTTAGCAAAGGGCACAGGTGCCAGGGGGAAACAATTCATAATGGTCAGCTCCAGAGCAAAGTAGAGAAAGAAGATGAATAGGCGGCGATGGGATGTAGGGAAGGGCCAAAGAGAAGAAAACTAGCACTCTCGTCTTTTGTAAGGTGCTTGAAAACTGTATTTAACAATGGAAAGTATTAAGGAGGTGCTCATCTGTCACAGCAGTTAATAGTAAGTCTTAACTACTGTGTCTCATAAATGCAACTGTTATTACAGTATACTGACATATCAAGGCCAGTAGATTTGGCTACCTTAATGATTTCTGATGATATTATGGTATATCATATTTTAGCACCTACTAGGTCCTAGGCCAGTATAATTATTACCTGGTTTGTCATTTACTGAGACATCCATTCAATCAATATATTGTATTAGGCATTTTCTAGGAGCTGAATATACATCAGAGAACAAGGCAAATGAAATCCCTGTCCCAGGAAGCTTCCATTTCACAGGCAGCATGGTTAGATTATTTGTACAAAGTCACATATTTAAAAAGCGGTGGAATCGAAGTAAAAATCCCAGGCACTCTGTGTTTTGTCTATGTGCCTAACCATTGTGCTCTAGTGAACTGTGCAGTCTTGTGTATCAACAAATATTGAGGAGGCTGGAATAAGTTAAATCTCTCGGGAAGTTTCCCCCACCATTGCATTCTGGATGGGGAATAGTTAATTATTTTTAGTCCCAAGGATAACTAACCACATCCAGTCTGCAACTGTCACCGTGAATACTAGGTGTAATGTTGACGAGACTTTAAAACCACGAACCAAAGGACTATTTGAAGCCACTTTTATTTATACGTTCTAATGTAATAGCTTATTGTTTAATAGGTATTACTCCATGTAATCAGCTGAGGAAACTATAGTACATAGAGGTTAAAAGACATGTGCCCAGAATCACACAGCTAATAAGTGATGAAACCAAAATTAAAAGTGGCTGACCACCAGAATTACCTATGAATTTCTTTAAAGCAGAGACCTCCCGGCCGGGCGCGGTGGCTCACATCCGTAATCCCAGCACTTTGGGAGGCCGAGATGGGCGGGAGGTCAGGAAATCCAGACCATCCTGGCTAACACGGTGAAACCCCGTCTCTACTAAAAAATACAAAAAATTAGCGGGGCGTGGTGGCAGACACCTGTAGTTCCAGCTACTCTACTCAGGAGGCTGAGGCAGGAGAATGGCGTGAACCCGGGAGGCGGTGCTTGCAGTGAGATTGCGCCACCGCAGTCCAGCCTGGCGACAGAGCGAGACTCCGTTTCAAAATAAAATATAAAATAAAATAAATAAAATAAAATAAAATAAACTCCCAAGTCTCACCCTAGATCTTCCAAAATAGCATTAGTATTCAGTTGCTTGTGGGTGATGGAGATGTGACAACTGGCATCTATACTTTTGAAGGTTCCACAACAACACTGATCCACTCGTAGGGTCGTTAATTGCTAAAGACGCAAACTAGTCAAACGCTTTAACAGCAAATTCAAAGGGTCCACTACTACAGTCATTTCTTGATTGCTTCTCTCTCTCCAAGTGGGTCATCAGTTACAATCAGGAATTTTTTGGTCAGGGCAATATTTCGATGGAATCTATGTTTGGAGTCTTGTTGTTTGACCTATTTTTGCCAGATCATGAAATGCAATTTAACTAAATATTTTGTCTAAGAACTAATGTGAGTTTTTATGTGTATTTGTTTTTGTTTTTGTAGAGACTGTGTCTCACTGTGTTAATCAGGCTGGTCTCAAACTCATGGGCTCAAGCGATCCTCTCGCCTCAGCCTCTCAAAGTGCTAGGATTACAGGCATGAGCCACTGAACCCAGTCCCTAATGTGGTACTTAAAATATTTCTTGTTTCATCTCATTGTGCATTACAGTTTGCACAGAAAATGGGAACATAGTTAAAAGAAAAACCTTTTTCAATTATTGGAAATAGCAGCGAAACACCCTGCATTTATTCCATTTCACTTCTAACACAGGGGTTATCCCAAAAATGCAGTTCCAAGTGAAGGCAAACATAAATTCATAAATAAAATACTTGAACAGGGATAAAAGTAATCCAGTTATCATGGGCTACCACCTCCCCCTCCACCAAGTGTACATCATTTGCTTCAAATTAAGACCTCTCCAGAGGGCTGAAGACATAGTCAAAATGATGAGAGAAAAGTATAATGAACAACAGGAAATTGGGAATTTCCTAATATTGGAATGAGATAAATGACAGAGAAGCTGCCTCTAATTCACAGTTTAACACACACCCTGATGTCTGCACCTTGATTTTGGGACTCAGAGTGACCCTGCATTAATATGTTTCTTATCTCTTTCAAACAACTTGCTGGAGCATCTTTCCAGGGATATAATTGTGTTAGAGGAAAGAAAGTTTTTAAAACAATAATTCTTCTTTTACATTGACCTTTAAGATAGCCAGAATTTTCTACCTCATCATTGTTAACCTCCCTACATAATAAAATAAGGTCTGAAATCTGCTTACTCTTAAAAAAAATAGTTATCACTAATACAGCATGTACTTTGGTTGAACTTAAGAGTCAGTATATGCCATTAGTACTCAAGTTAAAAAAAAAAAAAGAAAACAATAATCAAATTTCCCTCTAATCTTGGATGGCAGCCTTCTGGAAGATTACTTGCATTAATTCAAAATTTTACTGGGGCAGTATCAAAAAAGCACCATGGTGTCTCCAGTGGAATACCACCATAACTGAAAAGCATAACATTAGACAAAATAACTGCCTGCATATGTATGTGAGTACAGCAGTACCTTCATAGGCAGTTGAATATATAACCACAGGATCATTCAGGGTTTGTGCCAACCGAAAAGTCTTTCCTGGTGATTTGCTGTCTTTCCATTGTAATCCTCCTATTTCTCCATTCCTTTCTAAATGAAAGAAGAGGGAGGAGTGGTGGGCCAGACCAGGTGGAATTCCACCTTCTAACTGCCTGCTCCCAGCTTCCTTGCTGTCCATCTAAGATTAGCTGACCAGTTTTCCTTCAAACATGGCCAACTCTAGCCATCTCACTGAAGAAACTTGATTGGCTCTGTCCAGATCTACAGATGGCTGAGGCAGTAGAAAAAGATATTTATTTAAAAGAATTTTTAAATAATACAGATAATATGGAGTAGATGCTATTGTATATAATTTATATATATATAATGGAGGAAGTATGATAGAGGGGAAAGAGAACACACATCAGAGTTTCAGCGTAAAGAAGGTATACCTAGGTTCAAATCTTGCTATGCCACCTACTAGGAGGTCATTATCTGTAAGCTGTGGTTTCTAATATTTACCTTAGAGAGGTATTGGGAGAACAAGAAGGGTTACACATATAGCTGAAGAAATGGCAGTTACTACTACTGCCACTACTACCACTACTACTACTATTACTATTACTACTACTACTACTGGTGAGGATGATGATAATTGAACAATGTCACAAAGCACACTGGGTTTTTATCCCATTACCTCATTCCCTTGCTAGGTTTTTATTCCATTACCTCAAGCTCTGAGTGTAAGTAGCAGACTTTGCTCTGTACTATCACTCTGGGGCATTTGCCATCTGCAGCTCAACCAAAGATGGCTGTCATCACCATAAAGATGTATTGTTCATAAAGCAAGAAAACTTTGCATTATTTCAAAAAACACCATACTTCTTCAGTCATCAAAGTACAGGTTCATACCAAAAGAGCCTCATTCCATACTTTCTTGAATTTCTTTAATGAGATTGTTTCTAAAATTCGCTCAATTTAAAATTTACTTCAAAATAGCTTTTAAATATTCCTGTCAAATTAACTTAAATGCAATTTTTTTCTTTAACAATTAAGCAGTTGAGTCATATCCCTCTGGGAAATATATTCCAATCTCTAAAACTTATATTTTTAGCTCATCTTTTTTTTTTTTTTTTTGCTTTTCTTACATAATGAAGTGTAGTCATTATCTTTTCCATTTTGCTTATTTGAAAATAACTAACCTTGAGTATTTGAATAAAATATATTTTGACCTTAAAAAACACACACACACATTTCCATGGATGTCTCAAATCAGTACATGTGCTCCTTAAGGAACTGCTTCCCTTGCATGCCTTAAGTAAGAGCTTTAGCATAAGAAGCTGAGTGTACCAGGGCTGGCAGCCCAGGAGGTATGGAACCATTGCTGCAAACACCCACAGAGATAGCATCAGGCTGCAGGCAAATTGTAATCAGGCAAAGAGTGTTTTCTTCTATATTTGTCTCCTTAAAACCATGAAGATCAGCTTTAAAATGCAGTTCTCTATAAAAAGGAAAAAAACAAAAACAAAAAAAGACAAAACAACAACAAACAAATAAAATGCAGTTATCCTAAGATTCATTTTTCATATGATATTTATTTAATCACCTAATACTTCGGTTTGATGTCTCACTGCATAGCAAACACATTCTTCTATACCCATCAGCTTGTGTTGCTAAAGAAAATTATGATTTGTGAGAAATATATCCTGGAACCACAAGTCTAGGGATGTCAGTTTAATCTCTTATATATATATACATTTTAATAGAGACAAGGTCTCTGTATGTTGCCCAGGGTGGTATTGAACCCCTGAGCTCAAGTGATTCTCCTGTCTCAGCCTCTCAAAGTGCAGGGATTACAGGTGTGAGCCATTGCCCTGGGCTGAGTCTATGTTTTTTACCCAAAGACATCAGTGTTTATCTAAAGTGTCTGGGTTATCCTAGGGACCACAAGGTGTCTCCGGAAGTCACCCTCAGAGCCTTACATTCCTTCCCAACCCCCTTCCACATAGAAGGAAAAATAGGCAACAGCAGCACTCTTCCTTATCTGGTAAAACTACTGCTCAAATGCAGAGGGAAAAATATCACTCAACTTGTCTGTAAGAGCAAGTTAACTACTGAAAAATAAAAGGGGAAATTAAAGTGAATTTCAAAATAAAAGAATATATAGTTGCCTCTCAATGGAAAGGGAAATTAGGACATGTAGTTTGACAGAAACAACATTGATTCCCTTCATCTAAGTTAATTAATCTGTAAAAGTAAAAAGAAAGGTTTAATGGACTAAATGTTTGTGTCTCTCCAAAAATTCATGTGTGGCAACCCTAATCCTGATGTGGTGGTATTTGGAGGTGGGGCCTTTGAGAGATAATTGGGTCATGAGGGTGGAACCTTCATGAACGGGATTAGTGCCTATATAAGAAGAGGCCAGAAAGCCAGTTTGCTCTCTTTCTGCCCTGTGAGAATACAATGAGAAGATGCAAGAACATGGAAGAACTCAACCTTGCTGGCACCCTCATCTTACACATCTTAGACTTCCAACCTCTAGGACTGTGAGGAATAAACTTCTACTATTTATAAGCAGCATGTGGCACTTTGTTAAGGCAGCTGAACCAAGACAGATGGCAACACCCACAGTGAGCTAATGAAAAAAAGGAACCTAAGCAAAAACTATTAAGGGAGAAAAGCAGAGCCAGAACATGAATGATCAGGCTACAGAAACACCTTCTAGGGCTACAAGGGTTATTCAAATGGACAGTGCTGAGCAAGGGAGAAAGTTTATACTTATTCCATATCTACATATATCGGGTACAAATCTGTGTATTTTTTCTTTTTCTTTTCTTTCTTTCTTTTTTTTTTTTTTGACACAGAGTTTTGCTCCTGTTGCCCAGGCTGGAGTGCAGTGGTGCGATCTCGGCTGACCGCAACCTCCACCTCCCTGGTTCAAGTGATTCTCCTGCCTCAGCCTCCCGAGTAGCTGGGATTACAGCCATGTGCCACCACGCCCAGCTAACTTTGTATTTTTAGTAGAGGCAGGGTTTCTCCATGTTGGTCAGGCTGGTATCGATCTCCCAACATCAGGTGATCCGCCTGCCTCGGCCTCCCAAAGTGTTGGGATTACAGGCTTGAGCCACCATGCCCGGCCAGATCTGTGTATTTTTTCATGCATTAACTCAAAAAAGTAAATAATATATAATGTCTTTAATCAATTAATGAGCAAATTAAAGTTCAGAGAGATTAAGTACTTTCCTAAGATCACAAAAATACTAAGCAGAAATTGCTTTTAAAACCAGGTCCCCACCCTGATTTTAAAGCCTGTTTTCTCTCTATTGCAACACTGATTCCAAAGGGGAAGTCTATTACGTGTAGCACTGGACAACTTTCACAGAGAAGGCAAAGTAAATTCTCAGGATATTAGGACTCTTGGCATTTCCAAGGATTTCCAGTAATTGGTGCTGTTTCTCCCTACAGCCATATGTTCCTACCCCCAGAGGTCTGAACTCCTAATAGTGGAAAATAAAGTTTGCCCCATAGGCATTCATGATGCAAGATGTCAAAGTCCGAATAAAGACATGTGAAGTTTCCCAAAAAGATACAAATTTCAAAAAATGAGATTTATCTGCTAAAAGTCTTAAAATGAAAAAAAGAAATAAAAAATGACATTTGTGAGATTTTGAGAATTTAAAATAAAAATTGTTTAAAAATTAGCAAATGATTTAATAATAATAAAATTAGGATTTTCAAAGTCAGTGATATAATTTCTACCCATAGAAACACAGGAATATATATATATATATATATGTTAAGTATTCTACTAGGCACTTCCAGTAAGCATTTGTGAAATACATTAGTTAAACATTGGACGTAACAAAAATATTCAAAAAAGGAACAAAAGCAATATCAGAGGGCCTCTGGTCCAAGCATTATTTTATTTTAACATACTGCAGCTAAGGTTAGCTGATTAAACACCCAAATGACAATTTCTTAAATAGATTTTTACTTTAGCCCATGAATGAGAACTCTGTTGCATGTGTTGGCTGGGCAATTCTCCCTACAGTCACAACCTGGTCACAAGGTAAAAATGTGTTTTCTACATGTTAAATCCTTCCCTCTGCCAATTTCCTTGTATGTAGAAAATACATATATTTTTTTCACTTAAAAACATTCTAAAAAATTGAACTTGGCTTCTGAAACTAGCCTACAAAAGGGAGAGCGGAAATGAAACTTTATGTGTTGTTATCTTTCATTTACAGATGAAGAAATGCTCATCAAAAGTCCAACAGAACCAGAAGTCCATGTCCTGGAGACCAATGGTTCTCCTGTGGGCAATTTTGTCCCCATAAGGAGACACTTAGCAATGCCTGGAGATATTTTTGTTTGTCACAACTAAGAGGGATGATACCAGCATCTTATGGGTAGAGGCCAAGGATCCAGCTAAACATCTTACAATGACAGGACAGCCTCTCACAGCACAGGATTATCCTATCCAAGATATCAATAGTTCCACTGTTGAAAAACTGTGGTCTGAAAGATAAACTCACACTTTTTATGCTGCATCAAGCAGCCCTTCCATAATGTAGTGCAAGCATTATGATTTTTTTTTTTTTTTTTTTTTTGAGACGCAGTCTTGCTCTGTCACCCGGGCTGGAGTGCAGTGGTACAATCTCGGCTCACTGCAAGCTCCACCTCCCGGGTTCACACCATTCTCCTGCCTCAGCCTCCCGAGTTGCTGGGACTACAGGCACCCACCACCACACCTGGCTAATTTTTTGTATTTTTAGTAGAGGCAGGGTTTCACCATGTTAGCCAGGATGGTCTCGATCTCCTGACCTCGTGATCCGCCCGCCTCGGCCTCCCAAAGTGCTGGGATTACAGGCGTGAGCCACCGCGCCTGGCTGCATTATGATTTTTTAAAAAGGTAGCTCTCAAAAGCACAGACTCTCCAACCACTCATTATCCATCTTGCTTCCCATCCTTTTTATTTTTTCTTAAATACATTTTTACTTAAGTATAGCATACAGAAAAAAAATGGCACACATCATAAGTGAACAGCTCAAATAGTTTTTACGAAGTTAACAGGCCTCTGTAATCATCACAAAGATTAAGATAGAGAATATTTCTACCACCCCGAAAACTCTCTTTCCAGGCACCAAAGCTCCCCACCAAAGATACTCACTATCCTGACTTCCAACACATAGAGTACTTTTGCCTGTATTTTAACCTTGTATAGATAAAATCAGGCAAGTATGAATGATTTGCTTAACATTACAGCTATAATGTTATTTCATGAAATCATAGTTTATCTTCATTGATGTATAGTGTTCTATTGAGCATATATACCATGATATTTTTATCTACATATGGTCTATTTCTGGATATTATCATTACCAATAGGACAATTACGAATATTTTGGTCAAGTGTCTATTGGTGAACGAATGTACACCTTTCGTGGTGTGGAATTCCTGGGTCATAGAGTACTCACATGATCACCTTTAACATATACTGCCAAATTTTTTTTTTTTCAAAGCAGTTTATCACTTTACCTCCCTGGAAAAAGTGTATGACATTTTCAGTTGCTCCATATCCTTGTCAATTCTTAGTAGACTCTCTCATACTCTCCCTCTCTAAGTTTAGTCTTTTTAAGTGTTTCGATAGAGGTGTCTGAATGTGATTTTAATATGTATTCCCAGGTACCAAATGATGCTGGATACTTTTTTTATTCAACATATTGTGCTTTTCTTATTGACATAAACTCTCTGCTGATATTTTATTTTAAAGACAGGACCTTGCTCTGTCAACCAGGCTGGAGTGCAGTGGTGAGATTATGGCTCACTGCAGCCTCAACATGCTGGGTTCAATCAATCCTCTTACCTCAGCCTCCCTAGTAGCTAGGACCACAGGCGCTGTGCCACCACGAGTGGATAATTTTTGTATTTTTTGTAGAGACAGGGTTTTGCCATGTTTCCCAGGCTGATCTCAAACTCCTGGGCTCAAGCAATCTACCCACCTCCGCCTCCCAGTGTTCTGGGACTACAGATATGAGCCACTGCGCCCAGCCCTCTACTGGTATTTTAGATAATAAATATATGCCCCTACTCAGTAACTTGTGTTTTCATTTTTGTAATGGTATATTTTAATAAAGACAAGTTCTTAATTTTAATGCACTCCAGTTTTCTAGTCTTTTCTATTTATTCCTTATGTTCTCTGTTTAAGGCATTTTTGCCTAATGCAAGGCCACACAGATATTGTATATTTTATTGTATACTGGCTTTTTTGTTTCATCTTTTACATAAAAATCTACAACTAACTTAGAATTGATTTTACCTATGGTGTGAGGCAGGAGTCAAGAGTTATTATTTTTCCACATGGTAATTCAACTGGCCCAGCATGATTTGTTTTCTCACTGCTCTGCAATTCCACCTTTGTCACAAATCAAATCTCCATTTAGATGTCGGTCTGGTTTTGAACTACTTTGTCCCATTAGTGTATTTGTGTATCCTGTGGCAATTGCATATTGTCTCAATTACTGTAGCTTCATAGCAATTCTTGACATCCGATAGTGTAAGTCACACAGTCATACCACTTTATTCTTTTCTTTCAACATTGTCTTTAAAATTTTTGACCCTTTTCTTTTCTGTATACATTTTAGAATCAAAATTTGCCAAAATTTACCCTGTAAAGTTGCTTGGATTTTATTTAAGATTACAGTTATTCTATAGATCAATTTGGAAAAACTAACATGCTAACAATATAAATTCTTTTAATCCATAAGCATGATAACCCCTTCATTTATTTAGCTATACTTTAATTTCTCCTAATAAAATTCTATTGTTGGCCGGGGGCAGTGGCTCACGCCTGTAATCCCAGCACTTTGGGAGGTTGAGGCAGGGGGATCACGAGGTCAGGAGATCAAGACCGTCCTGGCTAACATGATGAAACTCTGTCTCTACTAAAAATACAAAAAAAAAAAAAAAAAAAAATTAGCCGTGCATGGTGGCACATGCCTGTAATCCCAGCTACTCTGAAGGCTGAGGCAGGAGAATCGCTTGAACCTGGGAGGCAGAGGTTGCAGTGAGCCGAGATTGCACCACTGCACTCCAGCCTGGCAACAGAGCAAGACTCCATCTCAAAAAAAAAAACAAAACAAAAAAACACTATTGTTCTTCTGTGTTGAGATCTTACATGATTTTTATTAGATTTATTCCTATGCACTAGATATTGTTGATACTATAATATTTTAATTTTAATTTTACTCTTGTTGATAGAATATAAAATCTTAACTGATACTTGTATTTTAACCTTGCACCCTGCAAATTTGCTTAATTCATTTATTTTAATTGTTTAATAGATATTCTATATAAGCTATCATTTGAGTGCAAATAATGACAGTGTTTTTATCTTTTCCTTCTTTATGTGTCCACTTATAACTTCTTATTGTAGCCACATTACACTGGCCAGGACCTCTAATATAATGCTGATAGAAGTGATAATAAGGTCATCTTATTTTGCCCCTTATCATAGGGTGAAAGGTTTCAATAATTCAACATCAAGAATGGCATTTGTTTTAGGTTTCCAAATATGGATATGTATAGATCAGAGTAAGAAAGTCTTCTTCTATTCCCGGTTTGCCAAGCATTTTGTTTTGCGTTTTATCATGACTGCTGAAATTTATCAAATTTTTTTGCATCTATTCAGATGATCATCTGATTATTCTTTTGTTGGTAATGTGGTAAAAATTGGCTTTTGAATTTTAAAACAATAAACCCAATATGGTAATGATGTATTACTTTTGCATATATTATTTAATTTGATTTGCTAATATTTTGTTAGCCTATTGCATCTCTGTTTACATCATAAACAAGTTGAGGTTTTTTTCTATTTTCAGAAATACTATGTGTAAGATAGATATTTCTTTTTCCCTAAATGTTAAAAATAATTCCCTGGTGAAGCCATCTGAGCCTGGAGTTTTCTTGGTTTTTGTTTGTAAGAGTAGCTTTTAAAGTATAGATTTAATAAGTATAAATTATACCAATAACCTTCTCATTTTTGTTTCAGTTTTGAAATGTATATATTAGGAAATATTCACATTCACCTCGATTTTCAAATGTTATTAAATTCATTACATTCTTTTATTTACTAACATTTTAATGTCTGTGAGATATTTCCTATAATATTTCTGTGTTTTTCCTTTATTTCAATCTTGAAAAAGTTTTAAATTTTATCTTTTTAAAGAATCAATTTTGGTTTTTTGATTTTCTCGTGAACATTATGTGTTGTTTATTTTTCATTCATTTCTGTTCTATGTTTATTATTTTATTCTTTCTACTTTTTCTGGGCATAATTTTTTGTTCTTTTTCTGTCATATTGAGTTGTATATTTAGGTCATTTGAGTTTTTTAACTCTTTTCTTAGCATATGCATTTAAGACATACTCTATATTTATATTTTACATATATTTCCCTTTAAGCAATACTTTCACATTACCTCAAAACTCTTAATATGTCACATCTTCACTATCATTTAGCTCAAAATGTTTTGAGGGATAGTGTAAGTCATAGTCATACAACAAGTTTATCGCTTTTTGGAAATTAAGCAATACATTTCTAAAAATATTGATCAAATTTTTGTTATAGGACCAAAGTGTATTGTTTAATTTCCAAAAACTTGAGAGATATCTTATTTATCACTTGTTATTTGTTTCTAGCTTTATTATACTTTAGAAACTACCCTCTATGAATTTAATTCTTTCACATTTGTAGAGACTTAATTTTTGGCCCAGCATGTATTCAAGTTTGATAAGTGCTCCATGTGCTCTTGAATAGAATTTGTATTCTATAGATATTGAGTGTTATGTTTTACATAAGTCTGTTGAGTCAAGTCTGTGATCAAGTTATCAAGTTGTTTAAATCTTCTATGTATTTGCTGATTTTTTTTTCTGATTGCTTTGTTAGTTACTGAGAGAAGTGTCTTAAAATCTCTCACTGTATTTGTGGGTTTGCCTACTTTTTCATTTAGTTTGGTCATTTTTGCTTTACATGTTTTGAGACTATTTTATTCACTATGTATACAGTTTGAATTGCTATATTTTTCTGATGGATTAAACATTTTATCTATGCAAACTTTCCTTTACATTTATTAAAATTTGGTCAAATACTAACATAGGCATACCAATACTCTTTGGGTTACTGTTTCCTTTGTATATCTTTTTATCTTTTTCTTTTACTTCTCCTATATTTTTATTTTTAACGTGTTTCTTTTGTAAGCAGATATGATTTTTAAATCTACTGACAATAATTTTAATTGACATATTTATATATAATATAATTTAATTTATGTTATATGTAACTTATACAAAAATAGAATATATAAAATATAAAATACATATTTATATATTTTATATTTATAAAATGTAGTTATATAAACATATGTATATAAAATACAATTAATGATATATTTAGATTTAAATCTACCATCTCTATTATCTATATAATGTATAGACACATACACTTATGTACACACACAATCATGCATATAATGATATTTTGATAGATGATGAACTGCATATAAGCCTGTATTAATGTATTAAATATTAAATTTTAAATATTAAACATGTAAAAAGCTGAAACTGGATCCCTTCCTTACACCTTATACAAAAATTAATTCAAGATGGATTAGAGATTTAAATGTTAGACCTAAAACCATAAAAACCCTAGAAGAAAACCTAGGCAATACCACTCAGGACATAGGCATGGGAAAGGACATCATGACTAAAACACTCAAAGCAATGGCAACAAAAGCCAAAATAGACAAATGGGATCTAATTAAACTAAAGAGCTTCTGCACAACAAAAGAAACTATCATCAATGTAAACAGGCAACCTACAGAATGGGAGAAAATTTTTGCAATCTACCCATCTGACAAAGGACTAATATCCAGAAACTACAAAGAACTTAAACAAATTTACATGAAAAAATCAAACAACCCCATCAAGAAGTGGGTGAAAGATATGAACAGACACTTCTCAAAAAAAGACATTTATGCAGCCAACAGACACATGAAAAAATGCTCATCATCACTGGCCATCAAAGAGATGCAAATCAAAACCACAATGAGATACCATCTCACACCAGTTAGAATGGTGATCATTAAAAATTCAGGAAACAACAGGTGCTGGAGAGGATGTGGAGAAATAGGAACGCTTTTACACTGTTGGTGGGACTGTAAACTAGTTCAACCATTGTGGAAGACAGTGTGGCGATTCCTCAAGGATCTAGAACTAGAAATACCATTTGACCCAGCCATCCCATTACTGGGCATGTACCCAAAGGATTATAAATCATGCTGCCATAAAGACACATGCACAGGTATATTTATTGCAGCACTATTCGCAATAGCAAAGACTTGGAACCAACCCAAATGTCCATCAATGATAGACTGGATTAAGAAAATGTGGCACATATACAGCCATAAAAAATACTATGCAGCCATAAAAAAGGTTGGAATACTATGCAGCCATAAAAAGGATGAGTTCATGTCCTTTGTAGGGACATGGATGAAGCTGGAAACCATCATTCTCAGCAAACTATCGCAAGTACAGAAAAGCAAACACCACATGTTCTCACTCATAGGTGAGAACTGAACAATGAGAACAGTTGGACACAGGGTGGGGAACATCAGACACCAGGGCCTGTTATGGGATGGGGGGAGGGGGGAGGGATAGCATTAGGAGATATACCTAACGTAAATAACGAGTTAACAGGTGCAGCACACCAACGTGGCACATGTATACATTTGTAACAAACCTGCATATTGTGCACATGTACCCTAGAACTTAAAGTATAATAAAATATATATATATCTTTAATGATTAACTCAAGAGGTTACAATGTGCATCCTAGAGAGTGCAAGGCCCTTAGAACACATTAAACCTATTTGCCCCCTTTTCCACCTTTTATCCAATTTTGTCATATATTTTCATTCTACACTCCTTGCAAACCCCCCACAATCCTGTTATTGTTCTTTACATTAGAAGTTCATTTGAAAACGAGAGGATTGCTTGAGGCCAGGAGTTCAAGACCAGCCTGGGCCATAGCAAGACCCTGTCTCTACAAAAAAAATAAAAATTTAAACAATCTAAAAAATAAAATAGAAATGCTTTCTAATGTATTCCTATATTTATCTTCCTTGTTGTTTTTCATTATTGTCTGCATTTCTATGCATTTTCTTGAGACTATTTTTCTTCTACTTGAAGAAATCTCTTTAATTTTTTTAGGTCTGCTGATGAAAAATCTTCTCAATTTTTGGTGGTCTATAAAATTATTCACCAATTATAAAATTCCAGGTGGTGTATTTTCTTTAAAAAAATTAAAGAAATATGTTCATTGCCTTTTGAATTCCATCATTTTTTCAGAGAAGTTGACTGCTCATTTATTGGGGTTCCTTTGAAAGTGATGTAACATTTATCTCTAGTTCCCTTTTTCTGTTTGTTTATTTGGTTTTTTTGTTTGTTTGATACAGGATCTTACTCAGTTGCCCAGACTAGAGTGGAGTGGTGTGATCTCCACTCACTGAAACCTTCAACTCCTAGTCTCAAGTGACTGTTTCACTCAAGCCTCTTGAGTGGCTGGGGCTACAGATGGGTGCCACCACACCCAGTTAATTTTTGTATTTTTTTGCAGAGATGGGGTTTCACCATGTTGTCCAAGCCGGTCTCTGTGGGCTCAAGTGATCTGCGTGCCTCAGCCTCCTAAAGTGCTGGAACTACAGAGTTCTTTCTAGCTTTGGTTTTCATCTGTTTAGGTAAAAATGTGTCTACTTGTTTTATTTCTCCCTACCCTCCCTGACTTGGGTTTTACAGAACTTCTTTAATCCTGGGCTTGACATTTTTCATTGGTTTTGAAAAACTCTTAGCTATTATCTCTAGGTACTGTTTCTTCCCCCCTTTTTCTCTTCACTTCTTCTGGGACTATAATTACAAGCATGTCATTTTCCACTATGCCCCCTATGTTGTGCATGCTGTTTTCTGTATATGTTCTTGTTATTGATGTTTCAATCTATACATTTTCTACTGACCTATATTCTACCTCAAAAATCTTTTCTTCACATGTGTCTAATTATTATTAAACCATTAGTTACTTTCTTGGGGATGCTGTAACAAATTACCACCAACTTGGTGGCTTAAAAACAGAAATTTACTCTCCCACAGTTCAGAAGGCTAGGAGTCTGAAATTAAGGTGATGACAGGACTATGTTCTCTCAGGAAGCCCCTTCTATAATCTAGTTGTTCCAAGTATTCTTTGGTTTATGGCTGTGAAATTCTAATTTCTGCCTTCATCTTCATGTGGCTTTCTCCTCCTGTACCCCATTTCTCTCTCCTCTGTATGTCCCTTATACAGATCTTTTCATTGGATTTAGGGCCCACCCAGATAATCCAGGATGATCTCATCTAGAGATGCTTAATAACATCTGTAAAGACCCTTTCTCCAAGTAAGTTTTGGATGTTAGGATGTGGACCGTATCTTTTGGGAGGACATCATTCAGCCCACTGCAGCCATCTAAGGAGTTGTTAACATGAGTTATTGTTTCTGTAGCTGTGTAATTTTCTTTAAATTTCTTATTTATACTCCAATTCTCTGCAGAAAGTATTCAATTTGGTTTTAGTTTTCTAAAAACATATTAGCCACAATTATTCTCATGTCACATCTAATAAACTCCAATATCTACATCTTCTGTGTTCTGTTTCTATTGTATGTTTTTACTCTTAGTTTTTTGCTATAGATCTTCTCCACTGGATTAGTTGCATTTTAGGAACAAAAAGCACCTTAAAGGCCTATAGTAAACTGAAAGAATTATATTCCTTGACCATTTACATTATGATGGGAAAAGATCTTATTTATTGAAGTGAAAAATATGATTTTCTTTTTTATCTGCTTTATTCTCATCAGAAGATGATCCATACAAAATCTTCTTTGTTTTACATATGCGTATATACAAACGTGATATTACAAAATAATAGATCATGTCTATGCCTTATTAAAAAATATCTAATATTTTGAGATATATAGTTTTTAAACACTGTGAAAATCCATGAACAAGACATTAGAAAAAAATTTCATAAAATATTTTGGTTCTTCTGCACATTTGTAAAATTATAGAGTCAATATATTTGTAACTAGAAACTTTGTGTATTTTTTTCTTCAGACTTTGTACGTGTAAATGGAAGAAAACAGTTGAAACTAGCATTCAATAATTTAAATTTTAAAATCCTACCACTGAAGACTTGGATTAAACTGTCCAAGGCAGGAGTCAGAAACAATCAGGTAACCAGCGAAACAAAGTTGCCATTTGACTTTGAAAACAGATGTAGCATGTTGCCTCCCAGGTGTAACTTCTGTAAACTTGTTCAGCATCTCTTGTTAAGTACCCTCAAATCTGTCCTTAGATTGTTGCTCAGAAATTTTCCCTCCTCCCTGTGTCATATGCCATCAATGGTGGAGAGAGCCAAGTTCTGTCCCAGAAGATTTCTATAAAAGGGTCAGCTGGATTGTTGGAGCTGTCATGTAGCAATTTGGAAAGCCCTCCCTGCTAGTAACTTTGTTGGAATTATTAGCGTCACAGGCGTAATTGGGGAGCAATTGTTTCAATCTGACCCACGTCAGAATGACAGAAAATCCCATGGTACAGGAAAGGCCTTCTTAGTCATTGTTTGGTTAAGGTATATTAAGTTGTGTCTGTAGAAGCAAGGAAAAGGCAACTAAATCTAAGATAATAGAAGGTAATGAACCTAAATAATAATAAAGATAATAATAAGATAATCAACCTAATATAATAGAAGAAAAATAAGGTTGTATCACATTTTCAAATGCTAATAACTTCATACCAGTACTAAAACCTTGCATTTATAATTAATTTTACAAAATGTTAAGATATCCTATGTTAGATTTATAAATAAATTAACTATAATATAACTGACACAGGAAGTTGTTAGCATTTTTTATTAGATAGCATGGGTTGATTTTTCTCCTTTCTTTTTAAGAACACACAAATAGAGGAGAGAATATCAGAGACTCATCAGTTTACAGAGAATGATTCCCACTGAGGAAGAAGAGCCTGAAACAAAGATTTATACCATATCCTAACTATATAGTAATTGATGAAAGTATCAATTTGACATAATTTGACATGTTTTCAATCCTTCCGCCACAGAATTCCAGCTGATGCCACAGCACCTTCTGGTTATTCATTGTGCAAGCATTTCTTACTTAAACAAGCTTGGTTTCTCAGTGTTGCCATTGTTCCTCCCTTCCCGTGTCTGCCCAAAATTTAGAGACAAGTTTCACCTGAACATCTTCCAGCTAGCTCGTTTCACTTTAGAACCCAGTACACGCATGCGCATGTGCGCATGTGCATACACACACCCCAGATATTCATGCCACATCCCAAATATATTGAGTGAGATCCTTTAGAGATGGAAACTCAGTCTTCTGTTTATTTTAAATATTCCTCAAGTGACAATGATATATAATCAGAGTTGAGAAATCATTGATTTATATTTTTTCAAAGTAAAAAATTGAGGTGCAGAGAGAGAAGCAGACTTGAAGAAGATTCAGATGTAGGTAGTGGGGAGCTAAGCTTAAAACCGAGGCCTCTTTTGATCCAGAATTAAATTCTGTGTGTTCTATGGTATACCATCTTTGTAGAAATTACAGATATCATCCTGAAAAATTATTTTATTGGTCAAATAATGAAGTCAAATAGATTCATTACTAAGTGAATTAGAACTTTGAATATCCTAATGTGCATTACTACTGTTCAACTCTAGGGTGTGGAATACAGTATATCATTTCCTATACTTGTTTGACCATAGATCCATTTTGTTTTCTCCCAGAGAGTTTGTCATGGATCAATATTCTGTGGAACAGATGGTAAAAAGTACCATAGACCATTAATAACATTAGCAACAATTGATATGTGTACAGCTTTTACAGTTTATACAGAATGTTCATATTAAATTATTTTGGTTCATCATTTAAAACACTACATTAAAATGTCCAGTTTTGCTCGCTTATTTCTAAAGCAAAGATGATGATCTTGTGCCAAGTTTGTGCCTTTAAGTGTCAATGCATGTCTTAGAAGAATACATTAGTGGAGCAATCACGCCACGATTGCATAATAACAAAAAGTATCTGTGACAGATTAAATTATCAAACTCAATCAAAGCAAATACAGTCACTGTTCAAAACCATTGCTTATTATTAAAAAGAAAAATCTATAAAAATTGTAACTTTTGTTGAAAAAAAACTACTCAGAAATATGTGTGTGTACACAAAACTAGGCAATTCATGCACCAGGTATGTATTGAGTGCCTACCATTGAAAAGACACTCTGTCAGGTATTATGGGAAATACAGAACTGGAAATAGGCCACACAATGCCTGCAACATGAAAGATTCTCAATAAATGTTGAACAACTGTCTACAGGAAAAAAGTACTTCTCAATGAGCATTCTCTTTAGAAGGATGAAAACCAAAAGTTGATATAATACAAGGAAAAAGTATATAAATGTTGAGTAGAGCCGAATAGTGCCATGGGAGAAGAGAAAAAGAATAATAGCAAGAGCTATAATAGATAATATTTATGGGATGGTTGCCATAGTTCTAAGACTGTGCTCTTCAATATCTTATCCATTATCCACATGTGGCTATTGAACACTTAAAATGTAGTCATTCTAAATTGAGTTTTACTGTAAACAGAAAATGCCCATCAGGTTTCAAATACCTAATATGAAAAAATAATGTAAACTATTTTATTAGTAATTTTTGTATCGATTAAATGTTACATTGATAATATATTAGTAAATATTATTAAAATTATTTCAACCTGGTTTTCATATCTTTTAAGTTGAGCTACAAAAAAATTAAAATTACATATATGGCTCACACGTGTGGTTAGCATTACAATTTTTTTTGGAGAGCACTATGTATCTAAGAGCTTTAGCAACATGCTATCTCATTTAATCTTCCAAATCATCCTAAGAAATCAGTAACCATATTTGATACAAAGCATATTTTAAACAAGCTGACTAGAATTACACCAATGAGTAAAAGGACTTGCTCTACAACCAGTTCTATGGTAACTAGAGGAAAGCTACATGATGGACGATGATGATTACTCAGTTACCAGGTAGACTCAGTTAAATATCTTTCCTTAGCCAAACTGTATATGACTATAAAGGTGCCCATTTTAAACTCAGTAATTTTTACATATCATAATGATGAGAATTTCTAAGGGAAAGAGTAAAAGAATTTTATGTGTCTTATTTGAGAAGCTAAGCTTCTATCTTCTTGGACATTTCTATTGCCATTTTTCAACATAATGCCATTTGAAGACTGCATAACCAGCTCTTCCCAACTCTCCAACTGCAAATGGTAAGACTGTATGACTGAATGTGGCTCAATATTCTCCTTTACTATGAATGAGTACAAAGAGGGTGCTTCTCAGCCTTTGAACTTCTGGAAGCCACTAAATTTAAGCAATTTGGATTTCTCACAAAGAGGAAATCTTAGTGTAAGTTTCAACATACTTCCACCTCCAGGTGATTTGCAAACACCAACACAAAAGGCTCATGCCCATGATGGCAAATAATGGAACTTTGATGTGAAGCCAGTTACACTGTGAGCCTGATATTGCTTAATTGCGTGATACACACACTTAGAAACTGGCCAAAGGAAGCTCAGAGCACCTATTCAACTGAATGCCATAAATCAAATTCTAGAGAGTAAGCGTAAACATGAGTCATAAAAAGACTTGGCCTATTTTCACACCCTGAGCATGGAAAGAGAGAAATGACATTTTGTCTGGATTAATGCGATATCAGTTATAGAGAATTGTTCATCTAAAATGTTTCCAGTTCTGCCTCATTGCTGGAAGGCAGAGCATGGATGATTTATCTGAGTGGAACAGAGTCTGAGCTGTGCCTCAAATGTCTGGGCTGTGTTATCTGAAAATAAGGGAGAAAAAAAGATCCTCTGCAGCACTCGTTAAGTGTCTCTGTAGTAGCAGACAAGCTGCTTACTCATTTTAGGCAAAAAGAGGGTGACAATTTGAGATTACTTACAAAATGGGTTATCTGAGGCCATATTAGAGGTGATCTACCTCTGATACTCTCTCTCTCTTTTTGTTTTTTTGAGGCAGAATCTCACTCTGTCACCCAGATGGGAGTGCAGTGCCGCAATCTCGGCTCAATACAACTTCTGCTTTTTGGGTTCAAGCGATTATCCCACCTTAGCCTCCCAAGTAGCTGGGACTACAGGCATCCACCACCACACCCAGCTAATTTTTGTATTTTTAGTAGAGGTGGTGTTTCACCATGTTGCCCAGGCTGGTCTCAAACTCTTGGGCTCAACTGAACCACCCACCTCGGCCTCCCAAAGTGCTGGGATTACAGGTGTGAGCCGCTGCGCCTGGCCAATGCGCTCTATATTTTAGAGTCTGAAGTGTCCTCCAAGTGGTCTCTTCAAGTGCCATATGAAGGCAAACAGTTCTCATAAAATTATCCATTTCAGGCAAATCCTTTATATAAAATTCTCAATTCTTAAATTTCAGTAAATCAAAAGTTAAAAGGAAACTAATTACCTGCCATTATTTACATGTTGTACAGATCCACCTCAGTTATTATTCAACTTAGTTAGTACTTAGTTACCACCTTAGTTACTATTCACTCTAGTTATAACAACTATTGGTATTATTTTGGATAGTAAACTTTCTGAGAACACTGAAAATTTAATTTAATTCCATCGGTATTCAGAATGTAAATAATAGCCAAAATAAGGTGCACCTGGTTGGAAGGAACACTATAGAGATTCTCTGCTCCAGAAATCTGTGACTAGCAACAAAACCTATTTGAGAATATTCTTTTATGATAATGACTAAAGCTAAAGTAAACATTTCAAACTTGTTGCAAAAATTTAATACCTGGGAATTTAGCCTAGAGATATTGCATGTATCTGAAATGCCATATGTTTGAGGATATTTACTCTAGCACTGTGTATAATAGCAAAAGTCAGAGAAAAATATTCTAAATGTCTATCAGTAAGTGCCTAGTAAAAGAAATTATTATACAGATATAAAATGGGATACTATGCAGTTATTTTATAGTTTTTTTTTTAACTTTTAAGTTCAGGGGTACATGTAGAGCTTTTTTATGTAGGTAAACTCATGTCACTGGGTTTGTTGTACAGATTATTTTGTCACCCGGGTACTAAGCCTAATACCCAATAGTTATTTTTTTGCTCCTCTCCCTGGAGCCCCCACCCTCCACCCTCAAGTAGGCCCCAGTGTCTGTTGTTATATAATCATTTTTAAAAAGAGAAAGCTCTATATGTACTAAAATGGGATTACATTCCTAATAAATATCAATTATTTTAAGAAAGCAAATGGCAGAATATTTAATGTATACTTCCATTTACATTAAAAAATGTATATGTTTATGTAAGTATAGTTAATCTGTGGAGAGATTCTGCAACTAATAGTATTTGCTTATAAGATGGGTTGCTCATTGGCTGGAGTAGGGGGCAGGGTGGTTTTTTTTCTCTTCAAATTATTTGTACCTTTTGGATTTTATAACATGTATTTATATTACCTATTCAAAAAGTTAGATGAAATTTCATAAAATGATTTAGGAACCTCCAAATCATTTTATAAAGATTGTGCTTTAAGGAGAGAGGTGATGGGGAAAATAAATAAAGGAAATATCTTTCAAAAAAAAACTGTCAAAATAGTTTTTCATAAACAAAGATTCCAGAAAAATTGTCTTACTTCCACGAGTGCAATCATGAATAAATTGCACCAAGCATGGGGGGTGCTTAAGCAGTACAACTTGGAAATAAATAACATATTTACTTGAAGGCACAGGAAAAAAAAAAACATGATGTGTCCAGTTGAACAGATTCTCTCCATTGTCTATATCGCATCACGTATTCTGGGCAGAACTGTCCGCAAGGAAATCCCTCTAACGGAGCAAACACTACTCTGGGAACACACGCAGGAAATGGGAGTGATAAATCAGAAAGGCAAAGGGAACATGATGGATGCTGGAAGCAGCTAGAGGAAGGCAGGAGGATATCAAAGTGTTCAAAGGAGAACCAGAAAAACAAGACCATGTGGATGACATCAGTGGGAAGAAAATAACTTGGGACACACCAACAAAAGACACTCAAAGATGATTTGACAGCTTGGCAGTGCTATGAATAGGGTAGCAAGCTCTCCATATTTATTTGCTGGAAGATCTGCTGTTATGGCACATAGCAGTGCGTTCGAGGACAAATGCTTCCCTCCATACAAACTTTAAATGTTAATCTCTCCGTTGGAAAATATTTACTGAGCATCTGATTTGTAAGGTACTGTGGGTGATACCAAAATATATAAGATAAAGATCTGCCATCTAGGAGCTTACAGTCTACTTTCAAATAGAAAACCCTTGGGTAAAAGCTTAAATTTAAAATTATTTTTCAAATATTAATCCTTTCTCCCTAGAACTCTTCTCTCAGGATCTAGGCCTACAAAAATTTCTACTGAACACTGTTTTCAGTTCCTTTCAACTAATTATTCCGCTGAGCCTTAACAAGTAAATTATTAACAATCTAAGTTTTCATAAAGATTAAATCTACTTTTTTCCATTATTCAAAACATTTGGTCTTTGTACCTAAGATGTCATAAGTTTATAGACAGTAATATCTCAGAGGGTCTGGGATCATGAAAATATTAGGTTGAGAAACTTTCTATTCCAAGGAAATATATCTGAAAACTATTGTCTGTTTAGTCAAAATAGCTTTCCTTAAACCTAATCAAAATTCTTCCTACTGCAATTCTGACTCATTTATTAGGCCTCCACATAATTTAGCTCATCCTTTCATCAAAAGTATTCTTAACACAAAATGCAATCAAACTCTTAATCTAAATAAAACAAAGAGCACCAATTCCCTAAACATCTATCTACCATATGTCTCCAATTGTTTTATAAGATGTGTAACTTGAGTAGGGTTGTCAGGCAAGTATTAAATTTGAAATTCAAGTTAAATTTAAAATCCAGATAAACAACAACTAATTTTTTAGTATAAATTTGTTTCAAGTACTATCTGGGACAAATATTGCATGGGATATACATATACTACAAAGTATTCATTTATACTAAAAAAGTATTTATTAATTCTCTGAAATTAAAATTCAACTTGGTGTCCTATATTTTTATTTATTGAATGTGGCAAGCCTGAACTTGAGTAATTACTTTCAAAAAATTAATTATAAAATGGGATGAAAACCCTTTTATTGTTTAATAAAAAGAATGAGTATTACTTAATGTTTACCACATTTAAGATCTTAGATTACAAACCACTTATTCAGCAGCTCACCAGATGAGAAGTAAAGATGACTATTTCTGAAATGTGTGGAGGCTTTTCACTTGTTTGGCTATCCAGAATCAAGAGGCGGAATACCCTCTGGATGGAAACTTGGTGTAAGTCACTGACTACTAAGAGGCTTTCAAAACAATTCACTGATTTATGTTCCTTTTTAGCATGTGGGGTGATGGATGCTTTCCTAGTCATCTAATGCATTGATATCATGGAGTATTGTTAAATGTCTGACAGACTACCTAACTTAGAAGGAAACACTTATCAGATACTTAGTGACTCACTTTCATTCCATACTGAGTGGTGATCCCAATATACTTGTAAGTATACTATTCCACACTACCAAAAGACTTATTTCCAGAGGTTCATGAGATAAACAGTGGGAAAAAAATACGTTTAAAAGTAGAGACTTGAGAGTGAGATGAAATATGAACTATACTTTAAGACATACCCACAGAGAGTAGAAAATTGAGAGTAATGAATAAAACCCATAAAGAGATGTGTTTAAGAGGAAAATGATCTGAGGGAAGAAAAATACAATCAGAAAGTTACTATAAAACATTTTAAGGGATATGAGGATTATTAGATGCTAGAAGCAAGCATGTCTCATAATAAAATAAAAAGCAACAAACACATATTCAGCACTGTTAATACAGTGGGATAGAGCAGGTTTAAAAAGACAGGAGATGTAGATTTGCCACTGTTCATTCATTCATTCATCCATCCATTCATTTAGTCATTCACTCGGTAGATACTTGTTGAGCATTTATTGGGTGAACACATTTTTTCAGGTCCAGAGGATAGAGCTGTGTATAAGTTCCACAAGTTCTGATCTATGGAACTTACGGTCTATTTAGAAAACTTAAAAATAAATTCACTAAAAAGAAACCATGGGTTTTCCAATCTGGCATGTAAGGAGCTTGGAGACATCACTGCATCCAAAGAACATTAAAAAGTTGAACAAACTAAAAAATAACCAACGCTTCTTCGATTCACAAGAGAAATGAGGTCACAGGGAAAACCACTGCCTAAAAAATTAAAGAGATAGGCAAATACAGAGAATCACACTTTATGAGAGCAGAAACTCACTAGAAGAAACCTCTGCAGGAACTAGAGTCAGGAGAGGAAAAACTAAACTGTAATTGAAAAATTGCTGGAATTGCTTGCCATCTATATACCATCTCTGGTGTGGCATATGTTCAGGTCTTTAGCTCATTTCTTAATCAGATTGTTTTCTTATTGTTGACTTTTAAGAGCTCTTTGTATATTTGGGATAACAGTCCTTTATTAGATGTGTGTGTGCTTTTTTTTTTTTTGCAAATATATTTGCGTTATCTGTGGGTTATATCCTCATTCTCTTGACAGTATCTTTCACAGGGAAGAGATTTTCAGCTTTAACAAATTTCAGCTTATCAATGATTTCATTCATGGATTGTGCCTATGGTGCTCTCTCTAAAATGTCATCCCATCCCAAGGTCACCTAGGTTTTCTCCCATGTTATCTTCTGGCAGATTTATAGTTTAGTGTTTTACATTTACAAAATTAGAAATCAAAAATGTTTACCTCGCAACACCCTTTACTGATGAAACTAAAAACTAGTCAATGATGCAATGATCATCACACTGAGCTAAGCTCCCATTCTGGAGAGCTGTTTTGTTTATTTCCCTTCATTATTTGATGTTGAAATAGTTTTTTAAAGGCTCATCTAGATTTTATCCAGGGAACACAGATCAATAAATGGAAGATGTAGGAATTTTTCAGAAAGAGTGAAAGAAAATGGGAAACATTAAATAATTAACAAAAAATGGTCCTGTTTCAATAGGTAGTTTGAAATAAAAGTTGAGTTTTTTACATCTAAAAAAATGTACATTATTTGGATCAGATGCAAATCCAGAAATGTACAATTTTGTTTACTTACTCTTTAAAGCAGAAAGATTATTTTCTAGAATTTTACATTATCTTCAAAAGAATAATGATAACAAAGACACAGGGATATGTTTTGTTTTGTTCTGTTTTCTTTGTTTGCCGCAAGAATATTGACAGAGAGACTGCAAATTGATGGATGAGACTTTAAGACTCTTACTTAATTTATACATTTTCCTCTGTGTCTTTATTTTTTTGAGTGAGTTAAACATCTACATCTCATTAGAACACACTTGATTTTAAAAGGGAGTGTCAGTTTTTAAGCAAATAATTTTAAATATGAAAGCAATTAATGTTTTAAAGTTGTAATTACCTCGGAGTAATGCAAATAATCCCAGGATTGTACTTGAAGCCTAAAAGTGGCAAGCCACTGATGTTCTCTTTCCTGCCCTGTAAGTTGCAAATGCTACCCTTGAGATACACACAAATAGTTCGGTTATGCTCTTAAAGAGACTAACTGGTTAAGAGGAAAACCCAGAACCCCTTTAGTTCTAGTTACATTTCAACCATGGCTCTCCCACATAGTGGAACTCCATGACACCATGACAGCACCTACCTGGTGGGTGGAAGAGTGGCAATGACGCTAAGCAGTTCAAAAGGCAGCATGTGCTCCAAGTTTCCTCCAAATAACACTTAACAAAAAAGCTCAGCGGACTTCCTGTCCCACACAGGAAGCTGGAATGTGTTAGCAAGAAAAAGAGTGTTTCGGAGAAAGCAACATGGATCCTATTTATTCTTCCATGGCAAAATATGCTTGCAAATGGGCTTTTCTGAGATACAATGATAGAAATATATCTCTTAGATGGTTCTCTTCCTTCTCAGAAACATTTTTAGATAAATCAAAATTTCACAGTCACAGAGGATTTTTTAAATTAATTGGACTTTTTTTCCAGTTATAAAAGTAAAACCTAGAGAAATTTTCTTGCTGACCTAGAATAGTCACCTGCCATGTTGTGAGTCTGTCTGTGAAAAGGCCACGTATCAAGGAACTGCAGGTGGCCTCTAAAAGCTTAGAATGCTCCCAGACAACAGCCTGCAAGAAAACAGGAATCTTTGTCCTACACCTACAAAGACTCAACTTTGTCAACAACCACATGAGCCTGAAAGAAGAGCCCAATCTCCAGAAAAGATCACAGCTCAGCAGACACCTTGATTGTAGAACACCTAGCTAACCTCTGCCCAGACTCCTGACCCATGGAGATAATAAATGTATTTTGTTTCAAGCTGCTAAGGAAAAAAGTAGTGTTAGTTTATGAAAACAGTACAGAAAAGCATAGGTACAAAAATTATCCTTACCACATCCCACACTGTTAGGTGACCACTCTAAAAGCTGTGTGTGTGTGTGTGTCTGTGTGTGTCTGTGTGTGTCTGTGTGTGTGTGTGTGTGTAGGGGATGTATATGCATGTGTCTTCGGTAAAGGCTCACCTCTTCTAATTTAGTAAGGAGTGCAATTCAAAGGGCAGGAATGAGAACAAGAGAGGTGAATCCAAAAAGGAGTGATTTCTGACCCAGGGAATATCAGGTTGGGGACAGCTTGATGATACTAATTGCTTCATCTCTCAAGGATCTAAAAAAAGAAGTCATATAAGCTGTACCTTGGGACATCCATCCAGCAGTGGCTAGAGCAAGAGGTGAGTGAGGTTGAGATGATCTGAAGTGTCTGAGATGATAAGATATGTCTGATGCAAGATCCTTCTTGATATTATTTATAAATTTTAATATATACACTATCCCACAACTTACTTTTTAAATGTACTATTATTTACATTAGATAACTTTTCTTATCTGCATACAGATCTTTCTTATCCCATAGGCTACATAGTAAAGAAAGAAATTTTAGGTTAGAAGATAAATTTGAAGATTATATTATATTTTACTTTTCTTCTTTCTTTGCTTTTTTTGACAAATAATGACACTTTAAGTCATTTAGGGAAAGGTTAAAAGAACAGAGCTTGATCATTTCGCTTAAAGCTAGGGAAGTTTGACATGTCACTGAACTTTTAATATTTACTCGACAGTTTTGCATCTAATTATTAAAAATATGCTCAGCTCTGTTTGGCACATGTTTCTAATTTACCAGTATTTTATTTTGTGTATTCCTAGGGAAAGAAATTCTACTTCTTTTAAATCAGAGAAGCATGGCTGTGATCACCCTTGTGAAGTTAAGACAGGATACTTTAAAACAGTATTTAAAAATGAATACCTAACATTCCACCAATGTTGCCCTCAACTCTTTGCTGGCCAGTTTGTCTCATTAGTCATATTCTTCCCTGGAAACAGGAAAGGAGGGCAGAAGGAAAGAAGGAAGAGTTGGAGGATACCGACTGATAAGAAGGAAGAGAGGGAGGGAGGAAGTTTGTTTTCGTGACCATTATTAGATTAGTCTAGTTTTACAAATGGCCCGACTTAGTTTAGCCTTTCACTTGAATGGGATATTCAAACTAACCTTGTGCTCCCATCTAAAGGGTCAGTCTAATTCACATGAGAAAACACTCTGGGTTTGCCAGCTACTTGGTTAGCAACACTACCCTGTGTGCTTATATAGATAAAGGTCTACTCCAAGGAAAACTGGAACTGCTTTGAGTCTTTGGGAGGACTCTAAAACAGCCCCACGGTCATTTGACACATTTGGAATTTTAACAAAGAAAAGTTGAAAGCAAAGCAAAAGGAAAAGAAGTTTTCCAGGCAGACAGCAAAATGGGCAAGAGATTAAACCCTTTTCTGACCTCTCCCTAAAAGATTCTGATTCTACCAGGCGGTGGTAAACAAGGAAACTGTACAGCTTTAATTTTATGAACACTCCTAAGCAGTGGAACAAAGCACGAATCTCTGAACATCATGTTTCCTTTGATCCTCACCAATGAGCAGAAACTTCTTAGCAAGTATGTTAAAATCCAGGTGAGCACTGTGACCTTTCATGGGAGTTTTTCAATACACTAACCATTTCTGCAAGGATGATTGCCATTGCACGTCAAGTGTTACAACTTTGAAGCAAGTGAGTTTAAAGAAAAACTAAGAAAAAAAATCGAAGACAAAAGGTTGATGAGGCAGGGAAGGGGTTAAATTTCCTGGACTAGAAATAATTTTTTCCATCAGAAAATATTTAGAGGTAAGGAAGGGGTTACCCATACCTTTGTCTTCTTAGCTCCTTTTTGTAAGTTCGTTCCTTTTCACAGGTAAACGTCTAGAAACAAGATGTTATTTACTTCGTAGGAATGTGTTCCCAATGTCGGATTCAGCTGTGGCTTCTCTTTAAGACAAATAGGGCTAAATGAAGAGCAACATATTCAGTGTTATGCATGCCAGGTATATGCAGTATATAAAAAGGAAGATAAAATACAAATGCTTGCTTTTATTATTCTAAATTACAGTCAGATGATTGGTTAAATCACAGTAGCTTGAGACCTGAACTGTGGTGAAACTGTCAAAAAAGGCAACTATGCTCTTTATTGTGTTATTCAAAAATATTTTAAAATGTATTTGATGTCTGTATTCTAGGTATATAAAAGGCGTTTCAGAATTTTTGCTGTTAGATATTAAGATAAAGAAAAGGGAGAAATGTGCATTGTTTTGACTGTAAATAATGAGAAAATAGTCTAAAAAGGCCTGTCTCTCAGAAACAAAGTGAAGAAAACTGCATCTGAATGAAAGAGGTAGGAAAATGCAATCAGCAAGTTTGCCAAACAGGAGGAAACATCCCATTTGTCTAACTACTTAATTTTCTTCAGGTTTCTTCTATCTTCTATCTTCTAACACACACACCATATATGTATATATGTTTGTGTATCTCTCTCTCTATATATATGTGTGTATATATGTATAGTATGTGTATGCGTGTGTGTATGTGTGTATGTGCATGTGTGTGTGTGTGTGTGTGTGTGTGTGTAATATGGTGGAAAGCATGGCTTAAATCCCAACTCACATACTTAGGAGCTTTGCAACAGTATTTCTAACAATATTCCACGCACATCTCCTCTCAGTTTTCTGCTTCCTAACCTGTAGAATGGTAAAAATAGTCTTTCACCTTTATTTTAGAGGGCTATTCTGGGCATTAGACAAGATAACATAAAATATAATGTGAAAAGTTTGGTTCCAAAGTCACATTTTGGGAACTTGATTCCAGCCTCTCTACTTACTGCTGTGTAACATGAACAATTGACTTATTCTTTCTGTGTCTCAGTCTCCTCATCAGTAAAATGAGATAGTAACAGTGGCCCTTCATAAGGTTCTCAGTGAATTTAACTTGTTTAACAGTCATCCATATTTCAGAGAATTCCTGGGCACAGAAGGAACTCAGTAACTTAGTTGTCTACCTTTACTGCCAGCACCACTGTCGCCATTACACAAAAGTACCTAGCAGCATACCTGGTATGAAGTAGGTAAGCACTGAATATTTGTGGAAAAACCCAAGCGATCTTACATTTGGGTTTTTATTTTAATGGGATATGCCTTTCTTATTCTTTGTCATGAATCAATTATATATTATGGAAGGCAATAGTCATGCTATTTTCCTCCAGTAAAATAATTCTATAACCCTTCATATCTGCTCTTTTGGCCATATATTCTCAGTATTACGTAAGCCAAGACAGCAGGTTGAAGCAAAAATAAATTTGGTAAAACTATTAAACTACATCATCCAAATCAGTGGAGATAAATGAAAAAAAAATTCCTCTATGTCTCCTCCCTAGTGTAGAGTTTTTATTGATTTCTCATTTCTTAACTTATATGAAGCCTTGACTTTTCTGTTTTTTCTTCTCTATTAAATTAAGTATGTTACAAATTCTGTTAAAGACAAGCCATCTGGAAAAAGGGAAAGGCTACTGGCAGTAAAGTCTTAAAAACCTTTTGTCCCTCGTTCAGATTCAGACAAAACTAACATCCCAGGACCTACCTATGTTTCTGTTGGGGAGCTAGGCAATTTAATTTAAATTATCTTTTTAAATGATATAACATCTTGCATATTTAACAAAGAAAGCAAGTGACTTGCCTAGGATTACCTTTTTGGTTACTTAGGGTAATTAGCAAAGTTAAGACAAGAACTTCATCTTCTGTGGTAAATTTCTGTCTTTCCTCTACTCCATTAGGCTCACTTATAAAGTAGAGAAAAATATACCTGCTCTATGAGGCCTTGGGGTTGTCGTGAGAGTTTTATTATTATTATTAATTAGTAATATTAATCAACATAATAAAAAGATATTAATTACTGCAAGACACTATAAACAAATGGAGTAATAATATCAAAATGAATTCCAAAGACCTATAAACATTTTTGTCTTTATTGAAAACTTCTTACAATTATTGAGAAAAAGATGGTAAATGAGGTTTGAAAGTAATCTTTAACGTGGATATTATTATTAAATCAATATATTTTAACTACGAAATCTGTGAATACATATTGACATAGAAATGATTTTATTCTCTAGAACCATGCAGATGGTATATTTTCCTTGCATCACATTCTGCAAGAATATTTCAGATGGTATGTTTTCTTTGCCTTTGAAGAATTAGCTTCTGTTTTTATAATATTAGTAAAGCTGTACTACAAGAGATTATAAAGAGAGGGGAAAATTTATTATAAAGAGAGGGGAAAATTTTATAGCTCTCTATAAAAAGTGAACCCATTTATCTTCCAAGTCATAATGAGCTAGTTTAAGAAAGGCCTTTGAACTTACCTCTGGCAAGTGGAAACATTAACAAGCTGGTTTTGAGAAGAAGCTTTTGAACTCCTGGCAAGTGGAAACATCAGTCCTGACATATCATCAGGAAAGCTCAGGTCAAAAGTGCAGCAGCAGGAAAGTATTTCCACCCATGTTTCAGAAATATCAACATATCTGCATGAGCTATCATGTTCATGAATATTTCTGTCAATTTTCGAGGAGCCTTCATATCCAAAAATGGTCAAAGATTATATCAGTATGGCTCAGGGCAATATTTTTCAAACTGCAGATTGCAACCCATTGGCAGTCATGAAAGCAATTTAGTGGGTCTTACCCAGCATTTTAAAATAATGACATAGAATAGAATAAATAAAAAATATTAGCAGAAACCCAGTAGTAAGGATAAATATTGTTTGTAAGACTTCTGCTTCGGGTGTATGTTTTTTCTGTGTTTTATTATAAAATGCACTTCTTACTGTGAGCTGTAATCACAAAAGCAGAAAAGCACTGGTCTGGTAATATGAATTCTGATGTGTTTGGACAAAGATGGGGAGACAAAGGGCTTTGGATCTAAAGTCTGAACCGGAGAAACTGCAGAATTATATTGCTTCTAACACATTCTACTTCAAAGAAGGATAACACGTAAGGGAAAAGATGGCGATAAGGATTAGTTACCCTGTGTAATTTTCTTAGGTAAATTCTAGGAGCTATGAAATCATTTCTTCAATTTTCAACTTTAGCAACAAATTAATATTTTCTCCTTTAAAAGGGCAGTGGTGGTTTAGAAATCAGAATAAGACACCTGTATCTACCTGCCACATTTTCTTTTGCCTTCAGAAACTGCTGCAGGAGATCCTGTACTTTGTTGTCCATAGAGAATTGCATTGTTTTGCAGTTTATACAGTACTTTAAGCCTCCAGAAGAATTCCATGAAAGATATCAACACTTACCTTTACTTTAATTACTTCTCATCCATTCACGTAATGGGAGTCACTTGACATTAATGCTAGCTAATAGCTTCAAACAATTGCACTTGAGGTGGAGGAAAGCTTGAAATAGCTTAAAGAAAGTCAAATTAAGATAACTACAGTCAACTCATTCAGTTCACGTGAGTTTGCTTGTAAACTTCTCTAGAGGGAACAGGTGTTGGCTGGCTGATGACAACTATCCTTTACAGTATTTTATTAAATACTATAAAATATGCACGGATTAATTTGTACACAGTTGACATGGGGCAATTTTAATATTTGTTCAAACATGATTCAAATACCTAAAAAGAAAATATTATTCTGGAAGAGCACTGTCCAAAAATCTTTCTGTGGTAATGGAAAGCTCTGTATCTGTATTGTCCAAATGGTAGCCAGTAGCCACATATGGCTTGTGAGTAGGTGAAATGTGACGGGTATGACTAAGAAACTGAAGTTTCAGTTTTATTTAATTTTAATACAAATTTAAATAGCTACATATGGCTAGTGCTAACATACTGGAAAGCACAGTTCTGGAGTCTTTCACTTTCATGCTAACTCAAAACACATGAAAATTGTTCTTTTTTTATTAATGTCTCAAAAATGAAATTATTCATTTATGACAGGGTGACTTGACTCCATCTTATTATTCACTCTTTTCAAGTCATCCCCCCTACTTGAATTTCTTAGTGGTGTCTTACACGTAGTAAGTACTCAATAAACATTAGCCACTACTCTTGTTACTGCTATTATTACTTATACAGAACCTACCTTTTCCCCTAAATTAATCCTCAAAACTTCCATTTATCAGGATGTATTGAGGATCTGTTTTGATGAATTCAGACATATAGGCATTATTAGGGGAAATGTTTTTCAAACTGCAGATTTATAGCCATTAGTGTTTCATAAAAACAATTTAGCATATAAGCATTGTTATATTAATTATGTTTTTGCCAATAACACTTATAATTAAAACTTGTTTTACTAAATATTTTTAAGGTAATCTATGGTAGGTGCTAGGTGGATAAATTGTTTCTAATTTCCTTGGGCAAATCCTTTCACCTCCTTGGACCCAAGTGTATTCATTTATTAAGTGGAAAATGGACTAGACCAAGTATCACAGATGTAATGCCTACAGGATTCTGGCAGTCGCTCAAAAAATAAAGCAGGCTAAGTATAAGACTGTAAGGTATTAGTATAGTTTGAATGTTTGTGTCACTCTAAAACTCATGTTAGAACTTAAACCCTAAAGTGATGGTATTAAGAGGTGGGGCCTCTTGGGGGGGTGATTAAGTCATGAGAGCTCTGCCCTGATGAGTGGATTAATACCCTTACAAATAGGCTACTGAAAGTGTTCAGCGTTTTTTGCCCTTTTCATCACTTCTGCCACAGAGGGACATAGTGTTTGTCCCCTCAGGATTACACACTGTTCAAAGCACCATCTTGGAACCTTAGACTTCCAGCCGCCAGCACTGTGAGAAATATATTTCCATTGCTTATAAATTACCCAGTCTCTCATATTTGTTATGGCAGCACAAATGAAGATAGGTATGGAGGAATATGTATCAAACTGGAGAATTCATGTCCCACCTAAAAAAGAATAATGCCACTCAGTTTCAGCCAAATTTTGACCCTGGGTTCATAAATGCTTTAGTTTTTCAAGATAAGCCAAAAATTTAGATGATTCCTGAAGCTAAATTCACTAAAAATTAATGTGAGTAGAGTGAATTTTTAGGTATGGGTAAATTATATTTCAATAAAGCTATAAAAACATAATGTATGATCCTAAGAATCAGCAACTTCTAGACTATTTGATCTTTAAAATTCTTTCTAGTTCTGCTACTCTGGCCTTTCTGACACCTCTTCATGCGTATTTTTTGAACATTTTAGAAGTGTTTGTATCTGAGAAAGAAGTATGCTTCAAGGAAGCACTTTTTGAAGAAAGACAGCTAATTTAGCAATGATTCTACCCTTTTAGGCCTAGGCAGCAAGAATTTGGAAGTATAAACTCACTAAAGGAAAAGGACTGAAGAAGCAAATAAAATTTTGAATCGAAAAGAGTGAGGTGAGAAAAAAAATCCAAGTGAACAAACAGCATGAGGCAAAGGCAAAGAAGAAATACTCTGATTACTCCATAGCCTTTCAATGTTTTTCAAGGACATTTGCATATTTCCCAAATCTCATTCTTTTGAAAATACTGAAATGCATGTTAATTTACACTTGTCTGGAAATAGATCATATTCTAAACCATGAATAGTAGGTAATTACAAACTAGAGCTTTAACCAATTTCCAAGAAGGTGTTGATAAAAATCATCTAAAATGGGGTTTTTAGCCCAGTCCTGAACCACCCCCTACTTGAGGCCTCACTTCAGTGCTCTGTACACATATGGGGCAATTACATCTGGAAGACAATGAAGCAGCAACTTGGAGCTCTAATTAAAGACAGAAATGGGAGCACAGGATTAAAGCCAAAATTAAAGGGGTCTATTTTCATTTGAGTTGTACATTTTTCCAGTATCTTCTACCCCAGTTCTAGCCCAACCAATTTACTGAAAAGTATGTAATTCAGAAACAGATGAAAACTTAGTCATTATTTTAAATACTGTTAAGTACTGGGTGCTATTAACTAGTGGGTAGAGCTATGGAAAATTCAAGTTCTGACCAACACTGTCCCATGCTCTGTATAAATCATAGGCAATCAGTGACCATAGTTAGTTACTAGACTCTTTTTTCTAGATGCTAACTATACAATTGCTTAGTGGCCTCCAGAAATACCCTGCACTATCCATTCCAACTTTTCCAAAGAAACTGATTTTTATGTTCTACTTGATATTTACTAATCAGTGATAAATTTCAAAACTAAATAAACTGAGGCAGAATTATATACAAAATTGGGAAGTTAAAAATAATTATGCATCATTGGCTTTCACCTTTATAAACTCAAGAAAATGAAAATAAGGGCTACGTACTTTGAAAACAAATTTTCTCTTGTAACTCTATAAGTCTATAAATGCATATATATATGTATGTATGTATATATATCACCTAAGTAATTCTGTTATTCAAGACTATCGGCCGGGTGCAGTGGCTCACACCTATAATCCCAGCACTTCGGGAGGCCGAGGTGGGCAGAGCACCCAAGGTTGGGAGTTTGAGACGAGCCTGACCAGCATGGAGAAACCCTGTTTCTACTAAAAATACAAAATTAGCCAGGCTTGGTGGTGCACGCCTGAATCCCAGCTACTTGGGAGGCTGAGGCAGAAGAATCGCTTGAACCCGGGAGGTGGAGGTTGCCGTGAGCTGAGATCGTGCCATTGCACTCCAGCCTGGGCAACAAGAGTAAAACTCAGTTAAAAAAAAAAAAAGACTGTCATGATAGTATTTTAAATATTACATTGTTATTTATCTTACACACAATTTAGTGGAAATCATTGATTCCAATTTTTAAAAATTATTCTAATTCACCTTACTTATCCAACAAAGAAATGTTTACATAATTGTTTCCACTTCTTAAAATACTATCTGACACATTAAAATTGTAGTATTTACTTTGGCAGTTAAACTAGTTTTTTAAAGTCACTACAGATGAAAAATAAAGAAAAAAAGATTAACATTGCCAATTTATTTTTGTTTTAAATAAGAATGATGTTCAGATTTGATCTTAAAGTGTCCTTTAAGAGACATCATAGGAACACCTAAAATATATTTCTTAGGGGTTGTCTTATGAGTGCTCATTAACAGCAAATGCTATACCCATGGTTTTTTTTTTTTTAATAAAAAATGGAGATAATAAGTGATGTCATTACTACTATCACTTTCTGGTAAGAGGCGTTGGCTACCTGCTTTACTTCTCCAGGTAAGGATTACTCATTTCCTCTGACATCTGCAAATGTTCTTTACTTTAGGTGACACAATCTGTTGCTGCAGTAACTTCTCACAATGTATCAAAAGGCTATAAATCAAGTGGATTCAGTACCAACTCTACTTTTGCAATGACCTAGAGCTACTGTTCCTCAAGTCTTCCAGTGCTCCAGTTTAGAAAGCCTGGTATATGAGGTTGCCAACCAACGATCTATTAAAATATATTAAGCAATCATTCATCTCCCATATTCACCCAGCTACACAGATTTGCCTCTTGCTGAGATCAGAAAGTACTCTTGCTGCAGAACTGTGAATTACTTTGGATGGCAGAGTTCTTTGACTGTGTACTCCATCTTTTCTTAACAAGTTAAATGAGGCGATAAGTAGCACAGAAGTTTAGAATAGGAAATAAAGGAATAGAAAAGCCGGATTGGCTACTTCAGTTGATAAAATTCCTCTTCTTTGTGGCGTTAAGATTCTCAAAAATGTTAAATTTGAATTTTGAGAATAATCTCCATATGAGTTTTCCTTTAAATGCACTATGAAATTATACTCAAAAAGACATGGTTTTTGAGTTACTTTGCTATTTGCAGTAAAATGGGCTGCAAGGTGGGGCTAATGGGTTTTATTTTTTCTATGATTTTACTGAATTTTCTTCCTGTCCTTTTACATCAGTAACTGAATTTGAGGTGGCAATAGATCTAACTTCAAAGCATAATAATTTTCAGAATCAAAATGACACCCTCAGGAGGTTAACAATGAAATTGTCGAGATCAAATTTCAAAATAATTAAAATGGGTCATTCTAAAATAAGTGAATTTTTTCCCCATTGGTCTTCAGTATTTTTCCTTGTACTAGACTTATGTTTTGACCTAATAAACTTTGTCCATGCATAATATTTGAAATTAACCCTTTGGGTTATCCCTGCATACAGCTAACTGAAACATCCTGTCTTATTTTATATCAACAGCTTCATAACCCATGAGTGTGTCAAGCGTTATGCTTGATTAGAGATACAAAGATCAACTGTACTCTTTTTCCAAGAGTTTCCAGTCTACTGAAAACAAATGTGTCATCAGTGCCAATCTGACATCACAGCAATAATGTACAGGGTATCTAGGGACTTCCAATAGAAGCACCAACCCAGATTGATCATGACTATCCAAGTTTCCAGGGAGATGGATCTCTCCCTAAATGAAATAAGTCATACAGAGACAGGCAAACACTGCATTATCTCACTTATGTGTGGAATCTAAAAATGTTGAACTCATAGAAACAGGATAGAGGGTGGTTGTCAGGGCCTGCAGAGGTGGGGAAATGAGGAGATGTTCATCAAAAGATGCTAACTTTTGGTTATAAGATGAATATTTTCTGGAGATCTAATTTATAGCATGGTAACTGTAGGTAACAATATTGTATAGTGCACTTGAAATTTGCTAAGAAAGTAGATCTTAAATTTTCTCACCACACACACACAAAGGTATTAGATGAGGTGACAGATATGTTCACTAACTTGATGGTGGTAATCATTTTATATTATATACACATACCAAATCATCACATTGTACATCTTAAATTTGTACAATTTTATTTGTCAATTATACCTGAATAATGCTGGGGAGAAAACAAACACGAACAAAAATCTTTGATGATAAATAATTATGAACTGGACGGGGAGTATAGACAAAATTTGCAAAGGACATTTACATTAGATGGCAAAGGTGTTTCATCTAATGTTTAACTACCTTGGACAGTTTGGGTTTTGTCCCCCTTCTTTATCTTTGCTCTATTTTGCTTTGAAGGAAAGGGACATCTTAATCTAATTGAGTACTTCCTATTTTGGTCTTTCTCTAATCTCTGAATTGTTGGCTTGTTTTCTTTAATGACAAACACTATGAACTATCCTCTAGATAGTGTTCCTGTTAGAGGTGGAAACTTTTATTTCCACTTCAATCCACCCTTCTGTCATAATATTGTCACCAGTAAAGGGTCGTGGCCACAAGTTGTCCAGGTTCTTGCTATTTTGAAGAAAGAATTGGACAAAACACCAAGCAAAGCAAAGAAAGAATGAAGCAACAAAAGAACGAAAGCAGGGATTTATTAAAAACGAAAGTACACTCCACAGTGTGGGAGCGACCTGAGCAGCAGTTCAGGAGCCTGGATACAGAATCTTCTTGGGTTCAAATACCCTCTAGAACTTTCCCATTGGCCACTTCATGCTCACCTCATGTAAATGAAGTGGTAGCCTGCAAGCAGTCTGATTGGTTGCAGAAAGCAGCCAACCAGAGGCTGAAGTGAAGTTACAAAGATCACACTCCTGTGTAAACATCTGATTGGTTGCAGAAAGCAACCAATCAGAGGCTAGGGTGAAGTTACAAAGTTATACTTTTATGCAAATGAAGACTCCACCCTCAAACAGTCTGATTAGTTGCACACAGTCAATTTCCTATCTGCTGGGCAGAAAAGGTCAAAGGGGGTGGCCTCTGGTCCTTTTGTTACTCAGGTGTGGAAAGTTAGGGTTTTCCTTTCAATTTAGTTATCGGAAGTCGGCGTGAAACAGGCTTACGATCCCTGCCTCCAGACCCTATTCTCCTGCCTCAATATCACCTTAAGTTCTCTTCATCTTTGTCAAGACTAGTACATAAGAGGACAATATAGTGCAGTGGTCAATGGCATGGTTTAAAAAGGCAAACTGCAGTGATTACCAAGTCTGCTACTGTTATCTATATTTTCTTGGAAAAAATATATAACTGCTTCACGACTAATTTCCTATGCATAAGAAAATAAAAGTGATAATAATACTGGTTTCATAAGATTAACACAAATATCCAGTAACCTATTATGTAGAAGAGATGGCCGGAGCTGCACTAAACATATTGCAACAAACTACAAAGGACAGGTCAAGAGCATCAGAGCAACTTCGGCCCTGATATTCCTGAGCTACTGGGCTGGCTCTGGATTACTTTTGTGTATAATGTTCAATGTGTAAGAGGAAAACAGCAAAAACAAAAATAAAACTCTATCTTGTTTGAGGCTACTTTACATAGGTTTTTTTTCTGTTACATACAGTTAAACTTAGCTCCTAACCAATAAAGTATCTATCGAAAGTCAAAATCCCTCTCAAATACCAACTCCTGTATAATGTTCCCTCTCCAGCTTATCAAAGCTATGTTTTAAAACATATTTGGGGAATGTGCATGAGTATTGTTATCTCCCATCTTTTATTTTTATGTAGTCATACTCACAGGGACTCTGTTGGCATGAAGTATACAACTTTATCCAATAGAAAGAATGCTTGATTATTCCAGAGGGCCTGATGCCATATTTCTGAGAGGCCATGACAATGTATCCCTTTGCAAACAAGAATGAATTGTTTCCCTCTGAGTAACAGTGGTGATACAAATAGCAGAATAGATAAAAAGGTAACAAGAAATTATCAGATTCATTCACCTGCAGTCTGCCAGATGAGTACTTAAAGCCCTTGGAAATTGGCAAGTCTGTAACTGACTATCCAGGCATTGCCTGAACTTTGGGGTAAAGTGGAGGAGAGTAAGAGTAGTGCGGGTGGGGTCAGAGGTCATCATCCAAATCAATCAAAAGGGGAAAATACCTGGAAAAGTGCATGTGGGAGATTTTAATAGGCAGGCATGGAAATGGCCCACCTCACTTGCTTCATTCACATGGCCACATCTATGCTTACAGGGACTTGAGGAATAAAGTCTTGTGTCTCCATCATAAAATGGAAATAAATTTTGATGAAAAACTAACACTTTCTGTCACATGGTTTCCGTTTTCCCATGGCACGAAAGCACTCACTCATTAATTCAATAAATGTTTATAGAGTTCTTACCTTTATTGCTTATCATCTAGTTTGGGAGAAACACTATACAATTATAATTGAGGTAAATACAGAGAGAAAAAGTACAGAGCACCATCAGAGTGTATTACAGGATATCTGACTTAGAGTGAGGGATGAGGTGAAGCATCCCTGAGAAGGGGACATGAGAGCTGCCAGCTGAAAAATTAATGCACTTGAACAATCACATCCTGATAGTTGTCATGAAACAGTTCCTTCCTTCCTCCCTCCCTCCCTCCCTCCCTCCCTCCCTCCCTCCCTTCCTTCCTTCCTTCCTTCCCTCCTTCCTTAGAATTATCTCTGTGGTTTGTAGTAAAGGAGAAGTGACATCCATAACTTAGTGCAATGGGTAAATATTTATATCCCCCATTACATGAATCCTATTATATAGCTTTATAACAGGTAACCAATGTATGCACAAACCTGGTACCCTGCCTCATGTTTCAACCAACCACTGTAAAAACAACAACAACAAAATAGTTGGGTTTTAAGCTCTTTTAGAAACAGAGTTGGGAGTCAGGGTACCTGACTGATGTAATGAGGATTATTGGAAAGAGTCAGAGGGAAATAAGGAAGCATTGAAAACTTTCAAAGCAATATTGCCCAGTTTTATGGAAAATGGGATAATGATTTAAAACACAATAGACAGCCTCCCTAGTCTGCCTTCCACATGACTCTTCTCTCAATTTTTATTTCTCTCTCTGTTTCTACTCAAGCTCCTCTTGCCAACACTCTTATCCCCTTTTCTCTACTCCTTGCTTCTTTCTTACCCACTGCCTCTACTGACACATAGATTCTGATTGTCACTTTCTTTCCCTGTGCTTGGCTTTTGAATTATTTTAGTGCCTGTGTCTGCTGATTCTTCTACTACCACTATCTATTTGTATGTTTTATAGTTGTTGGCCCTAATAAACAAGAGGTTTGGAAACATTAGTCATTGTTCCCTGGCCAGCCTATAGGTGGCTACCTTAGATGCAACAGCAAGTCTCTGGTCAAATAAATTGTGCATGGCCAGGGTGCAAAGCATGCCTGTGACTCTTCATAAAAAGTATGGGAACTCTTTTTTATTTCTGGTCAAGATGTATCAGATTATTTATTCTTCTGTGTGAAGTAATAAATCAGGCACAATATATAAAATCATTTTTAGATATTGAATAACAGTCAGTGAAGGACAGTCATCAGTGAAAGAGGGGAAACAAATAAGTGAGTTCTATAATCAACAGGCCACAGTCAAAGGCAGAGTTTGGTGGTCTCTTTCCCTGGGGACACGGAGCTGGGAGTATGAGGGAATTGGGGGCACCTAGGGTTTACATGAATGAGAACTGATTGCCTCAATATTGGGGCAAATTAGCCATAGACTAAAGATCTAGTCCTACCTTACAAAATTTAAAAACAAAACATTAAAAAATTAAACTGTTTTTATATAACTGCATCCCTGAAAAAAAGTTTAAGAATATAAAAGAATACAGAGATATCTAGCACTCAGCAGAGTAACATTTATAATGTTTGGTCTCCAATAAAAAATTATCAGATATGCAAAGAAGCAGAAAAATACAACTCATAATGAGCAGATAAATGAGTCATAAAACAGTCTCATAAAAAACCACAGGTTGCCTGTAATCCCAGCACTTTGGGAGGCCGAGGCGGGTGGATCATGAGGTCAGGAGATCGAGACCATCCTGGCTAACAAGGTGAAACCCCGTCTCTACTAAAAATACAAAAAATTAGCCGGGCGCGGTGGCGGGCGCCTGTAGTCCCAGCTACTCGGGAGGCTGAGGCAGGAGAATGGCGTGAACCCGGGAAGCGGAGCTTGCAGTGAGCCGAGATTGCGCCACTGCAGTCCGCAGTCCGACCTGGGCGACAGAGCGAGACTCCGTCTCAAAAAAAAAAAAAAAAAAAAAAAAAAAAAAAAAAAAAAACCACAGGTTACAGAATTAATAAACAAGTTAAAAGTTATTATTACCGTATGCCACATGTTCTAGATAAGAGGGAGCATTTAAGTAGAGACAAGGAAGGTATAAAAAAGGTTCAAATGAAACTTCAATAAATGAAAACTATAATATCTGAGATTAAAATATGATAATGACCTTGAATAATAAAACACTGATTAACTTGAAGACATAGTGATAGAAACTATTTAAAATAAAATACACAGTTAAAAAAAGATGAAAAAAACAAATAAGCAGAGCATCTGTTGATTATGAGATATCTTCAAACAACCAAATATTTTCCTGTCATGGGAACCCCCACTGGAGAAGTTGTGACAGAAAAATATTTGAAGAATTAATGGCCAAGAAATGTCTAGATGTGATAGAAACTTTAAAGCTGCAGATCCAAGAAGCTTAAAAAGCCCCAAGCACAAAAGACATTAGAGAAAACTATACCAAAGCAAATCATAATTAAATTGTTCAAAATAAGAATAAAGAGAAAATCTTAAAAGCAGCTTGAGAAAAAAAGATACATCACATAAAAAAACAAAGATAGGAATGATGGTTGATCACATAAAAAAATAAAGATAGGAATGATGGTTGATTTATCATCGGAGGCAGTGCAAGTCAGAAGACAGTGGAGCAAAGTCTTTAAATTACTAGGGGAAAAATGACAACCTGGAATTCTATATCCAGTAAAAATATCAAAAATAAAGGGAAAATAACTTTTTCAAACGTGATAAAGCTTAAAAAATTTGTCAACAAACCTGAAGGATGGCTTTCAGGCAGAAGGAAAATGATACCAGATGGAAGTATGAAGGAATGGTGTACGAAGGAATGGTGTACAAAGGAACGAAGAGTGCCAGAAACTGTTAACACGTGGATAAATATAAATGACTCTTCCCACATCTCTCTTCCCTAGATGTGCTTATTGCTCCAAAATAGATATTTCTCAAGGAAAGCACTCCTTTCTGTATATCCCAGTTAAATGATAGTCTCTCTATCCCATTGGTTTGTTTTTTAAAAATCAGTTATAATTATGTGAAATATTTTATTTAATCATGTATTTTCAAAAGTTGTTCATGGAGTTAGGAACACTTTCTATTCTGTTGAACTGTTTCTCTGGGTCCTGAAACAATGTGCATGTCAACAAAAACACTGGTAGGTGGGAAGATGGGAGGAAGGGAGGGAGAAAAGGAGGGAGAAAGGGAATTCACAATGTGGCATAATAACCAACTGGCATTTAAATCTCCTGGGTGTGTTTTAATTTTAAAATGAAAGTTAAATTTTAGAAATCTGGACCTATTAAAATTTGTGGGGGAGATAAAGGTATTTCCAAACCTCTTGTTCATTAGGGCCAACGACTATAAGACATACAAATAGATAGTGGTAGTAGAAAAATCAGCAGACACAGGCACTAAAATAATTCAAAAGCCAAGCGCAGGGAAAGAAACTGACAATGAGAATCATCCAGTTTGATCTTCAGCTCTAGGATGCTAGTTTAAATGCAGAATCCTGGGCTCTATACCAGACCAAATAAATCAGCCTCTCTGGAGGCCAAGCCCCAGTTTCTGAATGGCCACTCAGCAATCTTGATGCACACTAAAGTTTGCATTTGGATTCTAGAAAATGATTAAAATAAATTGACCAGTGATCCATAAAACTCCATCACTGGAACCCTTAGAGTCTATGTCATTGATAACATTGAAATGACATCAGCATGTAAACAGAACATTATAGCTTAATTTTAAGTGATATGACTCCTCCTAACTTACTGTGTCATTGCTGTGGACAAGTGAGAAAGTTTTCTCTGCAGGTCCATCCAGAAATTATTCCAGAACTAAAGTTATACTCTGGATAAATCACACAAAAGACTTTAGAAACTAAGGTGAGGAATGGCCTCCTATCTAGCCCTCTTGAAAAGAGAAAACTGAATAAGAAAATGCCTTTCTAAAAGCAAAAAAAGTGACAATTGCCACAAGATCTCTTAGTGCTACATATGTTAAATTTTGGAGTTGGCTTTGTACCTGACCCCCGGGCATTTGCACTGGCTCCAAGAACAATAACTACTTCCTGCCAACTATTAGTTCCAGGGACCTAGGACAGTTTGTTGTTGGTTTTGTTTTTTTTTCTTTTTCCTTACTTTTCTAATTAAAGAACTGGAAAGACTACAAATGAGATTGATTTCCTTTAAAACTCACATAATGCACTCCAATTCCAAAAGCCACTCTCTGACAGTGACAGGAACTGGCTTGTCAGTCCTGAGATTTCTCTGTGAGCATCTCTTTGTTTTTAACTAGCGGAGTAGAGACCTGGGGAAAGAGGAAGGATCTAATAACTGTTTATAGACCAACAAATCTGTTCCTACATGTGCCCACCACTCTACAGTTTTTTTATTAACCTTTATGCCACATTCTTAGAGAAGTTCTTCAGGTTATAATTATTACACTGTGCTTGTATGCCTAGCTTTTAAACAACAAAAAAAAAATTTAAAGCTTCTTTTTGACAATACACAAACATTATTGGCAGAATTACTTAAACATAAAGTGCTTTTCTAAAGGCCAGCAATATAAAATGATGTCTTATTTCATTGGGGTAGGCAGGAAGACTACCAAATATTGGCAAGTATATGGAACAAGATCCTTTTTGAAAGCTGCATCTCAGTCATGCCTCTTGCTTCAGGAGAAAAACAATGAAACCTTTGTGGTATGTTAACATCTCACTTACCAAAGGACTTAAGCCAAAAGAAAACAAAATGAACCTAAGATCTCTCTACATTTTTTGACCTTAATAACTAAAGCAGAGTTGAATATACTACAGATCATCCACTTAAACATGATGTAGATCTCATTGGTCATACACTTTGGTTGCTGAAAGAAAGACTGAGATTATAGAAACTTTTCTTGCCTTCAATGATTAAAGCAATCATTGAGAATCAAAAAACTTAAATTGCTTCCCCAAGATTTCACCATTATTTACTGACGGAACTAAGACTAAAATCGAGATTCTCTGAAGATTTGTCCTGTATTCCAACCATTTTCTCAAAATTAAAATGGAAATAGAAATCCCTCCTCTTGGGAGACCACACAGTACCAAAGAAAGAGGGACTGCTTTGGAGTTTGATACATTTGAACACAGATTCTGACTTCATTTACCAGCTACAAGGCCTTGGGAAGTTACTTTAGCTCTGAGTCTCAGCTTCCTTAGCAGAAAATGAGGATGCTAATGTTTAGTACACATAGTGGTTTATTCAACAAGTATTTGAGGAGTAACATGGAGCCAACCATTCCTTTAGGGCAACGGGAAGACAATAATGAACAAGATAAGAATTCTTATCATCACGGAGTTTATATTCTTTTCGGCACCTAGGGACAATAAATGAACAAACAGATAGAGCATATAGCACACCAGATAATTGTAAGTGCTGTGGAGAAAAATAAAGTAGAGAATGAGGATAGAGATTACCAGGCAAATGGAAGTATGGGTAGATGGGTATGTGTTATTTTAAATAAGATAGCTAAGTGAGATAGTCTGAGGAGGCCTTATTGATAAAGGGATAGTTGAGGAAATTGGTGAAGAAAGTGAGGGATAAGAACATTCAGGTTTGCTATTGCAAACCAACCGTCCTTGAGGGGAAACATACTTGGTCTACCAGAGTAACAGTACAGAGGTGGTATGGTTGGTCCAAAGGGAACGAGAATAAAGGTGGTGAGGTGTAGTGATGGCCTGGGTGGGGACACATAGGCATATCTGATAAGATCTGTAGCCATTATAAGTGTTTTAGATTCTATTTTAAATAAAATGCAAAATCACTACATTGCTTTGAACAGAGGAGTGACATGACTGGACATATATTTTAGAAGGATCACTCTGGCCATTGTGTTAGAATAAAATATAAGGGCAGGAAGGATAGAGTCCAAGAGATCAGGTAGGAGAATTTTGCAATAACCCAGGAGGGAGATTATAATAAAGAGAGGAAAGATTCGGGATATAATTTGAAGACATAGCCAACAAAATTTGCTGAGAGATTAGACATAGCTATGAGAACAAGAAGGGGAGTCAAACATGAATGTAAAATATTTTACCTATGCTATTAGAAAGAGGGAAAAGGACTCAGGAGATGCAGGTACAGGGAGGATTCTAAGATATGTTAATAACATGGATTTTAGATATGTAAATTTTGAAATGCCTATAGACCATCAAGCAGAGATAATAAGTAGCCAGGTAGCTGATGTTGAGGTTCAGGGTAGAAGGTCTACCTTGGAGATTCACCAGCCAATAGATGATATTTAAGGCCACAAGACTGACCACACTCTTTCAGGGGGAGAGTAACTAGACTGAATCCTGGGGTATGCCCACATTTAGAGGGTGGGGAGATGTATAAATCACAAGAAATTGAGAAGTAAGGGCAGTGAGATGACAGGATAAGCAGGAGTATGTGGTAAGCAAGAATTTAAGTGAAGAATGCCTTTCCAGCAGAGGGAGTGGTCAGCTGTGCCCCATGTTACTGAAAGGTAAAATAGACCAAGGGCTAGGAATAACCAATGATTTTTGCTAAATGAAGGTAATGAGCAACGTCAATTGGTAGAATGATGTTCAAAAAGCCTAAATGAAATGTGTTAAAATGATAATGGTAAACTTGGGAAAGAAAAAACCTAATCTATCAATAGCAAAATGAGCAAAACTGAATGTAAAAGAGCTCACAGAAAAAGAAATGCATGTGACAAACAAAATACAAACCATACAAAATATGCTCAATCTTACAATAAAAATAATATAAAAAATACAATATTGAAATACCAGTTCTCATTTATTAGACTAAGAAAAATGCAAAAACATTTAAAAACAAAAACTCCGATGCAAGGTTATGAAAAAGTAGGTACTCTGAAACATTGTCAGAAGGGATTTAAAATGATAGATGCCTTCTGGAGAGGAATTGTACAAAATTTGCATATATTGACCCTTTGACCCAATAATCCCACTTCTAAAAAACTGCCTCAAAAACAACTTGGCAGAAATATGGAATGATAGCTATGCAAGCGTTTATTCATTGCAGCAATACTTGAAAAAGCCAGACTAGAAACAACTTAAATGTCTATTAATATGACTATGCAGGTTTAAAAGGATATATAAAATTATATATAATAAATATGTGAATTATATTGTATATTTTAATATAATTTATTATATATAATAATATACTATATATTTACATGTGTATATGTGTGCATGTACATATAGATGTGTGTGTATATATGTATATGCATGTGTGTGTGTATTTGTGTACATTTATTCTTTAAAAAGAGTAACAAGAGAAGGGAAAAACAAAAACTAGAAAATAGTTACCTTAGCTGGAGGATGAAAACAGGTAACACCATAGAGGGGACAGAATTGAAGTTAAACTTATTTGAACATATGTCACTTTATCATTTAATATTGAAATGATTGAGATGTCTTACATAAATTAAGAAATAAAATAAAAAAGAGGGACAGGAAAAATTAAAAGGAAATATATTTAGATAGTAACAATCTTGGAAATTAATGGGGAAAGAATAACTTTAACCGTATATCAGTTTCCATTGATTTCAAAATGTAATATTTTAACTAAACATCACTTGTACATCCCTGCTGGGATACAGTCATTGTATAAAAATGCCAAAAGAAGCTTAAACTACATTAGTATTATTGTTAAAATCAATATTTATATTCATATTATGATTTTCAAAGCATTTATATATATCAGGATCAATAAAATAAATTTGTCAACATTATTGCAAATAAATATTTTTAGTTTAAGAGAAAAGAGATACAAGTAAAAGAATCAAATAATTTAACTGAAAAGTTTGTAATTTTAAATTTGAATTGAGAACAGTAGTATGAGCTCGTGATGTATTTTTCTCTTCCTAAAAAAAAGAAAAAAAAATTCTAGTTTCATTCACTGAAGAACCCTAGAAGCTATGAAACACTATTAGCAATTAACACTCCTAATGCCCAGACTGTGGTCTCCAAATCCCATTTCCAATGAAGGAACCAGGTTCTTTGGAGAAAAGACTCATTATAAATCTGAGGCAAAAAATATACAAAATGAACCAAGGATTTTTATTTTAACAAACTAGAAAAAAGTAATAGGGTCATATTAAAAGGACATGAGAGCCAAATTGAAGGAGCTCTTACTAGAGAGGGAAAGGGAGGGTAATAGGGATATCAAAAACAGTAACAACTACAATAGATTGAAAACTGCCAACTCTTTGAAAATCTGTGAATTCATCATATATTCAAGGGAGAGAAAGCAAAGACAAAAACTGTAAACAACAAAAATACACAATCCCATTAAAGAAAATCACCTTGAAGAAAAGCTTTGTGATTGCTGGAAGAGAAGTGTGGCATGGAGAGAGATTTGTTTGTTTGTTTGTTTCAATATGGGAGAGGTGCAGCATGCTTGCATGTTGATGGAAACAATCAAATGGGGAGGGGAAAACTGATGATGCAGGACAGAGTGGGAACAATTACCTGCTGAAGCAGTATCTATGAGTAGGTAAGAGGTGAGGGAATCTAGTACACAGAGGGAAGAGTAGGCCTAAGTGGGAGCATGGACAATGCATCCATGGTGACGGGAATGAAGGAAGAGCACATGGCACACAGGCAGGCAGTTGGTAGATGGGTGAGAAAGAATGTGGATGCTCTGTTTTGATTGCTTTAATTTTCTCAGAGAAATAGAAATGGGAAAGACAATGGAAGAAAAGGTGTTGGGGGTTTGATAAGAGTGAAGATGTGAAATAGTTGTGTGGAGAGAGTAGGAAGAGGGAGTAGATTGAGGAAATATAGTAGAATTGCCAGGCAGAAGCACAATTCCAGTGGGGATGATTGCTTGTGAGTTTGAAGAGGGATGAGGTAAAATGACTGTATACTGCCCTCCAGCCACAGTCAGCCTGTGCATATGCAGGTGTATTCACAGAGTAAGTGATGAACTGTACTTAGCCAATGTGAGGATTAACTGGGATTTAACATGTAATATAATGTATATATCAGGTGATTTTATATTTATTAATTTATCTTTTCCTTCAATGTAATTATCTGACTAGGAAATACAAAATGGTAAAAAAAAAAAAACAACAAAAAAAATAGAGTTGGTATTCCAAAAAAGGAAGTTAAACTATCGCTGTTTGCCAGTGATATGATGGTATACCTAGAAAACTCTAAAGACTCTTCCAAAATACTCCTGGATTTGATAAATGAATTCACTAAAGTCTCAGATTATAAAATTGATGTACACAAATCAGTAGCACTGCTATACATCAACAATGAGCAAGCTGAGAATCAAATCAAGAACTCAATCCCTCTTACAATAGCTGCAAAACAAAATAAAACACCTAACAATAATCTTAATCAAGGAGGTGAAAGATCTCTACAAGGAGAACATAGATGACACACACAAAGCATAGATGACACAAACAAATGTAAATACATCCCATGCTCATGGATTGGAAGATTCAATATTGTGAAAATGACCACACTGCCTAAAGCAATCTACACATTCAATGCAATTCCTATTAAAATACCAATATCATTTTTCATAGAATTAGAAAAAACAATCCTAAAATTCATACGAAACAAAAAAAAAGAACCCAAATAGCCAAAGCATTCCTTAACAAAAAGAACAAATCTGGAGTCATCAAATTCCTTGACTTCAAATTACACTATAAGGCTATTGTTATGAAAAGAGCATGGTACTGGTATAAAGTAGATACATAGATCAATAGAAAAGAATAGAGCATTCAGAAATAAAGCCAAATACAACCAACTGATCTTCGACGAAAGCATACAAAAACAACTTGGGGAAAGGACACTTATTCAATAAACAGCGCTGGGAAACTGGATAGCCACACGTAGAAGAATGAAACTGGATCCTTATCTCTTACCATATACAAAAATCAACACAAGGTGGATCAAAGACTTAAATATAAGACCTGAAACCATACAAAATCTAGAAGAAAACCTAGGAAAATTTCTTCTGCACATTGGCCTAGGTAAAGAATTTATGACTAAGACAACAAAAGTGAATGCAACAAAAATAGAAATAAATGAATGGGATATAATTAAGCTAAAAAGCTTACACATAGCAAAAAAAAAATCATTAAACAGAAAACCCACAAAATGAGAGAAAATACTTGCAAACTGTGCATCCAACAAAGGACTAATATCCAGAATCTACAAGGAACTAAAACAAATCAGTAAGAAAAAATCAAAAGATTAGGTCAAAAAGTGGGCAAATGAATAGACATTTCTCCAAATAAGATATATAATTGCAAGAAATTTTCATAAGATCACTTGGCTAATAAGTGAAGAAGTCAAGATACACAAAGACTAAGCTTTTAGCCCACTTCACTGGGCTATATCAAAGAATAATACAAGGAAAAAGATCAAAGAAAGTTATCTTTCCAAATATAATATATTGTAAAGTAATAAGTATTAAAGTAATAGAGCATTGCTACCAAAATTGATCCATATGACAATACAGAAAATCCAGAATTGTACTCAGTCACAAATAATGATTACATAATAATTTCACATTAAATAAAGCAAGCTTCTCAAAACAACAAGAAAGGCTTATATTGATCTGATTGATACAATTGATCTATATACTTACAGTTCACAAATAAAGGCCAACTAGACAAAAACATTTCAATATTTTATAAGAATTGGTGAGTTATTATCTAGATTCAGTTCACTCTGCAAAATGACACAATATTAATTAATTTCTCTTCAAAATTAGTAGTAATCTAGATATCCTAAGGTAAATGGGCTGACTTTGATTTGCCCAAGTGTTGGCATATATTTTAGAATTTTTGATAGGCTTAATATAGCAGTTTTCTAGGTCTTCTTTAAAATTCCATAAACTGAGTGGCTTAAACAACAGAAATGTACTATCTCCTAGTTCTAGAGGCCAGAAGTCCAAGATCAAGGTGTCACCTGGGTTAGTTCCTTCTGAGGGCCGTAAGGAAGCATCTGTTTCAGGCCTCTGTCCTGGGCTTCTCTCTATGACTCTTCACATGGTCTTTCTTCTATGCACATTTCTGTGTTCAAATTGCCCTTCTTATAAGGACCCCAGTTATGTTGGATTAGGTCCAACTTGATGAACTTATTTTAATTTTATTACCTCTATAAAGACCCTATCTCCAAATAAGGTTACGTTCTGGGGTGCTGAGGGTTAGAATGCTAACATGTCTTTTTTTGAGGGGCGATCACAATTCATAACACTTAATATTTGAGTTTAAACCAAAGTAGCCACAGAACCTTTCAAAAGCTTTTCTGTTGGCCTCATTAATATTTTCTAAAGCAGGTTCTATTTAATTAATCATGTATAGCTAATTCTTCTTTTAGAATTAGTCGAGGTAGACTTAAAACCCCAGCCCAACATTCTTCTGAGTGACATCAAAGAGTCTCTCACTCATTTTGTATGGAGACAGATCTTATCAAGATGAACAAAACACATTTCTTGGAACTAGTCCAGTATTTCTGCAGTTGTATAAGAACAGCCTTCATGTTTTGAAAATTCCAATGCATGAAACAAGCACAGCAATCATATATGCGGCACACTCCTTCACAACAACATGGAAATCACGACGGGGAAACAACCACTTTTCATGCAAGGCAGAAGGAAATGGGTTGAGGAAGCAGAAATTGGGTGTGGACAAGAATCAGTAGAAATATGAAGGGAAGGTGGAATCTCTGTCCTGTAATCCCAAGTGTCTGATCTCACAGTCTGTATCAGTCTGTTCTCATGGTGCTATAAAAGACCGCCCAAGACTGGGTAATTTATAAGGGAAAAGGTCTAATTGACTCACAGTTCCGCATGGCTAGGAAGGCCTCAGGAAACTTACAATCATGGTGGAAGGGGAAGCAAACGCGTCCTTCTTCACAAGTCAGCAGGAAGGAGAAGTGCCAAGAAAAAGGGGGGAAACTCCCTTATAAAATTATCAGATCTCATGAGAACTAACTCACTATCAAGAGAACAGGATGGGGGAAACTATCCCCATGATTCAATTATCTCCTCCTGGTCCCTCCCATGACTTGTGGGGATTATGGGAACTATAATTCAAGATGTGATTTGGGTTGGGACACAGCCAAAGCATATCACAGTCCAAGAGGCAATTTTGCCCCACCCCAAAGACCAAATAACACAACGCCTCACACTACTCAGTGGATTATCTACCATAACTTTAAAAACCTCCCTATGGTCAGCAAAAACATTCATCTCTTTATCACCCATCACAGAATCAGGAGCTCATTAGTTTAACCTTCAGTCCAGAATTGTACTCAATCAGAAATAATGATTACATTTAATCATTAATTATTAATGATTATTAATAATTATGTAATCCTTAATTATTAATGATTGATAATTATCCATTTCCATGCATCTCCACTATTGTCATATTTATCCATCATCTCCTGTCTAGTCTACTACATATACTCCTGTCTATGACTTCACAATAGTCTCAGGCTAATCTATTTTTCACAGAGCAGCCACACACTTGTTTGAAATGCTTCAAGGAGCTTTTCAATAAAATCCAGTGTACTCACCAGAACCTGCATCATCTGGCCTTGTTTTCCCTTCATTTTATCCTACTCTTCCTCTGACCTCTGGATTCAGTGTCCCTGTTCTCCCTTTGGTCTCTTGCATATCCCAAATAGTTTCTGGTCCCAGGGTCTTCACACACTCTTTTCCCTCTTTCTTGAAACTGAGCTAACATCTGCCAGTATTCTCCTATACAATGGTATTGGTTGTGAAAACAGTGAAATACCTCTCCATCCCATTTATAAGTAAATGCAATGCCATGTTCCTACATGACCCCACATACATTCATTTTGCCCATTTCCAAGGATCCCGTAGACCTCCACAACTACTGAGCAACTAAAGGAATAATGCCTCACCCTGCGAAAAGCATGTAGAACTCTGTATCAGTCAGGGTTCAACCAGAGAAACAAAATCTTCAGAAGATATATATTATAGGATTCGTTGCAAGAAATTGTTTTTCACAGTTGCTGGGGCTGGCAAGGCAAGTGGGAAATCTGTAGGGCAGTAAGGAGAGGCTGGATGTCTCAGGTTTCAGCTGAAGTGGTAATTCACAGCAGAATTTCTTCTCTATGCTGTTCTTCCTCTTAACTTTTAAGGTCTTTCAACTGATTGAATAAGGTACATCAAGAGTATCTAAAATAATCTCCTTTACTTAAAGCCAACTGGTTATGAACGTGAGTCACATCTACGAAATACCTTCACAGCAATACCTAGATTAGTGTTTGAATAATTAGGATTTGTAGCCTACCTAAGTTGACAGATGAAACTGATCACAACAGACATTGTTCCAGCACAGCAGCTGCCAGTTGTCCACCTTATTAGTAGTTCAGTATTTTTAAATATCAGCCCTTCCTGGAACCCCTCCCCTGACCTTGCTCTTTAGAGAGTGGGCTCCATTTTTCTTCCTATCCTTCAGGACCCCACTTAAATGTCACATTCTCACAGGAAGCTTTCTTCACTACCCTCTCTGAGTCAGTCCCTCCTCGGTCAGTCTCCATCACTGACTCCACTTCTTCCTCTTCACTGCACTTGCCACAAGTTGTTATTTACATGATGCATTTTTCTGTTTACTAGTTTTGTCTGTCTTCCCCACAGAACTGTGTGTCCCATGAGCATTGAGGCTTTTATTTGTACAGTACTGTATACTGAGACTTAATTACCATGGCTGACACATAGTACCAGCTCAATTAATATTTGTCAAAGGAGTGAATGTCATCAGAGGTTACTATCATTTTACCAAGTGCTGTGCTCTTACACATTCCCTACTGTTGTTGCCTGGAAGCCTTCCATCTTCAGAATCCCAGTTAATCAGAAGTCATCATTCTGGCAAAAGCAGAGGTTCAATACAGACACATTGAAGGATCATTGCTTTTAGAAGAAATCACTTAGACATGGCTGATCTTACCTCAGATCCATAATGTGGGTTTCATATTTTTATTCATATATACAGCCCTCAGTCTTATCTCTGAAGCCTAAACCATGCCAGCTCTCACTGAGATAAGGGGCATTTGTTGCCATTGTCAAATATGTTAAATGCTTGCCAAAAAGAGTAGACACAACTTATGAACAGTTGTTGAGGAGATGGTTCTCCTTCTAAGAAGGCCCTGGAGGAGAACCATGATCAAATAAAAGGCACAAGTGTAGAATCTCACAAATTGGAAAGAGTTCCCAAAGCTCACCCCTTACCACTACATCTAACCAGATCCCAATTCCCACACTCTCCACTACCTCCAATCTTTCTCCTCTCTTCTGACTCGACGGCATGTTTAAGAAATATCTACCCTTAGTTTTCTGGTTCTGTGCCTGAGGTATTGGGCTGCAATGTCTGCTTGGTATCAGTGGACTTCTTTATACACTGAACAAGGGTTTTATCATAGTTTTTAATGAAATAGATATTCCCCCCCGCCCCCCACTTTCTTGCTAACAAATACAGACCTTCTGAGTCACCAGTGAAAAAGCCTTTAGGGGATTTGTGCAGTTAAGAGTCTTTGCATTATTCTTACTTCCCAGGATAAAGTAAGGAGGTTATTAGACACTGTGGTAAAAGAGCTTTATATATTGGGGTAAAAAGGGACAATTTCAAAAAGAGATAAAACAATTTCTGTCCACAGCAGAATTGCACAACTCTATTGACGACATAATGATGACCCTAGATCTAGAAGAGTAGAGTGTGGTTCAGAGTGATGCCCTAGGTCTAGGTTACCTGAAACAAGCCATCAAGCAATAACACGAAAACAAAATTTTCTCCATACTTTTATTTTTTGCCAGTCATCCTTCCTTATCTGTTTACTCTGCTATGAGAATATGAAATATTATAATACAGTATGGCTAAGGTCAATTACAAGAATTAACTTTAGCTTCTCTGTTTAGCTTTAAACAAAGTGCATTTGGGGAGCCCATAAAAATATTCCATGAAAGCAAGCAACACACCCACAACTCACAGAATATTGCAGCTACCGTGATAGACAGACACTTGCCTGAGGCAAAACTGTGAATTAAGGCCCCATGAAGTGGTTCATGCCTGCAATGCCAGAACTTTGAGAGGCCGAGGCAGGAGGAGGATCACTTGAACCTAGGAGTTCAAGGCCAGCCTGGATAACATAGTGAGACCTCATTTCCACACAAAATAAAAAAAAATTAGCCAGGTGTGGCAGTGCACACCTGTAGTCCCAGCTGCTCAGGAGGCTGAGGTGGAGGACCACTTGAGCCCAGGAGGTTGAGGCTGCAGTGAGCTATGATCACTCCACTGCACTCTAGCCTAGGTGACAGAACAAGACCCTGTCTCTAGAAAAAAAAAAAAAAAAAAAAAAAAAAATATATATATATATATATATATATACACATATATATTATATATATGTGTGTGTGTATATATATATATGTGTATATATATATATTATATATATGTGTATATATATATTATATATATGTGTATATATATATATTATATATATGTGTGTATATATATATATATGAAGTAGGTAAAGTTTGAATTTAAGGCCTCTAGTCCATATATGGACTGTTTCATCACTTTCAAGCGCTTATGTCTGCCCCTCAGGTACAAAGGACTCCTTCACAATTATTTTTTGTTTTCTGAATTCCTATAACACGATGGGCTTCTTGTCATGCCAACTTGTCCTGTTATATTTCTTTATATATTAATTTATTTGTTCCCAAATTAAATAATAAACTCCTGGAGGACATGGCATTATTTTTTAAGTCTTTATTTCTTCACACCACTTCGCACAAATATTTTGCCACTACCTAGTGGACTAATAACGAAGTTGTGGCAGAGATTACCAAGTTGTTCACCGAGATTTTTGTTCTGTTCTTTTTAGGCACAGAGCTAGATGGGATTTCCTAGCCTCTTCTGCAGGGAAATGAAGCCTACTGACTGACTGTGCCATTTCCAGGCTTATTCCGTATAAGCCTTTCCAGTTTCTCTCTCTCTGCCTCTGTTCTCTTCTTCTGATAAAGATGAATCCTCATGGATTGGCAAAGCCACATGATGAAAGGAGCTTAGGTCCTGAAATCACCTTGCTGAGGAAGCTGTCCATAGATCAGGAACACCTGTGTTGGACTATCAGCAAGAAATAAACATCAATTGTTTTTAAGCCAACACACATTCATGGGTCTACTTGTTATAGCAGCTAATGGTAATCTAGTGCTACTAGTAATTGAACTGGGCTTAATCCTTGGCTTACTACAGTGACAAAACTATGTGATTTATACAAGTTACTTAATTTCCCTGAGACTCAGCTTCCTCATCTGTAAAATTTAGACAATGATAGCAACTATCTCTATCAGTTTGTTGTGAGAATTAAATAAGTGCATGTAATCACTCAAAAAGTGTCTGATATCTGATGGGCATTCAATGAATATCAGTTCAGTATCAGTCAGGTGTGTGCTTAGGATTAGTTCTTGACAAGAAGAAGCTATAAGAGAGTCCAGAAAAATGGCATCCAAATTTATTTTTATTTTCCACCTGCAACAATATAGTAGAAGTTCCTTCGAGATGGGAAATACACTTATGGGTAGGGATAGTAGTCAGCAGGAGGTGTTGGGAAGGGTGAGACAAGTTAAACAAGATTCCAGTAGAATATTCAAAAATATTATTTGAATTCTTAGAACTTCCCTCCTGGCAGATATTTGAGACTTAGATTAGCATATGTAAGAACTTCACACTAGGCCAGACTGTGTCTAAACAGATTATTAGAAATAGACAATTATGCTGTTATTTAGGTCAAGGTACCAACCTCTCTATGCTGGGATATTCAGTACTTGGAGAGTTAGTCTGATTCCCATTGAGTATTAATGATTAAATGCCCAGTTGTTCACCTAATCACTGGTTGCAAATATGGCAAAGCTGGGAGACATTGACAATTGTTTGATTTGTTCAAGCTGAGTTTAGATGAAGAAATAAAGTAGTCATTATGTCTACTGTTGGGTTCCATATTCTTCAGTTTATAATACCCAGCAGGCCCTCATGCAGCACACAATAAGAAATTTAATAAGGTAAAATTTAATTAGGCATATATTATAGGCTGAATGAACTTTTGACATCTGCTTTTGGACAATTTTAGGCTGCTTGAATTAATATATTCATTCCTATTTTAGTAACATTCTATCTTCATTGTAAAAGTTTGAACATATACTTTATTATCATCTCGTAAGTTGATTCCTTTTATTTTCAGGAGAATTAACATTTTTTAAATGAGGGGATTGGTGTGGGAGAGTAGGAGTCTGCAGAAATGTGTCCAAAAATGCAGATGGTATATCTGGTAAACTTAACAATGATTGGATATCATGCTATCTCCTGCTGCAATTTTCTATCAAGAAGATCACAGAGATTAAGCATTATTTAATTTTTTATGTAAGGAAAAAGGCCAACTTTCAAAATCTATTCTCCAAATCTGGAAACATGGCAAGAAAAGATTTTTAAAATTCTTCAATTGTAGATGAATGTTTATTGCAGTATTGGTTGTATTTGCAACAATAAAAATAAATCAAAACAAAAAATAACCACCCAATATGCATCAGTAGGGAAATGGTTGGATAAATTATGCACACGCACACAGTGGGATAATATTCAGCTTTTGAAAAAAAAAATCTTTTTGAGATTGATCTGTATGTGGTTACTGGGAGAAATAGCCAAGATACATTGTTAAATAAAAAAAAAAAGTTGCAGAGTTATGTGTATAGTATAATTCCATATTTATAAAAATAAAAATTCAGACAAAAACAACAAACTCCCTATATTTGTGAACATTTGTAGAAAAAAATTATGGAAAAAGAAATACAAAACCTTTCATATTGATTACTCAGGGACATGGGTCAGCAGGGATTGTGAGTGGAGTGTGTTCACTTTCTGCTGCTCCCTGTTTTGTTTGACAGGTGCAATAGGAAGGCATTGCCAGTCCACCAACTGTGGATCAAAAATATTGAGGGGAAAAAAAGCATAAAAAATAAAAATACAACAATAAAAACAATACAAATAAAAAATACAGTATAATAATCATTTACATTATATTAGATATTACAAGTAATCTAGAGAGAATTTAAAGTATATGGGAGGATGTTCATAGGTTACATGCAAATACTACCTCATTTTTATTTTATTTTATTTTTTATTTTTTTATTTTTTTTTTGAGACGGAGTCTCACTCTGTCGCCCAGGCTGGAGTGCAGTGGCGCGATCTCGGCTCACTGCAAGCTCCGCCTCCCGGGTTCACGCCATTCTCCTGCCTCAGGCTCCCGAGTAGCTGGGACTGCAGGCGCCAGCCACCACGCCCGGCTAATTTTTTGTATTTTTGGTAGAGACGGGGTTTCACCAAAATACTACCTCATTTTATATAAGGGACTTAAGCATCCGGGGATTTTGGTATCTTCAGGGTGTCCTGAAACCAATCCCTCTAGGACACCAAAGGACGATAGTATTACAATTGCAATTTTGAATAATATATATATATATATTTTTTTGAGACAGAGTCTCGCTCTGTCACCCAGGCTGGAGTGCAGTGGTGCAATGTGGACTCACTGCAACCTCTGCCTCCCGGGTTCCAGCAATTCTCTGCCTCAGGCTCCCAAGTAGCTGGGATTACAGGCACCCGCCACCACTCCCGGCTATTTTTTTTGTATTTTTAGTAGAGACAAGGTTTCACCATCTTGGCCAGGCTGATCTTGAACTCCTGACCTCAGGATCCACCCATCTTTAAAGTCTGTAAATATGGAAGGTATTCTTGACATGTGAAAGGACATGAGTAACCACAGAAACAGGTATTTTTATACTTCCTAGGATTTCACAAAGCTTCAGTACTGTATCTCATGTCTCACTGCCCTGAATTTACAAAATTTTCATGTAACTCACATTCTATCAGAAATAAGCAATGCTAGAAATGATCCTGGAAGCCACAGACACATTCCTTTCAAAAGTAATGTGAAATAGTATATTGCAAATTGGAAATATAAAAACAGTTAAAAACAAGTTCATCTTAAATAACGGAAAATAAACTTTTTGGTTATTACTAAGAAAAGAGACTCCACATTCCCTTAATTGAAAAGACAGAAGAAAGGAAAGAAAGGAGGGAGGAAGGAAGAAAATGAATCAGGGTAGTTTGACTGGTATTTCTACTGCTGGGGGTTATGGGAGGTTGTAAGATATTAGGTCAAAAGTAGAAGAGAGGCAGATGTGGTGGCAGCAGTGGAGAGTTCCAGAGCATCCACCCACACTACATAGAGTGTAGAGGGAGGATGTTGGATTAAGGATTTGAGGATTTTCTTATTTCCCATTCCCTTCTCCCCTCACCAAAGCATAATAAATGTAACTGGTATTAGGGCTATAGAAATGCAATGGCCCTGCAATTGGGTTAGTGCTTCTTCCCATTCATTATAGATGTGGTCACAGGCCAGGGGCATTGTACATATGCAAATAGTACACCATCAGCTGGAGTGGAAAATTACAACCAGCCATATAAAATCCCAGGCACCAGTGAAGTCATGAAGTGACTGTGGATGTCTCACTGATGGCATTCCTCATCTAATCACCCCAAATTTATGAGCAGCCACCAATTGAAACTAGGTGCATACTACAGAACTCCCCCACACTGCAGTGAGAAATGGAATACAGCCTAGATTAAGAAGTAAAATGTAAGTTTGCCAGAAATGGAGCAGTAGGGAGGGGTGGTAGGAGTAAATCACAAAAAGAAGGGGTAGTGGTCCTGACTATTCAAAACAGTCTGGAAAGTAAGAGACAATGTTAAATATGCATGATTTAAATTTGGGGAATGGTCTTAAGGAAGCCAATATTTCAGAAAGAAAGTAATGTGATTAAATAAATCCATAAGGATTGTGATGTGAGCTCTGCATTTCGGATTGTTTGAAGGCAAAACACATTTTAAGTCAGGCTAGGGAGAAGACTGTTAGACCAAACCTAAGAGGTCAATAATTTGTATTAACCTTTATATCTTGGTAAAGGAGAGATGGCTATATAAAGCTAAGAAAAACGAGGGCTTTCAGAATAACAGGTTGGCAAGAAATCACGCCCTGTGGGAGTTTTAGATCCAAATCTCAGGTAAAATCCAACCTTTTCTTTTGAAACAATGCTCTATTCTCAAGTTCTTCTAAGGATAACACTGCCTCTGGGATGGGCTTGACATCTCACAAAGTGAGACCAAAAAAGTCTTCCCTGGAGTCACACAGAGTGAGAATCTGGCCCATCAATTTTCTGGGACTTCATTTTGGCAACACAGCCTGAGTGCAGAAGCCAGGGGCCCTGTGGCCCAGACAGCCCAATCTGCAGGAAGGCTGGATTCCAGCGGAGCATTGGCCAAAGACTCCAGTGACCCTGTCCTCTTCCTCTCCAGTTCACCGAAGTGAAGCCTTTTATGAGTGACTGGAAGAGAGGTCACCATTTTGACTAAAGTATTTGTTTAATGTTTCCTAATCCCATGTTCATCTTTTATTTGTCCTTTTCGGATTTCTGTTTTGATTGCTCATTCTTATAAACAACAGCATACAATTGTTTTAAGTTGTCTATTTAGGTCCCAATGTAGATGGGGAAAATAATAATTAAAAAAATAAAAATGATTGTTAAAAATAATGATACAAAAATAACGCCCATATTGTTCTATGTTAACTAAGGTTTTATATTTAAATTCTAAAGGATGGGGTATAAACATTTATCAAAGGGTCCACTTTGAAGCAGGAGGAAATATAGGCAAACAAATATTAAGCTGAGATGTTAAGACTCAGTAAGTATGACTATCAGGACACATATCAGGCCAAAGAACATTCTCCACTTTATCCTTCTTTCATAATTTCTCACCTAAAGTTCTTGTTAATTCTTCTTAACACAAAACTATTTTGAATTGATGTTGTTACCAAACAGGAAGTTAAGGTTAAAGAGTATCTTTCTTTCTTTTTCTCTTTCTTTATTTCTTTCTTCTTCTCTCTCTCTCTTTCTCTCTCCCTCTCTTCCTTCCTTCCTTCCTCCTTCCCCCTCACCCTCTCCCTCCCTTTCTCTCTTCCTTTTTTTTTTTATTGAAGCAAGGTCCTGCACAGGCTGGAGAGCAGTGTCAGGATCCTAGCTCACTGCAGCCTCAACCTCCTGGGCTCCAGTGATTCTCCTACCTTAGCCTCCTGTGTAGCTGGGACTTACAGGCATGCACCACTGCACATGTCAATTTAAAAAATTTTGTTTTGTAGAGGTAGTGTCTTGCTATGTTGCCCAGGGTTGGTCTTAAATTCCTGGCCTCAAGTAATTCTCTTGTCTTGGCCTACCAAAGTACTGGGATTACAATGTGATCCAGCCAGAGAGCTACTTTAAAATACTAAATCTACAAATGTGAAAATATTAAAAGCATCTAATAGCAGTTAAACCAAAGGTTATAAATAGTTTTAGCACTAGAAAAACTTGGAGAATTCACCTATTTCCTTCTGCAAATGTAAGTGACCTGACCAAGATCTCACAGATAGAGAAGATCTAAAACTAAGACTTGCTCTCCCAAGTTTTAAGCTAATATTCTTTCTACTTATCTGTGCGTTATCAAGCAAAGTTATTCAACATTTTCATGCCTCAGTTTCCTCAACTATAAAATGGATATCATATTAATATCTAATTCATAGGGCTATTGTGAGAATTAAATATATTAATGTTTTTAAAGTGCAAAGGAGAGTACCTGGCACACGGTAAATACTCTGTTAATATTAGCTATTATTATTTACTACACTGCCTTTCGATTAATTTACTACTTTAAAAACCTTTTAAATTAATGTTTTTGGCTGGGTGCAGTGGCTCATGCCTGTAATCCCAACACTTTGGGAGGTCGAGGTGGGCGGATCACTTGAGGTCAGGAGTTTGAGACCAGCCTGGACAACATGGTGAAACCCCATCTCTATTAAAAATACAAAAATTAACCGGCATGGTGGTGCGTGCCTGTAATCCCACCACCTCAGAGGCTCAGGCAGATGAATCGCTTGAACCCAGGAGGCAGAGTTTGCAGTGAGCTGAGATGGCACCACTGCACTCCAGCCTGGGTCACACAGCAAGACTCCGTCTCAAAAATAAATAAATAAATAAATAAATAAATAAATAAATAAATAATTTCAGTATTTAACTACTGGAAATGTAGAATTAGGTAGTAGTAAACCTTGGATAGGAATTAGGAATTTTTTCTTGTTTCTTTTCTTTTCCTATTCCCAAAAATGATTCTGCAGACTGTCTTCCCTCTTTACCTCCACATTACTTCTTAATCAATTAAGTTTGCAGTGATGAAGTAGACAAGATATATAAAAGAAGAAATACAATTTATCCTCCTGTCTCAAATTAGACATAGAGCCCAGGGTGTGACATCCACTGCCATTGTAATTATCATGACAAACTCATCAGGAGTAAATTGAACTGGCAAACTGAACTAGGGAAAAATACATGTTCCTAATACAAGACCTTCTCAAGAAGTCTTATCTAATTCCACCCAACAGAATTAACTGCTTTCTGTTCCATGTGCCAGTATAACTTTGTTTATACTTACTTTTGGAATGAATCACATCAAGCTCCTGCATCGTTCTCTGACTGCACTGCATTGTAAACCATGGACAGCAAAGTCTATGTCTTACTCATCTTCATTTCCAGAATCCAGAATACCTTACAGCAGTTAAAGGTTCTCACTAAGTATTTGTTGAATCCAATTCACAGAAAGCACTTAGAAATAAGTAAGAATATACGCTCTTTAAAAATACCATCATTTATTGAGCACATATCAGGGATCCTAAACTCTGCTAAATCCATCGTGATCATGTGAAAATGCTATCATTATTTTCATTTTGGAGATGAGAAAAATTGAGGTACAGATTGTAAATCCCAGTGCTATCTGATATTGCTTCCATTAAGCACTCCTTATTTTTATTATTTAATCACATATAATCCCTTCTGAAACAGGTTCTGACTTTAGGAATGCACTCTCTTTAGGACAGTCATTTGGTAGTATCTTAACCCTTAGTGTCTTTTATGAATAACACCAACATTAAGAAGATTGCCAATATCGTCTTCTATGGGGGAATATTGAAAACCCCACCATAATTTCCCACTGTAAAGTTCTTGTGAACAGACATGACTCTTGGGATTGGGCATTGTTTGTTGCTGTCATTGACCTGCCTGTTCATCTGTTATGATACACCTTATGTAGGCTATCACAACATTGTCCATACCAGTAGAACTTGTCTGTATGCTCATGGGATTGGCCTCCAACTACTTCTCTTCAGAACTGGAAGTTGAACCAGCTCTTTTCCAGCTAGAACTCCAACCAGTCCTGCATGCAATGTGATGCATTAGTATCTGAGATGAGTCTGTTAAATTCCACTGTGACCTTTCAAAGGCTATAATTTGGAAAAGCGTACCGAGTCTTTTGAATATGCTGCTTCCCCCGGTTTTTTCAATCATATCATTTGCTTGTGATTCCTTTCCTTCAAATCTCTTAGCCATTGTATAACCTTCTGTTTCATTATCTTTTGCTGAGTTTCTGCAATCTCTGACTTTTATAGCTTTCTCACAGTAAGAAGAATGGTGCCCATTTGAGTTATGAGTGTGTTGGGAGCTAGCAAAGCCAATAAATTACCTACATATTAATAAATAAATCAAAGTAGAGAGTATAGTAACAGAATAAGTGTTTTAAAAATGATTTAGTCTGCTAATTGAATGTTACCAACTAGCACATCCAAATACAACTTCTTTTCCTCTGAATCTGTGGTTACCCATGGAAAAATAAATGAATGTTGAGAAATGTTGAAAGTTAAAAAGAAGCTCTTTTAAACAAAGAAAGCCTGAAGCATCTCCTATTTTCAGGGTAGAGCCAGTGTGGAACGTAAATAATCATGCCAAGAGAGCAATAGAAGATGCCCTGGGGGAGAATGTAAGAGGATAGCCATTGAAAGCAACAGAAAATATAAGGCATTCAGTATAAAACCCAGCACAAACCCCTTCAAACTAAAGGCAGTGTCTGAGTACACAAATGCGGAGCAGCTGGACAAGTGTCCAGAATCCTACACACCCCCCTCCCCTTCAGGGAAGGCCAGATCCAGGTATTAACACTCACAGCAGAGGAAGATACCCCGGCCGATCCCACTCTTCTTTTTCAGTGGGCTTGTTCAGCTCCATTTCTCTGGAGATACCATATTTTCACAGGAACTTGTCTCATGCTGTGAGCCTTTCTGTGTTAGGGCTATGACATATTGATTTGCAGCATAATTACATGGCCTGTTGAGTGACTACTAGAGAATCCAGCAGATGCTTCCCTGTGGATCGTCGTTCCCGAGGAGACTGTTTTCACAGAACTTCAAATCCCAGGGGTCTAAGAACATAACATTGGCCGGGCGCGGTAGATCATGCCTGTAATCCCAGCACTCTGGAAGGCCGAGGTGGGCAGATCATGAGGTCAGGAGATCGAGACCATCCTGGCCAACATGGTGAAACCCCATCTCTATTAAAAATACAAAAATTAGCTGGGTGTGGTGGCATGTGTCTGTAATTCCAGCTACTCGAGAGGCTGAGGCAGAAGAATCTCTTGAACCAGGGAGTTGGAGCTTGCAGTGAGCCAAGATCACACCCCTGCACTGCATCCTGGGTTACAGAGGATGCAGTGCAGGGGTGCACTCATCTCCATCTCAACTCAACTCAAGACTCCATCTCAACAACAAAAAACAAACAAAGCAAACAAACAAAAAAAAACATAACACCAAAGAGGCTTTCCAAGGAAAAAGCATCAAAGACATTTCCTCTTCCTTGTCTTCCTGTTCTCATAAGTGTATATCATGTCTAGGTTTAATTTAGGGAAAGGAACAAATAAAGGAAGGGAGGAAACAGAAAAAATATAGTCAGAGAGTCCTAAACTACAAAAGCACTCTCATTCAGATGGCAGCAATAAAGTAATGTTCTGGGAGCTAATAAAACACTTCTGGCCTTGGTCATTTTTAATCTGCCATAAATCTCTAAAGATCAACTAGAAAGGTTTTTTCCCTTCAAATTCCTATAGACTTAGATATCACAGTTTACCAAATCTTGGAAGTGTGAGGTCTGTGAAGGCCCCAAAGGTGTAGGCAAGGCCAAAGGAAGGAAAGTCAGGTCTTGGATTCTAATTGCCACATGGTAGTTCCACAGTTTTTAATTGGCTGATCGCTAGATGGCTGTCGGTATCTTCATCTGTAAAAATGGAAGTGGCAAATGCATTCTACGGGTGTGAAGAGGCAATACAATTTGTTGCAGCATAAACAAGAATTATGTAAATAATGCATTTGAATAGGTGCACATCCAGACAATGAAAGGCAGCTCTGGCGAGTCCTGTAAAAATGTCCTGATTGCTTTTCCAACTGTGAGAACTTTTAGCATCTAAAGTTCAGGAGGATAATGAACTAGACTGCTCACAGCTGGGATGTGTGCATGTGCCTATTGTTATGACTATACACAATGCTGAGAGCTCTGTGAGTTTTGGTTCAGACAGATAATTTAAATCACACCATTATGGTTTCCTTTCAACTTGACCATAAACTTCTTCCAGCCCTTCATGGGGCTGCTGCTTTCGCTGTCTACACCCAGTCTTTCACTCCAGTCCACTCTCAGGCAATGGCTGAATAACTTATCAGTTTTATAAGAGCAAGATCCTTCATTTCATTTTTGCACTTAATTTTTATTTCACTTTTAGAATCAAAGATACTGTTGCATTCATTTTAATCCTGCTCGGATGTGCACACTCTTCAACTCCATCAGTGCACACACACATGCCCCACCCAGTCTCTGAAAGTGCATACTGTCTCAGAGGTGCCTTTTCTCGAGATGGGGTAGGATATTAAGAAGCAGGTTAGAACATCATGACGCATGGAACATTTTTAATCTAAGGTGAATGCTCTTGACATATTCAGACCTAATCTATTTCAGTAACTTCATGGTATGCAGGAGCAGTTAAGTTCCAGAGTGACAGATGTCATATGATTGCTTAAAGAGATAATTGATTTTAAATAGGTGGCCACTTTTTTATTTTTGGTGGCACTGAGTTGGCTCCTCTTAAAACATCCAGATAATACTTGGTGAGCATCACAAGGAGCCGAGAGGTCTGTACTAGTATCGGCTCCATTGCATGAAAAGGACTCATTAGAAATAGAAATGTGGGGGAGTGCCTCCTTATCCTCACTGTCCCTGAGCTGTCCTGCCCAGCAGGTGCCACCTCCTACTCAATTGCAAACAAGGAGCTCACAATAGTTCTCCAGCAGCAACTCTGTTGTCATAATCACCAAGAGATCATTGGAGCCCAGCAGCCCAAATGCCATTCTAAATTTGTAAAAGGCTCAGGTATACATCAGGTGGAGGTGATCCTGCAAAACTCAGCACATAGGCTCTGTAAACATGGGATGGGGGAAGCTCCAGATGTAACTAATAAAAATTGGCTGTGCAGAATCCCTCAAGGATGATGAGAACCTCATTGATGTAATCATTTGGGAGAGAGACAGGGTAATGATCCTGAGCAGATTTATCCATTCTCTTGATTAATCAGCTCACAAGGCTGTTATATTCTTCATAATATCCCTAGACCCATGCATCACTCCTTTTTATCTTTCATAAACTGTTAGTTGTTACTGTGTTTTAATACACTGTTTTAAAACCGATTCGGCTACCTTATAGAGTCAGATACTACCAACCAGTGTCACAGACAAGCTTCTTAAACATTAATGTGTGCGTTTACTTAAAATTATTCAGAGTTCCATAAAGCGGGATGAAAACAACCAGAGTATGTGTGAAGAGTTGTTTTGGTAACTTGCTTACTCTGTCACTATGACAAATTTTGCCATTTGGCCATTTTAGGGGCTTTTATTCTCTGTGCACAATTAACCAGCCAACTACCTTACTGTATTTTCTTGATTTATGGGGATATTTTGTCAATATTTTAATAATTTTGAAATCAGGGCTGGGCGTGGTGGCTCATGCCTGTAATCCCAGCACTTTGGGAGGCCGAGGTGGACGGATCACGAGGTCAGGAAATCGAGACCACCCTGGCTAACACAGTGAAATCCCGTCTCTACTAAAAATACAAAAAATTAGCCGGGCATGGTGGCGGGCGCCTGTAGTCCCAGCTACTCGGGAGGCTGAGGCAGGAGAATGGTGTGAACCCGGGAGGTGGAGCTTGCAGTGAGCTGAGATCGTGCCACTGCACTCCAGCCTGGGCGACAGAGCGAGACTCCGTCTCAAAAAAAAAAAAAGAAATCAAGTGTTTATTATATAATTAAATAAAAAGCAATTTGTCAGCTCCAAAACCATAAGTTATGCTTTGTGGTAACTGCCTGAATACATGCAAATTTAACTGTGTATAAAGGTATCAGACCATGTATTATCACCTCTATTGAGATATTTGTAATTGCAGTACCACCTGTGGTTGAATTTTAATCAAAATTGTGATTCCCTAATTTCCATTTGAAATGCCTTAAAAATTAGTATAATCTAGCAGAAAAATGAGAAGTTATTAAGCACATTAGGTTGTCGTCTGCCAGGCAGTGCGAAAACAAGTAGTGGAAATCACCAGTCACTCAAAATAGAGCACAGAATTTCCAAAGCTTGGCAAGGGTGATAGGACACATTCAAATGCTGGTTAGGATTATCATCAAGGGATTTTTCAGTGCCAGTGGTTTCTGACTGAAGTTAAAGAGAAGCTGTTTAAAATACCAGAATTGTATGTCAGTTAAACAACACCAACCAACCAACAAGTTCAAAAAAATAGGAAAAGCGAGTAAAAGCACATGTAGCCAAATGTTCATACTTAAATTCTAATGAGGCTAAGAACTTCAAGATTATGAACACAGGTTATAGTAAGTATAGAGTAAGTTTTAAAAGTGTCTTAAAATTAATGATGTATCTTAAAGTCCTATAAATAGGAATAGGAGAATGGAGTGAGAGTTCATTCATAACGCCTTGTTTGATAATGGTGGTGAAAATGAAAAGATTATAATCTCACTTTTAGTTTGGTATCCAAGATGAGCTGCTAATGTATTCTTTAGGGCAGGAATGACAATATACTTCTTCTACTCCATATTTCATCTTTCTACATACATCTCAGTTGAGCTAACTGATCTCAAATTCCAGTAAAGATCCTTCATAGAGTTTCAGTGATGGCCCAGGGTTTGGTTAAGTAAGCAGAAGAAAATAAGGGCATCCTACATGTCCCATTCTTCTGTTGTCCTGAGTCTTTGACCAAACAACTAGAACAATTCATAGGCATAGATTTTGTTTTTTAAAAAAATAATTTATGCCTTTGTGGAGGAGAATATGTGATCCTCTGCCACCCCTCCCATTTAAAATGCATATCTGAATGACTGACGTATGTCTCCCAGCCCATTTGCTCATACATGGGGAAATCTACAGTCTCAATTTTCTAGGGGCAGTCCCAGAATGTGTCTGTTTCCAGGTGTCTATTCTATTTTGGCATTTTCTCAGACAAAAGCTTCCCTGATTGAATAATGAATTATATGATGACTCTATTCATACATAATATCTAAGTAAACTAAAGAATTTTTAAAAATTAATCTTCAGCAGACACATGCCAATTCACTCAAATTCCTTATGTGGAGTCAACCAATTGCCCAGAGAAAATCTTAGATACAAATCTTACATATCAACATTGCTTTCAAAGCAAAGGACATAAATACAAAACACTTAAATATTTCCAAAGCTTGGTCAAACTTTTGGTGATGAAATGTATACTTAGTTGCATGTTGTATGGAATTCAATTTAGTAGACAAGGTCAATTTCCATGAATCATTATCCAGATGCTCATTTCTTACAGCACTCAAAGGGTTCAGCCTTAACCTGACTGGGTGTGTATAAGACCAAGAACGCAAAGCAAGCCGGGATACCGAAGGTGGTGTAATCCAGCCTCACTCACTCCTTTAGATGACGCATGCATTGTTGAAAAAAGGCAACAATAGAGTGCAAATCTGTCATGTTCCTGCCTAAGGACACTAAATAAACAGCAATCGCAAGGCCCCAATACCGCTATTCCTTATAAAGAGGATATGCTTTCTTCTACATAAAACTATTAAAACAAAATACTCTCCTATCAACAGTAATATCAGCAAGGTATCTTGTTGTACATGAATCCATTTCTAAACAGAAACTCTTATCTGGAGCAACTAGTGTTGCTCTAATCTAGATTACTCTGTATGGAAGAGAGGAAGAGAAGAGCAAAGGCCTCACATTGTTCCATGGATTTCATTTATCTTAGTGATATCATCACTTTGCTGGCAATCATTTCTCTCGGCACAAAATTAAATTTTAGTAACGCATTTCTGTCTTTTGTCACTGAGGTAATTTCATTTGCATGCACTTGCTCTTTTCCTGATTCACATAGCTTTGTTTTATCAATGAGTTTGGGTGGGTAATTGTTTGTTTCAGAATTTTTCTCCTACCTTTTATCCCATCACCACCTATGATAACTAGAACTTAAAAATTGTACGTTACTGGCAAATCGTAGACATGCTGATTTTGTTTAAGTGGGTAGCTGGTGTTTGAAGAACGCAAGTTCACTCACTACTCCCTTCCCTCTAGAGAAAAAGCTGAGTTGCATGCAAACAGAGCCAAACCTCCAACCTCTCACCCTTTCTCAGTTCCAGATCCTTCAGATTGACTTTTGCTCCTTGCCCAGATCAGTACATGGGCCCTCTGAGCAGGATTGGAAAGACGTAGACAGGACAAGGATAGGCAATTCTGCACTAACGTGCCTCAGAATTTTGGCCTCTCCCTCTCCCACCCTGTCCCCACCCTTCACATCCCCACCCTTCACATCCCCCACCCTTCACATATATAACCCCACCCTTCACATCCACCCTGGCTTGGCATTTTTAATGTCTGTGGGATTTTCCATTGCTCATACGGCTGATACAGAACTATTAAGTATCTGCCAATGCCCTCATACCCTAAAAGGGCTTACGAATCAAATTCAGAAATGGGTAGTAGAAAGGGAGTTCCCCTCTTCACTGAAAAGCCATTTTATAAAATAGAATTAGATGCCCCTAAAGGACTTTTTAAATACAGAATTCTAGTTAGTAAGGTGGCTGTAAATTTTCCATTCTCCTCTTTCATCCTCAAATAAGCATGCAAGATGGGTAGGACTCCAACGTCTCTTAAGAATTTTTCAATTTGAAGATGTATTGACGCTCATACATTTTCTACACAGTAAGTTTTTTTTTCTGAGCATCTGATTATGCTAGATAGTGTTGAAGATATTATAATTTTGATCTAAGCCTGGTATCTAAAAAAATAGTTTTAGACATTTAGACTAGAACCAAGAAAGGTAGAACTTAACTTCTTCATGTCTTGTTTGTACAATAAAGCTCATGCTGGATATGTCCCTTGCCTATCATGATGAAAAATGAAGAACTTCTGAGCTGTGGTTATTCAGTAATAGATTTTGCCCTGTATTTCTGCTAAATAGGAGAACCAAAAGCCACTTTCCAAAAGGCATGAGACAAGAATGGATACCTACAATAGGAAAAGAATTCCTCCTTTGAGGGTAATTATACCAGATATACCACATTCCTTGGCCTAACACTGGTGGAAGATTTTAGGGGTGGTTCTTAGAGCATATGTACTTCTTGAACTAGATTCCTTTAACTATAGGTCTCTTAATACAAGCTTTGCTCAAGAAGGCATGGCGCTACATTCCAAATCCTTAGAAAATCCAGATTCTCTCCAAATAGAAATGTGTTGATTTCAGATGTATTCCTCTTGGAATCTAACATTTCTTTTTCTTGGAAAAAAAATTAGATGCTGTAATCAAAGTTTCAAGATATTATATCTGGAATTGAAATAAGCATGCTATTCTAAAATGCTGATTTAAAAAAAATTGCAAACTTGGGTTTATTGTGATTGTATTCTACATTTAAAGCTTTAACCTAAGTAGACCTGCTCTAGTAATTGAGAATTTCTCTTAAAAAAGTTATAATTATCATTACAAAATTGGAAAAAAATACAGTTTTTAGGGGAATAGGTACTTATTTTCTTCCTAAAACATTTGAAATGAACTCACCTTACTTATTGTAACAGGAATTCTAAATTAGGATTTCTCAACATCAGCATGATTGACATTTTGGGTTGAATAACTTTTTTTTGTACCTGTGCATTGGAGAATACTCAGCAGCATCCTTCACCTCTACCCATGAGATGTCAGTAACACAACGCCCTGCCCCCATCAGATGCAACTATCAAAACTGTCTGCAGCAATCAACATGGTGGATATGATAATAATGTATTGCGTGGGGCATTATGTAAGCACAGAGGATGGATGAAGACAGACAAAAAGCTAGGGAGAACAGAATTAGGTAGGGCATAGAGGCAAGAAATGGCGTGATATGAATATTAGTATTCAGTGTGACTGGTATCTAAAGGTCATGGCCAAGAGTAGTAACAGATAAGGACCAAATCGTGAAAGGCAAACTTCTGTTTTCTTCTTGAGAAATAAATTTACCTCATACACACACCTTAGTCGCAGCATTTAAAAAGCATCACATAAAAGAATGTGTTTAAGTAAGTGTTGCAATAGAATACCAGGAGCATATTTGTAGAAGATGAATTAAGTCATATTTATGGATCAAGTATATTCCTTTGCCCAAACACATTTAATTAAATTATTTTTCCCCAATGTTGAAAATGCATTGATTTATTTGAAATCCATTTAGCATATGCCCAAACCCTCACTTCATCATAAATCCTTGCCCCAGATATTTTTTTTTCTCAACAGGTGTATTGGCATCTTTGTTAATTTCTAGCTATGCTTGGTATTACATCAAATCCTGGCTTTGACTGAGCAGTGCCTGAGAGAAGTGATTTATCCATCTGCATTCTATTTCAGGCAGAGCCATTGACTCACAGAGTGAGACACTTGACCTACTTGTGGCTCACTTAAGTCCAGCAGGAGAACTGTAAAAGCTCGGCCCTCTGATTCCAACAGCATCAGCACTGACATTTCCTGGTAAAAAGAAGATTTAAATTTAAATCAAATAGGGCTCCAACGTCACCGTTTTGTTATTTTCTCCCGGGTGAGTTAGTCCTGTGGCAGGATTGTTAAAGCAAGTAAAGCTTCAAAATGCACAACAGGAAGCAGAGTTTGTGAGATTCTGAAACAGCCTTCCTTTTTTCTCCACCAAAATTAAACCCTTGATAGGAGAATGGGGTCTACTCTTGGTCTCCTCCTTTGTTGAAAGATATGGGAAAACCATTCAGTTTCACAAATATTTATTACATCCACACTGAGCTAAGTGCTTCACTATGAATATAACCTAATAGATCAAAAGTTGACTAAGACCTGATAAAGTGGAGGATCCAAGTAAAGAGACAGGTCATTTTGAATCATTGTAATAAATGTACAACTGAGGGAAACACAAAAAGGAACTAGCTAAGCCAGCGGGGGTAGTTTGAAGGGAAGAATCTTTAGGAAAGAGAGGCAAAGCATCTGTATTAGTCTGTTTGCATGCTGCTAATAAAGACATACCTGAGACTGGGTAATTTATAAAGAAAAAGAGGTTTAATGGACTCACAGTTCCACATGGCTGGGAAGGCCTCACAATCATGGCGGAAGGCAAGGAGGAGCAAGTCACATCTTAACATGGCAGCAGACAAGAGAGAATGAGAGCCAAGCAAAACGAGTTTCCCCTAAACCATCAGATCTTGTGAGACTTATTCACTACCATGAGAGCATTATGGGGGAAACTGCCCCCATGATTCAATTATCTCCCACCAGGTCCCTCCCACAACATGTGGGAAGTATGGGAGCTACAATTCAAGATGAGATTTGGGTAGGGATGCAACCAAAGCAGGTCAGCATCCTAGAAGAAATACTTTGTGAGTTGACCCTGCAAAGGTGATAGGTCATTAACCAGGTAAAGAAGAGGGGAAAAGTTCTGATGGAGAGAAGAACCAGCAATGGGACAGCAATGAAAAGCTGCAGAGCATGTGCAGAAGATTAAGCTGAACTTGAGGAAAGCATGGTAGGTAGGGAATGATGTTGGAGGGTCCCTAATAAGGAATGGTGCTTTATCCCATAGGTACTAGGGAGGTACTGAAGGGCTCTAAGAAGTTTATGATAAAGACAGATTAGTGTTTTAGAGCAATCATTATAGGAGCTGGGTGGGAAATTTATTTAAAAGTGATACAACTAGAAGTAAGGACACTAGTTAGTAGTTTGTTACAGCTGTGCAGGTGAGGGATGAGACAGGACTGAACGCACAAAGTGACAGTGTGAATAATGGGATGATGGGAACAGTTTTGAGAAATATTAAGGCAGCCTGGCTTCATGACAGGATAATCTTTAAGATTTAGAGACTTATTAGGAGAAAAGTTGGAAAAAGGACTTCTAATTGAAGTTGTTATAATTATTCTACCTGAAAAATAACAGTCCATAACATGAGGTAAGCATTCAGTAAACACCCAGGAGTTAAAATAAAATAACTCAGGGGTGGGGGTGGGGCAAAGCTGGGGAAAAAGAATAAGGAACTATAATATAGGAGTTTTTAAAAGATAGAAGTTAAAAAAAGGAGAAAAACTACATACTGGAAGTAAGTCCATACCAGTGATACAAATACGATTTTTACTATACTTGCCAAATATATAAATGTGTGGCATGAGTGCAAAGCTTGCTCCTGGTTCATATGGAAATGGAACAGTATTGTGCCTATTAAAAGCCTGTGCACAGGGTAGGGCTTAGTACATGTGCACTGACTAAAAGACTGAATCCAAATTATTAAACCAGAGAGAGAAAAAGATGAAAATATGTTCACAGGGAAACAGCCTAAATAGCAATAAGGTTGGAGAAAGATTTAAAAAAACATTTCTCAATAATGAGGATTATCAGACATTGAAAAATGGGAGTCACTTTAGTACAGTGATCAAGAGCTGGGATACTAGAACCCTGCTGCCTGGATTGGAATCCCGATTCTACAAGTTACTTGCTATATTAACCTGGGCAACTTCTTTTTTTTTTTTTTAATTAATTTTTCCCTTGTGTTTTTAGTTGACACTTAATGATTATTCATATTTATGGGATACAGAGTGATACTTCCATATGTGTATACAACAGGTAATCCTCATATTAGGCTAATTGGTATGTCTTATCACCACAAATATTTACCATTTCTTTGTGTTGTGAACATTCAAAATTCTCTCCTCTAGCTTTTTGAAAATATACGATACAATTAACCATATTCACCTTACACTCCCTCAGAACACCCGAACTCATACCTCCTATATAGCTGTAATTTTATATTCATTAACCAATTTCTCCCCATTCTCCCATCCCCACTTCCCTTTCCAGCCTCTAATACAATTCTACTCTCTACTTCCATTCGCTCAAAATTTTTGTAGAAGAATGAAACTAGACCCTTATCTCTCACCATATAAAAAAATCAAGATGGATGGGTTAAAGACATAAATGTAAGAACTAAATCTGTAAATCATTAAAAGAAAACAAGGAGAAATGTTTCAGGACAAAGATTTTAATGTGTAAGACTTCAAAAGCACAGACAATAATAACAAAAATAGACCAATCAGACTATATTAAACTAAAAATCTTTTGCACAGCAAAGGAAACAATCAACAAAGTGAAGAGACAACCTGTAGAATAAGAGAAAACCTTGGACAACTTCTTTAACGACACTGAGCCTCAGCTTCCCCATACGTAAAATGGGGGAAAACATTAGGGTAGTCTCTATCAGAAGGGGCTGTGTGAGAATTAAATGAGTTTGTACATATAAAATGTTCAGAACAGTGTCTGGTACAAAGCAAGCATTAATTAATCTTGGCTGCTATTAATATTATAGAGCTGGAATTTGTTGAAGATGATAATGTCAGAGGTGTTTGAACCAGAGTGGCTCCATCTTGTATATGGGCTGAGTAAAATAAGTCTGATACCTACCGGGCAGCCTTCCCAGGGGATTAAGGCATTTTAATTACAGGATGAGATAGGAGGTCGGCACAAGATACAGGTCATAAAGACCTTGCTGATAAAACAGGTTGCAGTAAAGAAGCTGGCCAAAACCCACTAAAACCGAGATGGTGGTGAGAGTGACCTCTGGTTGTCCTCACTGCTCGTTATACTTTAATCATACTGCATTAGAATGCTAAAAGACACTCCCACCAGTGCCATGACAGTTTGAAAACACCATGGCAACATCAGGAAGCTACGCTATATGATCTAAAAACAGGGGGAATCCTCAGTTCTGGGAATTGCCCACCCCTTTCCTGGAAAACTCATGAATAAGCCACACCCTGTTTAGCATATAATCAGGAAATAACTGTAGAAATGGACAGCCAGCAGCCCTCAGGGATGTTCTGCCTATGGAGTAGCCAATCTTTATGCCTTTACTTTCTTAATAAGCTTGCTTTCACTTTACTCTATGGTCTTCTCCTGAATTATTTCTTGCATGAGATCCAAGAACCCTCTCCTGGGGTCTGGATTGGGACCACTTTCTGGTAATAATAATACTTCTTGTTGTTGCTGTTGTTATTGGTTGTTTTTTTTTTTTTCAGGGGTGTGGGGGATAGGAATATACTTCTGTTCTTCTTGGGGATCAAGCCAGTGGTTTTGAGAACCCTATTATTCTAAGGAATTGATTTATAAAGAAAGTCATCTGACAATCTCACCCATTACTTCCAGTCACAAGGTACAGATATTTTGAAGTGACAGGCACCCCACCAGGACTGCTATTGCTTACAGCAGGGCCCCTGATGCAAGAGAGGCCACTTGTTCCTCGGTAGGAAATCTACTTCCTTCCCAGGCATTTTTGCAATTGAAGCTATAGGACAGAGAAGGGTTAGGAGCCATTGTTTGTAGGTGCCTTGGTTTTTTGAAAAGACGACGTGGTATTCCTCCAAACAGCCAATCCAAATACAATCACCATAGTTTTGTTGAATTGGACTTAGCCCAATTTAGCTCAGTGTCAAGAAAAGATCATTTTTGGCAGCTTCAGAGTACAAAATATTAGGACATACAAGACTAATTTTAATTCTATTACATGGAATTTGCATATTATTATTTGCCTTTGAAATGAGCCCTGGAAATGGCTGCCAGACACATGCAAATAACCCAGTTCAGTGAGATTATTTCTCCTCCGAAAGATCATCAACACAAGTGTTTGCTTTAGTGATTGTAATTATCTTAAAAGAAGCAATGATGGGAATGAAAGCAGACATTTTGTGGCATTTACAATCCACAACGCGAGATAAATTATGTTTTCTTTCTAATGGGCCCTTTTAAACATAGGAAAAACAGGCGAATACACATTTCCAGCTGCAATTTGCCTTCGCAGGTACATGCTTCAATTAATGCAGCTAGAGAAACACCTTTAAATAATGAGATTTTAGTAATGAACCAACTGCTTCTTTTGGCACCAGATGTAATTAAAGATGCTGATTGAAAATGCAATTTTCTGTGGACTGCACTCCTTTCTTTCAAGTACTTACCAACTGTGGTGCTTTAAGAAGCTGAAAGCTGAAGAGGTCCATACTTAACCATAAAACGTGATATTCTAAATTCTACTAAAGCTTTAGGGTGTGTGTGCATGTGTAGTGTGATTTGTATTTAGCTTATAGTAGTATCAAGTAGGATACTTCCTTTTACTATATTCTTTGGGAGGCTAGGGAGACTATCACGGGGCAAAAAAAAAGAAAAGGGAAACTCAAACTTAAGAGTTTCCACAAATGTAGATATGTGTGTGCATGTGTACTACTTGCTCCTAATAAGTTAGGCACTCCAATAGACCATCAAAGCAAAGACATTTTATACAGTTTTTTTAAATTTTATTATTATTATACTTTAAGTTTTAGGGTACATGTGCACAACGTGCAGGTTTGTTACATATGTATACATGTGCCATGTTGGTGTGCTCCATCCATTAACTCATCATTTAGCATTAGGTATATCTCCTAATGTTATCCCTCCGCTCTACCCCAACCCCACAACAGTCCCCGGTGTGTAATGTTCCCCTTCCTGTGTCCATGTGTTCTCATAGTTCAATTCCCACCTATGAGTGAGAACATACCGTGTTTGGTTTTTTGTCCTTGCAATAGTTTGCTGAGAATGATGGTTTCCAGCTTCATCCATGTCCCTACAAAGGACAGGAACTCATAATTTTTTATGGCTGCATAGTATTCCATGGTGTATATGTGCCACATTTCCTTAATCCAGTCTATCATTGTTGGACATTTAGGTTGGTTCCAAGTCTTTGCTATTGTGAATAGTGCCGCAATAAACATACGTGTGCATGTGTCTTTATAGCAGCATGATTTATAGTCCTTTGGGTATATACCCAATAATAGGATAGCTGGGTCAAATGCTATTTCCAGTTCTAGATCCCTGAGGAATCACCACACTGACTTCCACAATGGTTGAACTAGTTTAAGTTCCACCAACAGGGTAAAAGTGTCCCTATTTCTCCACATCCTCTCCAGCACCTGTTGTTTCCTGACTTTTTAATGATTGCCATTCTAACTGGTGTGAGATGGTATCTCATTGTGGTTTTGAATTGCATTTCTCTGATGGCCAGTGATGATGAGCATTTTTTCATGTGTTTTTTGGCTGCATAAATGTCTTCTTTTGAGAAGTGTCTGTTCATATCCTTTGCCCACTTTTTGATGGAGTTGCTTGTTTTTTTCTTGTAAATTTGTTCGAGTTCACTGTAGATTCTGGATAGTAACCCTTTGTCAGATGAGTAGGTTGCAAAAATTTTCTCCCATTCTGTAGGTTGCCTGTTTACGTTGATGGTAGTTTCTTTTGTTGTGCAGAAGCTATTTAGTTTAATTAGATCCCATTTGTCAATTTTGGCTTTTGTTGCCATTGCTTTTGGTGTTTCAGACATGAAGTCCTTTCCCATGCCTATGTCCTGAATGGTATTGCCTAGGTTTTCTTCCAGGGCTTTTATGGTTTTAGGTCTAACATTTAAGTCTTTAATCCATCTTGAATTGATTTTTGTATAAGGTGTAAGGAAGGGATCCAGTTTCAGCTTTCTACATATGGCTAGCCAGTTGTCCCAACACCATTTATTAAATAGGGAATCCTTTCCCCATTGCTTGTTTTTCTCAGGTTTGTCAAAGATCAGATAGTTGTAGATATGCGGCCTTATTTCTGAGGGCTCTGTTCTGTTCCATTGATCTATATCTCTGTTTTGGTACCAGTACTATGCTGTTTTGGTTACTGTAGCCTTGTAGTATAGTTTGAAGTCAGATAGCGTGATGTCTCCAGTTTTGTTCTTTTGGCTTAGGATTGACATGGCAATGCGGGTTCTTTTTTGGTTCCATATGAACTTTAAAGTAGTTTTTTCCAATTCTGTGAGGAAAGTCACTGGTAGCTTGATGGGGATGGCATTGAATCTATAAATTACCTTGGGCAGTATGGCCATTTTCACCATATTGATTCTTCCTACCCATGAGCATGGAATGTTCTTCCATTTCTTTGTATCCTCTTTTGTTTCATTGAGCAGTGGTTTGTAGTTCTCCTTGAAGAGGTCCTTCACGTCCCTTGTAAGTTGGATTCCTAGGTATTTTATTCTTTTTGAAGCAATTGTGAATGGGAGTTCACTCATGATTTGGCTCTCTGTTTGTCTGTTATTGGTGTATAAGAATGCTTGTGATTTTTGCACATTGATTTTATATCCTGAGACTTTGCTGAAGTTGCTTATCAGCTTAAGGAGATTTTGGGCTGAGATGATGGGGTTTTCTAGATATACAATCATGTCATCTGCACACAGGGACAATTTGACTTCCTCTTTTCCTAATTGAATGCCCTTCATTTCCTTCTCCTGCCTGACTGCCCTGGCCAGAACTTCCAACACTATGTTGAATAGGAGTGGTGAGAAAGGGCATCACTGTCTTGTGCCAGTTTTCAAAGAGAATTCTTCCAGTTTTTGTCCATTCAGTATGATATTGGCTGTGGGTTTGTCATAGATAGTTCTTATTATTTTGAGATACATCCCATCAATACCTAATTTATTGAGAGTTTATAGCATGAAGGGTTGTTGAATTTTGTCAAAGGCCTTTTCTGCATCTATTGAGATAATCATGTGGTTTTTGTCTTTGGTTCTGTTTATATGCTGGATTACGTTTATTGATTTGTGTATGTTGAACCAGCCTTGCATCCCGGGGATGAAGCCCACTTGATCATGTTCGATAAGCTTTTTGATGTGTTGCTGGATTCGGTTTGCCAGTATTTTATTGAGGATTTTTTCATCAATGTTCATCAAGGATATTGATCTAAAATTCTCTTTTTTGGTTGTGTCTGTGCCAGGCTTTGGTATCAGGATGAAGCTGCCTCATAAAATGAATTAGGGAGGATTCCCTCTTTTTCTATTGATTGGAATAGTTTCAGAAGGAATGGTACCCACTCCTCTTTGTACCTCTGGTAGAATTTGGCTGTGAATCCATCTTCCATCTGGTCCTGGACTTTTTTTGGTTGGTAAGCTATTAATTATTGCCTCAATTTCAGAGCCTGTTATTGGTCTATTCAGAGATTCAACTTCTTCCTGGTTTAGTCTTGGGAGAGTGTATGCGTCCAGGAATTTATCCATTTCTTCTAGATTTTCTAGTTTATTTTCGTAGAGGCGTTTGTAGTATTCTCTGATGGTAGTTTGTATTTCTGTGGGATTGGTGGTGATATCCCCTTTATCATTTTTTGTTGCATCTATTTGATTCTTCTCTCTTTTCTTCTTTATTAGTCTATCTAGCAGTCTATCAATTTTGTTGATCCTTTCAAAAAACCAGCTCCTGGATTCATTAATTTTTTGAAGGGTTTTTTATGTCTCTATTTCCTTCAGTTCTGCTCTGATTTTAGTTATTTCTTGCCTTCTGCTAGCTTTTGAATGTGTTTGCTCTTGCTTCTCTAGTTCTTTTAATTGTGATGTTATCGTGTCAATTTTAGATCTTTCCTGCTTTCTCTTGTGGGCATTTAGTGCTATAAATTTCCCTCTACACACTGCTTTGAATGTTTCCCAGAGATTCTGGTATGTTGTGTGTTTGTTCTCATCGGTTTCAAAGAACATCTTTATTTCTGCCTTCATTTCATTATGTACCCAGTAGTCATTCAGCAGCAGGTTGTTCAGTTTCCATGTAGTTGAGCAGTTTTGATTGAGCTTCTTAATCCTGAGTTCTAGTTTTATTGCACTGTTTTCTGAGAGACGGTTTGTTATAATTTCTGTTCTTTTACATTTGCTGAGGAGTGCTTTACTGCCAACTATGTGGTCAATTTTAGAATAGGTGTGGTGCTGAAAAGAATGTATATTCTGTTGATTTGGGATGGATAGTTCTGTAGATGTCTATTAGGTCCACTTGGTGCAGAGCTGAGTTCAATTCCTGGATATCCTTGTTAACTTTCTGTCTCATTGATCTGTCTAATGTTGACAGTGGGGTGTTAAACTCTCCCATTATTATTGTGTGGGAGTCTAAGTCTCTTTGTAGGTCACTAAGAACTTGCTTTATGAATCTGGGTGCTCCTGTATTGGGTGCATATATATTTAGGATAGTTAGCACTTCTTGTTGAATTGATCCCTTTACCATTATGTAATGGCCTTCTTTGTCTCTTTTGATCTTTGTTGGTTTAAAGTCTGTTTTATCAGAGACTAGGATTGCAACCCCTGCCTTTTTTTGTTTTCCATTTGCTTGGTAGATCTTCCTCCATCCCTTTATTTTGAGCCTATGTGTGTCTCTGTATTCAGGTTTCCTGAATACAGCACACTGATGGGTCTTGACTCTTTATCCAATTTGCCAGTCTGTGTCTTTTAAATGGAGCATTTAGCCCATTTACATTTAAGGTTAATATTGTTATGTGTGAATTTGATCCTGTCATTATGATGTTAGCTGGTTATTTTGCTCGTTAGTTGATGCAGTTTCTTCCTAGCCTTGATGGTGTTTACAATTTGGCATGTTTCTGCAGTGGCTGGTACTGGTTGTTCTTTTTCATGTTTAGTGCTTCCTTCAGGAGCTCTTTTAGGGCAGGCCTGCTGGTTACAAAATCTCTCAGCATTTGCTTGTCCGTAAAGTATTTTATTTCACCTTCACTTATGAAGCTTAGTTTGGCTGGATATGAAATTCTGGGTTGAAAATTCTTTTCTTTAAGAATGTTGAATATTGGCCCCCACTCTCTTCTGGCTTGTAGAGTTTCTGCTGAGAGATCAACTGTTAGTCTGATGGGCTTCCCTTTGTGGGTAACCCGACCTTTCTCTCTGGCTGCCCTTAACATTTTTTCCTTCATTTCAACTTTGGTGAATCTGACAATTATGTGTCCTGGAGTTGCTCTTCTCGAGGACTATCTTTGTGGCATTCTCTGTATTTCCTGAATTTGAATGTTGGCCTACCTTGCTAGATTGGGGAAGTTCTCCTGGATAATATCCTGCAGAGTGTTTTCCAACTTGGTTCCATTCTCCCCGTCACTTTCAGGAACACCAATCAGACGTAGATTTGGTCTTTTCACATAGTCCCGTATTTCTTGGAGGCTTTTTTCATTTCTTTTTATTCTTTTTTCTCTAAACTTCTCTTCTCGCTTCATTTCATTCATTTCGTCTTCCATCGCTGATACCCTTCTTCCAGTTGATTGCATCGGCTACTGAGGCTTGTGCATTCATCATGTAGTTCTCGTGCCATGGTTTTCAGCTCCATCAGGTCCTTTAAGGACTTATCTGCATTGGTTATTCTAGTTATCCAGCCATCTAATTTTTTTTTTTTTGAGACGGAGTCTCGTTCTGTCACCCAGGCGGGAGTGCTGTGGCGCGATCTCTGCTCACTGCAAGCTCTGCCCTCCGGGCTCACGCCATTCTCCTGCCTCAGCCTCCCGAGTAGCTGGGACTAGAGGCACCCGCCACTGCGCCCAGCCAATTTTTTGTATTTTTTTTAGTAGAGACGGGGTTTCACCGTGGTCTCGATCTGACCTCGTGATCCACCCGCCTCGGCCTCCCAAAGTGCTGGGATTACAGGCGTGAGCCACTGCGCCCGGCCTAATTTTTTTTCAAGCTTTTTAACTTATTTGCCTTTGGTTCAAACTTCCTCCTTTAGCTCGGAGTAGTTTGATCTTCTGAAGCCTTCTTCTCTCAACTCGTCAAAGCCATTCTCCGTCCAGCTTTGTTCCATTGCTGGTGGGGAGCTGCGTTCCTTTGGAAGAGGAGAGGCGCTCTGATTTTTAGAGTTTCCGGTTTTTCTGCTCTGTTTTTTCCCCATCTTTGTGGTTTTATCTACCTTTGGTCTTTATGATGGTGATGTACAGATGGGTTTTTGGTGTGGATGTCCTTTCTGTTTGTTAGTTTTCCTTCTAACAGTCAGGACCCTCAGCTGCAGGTCTGTTGGAGTTTGCTGGAGGTCCACTCCAGACCCTGCTTGCCTGGATATCAGCAGCAGTGGCTGCAGAACAGCAGATATTGGTGAACCGCAAATGCTGCTGCCTGATTGTTCCTCTGGAAGTTTTGCCTCAGAGGAGTACCTGGCCGTGTGAGGTGTCCCGCCTCTACTGGGGGGTGCCTCCCAGTTATACTAGTTGGGGGTCAGGGACCCACTTGAGGTGGCAGTCTGCCTGTTCTCAGATCTCAAGCTGCATGCTGGGAGAACCACTACTCTCTTCAAAGCTGTCAGACAGGGACATTTAAATCTGCAGAGATTACTGCTGCCTTTTGTTTGTCTGTGCCCTGCCCCCAGAGGTGGAGCCTACAGAGGAAGGCAGGCCTCCTTGAGCTGTGGTGGGCTCCACCCAGTTCGAGCTTCCGGGCCGTTTTGTTTACCTACTCAAGCCTCAGCAATGGCGGGCACCCCTCCCCTAGCTTCACTGCCACCTTGTAGTTTGATCTCAGACTGCTGTGCTAGCAATGAGTGAGGCTCCGTGGGTGTAGGACCCTTTAAGACAGGTGCAGGATGTAATCTCCTGGTGTGCCATTTGGGAAGCCCGTTGGAAAAGCGCAGTATTAGGGTGGGAGTGACCTGATTTTCCAGGTGCTATCTGTCACCTCTTTCTTTTACTAGGAAAGGGAATTCCCTGACCTCTTGTGCTTCCCAGGTGAGGTGATGCCTCGCCCTGCTTCGGCTCATGCACGGTGCTCTGCACCCACTGTCCTGCACCCACTGTCCAGCACTCCCCAGTGAGATGAACCCGGTCCCTCAGTTGGAAATGCAGAAATCACCCATCTTCTGCGTCGCTCATGCTGGGAGCTGTAGACTGGAGCTGTTCCTATTCAGCCATCTTGGCTCAGTATCCATTTCATACAGTTAAAATAGCTTCTAGCACTTATATTAGAATGCTCTTTTATTTCAGCAACTAACTCCTTATTCTAAAGCAAACAACCATAAATTTCCCCTCTACTGGGGATAATCTGATTCCTTCAACCACCTGTTCCCTACTCTTTTCGTCTTTACCACCACTTCTCCTTTACCCTATTATATCTACTTTTTTTTTTTTTTTTTTTTTTGAGATGGATTCCCGCTCTTTAGCCCAGGCCGGATTGCAGTGGCACAATCTTGGCTCACTGCAAGCTCCGCCTCCCAGGTTCACGCCATTCTCCTGCCTCAGCCTCCCGAGTAGCTGGGACTACAGGTGCCCGCCACCGCGCCCGGCTAATTTTTTGTATTTTTAGTAGAGACGGGGTTTCACCGTGTTAGCCAAGATGGTCTTGATCTCCTGACCTTGTGATCCGCCCGCCTCGGCCTCCCAAAGTGCTGGGATTACAGGCGTGAGCCACCGCGCCCAGCCTATTCTATCTACTTTTTTCAAGGCTCAACAGGTATAGTTAAAAAGCATTTGTTCATCTAATCTTACAGAGACTTCCAAAGTTCTGGTGATCAATAATATTTACTGAGATCCCACATTTTGCCCAATACTTCTCAGTGTTCTACAGAATAATCGTTGTGCTCAAGGTGTTTACAGACTGAAAAGAAAAATACGACATATGTTGAATCACAAAATGTCAGAGTTGAAAGGACCTGAGAAGCTATCTAATCAAACATATTACTCTATGGAGGTATCTTCTCTGCAATATACTGATGAATAGTGACTCCAACATACTTATAAGTGGTGAGTCAGCCCATGCTCTCGTGCTTCCTAGAACGGGGCAATCACTGCCATTGATAGATTCAGTTATTATATAGTTCTCCTGAATAATGGCATAAGAGCAGATTTTCTATACCTTTTCCAATTGGTCCTAATCATGCTAAATTAATTCTTCTCCCACACAGAGTCTTTTCAAATATTGGAAGTTTTATAATTACATCAAGACTAGGTCCTATACTATTCCTTCTCATTCCATATAGTTTTCCTGAGTGGTCTTATCTGTCCTGTGCCTTTACAGCTTTCAATATAATGACTTCCAACTGTAGCTCAGTAGGTGAGGGTTTGCCATTTAACAACACGCAAGCTGGATTCAATTCCCAGCTTAGGGAATGAGTCATTTCTGGTGTTATATCTGCGTTACTTTTTACCATTTGTTGATTCACTTCCCCTCCATGAATAGTCTTGAATTTTTCTTTCTCTGAGCACAGAAATATGGGCTGTTTGGCACAGCTAACCTCAGGTAATAAGAGATTTAAAATGACTTTTTTTTTTAAAGAGCACTATGGTTAAAAGTCAGCTTAATTAAAAGTAGATAGTCAAGCTCTAACAGCCTGGGACTCCTTGGTTAAAACAGGAGACACCACAGACCCTGTTTTGGGAAAAACCACTGTTTTCCTCATGAAACCCCAGGAACTGAAAGTGGATAGGTCCCTCTCAAAATCTAAGGCTTTGTTCTGGTTCACACTGCATTATATAAAATGGGACCCTTAATCTTGGGGGATCTGTTTTGCCTTTCAGCTGTGCCTGCTTATTAGGCTGTAGAAACTGCATGCTTCCCTGGCCCTGTTCCTCCAAGGACTCTGCTCTGAAGCTAGTAATCCAATTAAGAAACTGGCAAATGAAAAACCTTACAAACTACTGGATCTTCTGTCTGTCTGCATATTTATATGTGTTTTATGTATAATGTTTATATATTAAAGAGCTCTGATTAATTGGCTTAAAAATAAGAGTTGCTAAGAGTTAACATTGTAACATGTAATTGAGACTACTGGAGAAACAGTTTTACATACAATGTTGCAAGGTATAGAAGGTAAGTAGAATGAGGTTTTGGTGGGAGATTATAAGAAGCCATGGGAATGTGGTTTTTGTGAAAGGGAATGTTATTTTGTCGAGTTCAGAGGGTTTTAAAGATTGTCTTAACCTAAAAGAGTAGTGAAATAAAACTGAAGGTTTAAGTAAGTTGGAAAGGGTTTGTGAAGGGTTAATCTTATAAAAAAGATTCTGTGCGTATAACAGAATTAACCAAGATTTAAAGAGGATTATTTAGTTTGTTTTTTCTACCCATAAGTTAAAACATTAAAATGAAAGCATACTGATTTGGGGCCAGAATCTGGGCTCATGTGTCCAAATAACAAAGCTTTCTTAGAAAATTGATGTGTTTAACAAAAATTTTAAAGGGTTATAAAAGGTTTATAAGAATCTTACCTTATGGTCAAACTGATTAAGATTGAATAGATTTATCTATAAGGTTTTATTAAAAATTGGGTTTAACATTAACAGTACACTAATGCAAAGGTGAAATTCCACTTATTAGGTATAAAAATCATATAGGAAGCATTGTCAAATATGAAATAGTGTTTGGCTTCCTTTGGGCTTTATTCATATAAATATGTTATTGATATGTGTTCCAAAATTATGGGAAATTCCTATAATTCTGATATGACTTAGTAGATATTATTAATAATTATAATTTTAAGTAAAATTTTTGTATGCCACAGAAGTAACCAAAATTTCCTAGTTAATTGTGACTTTAATAGAGGTTGCCCTAAAGCATTTTGACATCCATCAACAATTGCTGTCTTATTTTGATCCTTTTTAAAAGTTGGTTTATAATCAGCTATAGGACTCTTAACAGGTGTTCTTGAAGTCAGACTTCTGATAACTTTGGAAAATGTGACATTAGAATAGAGGAAAAAACTTTCAGGACCCATGGATGGCTGAAAGGTTCATGAATATCAAGCAGGACAGGAATTAACTGCATGGATTGAACTAATAGAAGACTGAAGTAATCTTTTTGACCTTGCTTAAAATGTTACTGATCCTTTGTTTTTCAGAGTCAAGAAAACTTTTCTTTTGAGCTATTCACAACTTTTAACAATTGAGTAAAGTATACTCCTGTGAACAAAATTGGAAACATACTTGTTTCTCTCTCCCTTATTTCTTCAGAATTTGGAGACTATTTGTGAGTATTCTTAACTAATGGCAATATAGTTATCTGCATAAGTGCAATAAGAATCTGTTTTCATTTGTTAAAGGACACAATTAGAGAAACTGATTATTTTACCAAGGTTTTAACTGGAATAGTATGCTTTTCTTTAAGGAATCAAACTTGACTTGTAGAGCCCATCAAACCCCCTTTGAAAAACTGTCCACATACCTTGTCTACACAGTCCCTGTATAGGGTTTCTGACCTGTGGTAAGTAAGTAAGGAATGTCACTTTCTGACAGGCCTAGGAGCCTCAGGTTATCTTGAAACCTTGAGAGGAGAGGAATTAACCCTGTTCATAGGTATTTGAGGGTAAAAACCCATGGCTGGGCTCGTCTTTAAAAATGTCTTATCTAAGATTCCTTATATGGAGCAGAGTTCCATGAAAGCCAATTTAAAAAGCCAGTGTGAAAAATAATTATTTTTGCTGCACTTTATACAAATAATCACGCCAAGTATAATACAGCAAATCAGTCATACCATGATTTGTCTTTAGTAAAAATGGGAAACTAGAGAGAGAAAAATTATGTACTATGTACTATGTTACACCTGTTATTAAATTCTGGTCTCACTGGTTGTTTTTGAATTTTTTCCCTGCCATTTACACAGATCCTGCTTATTCCTATGAACCAACCAGTGATCTCTGGCTGCAACTCAGAAAAACAAGAGGGATGAGTAATGTAAAAACAAAAATCTGAATCAAAATTCTAATTCTGGGCACATGTTGGAATCAGCTAGCAATCCCACATCAGCTTGGTTCCAACAATTGCCTAACTCATGGGAAGCCTTCTTATTTAGTTTATTTGGGATAATTTTGCTATTTTGCTTTACTGTTGTTGAATATATTGCTGTTGTACTCTCTGTGTAGGAATGCAAGATAAGGTTACTCAATATTCTCTTGAATGGAACACTTATTAATCTTCCAGATATCACCTTTCATTGGAACTCAGACCTCAACATATTGACACTTTCTGACTGAGCTCCTCTCTACTCCAAATGCAAGACACCTTAATGGTTAGGCAGGAATATCATCGCCCCTATTCAGCCAGAAGAAGTGACAGAAGATGGATCTTCCTCCCTCTACAACTTTTAGGATTAAGGGTTCTCTTTTAAAAGGGAAGAGGAAAATATGTTAATGGTGTTTGAACCAGAGTGAGTCCATCTTGAATAGCAGCTGAATAAAATAAGGCTGAGAACTACCAGCAGCATTCCCAGATAGTTAGGCATTCTACAACACAGGATGAGACAGGAGGTTGGCACAAGATATAGGTCATAAAGACCTTGCTGATAAAACACGTTGCAGAAAAGAAGCTGGCTAAAACCCAGCAAAAGCAAGGTGGCGATGACAGTGACCTCTGGTTGTCCTCACTGCTGCACTCCCACCAGCGCCATGACAGTTTGCAAATGCGATGACAAGGTCAGGAAGTTACCCTATATGGTCTAAAAGGGGGAGGAACCCTCATTTCTGGGAATTGCCCATGCTTTTCCAGAAAATTCATAAATAATCCATCCCTTATTTAGCATATAATCAAGAAATAACCATAAAAATGGGCAACCAGCAGCCCCGAGGGAATAGCCATTCTTTATTCCTTTACTTTCTTAAAAAACTTGCTTTCACTTTACTGTATGGACTCGCCCCAAATTCTTTGCAAGATCCAAGAACACTCTCTTGGGGTTTGGATTGAGACCCCTTTCCAGTAACAGTACCACCTGGATATTTTAGTTGTTGATTGAGTTTACATAAGAAGTAGGATTAATTCCCATGAAACTAAAATGTAGTAGAGACAATGTGGTAAAGTCATTTTCCCCCTCTGTGAGGAGCTGGGATTTGGGTTATTCTAATTATTTGTCTCATGCCAAGAAACTTGAAAGTACAGTGTAGAAAAAAAAGATGGCAAAAATGGAGAAATCACAGGGGTCAACCTGTTGGGTATTCCAGGATGCTACATCTTTCTACTTTCAAGGTAACTTATTTTAGCAACTAACTCGAACATAAAAACAAGAAACAACTCAGAATGCAAAAACCTCATCAATAGATTTTTATTGAGAAAATCCTGTCATCATGGGGCTAAATGCTGTATAAAATATGACATTTGTGTAGCACCACAAAATATTTTATGTGAACTATTATATTTGATTCTCATGAAATTCCTATGAAGTAATTAAAGCAAATAGAAAGTCTAAATCACAAATCAATAAATAAAGTTCAAAGAATCTGTTAATTTATCCTAGACCCCAGAGTCAGTATGCTGTGGTAGGACTTCTAACTAGATATTCTTTACTTTTCTCTGTAGAACACACTATATCCAAAGGCAAGCTTAAGGTGAAGCCTTAAGAAAAGGAGTTCATATGTTATTTTGGCATTCAAGATTGAGACATAGGAAGCAGAGGAATAAGAAAAAAATTAAGCCCAAATGTTGGCAATGAGAAAATGTTAAGGCAGTTGTTTGATTCTCCCTTGGCTCCGAAACCTACCGCACTTAGTCTACAGCACCCTTATCAAACCTAGGATTATAATCTTGGCTTCTCTTTCACCTTATTACATCACTCAACATATTCAACCATATTTGGGTGTGTCCATGTTCTTCTCCCCTGCCAGACCTTAGGATTATTATGGAAGGGATGACTAAGTGACTTGCCTAAGTTCACATGGGTGTATATGGCAGTACAAGGATTTGAAGCTAAACTGGCAGAATAAAAAAAAAAAAGTATTTTAACCACTATGCAATGCTATCACTTATATGATAATCAATAATTAGGCAAGTATGCATGCAATTTGTATACATACAAGACAGAGACAAAAAAGGTTGTTACGTTTTTCTTACCGACTCTTGTTCAAAAATGAATAAATCCCTGCTGGCTTCTTTAATAAAGATTGAGTAAATATATTTAGTTATCTTAAATTATTAATCTATAAATCAGCTCATACTCAGATATATGAAATACATTCTGCTTTTACCTCATTGTAAAGATTATGCCTACTGTTTGCCTTTAAAACTTAATTTAAAAAATGTAACTTTAAAAGATGCCTTCTATTATTGGCCTTCAGAAGTGATTAAGACCCAGCCAATGCAGAAAGAGAACAAAACAAACACATAAAAACAAAAAACACGGAGGAGGAGCCAAGATGGCCGAATAGGAACAGCTCCGGTCTACAGCTCCCAGCGTGAGCGACGCAGAAGACGGGTGATTTCTGCATTTCCATCTGAGGTACCGGGTTCATCTCAATAGGGAGTGCCAGACAGTGGGCGCAGGTCAGTGTGTGTGCGCACCGTGCGCAAGCCGAAGCAGGGCGAGGCATTGCCTCACCTGGGAAGCGCAAGGGGTCAGGGAGTTCCCTTTCCGAGTCAAAGAAAGGGGTGACGGACGTACCTGGAAAATCGGGTCACTCCCACCCGAATATTGCGCTTTTCAGACCGGCTTAAGAAACGGCGCACCACGAGACTATATCCCACACCTGGCTCAGAGGGTCCTACGCCCACGGAATCTCGCTGATTGCTAGCACAGCAGTCTGAGATCAAACTGCAAGGCGGCAACGAGGCTGGGGGAGGGGCGCCCGCCATTGCCCAGGCTTGCTTAGGTAAACAAAGCAGCCGGGAAGCTCGAACTGGGTGGAGCCCACCACAGCTCAAGGAGGCCTGCCTGCCTCTGTAGGCTCCACCTCTGGGGGCAGGGCACAGACAAACAAAAAGACAGCAGTAACCTCTGCAGACTTAAGTGTCCCTGTCTGACAGCTTTGAAGAGAGCAGTGGTTCTCCCAGCACGCAGCTGGAGATCTGAGAACGGGCAGACTGCCTCCTCAAGTGGGTCCCTGACCCCTGACCCCCGAGCAGCCTAACTGGGAGGCACCCCCCAGCAGGGGCACACTGACACCTCACACGGCAGGGTATTCCAACAGACCTGCAGCTGAGGGTCCTGTCTGTTAGAAGGAAAACTAACAACCAGAAAGGACATCTACACCGAAAACCCATCTGTACATCACCATCATCAAAGACCAAAAGTAGATAAAACCACAAAGATGGGGAAAAAACAGAAGAGAAAAACTGGAAACTCTAAAACGCAGAGCGCCTCTCCTCCTCCAAAGGAACGCAGTTCCTCACTAGCAACAGAACAAAGCTGGATGGAGAATGATTTTGACGAGCTGAGAGAAGAAGGCTTCAGACGATCAAATTACTCTGAGCTACGGGAGGACATTCAAACCAAAGGCAAAGAAGTTGAAAACTTTGAAAAAAATTTAGAAGAATGTATAACTAGAATAACCAATACAGAGAAGTGCTTAAAGGAGCTGATGGAGCTGAAAACCAAGGCTCGAGAACTACGTGAAGAATGCAGAAGCCTCAGGAGCCGATGCGATCAACTGGAAGAAAGGGTATCAGTGATGGAAGATGAAATGAATGAAATGAAGCGAGAAGGGAAGTTTAGAGAAAAAAGAATAAAAAGAAATGAGCAAAGCCTCCAAGAAATATGGGACTATGTGAAAAGACCAAATCTACGTCTGATTGGTGTACCTGAAAGTGATGTGGAGAATGGAACCAAGTTGGAAAACACTCTGCAGGATATTATCCAGGAGAACTTCCCCAATCTAGCAAGGCAGGCCAACGTTCAGATTCAGGAAATACAGAGAACGCCACAAAGATACTCCTCGAGAAGAGCAACTCCAAGACACATAATTGTCAGATTCACCAAAGTTGAAATGAAGGAAAAAATGTTAAGGGCAGCCAGAGAGAAAGGTCGGGTTACCCTCAAAGGAAAGCCCATCAGACTAACAGCGGATCTCTCGGCAGAAACCCTACAAGCCAGAAGAGAGTGGGGGCCAATATTCAACATTCTTAAAGAAAAGAATTTTCAACCCAGAATTTCATATCCAGCCAAACTAAGCTTCATAAGTGAAGGAGAAATAAAATACTTTATAGACAAGCAAATGCTGAGAGATTTTGTCACCACCAGGCCTGCCCTAAAAGAGCTCCTGAAGGAAGCACTAAACATGGAAAGGAACAACCGGTACCAGCCGCTGCAAAATCATGCCAAAATGTAAAGACCATCGAGACTAGGAAGAAACTGCATCAACTAATGAGCAAAATCACCAGCTAACATCATAATGACAGGATCAAATTCACACATAACAATATTAACTTTAAATATAAATGGACTAAATTCTGCAATTAAAAGACACAGACTGGCAAGTTGGATAAAGAGTCAAGACCCATCAGTGTGCTGTATTCAGGAAACCCATCTCACGTGCAGAGACACACATAGGCTCAAAATAAAAGGATGGAGGAAGATCTACCAAGCAAATGGAAAACAAAAAAAGGCAGGGGTTGCAATCCTAGTCTCTGATAAAACAGACTTCAAACCAACAAAGATCAAAAGAGACAAAGAAGGCCATTACATAATGGTAAAGGGATCAATTCAACAAGAGGAGCTAACTATCCTAAATATTTATGCACCCAATACAGGAGCACCCAGATTCATAAAGCAAGTCCTCAGTGACCTACAAAGAGACTTAGACTCCCACACATTAATAATGGGAGACTTTAACACCCCACTGTCAACATTAGACAGATCAACGAGACAGAAAGTCAACAAGGATACCCAGGAATTGAACTCAGCTCTGCACCAAGCAGACCTAATAGACATCTACAGAACTCTCCACCCCAAATCAACAGAATATACATTTTTTTCAGCACCACACCACACCTATTCCAAAATTGACCACATAGTTGGAAGTAAAGCTCTCCTCAGCAAATGTAAAAGAACAGAAATTATAACAAACTATCTCTCAGACCACAGTGCAATCAAACTAGAACTCAGGATTAAGAATCTCACTCAAAGCCGCTCAACTACATGGAAACTGAACAACCTGCTCCTGAATGACTACTGGGTACATAACGAAATGAAGGCAGAAATAAAGATGTTCTTTGAAACCAACGAGAACAAAGACACCACATACCAGAATCTCTGGGACGCATTCAAAGCAGTGTGTAGAGGGAAATTTATAGCACTAAATGCCTACAAGAGAAAGCAGGAAAGATCCAAAATTGACACCCTAACATCACAATTAAAAGAACTAGAAAAGCAAGAGCAAACACATTCAAAAGCTAGCAGAAGGCAAGAAATAACTAAAATCAGAGCAGAACTGAAGGAAATAGAGACACAAAAAACCCTTCAAAAAATCAATGAATCCAGGAGCTGGTTTTTTGAAAGGATCAACAAAATTGATAGACCGCTAGCAAGACTAATAAAGAAAAAAAGAGAGAAGAATCAAATAGACACAATAAAAAATGATAAAGGGGATATCACCACCGATCCCACAGAAATACAAACTACCATCAGAGAATACTACAAACACCTCTACGCAAATAAACTAGAAAATCTAGAAGAAATGGATACATTCCTCAACACATACACTCTCCCAAGACTAAACCAGGAAGAAGTTGAATCTCTGAATAGACCAATAACAGGCTCTGAAATTGTGGCAATAATCAATAGTTTACCAACCAAAAAGAGTCCAGGACCAGATGGATTCACAGCCGAATTCTACCAGAGGTACAAGGAGGAACTGGTACCATTCCTTCTGAAACTATTCCAATCAATAGAAAAAGAGGGAATCCTCCCTAACTCATTTTATGAGGCCAGCATCATTCTGATACCAAAGCCGGGCAGAGACACAACCAAAAAAGAGAATTTTAGACCAATATCCTTGATGAACATTGATGCAAAAATCCTCAATAAAATACTGGCAAACCGAATCCAGCAGCACATCAAAAAGCTTATCCACCATGATCAAGTGGGCTTCATCCCTGGGATGCAAGGCTGGTTCAATATACGCAAATCAATAAATGTAATCCAGCATATAAACAGAGCCAAAGACAAAAACCACATGATTATCTCAATAGATGCAGAAAAAGCCTTTGACAAAATTCAACAACCCTTCATGCTAAAAACTCTCAATAAATTAGGTATTGATGGGACGTATTTCAAAATAATAAGAGCTATCTATGACAAACCCACAGCCAATATCATACTGAATGGGCAAAAACTGGAAGCATTCCCTTTGAAAACTGGCACAAGACAGGGATGCCCTCTCTCACTGCTCCTATTCAACATAGTGTTGGAAGTTCTGGCCAGGGCAATCAGGCAGGAGAAGGAAATAAAGGGTATTCAATTAGGAAAAGAGGAAGTCAAATTGTCCCTGTTTGCAGACGACATGATTGTTTATCTAGAAAACCCCATCATCTCAGCCCAAAATCTCCTTAAGCTGATAAGCAACTTCAGCAAAGTCTCAGGATACAAAATCAATGTACAAAAATCACAAGCATTCTTATACACCAACAACAGACAAACAGAGAGCCAAATCATGGGTGAACTCCCATTCACAATTGCTTCAAAGAGAATAAAATACTTAGGAATCCAACTTACAAGGGATGTGAAGGACCTCTTCAAGGAGAACTACAAACCACTGCTCAAGGAAATAAAAGAGGACACAAAGAAATGGAAGAACATTCCATGCTCATGGGTAGGAAGAATCAATATCGTGAAAATGGCCATACTGCCCAAGGTAATTTACAGATTCAATGCCATCCCCATCAAGCTACCAATGACTTTCTTCACAGAATTGGAAAAAACTACTTTAAAGTTCATATGGAACCAAAAAAGAGCCCGCATTGCCAAGTCAATCCTAAACCAAAAGAACAAAGCTGGAGGCATCACACTACCTGACTTCAAACTATACTACAAGGCTACAGTAACCAAAACAGCATGGTACTGGTACCAAAACAGAGATATAGATCAATGGAACAGAACAGAGCCCTCAGAAATAATGCCGCATATCTACAACTATCTGATCTTTGACAAACCTGAGAAAAACAAGCAATGGGGAAAGGATTCCCTATTTAATAAATGGTGCTGGGAAAACTGGCTAGCCATATGTAGAAAGCTGAAACTGGATCCCTTCCTTACACCTTATACAAAAATCAATTCAAGATGGATTAAAGACTTAAATGTTAGACCTAAAACCATAAAAACCCTAGAAGAAAACCTAGGCATTACCATTCAGGACATAGGCGTGGGCAAGGACTTCATGTCCAAAACACCAAAAGCAATGGCAACAAAAACCAAAATTGACAAATGGGATCTAATTAAACTAAAGAGCTTCTGCACAGCAAAAGAAACTACCATCAGAGTGAACAGGCAACCTACAACATGGGAGAAAATTTTTGCAACCTACTCATCTGACAAAGGGCTAATATCCAGAATCTACAATGAACTCAAACAAATTTACAAGAAAAAAACAAACAACCCCATCAAAAAGTGGGCGAAGGACATGAACAGACACTTCTCAAAAGAAGACATTTATGCAGCCAAAAAACACATGAAAAAATGCTCATCATCACTGGCCATCAGAGAAATGCAAATCAAAACCACTATGAGATATCATCTCACACCAGTTAGAATGGCAATCATTAAAAAGTCAGGAAACAACAGGTGCTGGAGAGGATGTGGAGAAATAGGAACACTTTTACACTGTTGGTGGGACTGTAAACTAGTTCAACCATTGTGGAAGTCAGTGTGGCGATTCCTCAGGGATCTAGAACTAGAAATACCATTTGACCCAGCCATCCCATTACTGGGTATATACCCAAAGGACTATAAATCATGCTGCTATAAAGACACATGCACACGTATGTTTATTGCGGCACTATTCACAATAGCAAAGACTTGGAACCAACCCAAATGTCCAACAATGATAGTCTGGATTAAGAAAATGTGGCACATATACACCATGGAATACTATGCAGCCTTAAAAAATGATGAGTTCATATCCTTTGTAGGGACATGGATGAAATTGGAAACCATCATTCTCAGTAAACTATCGCAAGAACAAAAAACCAAACACCGCATATTCTCACTCATAGGTGGGAATTGAACAATGAGATCACATGGACACAGGAAGGGGAATATCACACTCTGGGGACTGTGGTGGGGTCGGGGGAGGGGGGAGGGATAGCATTGGGAGATATACCTAATGCTAGATGACACATTAGTGGGTGCAGCGCACCAGCATGGCACATGTATACATATGTAACTAACCTGCACAATGTGCACATGTACCCTAAAACTGAGAGTATAATAAAAAAAAAAAAAAGAAAAAAAAAATAAAGAAAATGTGGTATAAATACACAATCAAATACTAAAAAAAAAAAAAAAAAAAAAAAAAACACCAGAACAGAATAAAGTAAATGAAAGCTAACAAATTCAAGGTTTGTTTGTCTGGCTATCTATTTTAAACCTCAAGTGGAGACTTAACCAAATGTGGGTTTATTTTTCTCACATAAGAAGATGTTCAGAAGTAGGTAGTCCCAGGCCTTTACAGAGGTTTGGAATGTCACTAGGCACGTCTTATCTTCCCATGCTGTCATCCTCAGTGTGGGGCTTTCATCTTCATGCTCACAAGATGGCTGTTGCACTCCTAGGCATCACATACACATTCCAGGCAGAAAACAAAAAAAGGGCAAAAGGCAAAGGGAAAGATGCCCAATGCATTTGTCCCTCTCAAAACACCCCCAGACCACCAGAAGATTTCTGTTTACGACAAATTAATCAGAACTTTGTACTCTTGACTCCTTTACTTACAAAGGAATTTAGAAAATTTAGTTCAATATCTGGCTTTAGTGAACAAAATTAGAAGCTATCATAAGGATCACAAAAATGGTTATAGAGGCAACCCTCATTATTTACCATGGAAAGATATTATTTACAGACAATCGGTTTGTGGAATAATCTAAAAGAACCTATGAAGAAATTACTAGAACTAAAAATACTAGATGTATAGACATAGATAAATATACAATTGAATTCCTATATACCAGTGACAGAAAATAAATAAAAAGGATTGCTACAATAGTGACAAATATTATTTTATTTGATTTGATTTTTTTCATAGATAGCCTCTCTCTTGGTTGCCCAGGCTGGAGTGCAGTGGTGCAATCATTGCTCAATGAAGCCCTAAACTCGCGGGCTCAAAAGATCCTCCTGGCTCAGCCTCGCTGAGCAGGTGGGACTACAGGCATGCGCCATCACACCCAGCTAATTTTTTATTTTTATTTTGTAGAGATGAGGTTCTCAATATGTTGCCCAAGCTGGTCTCAAATCCCTGACCTCAAATCCCTGACTCTCCTGCTTTGGCTTCCCAAAGTGCTTGGATTACAGACATGAGCCACCGCCCTGGGCCCCCAAAATTTATTATATACCTAGGAATAAATACATCTAATAAAACATGCAAGAGCTTATTAAGAATAATGTTAAGCTTTAAAAAATGTAAACAAATACCTATGTAAAGGAAGAGCTATATCATATTCATGGATGTAAAGAGTCAGTATTATTGACATAGTAATTCCAACTTAATTTATAAATTCCATGCAACAAGATATTTTGTAGACCTATGTTTTATAATGCTATTTTCTGCCAAAGCTGATCAAAAAATTGAATTTTATAATGTACCTTCTTTTAAAAATATTACTGTTTTTAATGTAGTCATTCTTTTCATCTATGGTTTGTGATTTCTATATTGTTTAACATACCTTTCCCTATCCTGAGGTCATAAAAATAGTCTCTATGTCCTTTTCAGAAGGACTCCCCTTTTTTCCTTTCAGTATAAACCGTAACCTCATGAAACTTAGTGAACAGGTTTCAGGTTACAAGGTGGAATTCTACAGAGCACATTGATGGAATATGTCTGCTAAATCCTCTTCAAGACCTTACGAGTAGAAGAAAATACAAGCTGTTTCTAATCGGGTTCTCAGGAAGGCCATTTGCTTAGTTCAGGCAGCCAACATCAGCCTATGCTAGGATAACGAGAGAGACTTGTGTTTTTGTCATTAGACAGGAAACTTGGGCTCAGGGAGACACACTGGCCGCTCCTCCACACCCCTCCAACTCTCCTTCAGAACTCTATCTTTGCCATGAGTATTCCTGAATTGGGGCTACACTATGTCAGCTCCCATTTTTATTTTTAACAAATAATCTCTTTCTCCTTAGGCTCCACAGTGCTTTTTAAAAAGAAATTCTTTAATAGTTCTCTAAACATCAAGTTTTAGTCATCCTCTTCAGTAATTGTTTCTTTAATTGCTCCTTAAGAAATCAGATTTTTTGGCTGGGCGTGGTGGCTCATGCCTGTAATCCCAGCACTTTGGGAGGCCAAGGTGGGTGGATCATTTGAGGTCAGGAGTTTAAGGCCAGCCTGGTCAACATGGTGAAACCCCATCTCTACTAAAAACACAAAAACTAGCTGGGAGTGGTGGCGCATGCCTGTAATTCCAGCTACTTGGGATTAAAAAAATAACAACAACAACAAAAAAACAGATTTTTAAAAATTGTTTTTGTCAGTTTTGGTCCCTTAACTCTTCCTTCTTGATTTCTGTTGACAATCATAGAAACAACTACCGAGGCTGCCTCTAGAAATATTCAGAGGCTTCCAAGCTCCTCTTTGGGAAACACTGATTGGCAGAACTGGCTCTCAACAGCATTTATGAGAAAGGGTTTTGCTGTTCCCCCTGCTGTGTTTCCCAGCATCTGTTCATTCTTACTGCTTCCCCACCCCAGATTTCCCGGGGCACAGCTCTTAGCCTCCACGTCCCTTCACCTCAAAATGCAGCAGTCCATCTTCTATTCCCTGTCTGAATCATTCCGCTAAATTAACCTGATAAACCAATCTGCATTGATTTGTGGTGCTGGGTAGAAAGTGGGCTTCTGTCTTGCTGCTTCTCCTTGATATGTTTGCATTTTAAAGGGAATTTTAAGCAGTCCCCACTCATACAAATAACTGACTTTAATATGGAAATAAAATATCTCATTCAGAGCAGGTATAGGGAGGCTAAAGTCAGCTCATGCATGTGAAAAATAATAAAGCCCTCGATAGATTTAAAGAGTGATTGTTTTTATTTCTCTCACGGGCAAGCAAAGGAGGGAGCTCTTCGCTCAGTTGCTTCTTAGGCCCCTTAAGGTACATCATTTAGGTGCTGCCTATTTCAGCACAGGGAGCTGGGATTATAGGTGCTGCTCTAATTCCAGGAAAACTGCTATGGCAGGAAAATTAAAACAAGGAGGGAAGATAGAACCCAAGATATATGCCTAGAGACTTCATACATAAGTGTGGGAAAGAGGTTTGAGATAATCAGCATGGTTTTCTAGCATGAATTATTATGGATACAAAAGTGATCACCCAGGCAGCGTGTGAGAAGGGAGGAAGACTTGCTGCCTCCTCAGCCTGGTTCCTAGAATGATTATGCAGGGAGCTTACCTGAGTTCTGAGAAGGGAGGAGGACTCTGATTGGAATCCTGGGAAGCAACTATATGTAAGAATCAGGCCAGAGAAGAGCAGCTTGCAAGGGACATGTTCAGAGGGGTGGGAAGAAAAGCAGGAAGTAACACCACTACCAAAATCACCTATCATTTATTGGCACTTTCTGTGTTAATCTTTTCATATGCATTTTTCTCCTAGTTATCACAGCAACCCTGTGAGATAGGAATTATGATCTCTCTTAAACAGACATAAGTCAGAAACAGCAAGTAATTTGCCTAATCCACAGAATTGAGGATTGTCCTGTTGGGGTTCTATGGATGAAACTATTGGCTCCACTTCACAACTCCCTGTATTCACACCTTTTGCCATGTGACTTTGCGGTCCCTCTTACCGGAGGCATGGTGTACTTCCTCACCCCTTGACTGACTTTGAGCTTGGTCATTTGAGTTTTATAGACAAAAGGAATGTGGGCAGAGATAACAACGTACCTGTTTCAAACTAGGACTTAAGAGGTATGCCAGGCTTCCACTTGCTCTCTTGTGTTTCTGGCATCACACCAAGCTTGCTGCGTCCTCAGCCTGGTTCCTAGAATGATTATGCAGGGAGTTTACCTGAGTTTTATCTGCAGCTAGCTGGATCTGCAGCTTGAGGTACACTCACCTAGCAGATCCCCAGCTGATCCACGTGACTAAATCTGGCTGAACCATCCCAGCTGATGTTCTGACATATGAGAAATAAATTCTTATTATTGTATTCCATGAAGAGTATATGGTTATTTTGTTACACAGCATTTTTGAGGGAATAGCTAACTGATGCAGAAGTGAACTCAGACAGTATGATTCCAGAATCATACGCTCTTTTTGAACCTTAAAGATATCAGGGAAATCAGAAAAGTCGAGTTTAAAGAGACAAAGAGTAGCCATCGTGGCTATATGCTGCAAGGTTAAATAAGATAATTGTAAAATGTAGCATTTCAGAGCATTTTCTGTATGCACAGGTTTGAATTACAATGCAATACTTCAGCCAAACCACAGACAAGCAGCAGGTACAGAAGTTTCACGCAAGAACACTGTGACAGGCAAGCAGATGTCTCCAGAAAGAAAAGTCTATTTGAACAACTGGCAGACATGAATTCTACCTCTAATGCTGGAACATCCGGCAAAGAAGCCTTGAGGGGAGGTGACTAAGTAACAACAACTATGGAAATCAAGCATAAGCTAATTTGCTGTACATCAATACTGTAACCTAGAAAATCTATGTTTGGTGATGTGTGATCCACAGGCAATCACCATAGAGAGCAAAGCATAAACATAATCAGACAATTTAGGTCTTACTATTCTATCCTTTTTTATTTGATCATTTTTATTAGACATAGGTATATAATGATCATTTTGAATTTACTATAGTTTTATTTTAATCTTTCAAATACAATCAAGAATATAAGATATTGACAAAATGGATAATTTCTTATTTGATCCACAGAAAATGTGTACATATTTGATCTTAGTCAAAGGTTGTGAGGCAAGAAGAGCCAGAGAGAGCATCTGGATGCTTGAGCTTGAGTATTGAGTATTCACAAGCACTATACCTGACCTTACTGTCCAGACTGCATATATCTCATCTATAAGAGGAGAGCAAATCAATCATAGTACTTGCTTCCAACCTAGATTACTTATATAACAGCCTTTCAGCTCTAAAATTAAATAAATCTCTTAAATATCACATAGAACTCTTGTGATTAACTTCTTAGAACATGTTGCTAGAAGAATGAAGGAATTTTTTAAAGAAGGAAGCTTGCAATCCCTGACAAGACTGTGATATGCGGAAGCTTACAACCAATCCCCACCCCCACGAACAAGGCTAAAGAAAAAAAATTTAATGAAAAACTTTCATCAGAATTGGATCTAAGGAACTGTGCAACCCTTTACGACAAAAGTTGATGATTTTGGTTTAGATGGAGTGTGTTTAGAATAATATCAAAGACTGACTCACAAATCCTCTTTTCAAAAGAATGGAGCAATATTACAGAGAATAAGCAAAGGCGACCCCAGGAATGAAAACCCTGGCAGAATATTCCAGAAGACTTTACTTTGGAGGGCTTGGCCAAGTCCCAAAGGGCACTAGAGAATAAAGTATCACCGCCATGGATTAACAGCAGCTCGAGTCTCCAGGAGCAGCACTCTGAGAAACAGTAGCAGCTATACCCAGTGAACACCATGGGAGAAGTGTGCGTCTTTATGACCCAGCTTCTCAGTGGAGTCAAGAACTGATTCCAACACGAGATGGTACTTTCAAAAATGGAGACGAATCCCCTAATCTGAAGGAGGGAAAGCTAAAGATGATGCTAGACTGCAGAGAGGTGGGGACCAGCTTACCTAGAGCTGCTGCAGTTGAAGAGCATTCAGGAGCAGCTGTGCTGGAGGGAGACGAGGTCACTGCTTCTCTGCGACCGGACTTTCTCCCCAGTGCGACCAGTTTGCTCTGATCTGCGAGGACCACTTTTTAAAAATAGAGAGATCCCCGGTGGAAGAGAGAATCCTCTGCTTCAACAGGAAATCTACAGCCTCCATGAGGGAGATCCAGAAAAACATAGCCACACTTTGTATCTGGAGTACAGATTGGGCCAAACTGAAAGCCAGAGACAGAAAGTTGGTCCCTGGTGCAGGGGTCTTAACCAAGATTTTTTAAAAAACATGCAGAGCAAAAATTGCCCTCCTGAGACTCTATACCACATCCTCACTCTCATTTCCCCTCCAACTATAGACACCCAAGTTCCGAATTGGTAATACAAAGACTTTTTTTCTTAATTTTCATTCAGGATTCCAAACTAATTTTGAAAAGGAAGGCCTTGTCAGAGCCCAGGAAAACCAGGAAGAAACCATAAGAAACAGCATAGATTATTTGGGGGCATCTACTAAGCCCAGATAAGCTTGTCCTTATTCAAGAATGAGTAACCAGAAGAAGAAGAAGAAAAAAAAAAAGAACACTTTTGAGTCTATGATGGGATTCTGCAATGCAAAAGAAGACAAAGCATGAAAAGATCAGGTGAAAGTATCAGCTGAAGAATGACAAAGTTTATAAATTTCGAAAGGAGACCTTGATTTCTCATAAAGTGTTGCAACCTGCAGGTTGGCTATTCTGACAGGCTAGGAAGCATAGCCTCAGCCAGAAGCTGGGAAGGGGCAAAGGGAACAGGAATTTATAGGAACAAGATGGACAAATATGCATATTCAATAAACTATAGGAGGAGTTATGAATATTTATGAGAGGAGAAATGTGCACATACGCAATGGAGTTCAATGCTCCTTCGTGGGTCCCATGTACAAAAGTGGCTGCATTAGCATCATCTAAGGGTGGCATTTTCAGTTCTTCTATGTCAAAAGGTGAAGCAAAGGACACCCTTACTGCACATTCTCCATAGACTAACCAGAATCGTTCTGTGGTTGGTGGTCTCTTATCAGGCAGAAAAGGAGGGGCAGTGTCAGCTGGTTGGTTGATATCAGTGGTGGACTCTTGAAAGGGCTGGTTTCTGTTCAGCCCTTAGAGAAGAAAGCCTCATCCTGGTTAGAGAGGGAGGAGGTACAATGAGGCGTGTCTAACCTCCCATGCTCTCATGGCTGAGAACTCAGTTTTCAAGCTTATTCTGGGGTCCTTGGCCAAGGGATGGTCTGTTCAGTCCATTGAAGGGCTTAAAAGTTTATTTTGATTTCTCAAGAGTATACTTTTAAAGATTTACTCAAGGAAACGTAAGTGAAGTTTTAGGTAGAAAATGCTTTGGCTTCTCAAAGAAATTAAAGAAAGCATGGTAAAATGAAACAAAGATGATAACACAGAGGCTGGAGATAAAGTGATAGTAGGCAGAGCTGAGATAAAGTTTTAAAAAGCAAAACCAATGCAGAATTTTCAATAGTATCAATAGAAAACACAATCTACATTGCAGAAAATTAAAGTACTGATAAATACTGCCTTGAAAACAATCACTTAGATTTCATAGGAAAGAATATGAAGAGATCATTAGAACATCAGAGAAAAGATGATAAACATAAAAAACAGTAAAAACATAGAAATAATTTGCTTTTCTAAAAATATTAGAATAAATGACATGAAAATAATATGGAAAGCTATAGTAGAATCCCGCCCATCAATCTGATAAAAGAACCCTTTGGTCGAAAAGAAGACTCTTCATATCAGGCAAATTTTACAATAATCAACTGACATTTAAACAAAACCTAGGAAAATCAGTGAATATATAGGATCAAGAAAACTAAAGACACATACAAACACCTACATGTAAAAAAGAACACCTGTGTATCATCAAAGAGAAAAAAACAATCAGACACCTCATGTAGAACATCAGATATGAGAAGACAATAGATCAATATGCAAAGTTTTGAGAAGACAAGACTAGGAACTGAAAATTTTACATTCATTCAAGTTACTGTTGCTGTGTATAAGCAACGGAAAGACATTCCTGTACTTGCAAAGACTCCAGAAGAAAATCTTCAAAATCTGGCCCAAAAATTTAGCCCAAAAAAGTGGATAAAATTAAGTACTCACAAATGGCATAATTGATGAAGAACTAGTGTTGAACACAAAAATCATGTAAGTTACCTTTAAAGTTACAGATGGAATCTACTCACATATTTCTTTTATAAAACAAGGTGAATATCATAGTATTTATAAGAATGTAATAATAATTAATTGGTACAAAGACTGCAGAATTTATAATAGTCAAAAATGGGAGGTGAGTGTGTGGGGAAAAGATATTTAAGTATGCTACTTTCTTAATCTTAACTAGTCAAGCAATAACAGATGCATTTCATTCCTGGCATTGATAACTGGAGTCATTTAGATTAGTAGATTATATAAGGATCTTAGTTTTGTTTTGTACCAGTATTTTCTTTCTTTGGTGAGAATAATCAAGTGATTGACTTTTGAGTTTGCCTTCTAGAATACAGTTTGTTCCAGGCCAAGAATAAATTTCAGCCATGAAACCTGAAATTAGCTTCTTGAAAAGTATGAATTCTTGATGCACAATGAAGCATAATCCATGATTACTGCCAAAAGATGTGCTCTGTTATCATTACCATTAATTTGTGAGGCATAAAAAATCCAAGTATTTTTGAAATTTCCTAAGTATTCTTCATATGATTTGCTGAAAAAGATTAATGTTAATTTAGCTGACTAGAAGAAAAAATAAAAGAAAGCAGAAGTGTTAAATATGTAAATTATGTGTATGCCTTTAGTAAAAGTTCATCTTTAATCTTGTTCAAAAATGTCTTTCAGAATGTCAGATAAAACTCTCTCATTTGGCCCCTCTCCCCTTTTGCCTGGCTACAGAATTTAGAGAAGGTAGCTGTAAAATACCAGGGATAACCCACGGCCGTTTCTAGCCTTTGTCTTTGAACTCTGACATGTCAAGGTCAGGCAGTAGGCCCAGTAAAGTTGCACACAGGAGTCCAGGTGATCATGCAAACTCCAAACCAGGTGATAGTACTCCACATTCACCCAAGCACACTTATGCCTGAATGGAGACTTAATCAGCATTACCAAATATGTCCTGGAGTATCTTTAATGTTCCATAGGGCAGCTGATCCTATTGCTTTATGTAATGTCTTTTAGAGGCACACTGTTGCTGACAAGCAACCTTACCAGAGTTAAGAAGCAAGAAATACTCATCCTGAGTAACAAGAGAGGAATAACCATAAAACACTAAACTTGGCACTTTACTCCACCTATAGCCAATGCCAGAAGAAGAGAAGTAAATTGGAAGAAAGAAAACAGACACTGTGGAGTATCACTTTTGAAATAATAGACCCTGCTTAATGAAGAAAAATGAAGCTCAGAGAAGTTAACATGTCCAGGTCAACATAGTAAGTGATGACACTGGGATTTCAATCCAAGTCAGATTCCCAAACCTAGCACTTAGCACTATAATCTTCTACCTCTTAAATTTGCTAGGGATTAAAATTTTGATTTAAAAACAAGCCAAAAAAGATATAATTTTCATACTCTACTACTAATAATTCCTGGAAAGGAAGAAATTTTCAAAATATGGAAATAGGGTTTATATTTGACTTAGGCCCTTCGAAGTGGAAATCTTTGGTTTGGACCTGCTTTGAAATTTTAGAATGGATATTTGAAATGTTTAGTGTTTAACTCCATTCATTAATTGAAACTACATGCACATCATTAAATAAGGCTCAGAATCAGCACTTCTCTAATTACATTAAAACACACAAACAACTCAGGTAAGAGAAATTTTGCTGAATTTGGTTTTAAGCAACTTTATTACCTACTACATTAATCAGGTTAACCAAATTACCTTGAACTTACTGCTTTATTTTGTGATAAACAGATTGTTGGACATAATCCCTGATTCACCTCCTGGACCCTGCATGGCATTTTTCATTTTTTGCATCCAGTTAGGCACCAAGTCATAGTCATATTCATTTTACTCCCATATGCATAGGAAATATGTATTTTCATATTTATATCCACAATCCTGTCTCCTAGGCTATAGTAATATCCTCCTAATTACACTCCTTGTAATTGCTCTTGCATGACTTCTAGTCCATTTTTTATACATCAAGGTAATCATTTTATAAAGGGAACATGATCATGTGATCATGCTTAAAGCATATTACAACCCTTAAGGAAAAAGAAAACCCAAATCTGTTTATTAGCCCCTCCTCATTTCTTGGCTAACAGTTACTCACCTTTCAGGTCTCACATTTCCTCTGGGAAACCTTTCCTCTCTGGCAGTTAAATTCCTACCAGGCATTCCCAAAGCAGGCTGCTTTCTCCATTGAAGGTGGTTCTTGTTAACACTGATGATTACTTATTCAATGTTTGCCTTCCTGACCAGACTGTAAGCTCCAAGAAGGCAGGGGCTTCTTTAGTCTTGTCACTGCTCTGTTTTCAGCCCTTCCGGCAATTCTTGGTGCTCAATAAATATTTGTTGATTTGATTCATTGAATTATGTATATACTTACAGTTTATAGAAATCTGAGAATTCAGAAATTCTCAGATTTCTGAAACAATATTCTGAAACAATAATTCAGAAAATATAAAACTGGAGAATTCACCTACCTGTTTTGGGGTGGCACCATACCACCCTAACCCTTTAGTAGGTGGTCTTAATCCTTTTTTAGTGGCCAGTCCATGTATTGAAGTCATGAGCATCACCTGATCTTGTCATAAAGCCAAGAGGAGGGCTTCTTCCTCCAGCTGCGGGCTAGATTTGGGTTCTGCTCAGTGATCCTTTAGTTCAGAGCAGATGAGTATCTATTATCTGGTATTATCAGAGGAGTCTTTGAGCTTTATTTTTTACAAATAGTGGTCAGTTTTATTGCTGGTTACAAGGCATGAAGTATTATAAAAATCAAGGCTGTACGTAAATGCCCCTGAAAAGCTGTTGAAATTCCAAGTAATCTGCACAGTTTTATCCAAGTGACCAAAGCACTTTCAACAACCTCAGGAAAAATCTACCTATGCCAACAATTAGATTAAAATGAGCTATTTCCAGAGTGTTAAGTCTCTGCATGCTCTAAATTCTGCCAGGAATAGATCATTCCAACAGAACTATTTGTCCTGAAGAGAAGCATGGATACTCTGATAATGCGCTTAGACCAGATTGTGAAAAAACAAATAAACATCCAGGTCATGGCCCTTACTTTTTCCATTCAGGTTATTTATATGCCAATGTTTCACTACAAGTTTTATGAATTTGTAAATTTATTTAGCAAATGCCACCACAATTTCCTTTGAAAACATGTTATTGTACTATGAATAAGAAAGACAGAACAGACATATTGGCTCCTGCCTGTAATCCCAGCACTTTGAGAGGCTGAAGCAGGAGGATCACTTAAGGCCAAAAGTACAAGACCAGCCTGGGCAACTTAGCAAGACCCTGTCTCTACAAAAAATAACAACTTCAAAAGAAAGAAATACGTGTTAGAATTCTCACATTTCTCTTGATGAAGAATCAGAACTGGGAAGAAACATAGAATGAAATAACTATATACAATCTAACTCTGATTATCCAAGGTTAGTGAAGAGAAACAATAATTCAGAAAATATAAAACTGGAGAATTCACTTACCTGTTTTGGGGTGGCACCATACCACCCTAACCCTTTAGTAGGTGGCCTTAATCCTGGTTTAGTGGCCAGTCCATGTATTGAAGTCATGAGCATCACCTGATCTTGTCATAAAGCCAAGAGGAGGGCTTCTTCCTCCAGCTGCGGGCTAGATTTGGGTTCTGCTCAGTGATCCTTTAGTTCAAAGCAAATATTTATTGAACATGTTCTATGTACCAGATATGCTCACAGGTTGTATTGATACTGTCCCCCAAACAACCTTAAATTTTATAAGTCAACTATATCTCAGAAACAGCCCAAGTGATATGTTCCAGGTCACAGAGAAATTTAGAGAGAACCAGGGTTGGCACCCCAGCCTTTAGACTCCCCTGAGCCATGACCACTCTGGGTCTGACCTCAGCTGTCGGCATCTCACAGATCCCTGGAGCAGGTAGCATTCTTCGAGAATGGTCTGGAAGCCTGCCAGGATTGATCACAGAGGTGATATTCAGTGAGCAGGAGCCTTGGCAGCAGGGAGGCTCTTATGTCTCCCACCCTGAAAAAGGGAAAGAACTCCTTCCTCTGCCCATGATTCTCAAGCTCCCACAGGCCTCTTATGTTTAACCAGGTTCCAGGGACCAGAAACCAGCTCTTTCCACTGGCTCTGCTGGGCAGGCCCTCTGACTGAAGGCTCCCCCTTGGGCATGGCTTAACGAGCCCCTTTCCTGTACACCCTGTCCCTGAGAAAAACCTAAAGGTAGAAGGAGAGCATTTTTCCAGTACACCTGAGCCAACCCCTGCCTTAGCAAAAATATGAAAACCTGAAAAATGGGTTTCTTTTCTATAATCAAACCTGAAAAATAGGTTTCTTTTCTGTAATCAAGATTTCTTAAAACTGCACTTCCTCAGAATTCTGAGAGTTATGGGTGTAGGACTCAGGAATAGGTATAAAGAGGCTTGATAATCAAACTTCTGATGAGCTTCACAGCAGGCAGAGTGCCTCACTTATCTTTTTGTTTCTTATCCTGCAACATAACTATTGAAAACTTTTGAATTTCATCAATAAACGAATACCTGAATGCTAGCATGCTTGTTTTAGAGTTTATGACAGATAAATTGAGCAGATAGATGAGGAAGATTATGATTTGGTTTTGCTTCGTTTTGTCTTTCTCTCCAACAGTTTTTCCTTACATTAAAATGGCATGATGTTTAACCCATAGATTACACCAGCCCCTCAAACATCATTACAAAGTTCTCTCCTCATGCCCTCTCTTTGGTCACATCCAATAGTCCCAGAACCGGTGTCATTATGTATTTGGAAGAGAGCAAGACCCCTAGATTACACAATTACTTAGGGAATAGTCCTTTACAGAAATTCAGAGTAAACGTGAAGAGGTAGGACAGAAGAACAGCTGGTACAGATGAGGAAATCTCAGGAAAAACAAATAGAAAACTGCAGAAAGAAAAGGGAGTTTCTCCTCTTCTGATGTTAATAAGCTGTTACAAAATTCATTTTGTGAAATCTGTTTTATTAAGCTGTTTTTCTTTATATGCACATAGTTGACATGGAAAATAAACTACTTACATCTGGTAAGTAATTAAAAATACTTCTTGGTTCCATACATTTGTGCCAACTAGAGAAGTAGAAGTGACCCAAAGTAGCCCTGAATGAAAAAGAAGAAATAAAGTATCTAATCATTTCGACTCTTATTAGGCCACTAACGTAAATCCATCTCAGGATCAAATAGTCTCCCACTAAGTCATGTCTTGGCTTTATTTTCAAAGACTTTTGCTTTGCTAGTCCTACATTCATGTCTTAGAGACAATCTTAAGGAATTAGGTAATTTTATTTCCTGTGTCATTAAGTGCTTATTTAAAATACTTGCAGACCTTGCTGGCTACCTCTGGAAAGCTTAGATTTCCCCCCAAAAAAATATGACATAAAACCACACAGTTTTATGGATCCTGTTCCAATAATCTTTTAGCTTTTTTGCTTTTAATACTTTCCATTGGTACGATTTAGTTAATTCTATTAGGCTACTTTTGAGACCTGTTTGTTCAGGGTGACTCTCACAAAATTAAAGCCACTAAATTGCACAACTACAGAGGGTGCCATGCACTTGGAAGACTCCAGATCCCCAAGCTATGGAGTCAATGGATTTCCTTATGGTTTTATACAACTCTCCACAAATTGCTTAGAAACCCTCCTTCCCCAAAGTTTCATTGGAATGTGGTCCTTAAACTATCAACCTAAATCTACTAGAAAATCTTATCAACTCTAAATTTTTATTTGCATACAGATAAAGAAGAAGCTTAGTGTTGGATGCTCTTCTTGGTCTCCTAAATGTCTCACTCATATAATGAGCACTGACCATCAGTAGGAGGAAAAATATATTCTGTGAGAGCTACAAAAAACATTGTCGCTGTTCTAGGAATGATTATTGGGAGGAAGACTTTGACAGGTTATCCCCAAATTGGGCATTCTTCTGTGTATTTTTCTGCCCTTGGTAGTCCTGGAGAGTACCAGTGTGGATGAGCTCATATCACCTATTCAGCTCCAAGGACAGCAGCTCAGTCATTGACCCAGGCAGACATACAGGTATTACAGGACGGTAAGCCTTTTAGACACAAAGAGGAAATACAGTGCATTATAATTGTGACTCTAGAAAATAAGACTGATACAGATCTTTAGATTTGCCTATCCAAATGAAATTTAAACATCTAAAAATCACAGAGCTTTATGAGTAGCAGTAGATTCTTACTGTAAAACTGTACCTGCGTAATGAGACATGCTGGAACATGAACCACTATGAAATAATTCACATATCTCAGTGTTCAGATCGCTAATGGAAAGAATGTATGTGACATGGATACAACTCTACGGTATAAATATATAGGTATGGAACCCTTAAAAACATGTTTTGTAAAAAATACTATATACACCTAACTGAAACCTTTTAGGTGCATAATAGTAATAAATATTTCTTATTCTGTACCCCTCCCCACCCCCACCATACTCTCAAGAAAAGCCTGTTTAGATTTGTGCTTTTATCTGCATCAAAATTTTTCTTATTTAACACATGTTAAATTTGTGTTGGTATCATATATTCTTTTGTATGTCTTTTCATCGAATGGTATTTCAAAGACTACTGCTATTTGCATGCAAGTAACTGTATGCAATTATTGTCAGATTGCAAACGTGGTTACCTGGGTTTGGCACAAGAAGGTGCAGATACAGTGTGATCTACCATGTTAGGAAATGTCACATTTTACTCTTCTGATGTTTAGTTTTTAATTACTTGAAGAAGTTTAAACAATTAATTTGTTGATAAAAATAAGGCTGCTTAGGTACTGCCATTTTGACTAAGAAAACAAACTATCTGCCAACTAGAAACTCAAAGCCCCACCCAAGAGTAATCATCACTTTGTAGCTTGACACAGTGTTTTACTGGAAAGATGATTGTCTACTTCAGGGAATAGCCTCTTTGGAATGTGAATTCCATATGGTTTTGTGAATAGAAGTTCAACCATTTCAGCAGCACATGATTCAGAAGAAGTCAGGTAAGCCTATTAAACCAAGTACACTGTCAATTGCAATGGTAAACGTTTGGTGAACGGGGAAAAGAGAAATGGCCATTGGTAGCTCTTCAACTCCAATTCTGGATGGCAACTTGTAATCAATTTATAACGGAGGAACTGGCAATGGAGATAGTTCTCCCAATCCACATTACGAAACACAAAATCTAGTAGAACAGCTTTTGAAGGCTTTTAGAAATAACAAGTTTTTCTGGGGATGTTTTCTGTAGATTAAGGACTGGGAAACTAGTTAGCATCCTCAGAGTCGACTTTGGCAAGCTGAGGAGCCCTAGCTTGTCAGGGAGCTTCACCCTTGCCTGCCTGAGCAGGCAATCGCTGACTTCAGTGAGGAAATATATAATGCCTGCAGCAGGGGAAGAACCAGCTATTCAGTCTTTCTCTCTTCATCCTTATTTCCACTCCCTTTTCCTTTCTCAACTTTCTCTACTGCCAAGAAAAGCATGTGCATGAGGCAACAATAAAGTAACTCAACAACTGAGGTAGGAATGGCAGTGGTGAGTGTGGATGTCAGAGGAAAAAAATTATATAATATTGCTGTCTTAGAGTCTTGATGTTTCCTCTTCCACTAAAAAGATTCAGAATAAAACATTTGCTTTAATCCCTAAGCAAAGAAGATAATTGCTGTAATATGGACAGTACTCAAACCCACCTAGACGATCCCTTCCTGAGTGGGTCTCAAAAAGAGCATCTTTGTGACTTTGTGAGATGTCTGCATGTGAGCTTGCACCTCTTAGCCCTTCTCCTAAGTTTAGCTTAGGAATTTGGGATCTATAACTAAATTTCAGAAGTTTGGGTCTTCGCTTTCTCTCTGCCTTTTTGACACACTCTTTTGTTATTTTTATTATGGTTACTTAAGACTTCCTAAGCATTGGCAGTAGCAGATAAGAGCTATGCCAAGCTCCTCTGCTCTTCCCCAGCTGACCTGCTCAGCACATTATGCATTTATTGGATTGGGGTTTGGGTATGTTATTTTGCCTTTATGGGATCCATCACTTGTAGTATAAAAGAGATTTTTAGACATTCATCCAATTCTATGATTCCATGACAGGTGACATTAATTTCTTCATTTGAAAATTAAATAATTCTATAATGAACTCCATTACAGGAAGATACTATCAAAGACAAATTTGTGAAGTTAAGAGGGACAAAAAGGGGTTGTATAAATGATCTAAAACTCCAAAGACACTAAGTGGTAGAGGCAGGAATTGATGCCATATCTGTGTTTTGTTATCCAGGTCATGTATTTGCATTTAACTAATATTCTTGGAATCAAAATTCCTTAACATTAAAGAAAGTTTCTAACAATGGAATGTCAGGTCTGAGAGACACGTGTGGCTGACAGGGGAATTTTCTGAAATCCCTGAAGACCTATAACAAGCCAGTGGCCCACTTAGTCTCACTAAAGGATTCAACGCTGCCTTGCAGCCCTGCTTTGCAAGAATGTGGTGAAAATTTAGGCCTTTTTGTCTGCAGTGTTACCTGATTCATTGAAGAAAATGACTTGGTCAAGAGATGTCTAAGAATTCACCTTGATGACCAGCGCTCCCTATTGTTTTGCAAATCTCATCTCAACTAGAATGTTGGGGAAGAGTTTATTACCATATTTCCTGTGGTGCTTCTCAGTCAGCAAAAATCTTGGAACATTAGGTGCAGCCTACTTTCTCCAAACATTGTTTTAGGTTGATTACTAATGTGATTACAATGGTTACCTTCCCTTTCACAAGTGTACCCTATGTTACATGTATGTAAATGCTTTAAACTGTCATGCTAATAACATTTTTTAACATTTGAGTCATATTTTAAATGCTTCAGATAATTTCACTATTTAAGAGAGTCTCTTCTGAAAAGCTCTTTCCAAGAAGGAAATGGTTTCCTAATTCATTAATTTTACCAATTATGTTTTCATATGTTGTATTTTTGTTAAAGAGGATTAAAATTATTTGGAGAAAAGTTCTATGCATACTCTAGATCTTATCGTGGTGATGAAAAAGTTTCTATCCATACTCTAGATCTTATTGTGGTGATGACTTCAAGATACACCGTTTCTTTTGTTGAACTGGAAAGGTTTCTTTGGCAAATCATTTATATGAAAAGGTTTTCTGGTCTTGTCTTTTGTTAATCCTAACAAGAAAAAGTTAGCAGATTGGTAGCTACAGACTAGTGAACTATAGACACTTTGCAAGACTAAAAGTGATTAGTCAGTGTGGAATCAGCAAAAGGCAGGGGAAACTAGGAACTGGAATGCAGAGCTGTGGCTAGAAGACAGAGGGATGGTAAATGGAAAGGGGATGGAGGGATTTTCACAGTGCAAAAATCAGGTGAAGCCCACAGGTGCATATGAGTGAAAGCCACAAACAAGGCTGAAAACCCTTTTCTCCATCCCAAAACATTATAATACACTGTTAGGAAATATCAGTGTATTTGCATCAATCAAACAATGTTCTTCCAGCCACCCAAACTTGCAACCTTGAGTCATCTTTGAGTCAGAGATGTCAGGAATTTCAGAGCTGGGTAAAGTCTTAAAGGATACTTAATCCAATCTTTGCTTTGCAGACAAGGCCATGCAGTTTCAAGAGATCCTGCTTTTGGCAAATTCACATTACAAACAGAACCAGGCTTGACACTCAGTCTCAGAAATTCATATCAAGTCTTCCTTTCACTGCTTAGCCTGGTTCTTCCCTTTTCTTCATCAGCTATTCAGTCGGACACCAATTCTGCAGACTCTTCTTTAGGAGGGTCTCTGATGTCAATCCCTTTCCATTACCACCACCCTGGTCTAGGCTGTGCTCCGAAATGACTTTCTAAAAATGCTCCATACCACTTGGCTTTCTGCTTCAGTTCACCATAGATACTTTAATCTTCCTGGGACACTAATTTCATGATATTTCTGAAGAACCCCCTCGTTAAATTCTACTATCTTGGGACAGCAAAAAGTATTCAGGTTTTGGACTCAGATAAACTTGGGTTCAAATCTCTTGTCTACCTCTAAACTTGGATAAGTTACTTAGCTTCTCTGAAGTTCATTTTCCTCATCAGTAAAATGAGAACTACGATAATAAATTTAAAAATAAAACTGGTGACTATAGTGCAGATGGAATGACTTCATGTATGTTAAATTGCTTAGCAGATAAAAGATGTTCAAAACATGTAGATTTTCTTCCTGGAATTCATACTCTTCTGCAGTCTGGCTCCTACCTACCTTTCAATCTTGTCTTTTACTATCTCACCAGACAAGTTTTTTGCCTCAGCCAGATTGGCCTATTCATTACCTCCTGAACACTCTGTTCTCAGTTTTAACTGCTGGAGTTTTTCCTGCTTCCTAAAGATGTCCAACCCTTTTTTATTTATTGTATTATACAAATCTTTCTGATTTATCACAGCCTGTGTTTTTTCAATTCTTGCTTTTGCCCTCCAGGAGGAAATACATACATATATATTGTTCAAACAGGATGCATGGGAAAGAGTCTAAAGTCTTTAATGCTGAGCTGCTCCCAAACATGCTTCTTAGTTCTGGCAGAAGACTGTGGGGTCATGTGTCTTTCAGATGGGACCATGTCACCCTCTCTCTTCCAGAGATCCCAATGCTTGCTGCCTAACCCCAACAGTCACTTGTCCTCACCTTAGCCACCATTCCTGTGTGGCACTGTGTGGTTTCTCTAGCTGCCCATCTGACATCTTTCATCCCCAGCATGGCCCTTGGCACTCCTTCCTTACTCTGTCCCCTTCTCATTGTCATGTCTAATGACACTAAATAATCCTGGGGAAATTTGGAGCCCACGGGTGATGTGTGGATATAACTCCATGCTCCTCACATCTTGATCTTTTCAGTTCTAGACATATCAAACTAGTGAAAGGGAAAGATGGCTATAGTGATACAACCCTCAATATCCTCTCACCATCCTCTTTCTGAGGATAGTAGTGTGAAAGGAAAATAAATCTCAGGACCCCAAAGTCACTAAACCAGGAGAAAAATCAATCTGGGAACTATGTCAAGCAAACCTACCTCCCATTTTATTCCTAAGTAAGATAGCCACAAAGATGAGAAGCTACATAACTCCCTCGCAATTTGTCCACTGGAAGTTCCTTGTGGACAAAGGACAGACAGAACTCAAAGTCATCCCTCTGAGGCTCACCTGAGACAAATGCATGCCTGATTGCTTCCTCTGCCCTATTGTTTATGTAAAAATTCAGATTCACTGAGCCAGACTAAATTGTGTATTCAGTGGAGGGCTGATCAATGGCTCAAAAGAATGAAATCTTTTGTCCCTTATCTGCTTCTAGCCTAGAAGCCCCCACTTCCGGTTGTCCCACCTTACCCAAACAAACCAATGTACATCTTACACATATTGATTGATGTCTCATATCTGCCTAAAACAAATAAAAGCACTGTAGTCCCGACCACCTTGGGCACAAATCATCAGGACTTCCTGAGGCTGTGTCACAGGTACACACTTAACCTTGGCAAAATAAACTTTCTAAATTGACAGAGAACTGTCTCAGATATTTGGGGTTCCTAGTAGGAACTGTTGTTATACCTCTTTCATTAGGCTTGCTTTCTCAGTTTGTTGCAAGTTCTGCTTCTTTCCTCCCATGATTATAAAATCTGGACCTGAGTTCTGATGCATTTCTAGCTCTGTTAAATTTTCCATACAAATATCAAGATTACTGACAGTTTTCTTCTATTGCAGGATAAGTTCTCAGGACAACCGGGGCCCTACCCTGGAAACTAGAAAGTCCCTTTTGCCCTTCTTCTTCACCACACTGTCTTAGGCAAATTACTTAAGCTCACTATGTTTCCAATAACAGTTCTCCAGTCATAGAGTTTTTATCCTCCCAATCAGGTGGGTTAATCCACATAAAGCCCTTCACACTGTGTATGAATGTGTCTATTGCACTCTGAAGCAGGGTGCTTTGCTGAGGGAGCAAGTGGGGGCTAAAATCCAGCACTCTTCTCCAAGCCTAACATGGGCATGGGGCTGGATCTGCTCAGAGGATGAGGTACCTTTCAAAACTCTGGTACTATTGCTTGTCAAGCCCTACACCCACCACCTAGAGGGCTTTTTTTCCAAGATACATGAAGGCTCCTGTGGGCCAGTAAGGCCATGCTAGGACATGGTCAGTGTTTGATAAATCCTGGTTATTTTAACTGTTTTTACTGAGTCCAAATAGTGACTGCCTTGAAGAGTCTGTTTCAGAACATAATACTGAAATACCAAGTAGTCAGGGCTTTAAGTTGATGGAAACATCCAGCAGACAACCAAAAAGAAGTACATTGTAATCTAACCAAATACCTTCTCATTGATCCTATTTTTATTGTCCATAAACTAGCTAGAAATAATTCCTTTATATTGTTGCCTTTATTCAAGCTTTTAAAACAAGACTCTTCCTTTAAAGATAATCTATTTCTTATTGTAATTTTGAAAAATAATCTCTCTGACTTAGTTATCTGCCAATTTAGATAATTGGCTCTAAGTCATATAGGCATCTCAGAGTAACAGTTGGGCATAGAACACATTTATTTTAGGCAAATGAGAAATAGTATGGTGTTTTATACAAAGAGGAACAAGAAAAAAAATACTTCCTTTCCCACTGTAAATGCTGTACAATGGAATTCTCAGACATGACATCATCGGTTTCTGGTTTCACAATGCAGAGTCCTTAGTTGATAGAGCTGGTCAGAGGAGAATGAGGAGCAGATGCAATCAGTATCAGAATATGCAACTTCTTTAGCATGTAAAATTGTTAAACTCTGGAAAACGGTTACTTTTAAAAAGTATACACTTGACATAAGCTCTTCAAAAATTCTAGAACCTTTTTGTGAAAACAAAGGTAATTAAAGTAGTAGGTTTAAGAAAAGCAAGGTACTTCAGTAATCTCATTTATAATATGTGATTATAATAAAAATGTAGAATATTATGTTCTCATCTAAGACTTTGTTTTAGCTTCAAGGAAATTAAACAGCCATCAAACAGGTTTAAACAAATGCCTAATGCCTATCGTTTATGAACATTCCTAAGTAAATTGTACCACTTTCGAAGTCCTGAAGAAAGGAGATAGAATATTTAAGTTTCAAAAAGCAGTTTAAAACGTTTAGTTAAACATGCTGCATTGAGACTGAAGGATTTTGAGAGACATCATTAAGGGAGTACAAAGCTGCAATTCAATGACAGACACAGCATGCATCAAGCAAGAGAGACTTTATGACCAAGTTTACTGCTCACAGTGCAGATATGACTTAAGAAAAAAATGTGGAGAAAATATAAGGCCAACCTGTAAGCCAATTGAAATATGATGAAATATTCCTAATCCTGTAGTAAATTTAGTTGCTTGGCACCTCAAAATACATTCAACACATGAGCTGAGAAAATGCAGTCTCCATAACTTAAATTGCTTGAATGGATTTTCATAAACCTCTGTGACCTAATAAACAAATAAGGTGTGGTGGGAACCAAAGTGGAAAATCAGGATCTCAGCCACCACCTAACAGCATGTTCTCTGCAATGGGATACACTAAGCCAATCTTAATCAAAACACAGCAAAAAGTACAGGAGACTAACCCTGACTAAGAGTAACTTTAATGTCTCACCACAGAGTTAGCAGAAATGAGGAGTCTTGTTTTTCCTGACCTCTAGGTGGGAAGGAGAGCCATTTCTTTTTTTCTGTCGAGTATGACAAGATGTATATCTGTCATGAATGCATCCTGCTTTAAACAACAGAAACTCTAACCAAGCAATGGCTTAAACAGTTTAAGGGTTTTCCTTTCTTCTTGTAATAACATGTCCAGAGGCAGGCAGCCCAGGATTGGTACAGCAGCTCCACAATGTCATTCGGATACCTAGGCTTCTTTGACCCCGCTGTTTGGTCATTTTAGCAGATAGTTTTTACCCTCACACCTGTTGCACTGTGGTTGCAAGATAACTCTGTCCAAGCAGGAAAGGCAAAAGGAGACAGAAGGTCAAAAGCTTTTGCCAAGTGAGGCTACCACTATAAAGAACTTTCCCAACCAGAGGCTTCCATGTGTATCTCATTGGCCAGAATGATGCCACATGACCACTTCTTGCTGCACGGGAGGCTGGAAATATACTTCTGTCTCTGAGCATATTAATTCCTTTTGCTAAATAGTGAGCAAGAAAGAGGGGAATGGATAATGGGCAAGCAGCAATCACTGTCTACCACACCCTGGTACCCAGCACTCAGCCAGTCATTACCAAAAGCAGAGAGTTCAGTTTGTGTGGGCCAACAGCCAGCCTCAAGCCTGTCTAACCAACTCCCGGCAAGTTCTCCTGATGGAATGCTGTGAAGTCTAGCACTTTACAACTGTATAGTGCAACAGTGTAAACCCTCCCACTGCAACTTGGAAAACTAGGAGGAAAAGAGAAAGTCCAGAGAATGTTTCTATCTGCAATTGCAGATACTGTTATTTTCTACTCAATAACCCCCAATCCTTTTCCTTGCTAATAGTTAAACCCCAATTTGACTTGGCAGCAATGCACCAAGTTCTAGGTTAAAGATTGGTAAATTACAGCTACAGGTCAAATCCACTCCACTGCTTGTTTTTGGTTTTTATGTTTATTTGTTTGTTTGTTTTGAGACAGGGTCTCACTCTGTCACCCAGGCTGCAGTGCAGTGGCACAATCACTGCTCATTGCAGCCTCGACCTCCTGGGCTCAAGTTATTCCTCCACCTCAGCCTACCAAGTATCTGAGACTACAGATGCACACCACTACGCATGGTTAATTTTTGTATTTTTTGTAGAGATAGGGTCTCACCACGTTGCCCAGGCTGGTCTTGAACTTGTGGGCTCAAGCAATTTGCCCAACTTGGCCTCACAAAGTACTGGGATTACAGACATGAGCCACCATGCTGACCTTCCCTTGCTTGTTTTTGTAAACAAAGTTTCTTTTTTTTCTTTTTTGGACACAGAGGAACTAACTTATTTACATATTGTTTTTGGGCTCCTTTTCCACTGCAACAGTTGAGTAGCTGCTACAGAGACATCTAAACTGCAAAGTCTAAAATACTTACTAAGTGGCCCTTTGCAAGTGGACTGACTCATGCCCTCAATGATGGGCTATTATTGGACTGATCTAATTATCACAACATTGCTTTTCACTTTCTCTCCCCCCCTCGCCTAAGGGCAGCCATGAGACCACATAATTAGGCAACTGCTGGGCTTCCCCACTTTAAGGAGACCTTTTTTTTCCTGATAAAAGAGAAATCATAGCTGCTCTATCTCCCACCAACCCTTTCTTCTTACCTTGAGTGGAGACATAAAAGCTAGAACTGCAGCAGAAAATTTGGACCATAGGGGAAAAGCCAAGAAATCACAAAAATTCAACCTGACATCCTTAATCCACTAAATTAATGCTGAGAACAACCCACCTCCAGACCTTTTGTTTTGTGAGAAACATAAATTCCTATTTGTGTAAGCACTGTTTTAGGACTTTCTGTTCACTGCATGTGTCCTGTTTGAACAATCTTTTTTTTTTCTGATAACTCTTAACTAAGTCCTCATGAGACATGAAACCCAGCACATATTATACTGTATTATATTATTCAAAGGACTGTCCACTTTTTTTTAACCACGAATTTCATAGTGTGACAGAATCAAGTGCAATACAGTAAATTAAACACAAAGTATCTGAGCTCGGCTTGGGCTGAATGTTCTGTCGCTATTTACTATTATATTACTTTGAACTAGTTATTTGACTTATCTAGAAACTTCCTCATCTTTAAAATGGGAAAAACAATACTTCCTCATATGATTTTTGTGAAGATTAAACTAAATTATGAATATTGTACTCAGCTAGAATGATTTAAATTATTGCTATCTGATTAATTGATTTTAGTTATTTTAGGTAGCTCAATTATTTCATCCTTAAGAAAACAATGTATTTAATACATTACAGGTATCCTGGACTAATATTAAGCACAGGATAAAAAAATCATTTTTAGTTTTCTCTGCAAGAAAGAGCATCTTTAAAAGACCTTACATTTGGAAGCCTCACCTCTTAGAATTCTACCTCCTCAAAACCTTACTCTTCTGGAAAATTTATTCCGCTTCTGTCACCTTAGAGATATATCTTTTTCTCTCCACATTTTCGTTTATCCCATTCATGCCTCATCTTTCTTGCTTCCAGCTATATTGCCCAATTATCATTAAATCAGCAGTATACACTGAACATCTATTATGTTTAGCATATAAGAAAGAGATCCATTATAAGAGACACAAGAAAAAAAAAACACAGGCATTTCAATTCTTCTTTGAGAAAGAAGCTAGACTTTGGTTGATAATTATGTCTCCTATCAACACTGGCCTGCAGCCCGACAGCTAACACTAAGCATCTGACAATTTGAGAGCCAGATGTTTTTGTACTATGTGATTTTGTAGAATTTTTGAATCACAATATATTGCATCTACCAAATATTACAAAGAATCCTCAGCAGTGATCCATCAGAGGTCTAGGGCATCATCTTATAATTACCACACTACTACATTAAAATATGCTAATATTCACTCTGAGAGGAATGAAAAAACATTATAAATAGACCTGTGTCAATTCATGTCAACATTTACTGCCAAATGATTCAGGCCAAATAAGGTTTTGTCACCGAACAAGTTACAAAAATCTTTTCATTTTTTCAGATCTTTTGAATTTCAGAATTGGAGGAAAGGAATTGAAGACCTGTACCAGACATTTCCATAAGATGTAATGCCATCTAGACAGATGAGCAAGCCAAAATGGCTTTTCTTTCAATAATCTTTTGATTATATAAACTAAGCCAAGAACAGACATACATGTGCTCAAATCCGTTTTTGCAAGCTATATAAAAGAAACTCAACCAGAAAGATCCTTTTTTATGCGTTATTCGATATTCTGCTCCCTGACTACAAATTTCTACTTTGGAAAATCTCAGCTCCAGCAGCTTGGAAGGAAAGCCCATGTTCTACTGAGAAGAGAATGTATAAACAAATGTGAAAAATACCTACTCTTATAGTTTGGAAGAAGTCAAAGTAATATTTTTTCTTTCTTTTTTGTGGTCTTTAAATTGTGGCCTGAGTGAGTAGAATAAAGACTCTTGTCCATTCATCTCTTTTTCCTCTACCTTTTGGAAATGTAATGGATGTATGTCCAATGCCCAGGAAACCTGAGAAGAACCAATTTCAAACATTCCTTTCCCCATAACTAGTGTAATTTTAAATTCATCTGGAGATTTGGAATACTAACCTATCCTTAGAAGGACATGTACCAAGCGTAAAGCTTTGAAGATCTCTTAAACCCAGCAGTTATAAAGCTGGGAAATGAACTGTTGTTGTTGATATCAATTATTAATCGAAAATCAAGGCAAGGTAACAGTTGATAAGTTACTCTAGGCTACACTAGAGTCAAAGTCAAAATAATAGACTTATTGGAAAACTTTTAAGTCCATATATTGGCCCCAGTCTATTAAAAAAATGAATAAACCTATCATTTGATTAAGAATTCCACTTCTGACAGTCTATTCTATATAAATACTATTACAAGTATGAGTAGACTGAAGGGTATACTGATGCCTTTATTCATTTCAGACTTGACCTCGAATCTCTGGGCTTATTCATCAGCTTTAGGAGCCAGAGCAAATTGCCAATTTTTTGCAGCTTGTTTTTGTGGCACTTTTGTGCAAATTACGAAGTGCTGCTAACTCTAGGAGGGTGAATTAGAGCACAAATGAGGGCAGGATGTCAACCCTCACCTACCTCCTTAGTGGAGCACCTCTGTGCAGAGCACAAACCCACCACTCTGTATGGGGCCCAGTCATCAAAATGATAAATTTACTGAGGGTGATGACTTCACAATTTAATCTGTTTTTACAAATCATTATTTAAAGTCTTTGTGTTCTCTGAATTTCAAGGCCCTGGGACAAAGCATTTGCTTTTCTACCTTAATTACTGGCACTAGCATCACCCTATACTTCAGCTCTGCTTCCCCTACCTAACCCTATCAATTACTGAGATTGTGTCTGCTGTGCTGGTCCTTACCCCTCCAGATCCACCTTCCATCATTCTATGCCCTGCTTCCAGCTCCAAAGGGCTCACCTTTTCTGATTGTGTAATCCAGGTCTCCTTGTCCTTCTTGTTGGGTTTGACCAATGAGAGATGAAAAGGCTGGAAGTAAAAGAGAGATAGAGGTATTGATTCCCAAGCCCACCACTCACATCTCCCTGCTTGCCTGTTTGCTGGATTTGGTGGTTTTCTAGGATTATACCTTTTGAACTCTCAGGTGGTCTCACCTCTGTGTCTCCAGGTCTCCAGCTCTCTTGGGATCCAATAACACTGCTTCCACTTGCCTCCCACTCCCCATCCCACCCCATGCTAATAGTTTTCCACTGTTGCCATTTCCTGAGAGCTTCACCATCCATTGCTCCTTCCCTTAATTCAGCCACACCTCTGCAAGGAGTAGAGTTTATTCATGAAACTCTCTTCAGCTAAACCCTTTGAGTGTGCCAGCATGCTCCCTGCCTCTTCTCTTCATCACAGGAAGTCTCAAATTTGTCCTAGTCTTTTCTTTTCCACCTCCCGTCATGGCCTCATGCTCTCTCTCCTAAACATTCATGAATATCTGAATGTAATTGCTTTTTAGCAGCCTGTTCTCATTAACACTGTATCCAAGTGAAATTCAAAGTATATTAGATGGGCAGTGGCGTCATTGAGGACGTGCTAGAAAATTTACACAATAAAAAAATACAAGTTTTGATTTAAGTAACACCGTGTGTGTTTTTTAAGGCTATTTATTTAATCAATACCTACTGAAGGTCTTTTCTAGGTACTCATAACAAAATTATGAGCACTAACAGGCACAACTCCAGTTCCTACTATAACAGAACTTACAGTCTAGTAGAAAAACAGACTTCATCCAAATTTTACTTAATATTTATGTATTTGTTACTTACTATGTGTCAGTCACTATGCTAAAAAGTTTACAATATTTAGTTCATGTAATCCTTTTAACAAATCTAAGGAAAAAATGCTATTATTACCCTCATTTCACAGATAATACTACTAAGACACAGTGCTTGAAACTACCTTGCTATGCTATTACATCTATACAGGAAATGATCAATTACAAAATCACCGCCAAATTTGTTTTAGTGATCATGAGAAACTTGAGTCAATGGTATAGAATAAATTTACTCTTATTCCAGACTTATAGACCTATCTAAAACATACCATTATCATATTTACCAGTTGAACCAAAATGTGCTGCCTGCTGGTATATATACCAGATACTATCTTAGATGGTGGAAACACAGAGGAAAGAGAGTGCTTGAATTTTTAAAATTCCTCCTTAAAATTTGTGGGGAGGTGAGAAGGATGTTGGGGAAGGCATAAAAATACATGGCAGTTGACTTATGTCAGTACAAATCTGTCTTTTCTGAGGCCCCAAATTTCTTTTTCTCCAAGGCTCTAACCTACCCTCAGTGACCCTGCTGATAATATGGGGGAATGACATAGTGCGAGAGGACAATTGCAATAAAAAATAATCAATTCTGTCCTAACATATGCACTACCAATGAAAGAAGCAGAGAGGAGGGACACAGACCCAGTGGGGTGGGTCAGGGAGCACACTGAGAGCTGTTGAGGAATGAACCAGACTTGCAGAACAGGCAAAATTACTCAAGAGAGGTGGGGGAACACAGCTGTCCTCAGGTTCTGTCTAAACGTACCTCATTTGGTATTTTTAAACTTCCTAGTAGATTTAGATACCATATAAGGTGCAAATACAGACTCAGTTCTAGGGCTCATATTTGAGATGATGGTTAGAGTAGCCACTTCACTAGAGGCATTATAAATAGTGGTGAAGAGCTTGGATTTGAGATTCATGTAGACCAGGATGTCAGTCTCTGTCATTTTTAGCTGTGTGACTGAGTAAATTAATTTTCCTTTCCTGAGACTTGATTTTCTTATCTGTGAAAATGTAATTCTAACAACAGCATGTGCTTCACAAGGCTGTTGTAAAGGCTTCATGCCATAACACAAGAAATATGCTTAGCACATTTCTTGAACTATACCCATCTAGACACTTACTAAAGACCTTTAGTTACTACACAGATCTTTTCCTTTGACTAAAGAAATAGAGAAAACCTCAAACAGTGCCTCTAAATATGAAAAAGGCTCTATTCAGCCATTGGGCTTTGGAGATATTTAATATATTCTAATCACAATACTTTTGACCTTTGTGTTTGAACTTGGCTTCCCACTCTTTTAGGCTTCTCCTTTCCTTTCAGTGGCAATGAGGCTTGGGTCCTAACTGTCATAGAATAGTTATCCATACCAGGATGTGATATCAGCCAATTCCACAAACCAGTAGTACTCACTATGTGTTCCTGATGCCTGCGGAATCTGAAGCTTACCTCTTAGGTGAATCAGTATTCATATTGGTAAATATCACTTGACTCCAGACATCTTTCTAAAACCTTGAAAAATTCAAAGCATAACAAAGAAATTGTTATCTTGAATAATTTCAATTTTTGATCGTGTTGTCAACACATTTATGGTTGCATTGTCTTTATTAGGATTCTTTCTTTCACTTTTTAAATCATTATTATTAATAATATCATTTTGCTCATCCTATCTCCAGCTATTTTAAAAACTTGGTAAACTTATTCTATAGATATTACCACTGAAGCCTGATAGAAAAATTTAGAATGTGCGTAGAACTCTGGCAGTTAAATAGAAGTTGGTATATCATCTTTCTATTAATATGAACTCAATTAATCCAAGTTTCACTTTGCAAGTGGTATGTATTTATTTCAGCAGATTAATCTAGCAAGGGAAGTGAAGACCATATTAAAGGTATTTTTGTCTCCAACTCATAAATAAATCATTATTCTACTTTCAGGTTATCAATTCTTATCTAAAATAATCCAGAAAAGAAGATTTTGCATTCTTTTGGTCTGTATGCTAGTGCTGAGTACACAATATTTTTAAAGATTGAAACTAAATTGTTTTACCTGTCCTGAAATCTAATGAACTTCATTGTAACAACAGCTTTCAATATCATGAGTTTTGCAAATTTGTGTTATCATGAACCCTTAAATTGCATCTTTTCAATGTGTTAGTACATTTAAATAAATTTATAATTCATTTTTATATATAAAGCATTTATGTGATTCAGTAATAAATAATTTATTATAATGGTAACTTGTATAATTCACTCTCACAGCTTATACCCTTTAAAGTTCTAGATTAGAAGGGAAGATGATGGAAACTGTTGCCAGTTCATCATAAACAATTTCATTTCATTTTTTTCCACTATACATATTGAGATAATATTTCCCAGGTACCCTTTGTAGTTATTTGTGGCCTTGTAAACTGATCTCTGGCCCATGACATGTAAGCAGAAATTATGTGTACCATTTAGAAGTTTAAAAGTTTAAGATGTGGACACACCTTCCGCACTATCTTTCTCATTGTTTGCTGGATCAGTGGAAGTCCCCAAGAACCTAGACTAAGGTAAAGACACAAAATGGAAGAAGCTTGGGCCCCTGGGTCATTAGCACTGGACTTCTACCTGAGAAGGGGAAATTGGAGATTTTAAGTTAAGTGTGTTGGGAAAACATTGGGAGGTCTTAAGCAGGGAGTGCTATAATCCCCATGATAGGAAATGGGTTGCAAGGAAATGTGGTAGCCATTCTCCAAGGTAGTCCCTAATGACTCCCACTTCCAGGAGTTCATACCCTGGGAAGTCCCCTCCCACATTGTACCAGGGTTGGTTTGCATGATCGGTAGAATACAGCTGAAATGATGGCATGGCATGTCCAATATTAGGTATTAAAGACACTGTTGTTCCCATCTTGGTCACTCTCACTCTCTAAGAGCACTCATTCTGGAGAACATCAGCTGTCATGCTATGAGCAGTCCTGTAGGGAGGCTTACATGGTGTGGAATAACCACATGAGTGACCTCTCTTGGAAATGGATCTAACCCTAGTTAAGTTTTCAGGTGACTACAGCACTGACCGGCAGTGTGACTGCAACCTCATGAGTTACCCTCAGCCAAAATCATCCAGCTCAACCTCTCCTGGATTCCTGACCCACCATACACTGAGTGGTATAATCAGTGTTTGCTGTTTTCAGCTGCTTAGTTTTAGATTAATGTGTTTCATAGCAATAAATAACTAATATAAGAGACAAGAGTAGAAACAGGATGATCAGGCATAAAGACTATTGCAGTGATCCAGGGAAGAGATGGTTATAAATATTAATTAAGATAAATGAGAAGATTATAGATTTGCTTTAAGAAAAGCCTGGCCTGATATATCAGTATATGTGAAAGGACCTGGAAAACCTCAACTCTCTCCATGCAAGATATTGGTGTGATTTGGGGGCAGAAAAAGTCCACTGAAGCTTCACCAAAACGTAAGAGTGACAACATTGATCAGAAATTGATTCTTCTGCTCTTTGCGCTGAGTAGGCCATTCTTGGAGCAATTAGTCCAATTCTGGGTGATACACTTACAATAGAGATTAAGAAACAAGACCTCATGCAGAGAATGCTCTAGAATTGTAGAGTGGCAGCTCAAGCTGGGTGATGAGAGGGGTCACATGGAAAAAAGTGGGTGGAGTTTTTCGATCAAGTGTTCAATGTATGGGGGGTTGGGTGTCAAGGATGGCTTTGAGCTTTCAGACTAACACAACTGGTTGGAAAGGTTAGTCACTGAGAAATGGAATAATAAAATCGGTCTGGGAATTAGGCAAGAAGATCATAAGTTCAGTTTTGGATATGTTGAATTTAATCTAATTTGGGGGGCTCTAAGATGACTTTTCAAATAAACAGTTAAATAGATGGGTACAAAGCTCAGAAAAAAAAAAGGTCAGAGCTGGAGAGCACTGCTGTGAGTTATCTGTACATGTATGTAATAATTGAAGCAGGGGTGCAGATGTGTGAACATCGGGCTGCATCTTAAAGAACTCCAATATTTAAAGATGAGACAGAGAGAAAAGTCCTGTAAGGGACACTGGGAAGGAATGGCCAAAGAGATAGGTGGAAAATCAGGACTGAATGTTGGGTTTTGGAAGTCAAGAAGAAAGATTATTTTAAGGATGAAGTCGTCATTGGGTTAACCACTCGCGAAAGATGCACTAAGAAGAAAACATGAAGAATGGATTCTTCTGTGCTAAATAGATAGAATTCATAAAGCTTCTCTTCCAGAGGATTTTGGTTTTACTTTACTAACTACCTAAATCTCATACTTATGAGAAGGCTAAGAAGCTTTTTAACCTCTTAGAAACACCACGGAAGACCATAGGAGGCTTGGTATAATATATTCAGATTCAGAAGGATGCACAGTACTACTTTTCCCAAACATAGAAAATAGTACTTGTAGGTTATGATTTTATCCGATTATTTACATTAAATTTTAAGGCACCCATAGTCATCATGCTGATTTCATTTTGAAAATGTAGATAAAGATAAGCCTGATATTTCTAAAAGTCCTAACAATTAGAGAAACAATTTGTAATAGTGTGGGTAGGAAAATGAAAGGGAGGGAGAAAGCTAAAGAATGATACAGGCAAATATATCATTAGAAAACTCTAGATCATCCTCATTTGTTTTATTTGTTGTGAGGTATTGGGATGTATTGTAATAGTTTAACTTATTCCTGGTGCTCAATGCTTATGACACAGTGCTTTTTTAATAATGGAAAATAACATACAAACTTGAATCAGACAAACCAGAATTTATATGGAAAGCAATAAAAAATGCACATTTCATCTTCAAAAGAAATACTGGGTCGCTCTTTCCAACTAAATGAAAAATGATATTTGGAAAAAATTTTGATATCTTTCTTATTACATAGTGTATTTCCTGATCCTCTTCCTTCTTTTTCACTTATTTTTATACCATACTGGTATATGGCATTTTATACCATACTGGTATATGGCGTTTTATACCATACTGGTATATGGCGTTTTATACCATACTGGTATATGGCGTTTTATACCATACTGGTATATGGCGTTTTATACCATACTGGTATATGGCGTTTTATACCATACTGGTATATGGCGTTTTATACCATACTGGTATATGGCGTTTTATACCATACTGGTATATGGCGTTTTATACCATACTGGTATATGGCGTTTTATACCATACTGGTATATGGCGTTTTATACCATACTGGTATATGGTGTTTTATACCATATTGGTATATGGTATTTTACATATATTATGTAAAACTTTCTGTAAAACATATATTATGTAAAACTTTATCTACTTTTTCGGCCAGGGACAGCCTCTCCTATGGAGTGAGGAGGAACAGGGCCAGGGAGCCACATTATTCGAAAAGCTGCCTGACAGCAAGAATGAAGCTTGACACTCTATGATGGACACCTCATTTAGTCCTCATGGTAAACTCATGAATTTAGTCTTAGTCTACCTCATCTTACGGATACAGACAGTGAGATTCTGAATGGAATTCCACTCCAGGAGGAACAGTAAGTGTTTTCACACCTCTGAGCTAGAGTTCATACACCTCACTCTATATCACACTGTCCACACAGAGCTTTAAGGCTGCCTGGAAGAATGTTCTTTCACCTCAAATACCATCTTTACTTGGTTATGAAAGTCTGAGTTCTTCTGTATGGGGGATACATGTCCATTCTAAATTAGACTTAAAGAGGTAATGCATTTGGGTGAAAAGTCATGACATTGGATTGTTTCCTATAAGTAGGTTAAAATAAGATAGATAAAATTTCACTGGGCATCTGGGAGGGACAGGACACGGAATAAGGAAAGAAAGGATCAAAAAGGACCTTGGAATACCAAAGACAATTTCCTCAAATATTGCCTTCAGCTGACACTGTAGAGGGCCGAGTCACTGTGTTGCTGATGGAACATTCTTTCCACCTGGAACAATTAGCAAGTTAGTACCAATATTTTCCCCTCACACAGTGTCCAAAATAATTTTTCTCCATTTCTGAAGCTACAAGCTTAATCCAAGGCATAATGATTCCTGGGTAAGTTGCCTTCGATAAGAGTGCAAGTTACACAGATGGAACCATCCACAATCCTTTCATTAACTCTGAACTACATTGATTTTTCCAAAGTTATGATTAAAAAAAAAAAGAGCAGAATAAGTTCATGACCAGAGAATGTCAGTTCTAGCTAGTGTTTTTCCTCAGAATTTCCCAAATAAAACCTCCAAAAACAGTCACCCTCTACTCAGCAGAATTTGATTTGGAAATTAACACCTGCCTCAGCGAAGAGTTTTAGTCCCATAGGAAAAAATATTAGAGAAGCAGCTGTAAATTGCACTTCTACAGTTCTCAGATGTGTGACTGCTTCTGAACTACAGTAGACTGCTCTTCCTTGTACATAGCATGGCAATTCCAAAAGTAGAACATGTCATCCTTCAAGTGACTTCACTGTAGTTTTAAAATACAGTCTCATCATGTAGGTCAGTAAAGCTACAAAGCTACGTATGTGATTCAGTGACCCATCTGCAATGCTCTCACATAGCCCTAGGCTTGTTCTACTAATTATCCTGAACTCAGCACCTTACTTTTTTTATGCAGTTTTGCAGTCCCTAGAATGAGAGATAGAGCCTGGAGGGGCCCTGAGAACCTTCTAAACCATTACAGGTGCTTGGGGAAGAGGCTGCTAGATGGCCGTTACCACATGTTGCTTCTCAATCTCTCTAAACGTTTCAACATTTGTTTTAAATACTTTGGTTTCATTGAAAAACATTTAAAGTACTTCTCAAAGGTCATTAAATAGATCACTCAATTTTTTTATTTGAATGATTTTTTTCTTTTTCTGTCCTTCAGAGTTTAAGTTCTGCTTAATTGTAACTTCCCATAAATATCAAACAATAAAGGACTAAAAATAGGAATAAGATATATTAATGTACTCATTAATTTAATAAATACGTGGTCAGAATCTGTCGTGTTCTGGACACTGTTCTAAATTTTTAGAAACTTATGTGTCATGAGAGATAATCCACATTCACAAATGGCTACAATATAAGGTGCTATATCAAGTTCAAAAAATGGGGTATGAAGGAGATACTTTACTATTTTAGAGAAGTGGCTGGGCTGATGACTAGACTATGCAAGAAAAGCAGAATGTCTATTGCTCATTGGCAGGTTAGATCACTTTCTGTTCTCTTCTGTTGTTCCTCTGCACCTCAGGGCCTAGAAAACTAGGAGCTACATTTCCTGAATCCCTTGCTAGCAAGGTTTTAGGTTAGACTCTGCCAAAGACAGGAACTTACGTAAAATTCAGAAGCAAAAGAGACACAAAACCATATTAGCGTTCCTTTGACAGTAGCAAGCTGTGGGTGAGCTACACTATAGTTGAGGTTTTTTAGTGACTTTTGGCATTGTTTGAGAATTTTTTTGAGAACCTGTTTTCCCACTCCAGGCAGCAGTGAATTTCACTGGCAATTTTCTGTGGGTCTTTGACCTTCCTGATTTTAAGAATGTTAATGGAAAACCTAAAAACTAACAATAGCTTTCCTGGACCTTTACTTCATGCAGTCCTTTCAAGCATCTATACCCTTTTCTACCTAAAATTCCTACACATGGCATTTTAACTGAACTGAGAGCAGGAAGGAAAATATGGGAGTGGATGGCGGAGTAGACAGTGAGCAGGAGCAGAGTTGTCTAAAGATTGGCATGAGCACCAGTGCATCCTCTTATCATCTTTACCATCACTATCTTCATTGCCAGTATTTATAGAGTGCTTATTTTGTGTCAGGTACTGTTCTGGGTACATATTAACTCATTTAATCCTTAAAACAATGATTTATAGGTGCTATTACTGTAAAAAAATGAGAAAATGGGTGCCAAGAGAGGCTAATTCAACTTGCCTAAGATCACAGAATGACCAAGCGATAAAACCAGAAGTCATCATGTTTAGACAAGAAAGGGCACCCCTAAAACTACTGAAGACATGGCCAGAGAAATTGAGCCAAAATGTTGTGGGTGCTCTTAAATATTGTGAGTGACTAATTTTCTTAAAACTTTTCATTTAAAATACGTACACACTTAGAGGAAGTTGCCAAAAAAGAAAAAAACTGCAGAGAAGTGTACCCTTCTCCCAGCTTCCCCCAATGGTAACATCTCACATAATTGTAGCACAATACCAAACACAGGACATTGACCTTGGCACATTCCTATGAACTAGGCAACAGATCTTATTCAGATTTCATCAGTTTTTACATTCACTCTTGTGTGGGGGCTAGGGGGAATGTGATCAAATAAATTCCTGTATTTAAACCCAGAAATTTAACTCCATGATGTTAGTATGTCCTAACAGATTTTCAAGCAGACAGAGGTTTGCTTGATATAAACTCAGTATGAGTTAATAATATAACATAATCATTGAAAATGTTCTTAGGCAGGCTTAATATTAATATGTACTCAGTGCTCAGAACTTCAGGGATAACAGTGTCATTATGGTACGCATTGCTTAGATCCCAGCTCGAGAACTGTGCTCATCTGAACCAAAATAAACAAGACAAAGACCCCCAGAGAAAGGCAGCTAGATGTTGAAGGGTGATAACCAAGAGTCTGAAGTCCCTGCCGTACCAAGGAGGATTGAGAGAGCAGGCAATGTTAATCTCTAAGAAGAGATGATGTAGGCAGACATGATGTCAAGCTGCCTATCCAACCCTATGTCTTACAATTACATATCACGTTTAGTTAAGCCAAGCACCTACCAAATCATGAACATCTATACCTTCCTTACATACAAAGCCCTATTTTCAGAAATTCTTCCATGATTTTTATTAATCCTTTCTTGAATATATACAGCATTTACCAAATGACCAAATAATTTAGCCTAGTCATTTTCAAAGAGTGATCTAGGATCAGCAGACTTAGCAACACCCGGAAATTTGTTAGAAATGTAAAATCTTGAGCCCCAACTCAGACTTACTGAACCTGAAACTCTAAGGGTGTGGCCCAGAAATCTGTATTGTAACAAGCCATTGGGTTAGCTGATGTATGCTAAGTTTCTAGATCTACTGGTGTAGCTCTAAACCACTTGGGATATTGTTATTTTGTATATGAATATCATCTCCCTACAACTGCTGTTCTGTGACATCTATACATACTCTCACCTGACCAATTATGATAAGATTATGGCCAAGGAAACCTATCGTTCTCTTACCATGTAGCTCCTTTAGCTGGCTTCCCTATCAAAGCTCATGTCAGAGAGCACTGGACTGTGTCTTTTCAACCTAGTCTATCCTCTGCTTTCTAAGAACACTGTGGCTGAATGCTTCCGTCAGAAGTTAACAATCTTGTTTTCATATAATCAAGAAGTATTTATTAAGTAACTGTTTCTAAGTGGCAAAAGACATGGCCCCTGCTCTTAAAGAATTATTTTTAGAGACATCAGGGGGCATCTGAGATTAGTTCAAGGAAAAATTCTCCTGCCTCCCTTCCTCTCTCTACCTCCCTAAATCTACAGGCCATAAGCAGTGAGGGTCAGGCACTCAGGAGTGGGTGATACTTTTGTGTATGATTCCATGTTTCCTGAAGGGGTTTCTAGCCTTCTTCCCTGGCTAACAAGGCAAGAGCAGTGGTTCTTAACCTTTTGTGTGCCTGAGCATCACCTGGGAATGTGTTAAATTTGTACCTGGGTCACTGTACAGAAATTCTGATTTAGTATGTCTGTGATGAAGCTGGGAAATCTACAATTTCAGCAAGTACCCAGGGTGACTCTGATATAGGTCTGCAAATGACACTTAAACAGATTGCAAGCAGAACAGCAACACTTAGAATATTTAACACAGCCTGGCTGGGCGCGGTGGCTCTCACCTGTAACCCCAGCACTTTGGGAGGCCAAGGCGGGCAGATCACAAAGTCAGGAGATCGAGACCGTCCTGGCTAACACAGTGAAACCCCGTCTCTACTAAAAATACAAAAAATTAGCCGGGCGTGGTGGCAGGCACCTTTAGTCCCAGCTACTCTGGAGGCTGAGGCAGGAGAATGGCATGAACCCGGGAGGCTGAGGTTGCAGTAAGCAGAGACCGTGCCACTGCACTCCAGCCTGGGCGACAGAGAGAGACTCCATCTCAAAAAAAAAAAAAAAAAAAAAAAGAGAATATTTAACACAGCCTGATTCCCCAATGAAGACGCAGAAAGTAGAGATGGCCATAAATCTGTTTTCACCTCTTACCAGCCAGTCTTCAGCATTAGTGATGTAGTGTCACTACATTAGTGAGAGTGCACGGCCTGCATCATAACATGTATGAACCCATATGCCTTAAATACTATTTATTCAGCAAATCCGATTGCACACATTATGGTTCTGTACCATATGTATGTTCTCCCAGTAACCCCAGGTCCTGTACCAGGTGCTGGGGTTACTGGGAGAACAAAGAGACAACACTTTCTCCATTCAGAGAAACAGAGAGAATTATTAACTTTGCCAATATCAGGGAGGTATTACAAAAGGAATACTGCAATCTGAAGAAACAAAGAATAGAATTAGCCTAGTGGCCAGGGTTGAGGGGCAATGGAGTGGAAAGGGCTGACAAGGGATCATACTTCATTTACTTAAATGACTATCTCCCTCTAAGTGGGGACAATTTTTGAGATATGCAGAAAATCACATCATTATTGGTCTCTTCTTTTGGAAACAGTCTGAAGCAATGTAAAGTCCTCTCAAATCAATGGCTAAATGAAATGTTTCAAGTTTTTGTAAAACATACAGCCATGTAACAAACATACATTTGTTAAAAAATAAAGATTATGTATAGAAATAAAACTGGAGAATTTAGCATAGTTTTGATCTCTGGGATTTACGATTACTGGTGATTTCTAAGTTTTTTGATACTTGTCTGTATTTTTCAAATTATAATAAATACGCATTTTTGTAATCAGATAAAAAATAGTATTAGAAACAAAGCTAAGGCAGATTCTACAAGGAAAGTCGAAAGCATTCATAAAAGTCAAGTACAGAAAAATGTATTGAGCCAAAATGCATTTATTAAGCATCTCCTACGTAGATGCTAAAATTCCTAGAACTGTAAACTGTAGATCTTCTAGTTATTAGTTTTGTGGTGTTGGATAAATTACTATATCTCTGTGCATCCATTTCTTCACCTGCAAAGTGGCTCAACTGCATCTATTTGGTTATTGTGACAATTAAATGAAAGAATGCTTGGTAAGTAATTAGAACAGAACTTTGAATAGAAGCTGATAAGCCTTCAGTAAATGTTAGCTGTAACTATTATTGCTGTTTTATAAATAATTATTGTGTCATCCCATCGGGGAGTCACCAGGCTCTTCTAGAATATGATTTGAGATCAGGAGCTCTTCACTTTCTATGACAGTTTTTTTAGACTATTAAACAAGTCACTTATTGACAAGCTCTGCCCTATGCTGAGATGAAATATGCTTCCTTTGAGTTTCCATTGGACACTCTTCCTTCCATTACAGCACAATATTGCAAACTACTACCACTTCTTCTCTCAGGCTTCTCCTCTGCTTGGTAAATAGCTCCTCAAATGGAAAACAGCAAGAGCAGTAACACTTGCCTTACACTTTATAAAGCTCTATCACATATATTATGTCACTTGAGCCTCTCAGTACATAGGGTAAATATTACCACCATCATCATTTTATAGGTCAACAAATTTAGGCTTGAAAAGGTAATTGACTGATGAAATAGCACCTCTAGAAGGTGGTGGTGCTGAGAATTAAACACAGGATGTCTAGTCCGAGTCTCTTTCTTCTATACCACTTCTATTTAAAGTGCCTGCCTTAAGTGCAATACTGCAGTTGCACACTGAAGGAATCTCCTATGTCTTCAGTTGCATTATTTTATTGCTGTAACTTAAGTTTATTATTAGTCAGAATTCAACCACGAAAAAAAAAAATCACTCTACAACTTTCAAACGTGGGAACCATACAAGGAATCTGGTTATGTATGGGATGAAAGAGTTAAGAAGCCAAACAGGAGACGCAAAGACCATCAAGAGATTAGCAAAAGCAGGAACTCATTACCATCCCTAGGACACAGAAGTTGAGTCCAGGAACCAGGGCTACACAATGGAAGCTGTAAATTAAGACCTAGCATGGACTTCCTGTGAGAATGATGGCCACAAGAAACAGATGTAGGGATTAGACATGCTCTTGCTCCTCCTCCCCTCCCGCGCTCCAGTCCTCAGTCAGTTCTGGCATTGGCTGAACATAACTGGAAGCAAGAGTCCAAAGGAACTTAGGAAACATGGTTCCTGAATTACAGAGCACAGGCACGGGAGAGTGACAAGTGGATCTGAGAACAACCTGACTCTATTGGAGGCACAATTTCTTGATGACCACATCATACTTCTAATTTATATTAAGTTCATTGTTAAGTTAGACCCAGGCCGTTTTTCATGTGAACTCTTAACAAACAGGTTCTTTTATTTTTTTTGTATTTGCCGATTAACTTTTTGAATGCAAGTAAGGGCTTTACTTTATCTTGTTTGATTTCATCATTTGACTTTTGGTCAGCCTTTAAAATGTTGTAAGCCTTTCGCTTTCCATACTTGGATAACCTAGAAATTAATCAACATAATGTGTACACTTATATTCAAGTTATTATTAAATATTTCGAACAGGAAAAGTCAGTAAATATAGAGTGGCTAGGGTGAGATGGATGAGGTACTCACCTCAGAAGCAAAATGTAAGGAGGTGCCAAAAAACTCCATAATCAGGATGAATATTTCAATGCAATTTTAAAAAAATCAAAATTAATATGAAATTTCATGATGAACACAATATTAAAATTACAAATAAAGACAGGACCCACAAGTGATGAATATTTATCAATTTTTAGGCCAGCTGCAAATTCTTCACTTTATACCCCCATTTACCCCATACTTTCCATTGATTACTGAAGAATATTATTTTCAAAACTTTGTCAAATCAAATATCTTTCAAATATTTTGATACATTTTGTTCTAGAATCTAGAACTCCAATTGATAAACAGTGTAGAGATAGAAAACAAACTCAGCATCAGATTTGAAGCTTGTATAAATTGGGGGAATGTGTTTAAGAAAAATAATTCAAAGTTTCTGTGAACTATATATATATAACCATTTTATAATAAACATATGCCCAAATCAACATCCTTTGCCAGATCCCCCAACTGTGGCCACTCCAATCCTGCCTGACAAGATGGAAAAGATAACACAGGCAAAGTAGAGGTGGAAAGAGTGTCCTTAAATGATTATGTTTAAAGTATTTTGCTAACTTTATAAAACGTGCACTCACATGACCACATTATGCTACTACCAAGGCTGTGGAAAGGGCCCTTACTAGTGAAGCTTAACTAATTTCAACTCTGAATTTAGACTAACCTTCAAGTACAATTTCACTCAGGTAAAATAAATCCCAGCAGCACCTTCCATTGTGCATGATCACACAGATCTGATTTCTCCCTGTATCAAATCACACCTTCTGAACCAAATTCCTTGCTACACACGAATAGATTGGAGCCAATGGTTTTGAAGGTGTTTTAATTTTAACATTCTGCTCCACTTTGTAAAATAAGAGCTGGCTATTTCAGTGATAGTATAGAAGAAAAGTGAGAGTCAATTTTCCCAATATAGGTTTTATAAAAGGAAGTCTGAATATAAAGCATCTTTCTATTGCAAAATGTTTCATTTACAAAAATATTGTCTCAATTAACAAGAAGAGATAGATTCACAGTCAATTTTTACTAAAAGAGACAAATATCTTGGTGTAGTTTACCATTACAAATGAGAAAAGTAACTGAGCATTAAATTTCCAAAATGTGGCCTCACCATTAGCATTTACTCAAGGAGAACATGTCTAAAAATAAGCTCAAGTCTCTGGATAAGATTGGGGATTTTAAAGAAACTATTAAAAAATGCTAATATGAATGCTGTAAATCAAACCCATAAATGTCTTAAGTTTAATAGTTTTAAATTAATTGTCTTCTAAAATAGGAACATTACTTTTTAAGCAAGTTGAACACAAAGAATGGCAAAATCCTTCACAATGAACATCGCAGTCAATGTGTTAGAAGGTATGATAAGTGATAAGAAGATCTGAACAAAATGATTTATATGTATGAAAGAGAAATTTTTGGCCTTTAATCTTGGAAATGGTAAATACCCATTTTAGAACAAGAGATACAGTCTGACTCAGAGAATCTGAGTACATTTTCTTATCACTCTGTTAAAACCACCCACAAACAAGAGACAGCTTTTCTTTGCTCAAATCATAATAGCTTCTCTTTAAACTTGTGAAACTGACAGTTGACTCTAATAAAATACAATCAGTATAATTTCCCACTGCTTAATATGAAAACATGAAATCTGATTGATTAATTCACTGATGATTTTTGAACCTCAAAATTTAAAAGACAATTGAACTATTAAGACAATAATTTAGGAGCATGTATTTGGCATCTACAATCCATGCTAAAAAAAATGTAAAATGTACATCATTCTATAAAGAGTACAGTGTTATTTTGACAAGGACCAGATTTTTCAGTATCATATAAAGAATATTTTTACTTGTTTTTCTTTCTAATAAATGTTAACTATTATCTTGATAAAATTTATAATTCTTCATTTGTTCATATTATGTTTATCATTCAATCTTCTTAGTTGTTTTCAAGAACATCTCAAAACCTTATCAGATTGGGTATGAACAATTTGATTTCATTCTTTTGCTATAGAATTATATCTTTCAATGGTAAATATCAGTGGTTTTTACTTAGCTCATGACATCCTATCTTAAATTCCTATAACTGCTATTGTAACAAAAAATGGGAAGAATTTACAATATAAGTTTTGATATTAGCAAATAACATCTAACGGTTTCAACTTGCCCAAATGGAGGAAAAATAGACATTGTACAAATGTACGTGTAGCAATCTGATTCCACATGATCTTGTTTATGCAAAAGAGGTCAAGAAAAATCTGTAACAACCCACTCAGTTCAGTATTCACAATGTAATGATGAACTAGTTTATGTCTGTAGGATATCCAGTTACTTGTGGATAGAAACATAAATTTATATTAGCATATTCATCATTATACTTTGAAATAAGTTTTGGCACTCATTACTCATGAATAAAAGAATATTGATGCAATAAAATCCTCTGAGGCAATTATCATAACACAAAGGTTTGTTTGTTCAACCAAAACCTTCCACCAGTAAGGCACATTTTGGAAACTAAACTTAATGCTTCAAAGTACCTATTTGAAAAGAAGATGAAATTTATTTTTGAAGCTTAGTGGTTCTTAAATTTTTATTTCATGAATTTCTCCTTGAGACGATATTGCATTTATAATTCAGAAGATAAAAAATACTCTGGTTTGTAATATACAAATAGAAATGTCTAGATTTTCATTCTGACCACAATTCATATATCTTCAGTATACATGAAAAAGGATCATATTTCAAGCCTGTCATAAGCATAAGGTAATTTCCATCTTCTATAATATTAATTAGTTTACTGAAAATGCTTATTTGGGGGGATAAGACAGGGTTGTCAATGCTCAGTGTTGTCCCTATCATACAGCATCATTATTTACAGAGCATTTTGGATTTTGAAATATTTTGTTAAATTTTACTAGTCATTTCTTATTATATTCTTCACAGTTGTATCATTACACTCATTAGATATATAAAGAAAATTTTAAACAGAAGTATTAAGGCTATAGTTTAATCTGTGCCAAAAGTACTCATTTCATTCTGTCAGTGCAGCTCATCTGGTCATGCAGGAAAAAAAAATAGCTGCTTAATCAAGACATTTGGCACTATGTGGACAATAAAGAAAACCAAACAGAAAGTAAATATACCTGTTTATAGAAATCACCTAAATTAACTGACTATGATTACAATATGTAAGTTGTTACAACAGTGTTTCAGACACAGCTCCTGCCCAGCATATGAATTAACTCATGGGGAAAAGTTAGCTTTCTGAAGGCTACTTTTTTCTCCCTAAAGATATAAGCAATAATTTTCATTATGTGCATACAAAAAAACTCTACGAAAGGAGTTTTTACTATGTTCATTTGAAGTTTGTTTATCTTAACTTTTTCACATTAAGAATTAGATTTCCCTCGACTGTAAATATTTTGAAGAAAAATGATAGCTAATATTTATGGAGCCACTCTCATGGGTTATTATATTTAATCCTCAGAGAGTTCATAGTCTTATGACATGGATTTTTATCTCTTATTTCTAAGGGTGATGATAAGGGCCAGAGAGAGACTTGCTCAAAGTCAAAATACTAGTTAGGACATATCTGGGTCTCAGACTCTGTGGTCTGACCTTAGAATGTGCATACTTTAACAGAGTTCAGCATGATATCTGTCACCAGATTTGCCCCAACTCTGACCTGATAGACTCATGACTTGGTATCAGGTAGAGAAGATGCTATGAGTAAAACTTGAAATAGTTGTTTTCACTAAAATCTCGTAAAACAGCAGTACTTTGATATTCACATGACTCCATGCCATGCGAAATGAAGATGAGTAGTCCTTCCTCCCCCTTCTGTTTACAATGAACCCTTTGCACCATGTATTCAGCCACTGAAGTTTCTGGAATATATACTCTCAATTTGGCATCTGGAAAATTTTGATACAAGAGCAGGATATTGCTTGATGGCACCTAGGAGCAGTAGTACTGAGTGGATGGGCATTACGGAAGCCTGGGCATTTCTTCTAGAGGCTGGAAGAGCAGAAGAAGCAAAGTGGTTTCTAGCTAAAGAAACTAGATGCAAACCCATTCCTGCAAGCCCCTTTTATAACACTATTAATCCATTCACAAAGGTGGAGCCATAATGACACATCTTTCGAAAAGTCCTACCTTTCAACATCACTGTTGTGGGTATCAAGTTTCCAATGCGTGAATTCTGAAGGACATATGCCAGAGAGATATCCCTGCAGACTTCAAAAATAAGTGGAGAGAAGCATTTTACTGGAAGATAAAGGTTCTGCAATAACAAGTATCGGTGAAAACCCAGAAAACCAACATCATAACGGTTTATCTCATTCTAATTTTACATTTTCCTCCCTCTCTCAAGACTGGAGCAACATAAGAAAACACAAACTACACAAAAAGTGGCTTTTGTCTCTACAATGGTGTGAGTATGTCTCCCAGAAGTCATGTGTTGGAAACCTGATACCCAGAACAGTGATGTTGAGAGATAGGACTTTTCGAAAGATGTGTCATAATGGGTCCACCTTTGTGAACAGATTAATGGTGTTATAAAAAGGGCTTGCAAGAGTGAGTTCACTCTGTCATGCCCTTCTACCATGTGAGGACACAGGATTCCTATGCTCCAGAGAACAGAGGACTGAGCATTTAAGGCACCATCTGGAAACAGGGAATAGCCTTTACCAGATACCAGTGACTTGATTGATCTTGGACTTCCCATCCTCCAAAACCGTGAGAAATAAATTTCTGTTTTTAAATAAATTACCCAATATGTGGTATTCTCTAATACACACAAAATATTTGTATGGCATACCTTGGAGATATTGCAGGTTCAGTTACAGACCACTGCAAAAAAGTAAATATTACAATGAAGGAAGTCACACAATTTTTTTGTTTTCCTAATACATATAAAATTATGTTTACACTATTCTGTAGTCTATTAAGTAGTGTACAATAGCATTACCTCTAAAAACATGTACATATCTTACTTCTAAAATATTTTATTGTTAAAAATGCCAATGGTCATTTTAGCCTTCAGCAAATCATAATCGATTTGCTGGTACAGGATTTCGTTTTATGTTGATGGCTGCTGACTGATCAGATTGGTGGTTGCTGAAGGCTGGGGTGGTTGTGGTAATTTCTTAAAATAAGGCAACAGTGAAGTTTGCCACATCGGTTGACTCTTTCCTTCATGAAAGAAAAATCTTTCGTCAAAGAGATTTTTCTGTAACATGCAGTGCTGTTTGGCAGCATTTTACTGGCAGTAGAACTTTCTTCAAAATTGAAGTCAATCCTCTCAAATCCCACTGCTGCTTTATCAAATAAGTTTATGTAATATTCTAAATCCTTTGTTGTAATTTCAACAACATTCACAGTATCTTCACCAGGAAGAGATTCCATCTTAAGAAACTACTTTTTTTGCTCATCTATAAGAAGCAACTCCTCATCTGTTCAAGTTCTATCATGAGATTGCAGCAATTTAATCACATCTTCAGGCTCCACTTCTAATTCTAGTTCTCTTGCTGTTTCCACCACATCTGCAGTAACTTCCTCTACGGAAGTCTTGAGCACTTCAAAGTTATTCATGAGGGTTGAAATGAACTTCTTCCAAACTCCTATTAATGTTGATATTTTGACCTCCTGTCATGAATCATGAATATTCTTAGTGGAATCTAGGATGGTGAATCCTTTTCAGAAGGTTCCAGTTTACATTGCCCAGATATATCAGAAGACTCACTATCTATGTCAGCTATAGCCTTATGAAATGTATTTCTTAAATAAGAAGATGTGAAAGTCAAAATTATTCATTGATCCATGGGCTACAGAAAGGATGTTGTTTGAGCAGGTATTGTTCTCCTTGTACATCTCCATCAGAGCCTGTGAGTCACTAAGTACATTGTCGATGAGTAGTAATATTTTCAAACATATCTTTTTTTCTGAGCAGTAGGTCTCAGCATGGAGCTTAAAATATTCAGGAAGCCATCTCATAAACAGAAATGCTGTTACCCAGTCTTTATCCATTTATAGAGCACAGGTAGAATAGGTTTAGCAAAATTCTTAAGGGCTCTAGAATTTTCAAAATGGTCAATGAGTATTGGCTTCAACTTAAAGTCACCATGTGTATCACCTCCCAACAAGAGAATCAGCCTGTCCTTTGAAGTTTTGAAACCAGGAATTGGCTTTTCCTCCCTAGATATGCAAGTTCTTAATGGTCTCTTCTTCCAAGATAAGGCTGTTTCATCTACACTGAAAAATCTGTTGTTTAATGTAGCCACCTGCATCAGTCATCTTAGCTAGATCTTCTGGATAGCTTGCTGCAGCTTCCACAGCAGCAATTGCTGCTTCTTTCTGTATTTTTATGCCATGAGGACACCTTCTTTCTCTAAACCTCAAGAAGAAACCTCTGCTAGCTTCAAACTTTATGCAACTTTTTCACCTCTCTCAAGCTTTATAGAATTGAAGGGCCCTGCTCTAGATTAGGCTCTGGCTTAGTGAAATCTTGTAATTGGTTGGATCTTCTATCCAGGCCACTAAAACTTTCTCCATATCAATAAGGCTGTTTTGCTTTCTTATCATTTCTGTGTTCACTGAAATAGTACTTTTTTTTTTTTTTTTGAGACAGGGTCTAGCTCTGTCACCCAGACTGGAGTGTAGTGTTGTGATCTCAGCTCACTGTAACCTCCACCTCTTGGGCTCCAGCAATCCTCTACCTCAGCCTCCGAAGTAGCTTGGACTACAGGAATGCGCCACCATGCCTGGCCAATTTTTGCATTTTTTTGTAGAGACAGAGTTTTGCCATGTTGCCCAGGCTGGTCTTGAACTCCTGGGCTCAAGCAATCCACCTGCCTGAGCCTCCTAAAGTGCTGGGATTACAGGCATGAGCCACTGTACCGGGCCTAGAACAGTAGTTTTCATTTCCTTCAAGAACATTTTCTTTGTAGTCACAACTTGACTAACTCTTTGACAAAAGAGGCCTAGCTTTGGGTTTGTTTCTGCTTACAACATGCCTTCCTCACTGAGCTTAATTATTTCTGGCTTTTGATTTAAAGTGAGAGATATGTGACTCTTCCTTTCACTTCAACACTTAGAGGCCATTGTAGGGTTTGTAATGGCCTAATTTCAATACTGTTGTGTCTCAGGAAATAAGGAGGCCCAAGGAGAGGGAGAGAGATGGGGGAATGGCTTATTGGTGAAGTAGTCAGCACACACATATTAATCAAATAAGTTGTGCTGTCTTATATGGACGTGGTTCATGGCACCCCCCAAAAAATTACAATAGTAACATCCAAGATCACTGATCATAGATCACCATAACAGATACAATAATAAGGAAAAAGTTTAAAATATTGCAAGAATTACCAAAATGTGACACAGAGACACAAAGTGAGCACATGCTGTTGGAAAAGTGGCACCAATAGATTTGTTCAACTCAGGGTTGCCACAAACCTTCAATTTGTAAAAAGTGCAGAATCTATGAAGTGCGATAAAATGAGGTATATATGTGTGTGTGTGTGTCTGTGTGTGTGTATCTTCTCAAAAATGTCTTTTATATACTGTCTGATAGTGTTTTAAATATTTTTCACTCTACTTTTGATGTCTTTGATTTCCAGTTTTTCATTATATGTAGGTTCACTGTGCATTATCAGTGGTATATCATACTATGATTAGCAAGGCCTGAGATTATCTCCTTAATACAGCATGAAATTGACTCCAGCCAAAGTAGCCAACTGACATTGAGATCACATTCAAAGTTAATACATAGGTTTAGGAAGTAATCCGAACAAAACAGGTCAACACAATAGCAGCCACATAGGTGCCAAGAATGGGCTAGACAGGAGCTGTTACCCAAACCTTATCATTGTTTTTTGTTTTGTTTTGTTTTGTTTTGTGTTTTGCTTTATAATTTTATGCTTCTGATATCTTTAGGGGCCTATGGATGAGAACTTTTACTGTGGCTGTTCATGACTACGACCATTTCGGGGATTCTTGATAGGAAGAAGAAAGTACAGGCATAGCCTGAAGGATTTTATTTTCAAGGCTGAAATTGTAGGCAAAGTGTGACAAGACACATTAAGGAGAATAATCACAGGATACATGCATGCGCACACACTCATGCACATGAATGGTTGTGTGTGTCTTGGAAGGCAGGCAGCTTTCTTGGCTTGGAGTCAGGAGTACCAGAGTGGCATGCTGGTCCTGATAGGGAGCTGAGACAAAGGAACCCACAAGAGAGTTTTCTGACTTCCCAGGAATAATGCCAAGGTTCAGAGTCTCCACAGGTATGGAAGTGAGGGTCTGGGATTTACTTTAGATCCACACTACCTGCCCATGTACTTCCCTTGAATGAGGCCTGGCCAAGGAAGAATGACCCTGCCCCTCTTGGCCCAGCCTTTCTTTGGCCCTAATGGAGACATGAACTTTGGATTCCTCATAGCTCTATAAAGATATCTTTACATTAGATCCCTTAATAGCAGAAGCTTCTGCCTACCTTGGCTTCACTTATGACAGCCATAAGCATTGTTAACTGTACCTCCTTTTGGTAGAACACTTGGCATTCTACAAAATATTTCAAACCTGGTATCCAATGCAATCCTCACAATACTCCTAATGTAGAGTTAGGGTGGTATTATCTTGATTTGCAGTTGAGGATACAGACCCAGGGAAGAACTTGGTTTAGGTCAAACAGCTCGTGAGTGGCAAAGCAGCTCTGGAGACTTCCAGAGACTTCCCTTGCCACAGTCCTATGCTTCCCTTCTAACTGTGGGCAAGCTTCTAAAAAATTAATATCTAAGCTGCTGGGAGGACTCATCTTTATGTTTTTTTTCCAGATGAATTAGTGGCAGTATGTCTTCTTCAAAAAATTATGGATGAAATGAACAAAGAGATAAACTCAGTTTATTCATATTCTTTGTCTCCAGGTTCTATTTACCTCTGACTCTGCAATGATGAATAAATTGTTCGCTTATCTGATGATCAATTTCTGTCTTTAAAATGGAGAGGATAATACTTGTCACCCACTACCATCACTAGAATGAAGGAACTAATGCTTCTAAAGTGTTGTGAAAGAGATGCTCTAGAAATAGAAATATGAGGCTTTTATTGAACACATTTAAATGTGCTTTTTAACTGAAATTATGGTTTTATCAAAGATTCTTGCTACACTGAACTCATCACAATTTGTATTATTATTATTACTATTTTTCCTGTTTTACTTTGAATGCCAATGCAGCAAATAGACTTTCCAATTTTATAGATCTTACCGTTTTACAGACAACTGCTGAGGGCTACAATCCCCTTATCTTATACTGTCCACCGAAGCTTTGTTTTACCTGATTTGTTCTAGCTATAGACATAAACATTGATCATTTGCTCCGCACAGGTAACAACATATTCTATAGAAACTGGCCAAGAAAATTGCATAAAATGATGAAACAGGCTTTGCTTGGACACTAAAAGCGCCACTTCGCTAAATAATCCAGCAATGGCACAACAGGCTTACTGGACAGTCTGACTGTCTTCATTAGTCAGACTGGCTGGCAGGCTTTCTGCGCAGGGGAACTAGAGAGTTTGTAAGCTCTCCAAACAGTCCCTGAGGTACAGCAGCCAGACAGCTGAGGTCTTCCTAATGAATACTTCAACAAGCCAGAGTTCGCAGGGATAAAACCATTAAGCCACAGAGACAGCTATGGCTTTTAAATTTGATGTGGTATGCTAACTCTTGAGAGGACATTTTAAGATAAGAAATGCAAACTTCCACATTGGGTTGGATTGTCCAAAGCACCTGAACAAATAAAATGTTTTCCATAAAGATGTTATTGGCTATCAAAGTTGACTTTGAAATGATACAAAAGCATTTTTCTCAAAGAATCTGAAATTCACAAATAAGAATTTTTGTGAATATTATACTTTATCAACTATATCGGGGAGGAAATTTTTTTCTAAATTTAATTAGTATCATTTAGCTTTTCCTTCTTTTGTTTTAAGGAAGACAATAAACTAATACACTGCTAAAAGTCTTCTAAGAAATAATTATATTTACTCTGCAAAGTAATTTTTAACTTTACTCTGCAAAGCACCTGTCAAAGTTCTTCACTTAGTTGTAATAAGCAGTGTCTAACACACACACACACACACACACACACACACAAAACCAGTTCATTCCTCAAACAATTTTGTTAACTTTCTTAAATACAGGAAGTTCTAGCTTAAATGATTCTTCCTCATGGCACCAGTCATATTTTGCATGCTTTGGTTAGAGATGTGTTTTTTGTGTTGTTTTGTTTTATTTTATAAAGTGAGCAACATTCTTCCATTAACCTGTCAAGAAACTGTTCTTTTGTTCATCTCATGCCCACAAAAACAAGCACACGATGTTTGGAAAACAATCTACAATAATTTCAATGGGATCAGTATGTTAGAATATAACCAAATGTTGAGATTCTCTCTAATTTATTGACCTGAAATTCCTTCAGGGTCACAAGAAACTTGCCCTACAGACATTTGGTGTGTTTTAGTATCAGACTGGTACTACAGCAATAGTGCTAGGTCAAATATCAGGATGTGTAATACTTTTTCTGAAAAGCTCATTGTGCTTCACTGAAAAAGTCACTCAAACACATAGAGAAATTAAGACACTGCCTGTGTAACTGAAATAAATGATTTTTTTTAAAAAAATCAGTTACTTTAGGCATTTCAATGCTGAACTCACTAATGGAGCAGAAGAATGAGAGCTTGAGTCTGCTTTACAGGAATCTGGGGTACTGTGATACAACCTATAGTATCTGCTATTTTTTAAAATAACAATTTTTTTTTAATTTTCAATAAATATATTGACATATCCTAAAGATACTTAAGACTATATTTTTGATTATTAATTCTTGGAAATCTTTAAATACATACAATGAAAGTCTCATTTTAAGTTATTAAAGCTCCCAGTCTTCATTTCTGTTTTTGTTTTTCTCACAAATAAAATTAAAATGTGGCTTCAAGAAATCATAATATGCCATTCTTATGTCATGAGTGCTAAGAGAAAAGCCACTTAGAATCAGGGAAGACCAAATGAATATTTTAAATTGTGATGTAGTACACTAGTGTATTATTTACATCACTAAAGCAAACCACTTGTTATATGCCTGGCATAAAGCACATTCTTACTTTTACTTCTCAAGGAACCCCATAAAATATATCAATTCAATTGCAATTCTAAATGTATTAGCAAATTGGTAATGTTACTAAGTTCAAGGAGAAATTCTTTTGAAGTATCTAGGAATCCAGAAGAACATTATTTTACAACTTCCTTTCCTAGATAAATAATTATGACGTCTTTGTGTGTTTAGTTAGCATTGGCATTTCAGCTAATATTGACCAAAGAAGCTAGTGTGGCTATATTTAAACTCTGTCAGAGTTTCACCACCACATCACAGCACATTTTAAGTATTTTATAATGAATGAGACCTATTATTGCCAGAGCACACTTCAAATTCATTCATTTTTCCTCTCAAATTGTTTTTCCAGTTATGTCTGCCAAAATTGTAGCAAATCACTTTTATTTGAAACAAAGATTTCATATTTCTATTTCAGTCCTTCCTCTCTGAAGCCAGGATGAAATAACGTTGCGATGTAATACAACAAACCATATACTTCCAAGTTGAAATGACAGGTAATTGATTATGAGTCAGTCTGCAAAAGATTGGTGATTAGAGAAACCATATCCTGCTTAAATACATTTCTTTCATTCTCATAAACCAGATGGTACCTTGTGTCACTGACTGTCATTAACAATTTTTACCACCACAGTCATAGTGGTCAACAAAGCAGATAAAGTAAAAAAATAATATAATGTGTAGTAGGATCTGAATAAATGTACATAGCCCGAATTCATTTTTCTGCTGTTGTGCTTAATAAAGCCTAAAAATAAGGTCATAAATGCTTATAGCATGAAAAAAATTTAACCTACCTTTATAGGAAAAGCAATTGAAATCAAAGGTGTGGTAACATAAGTGGGTCATGCTAAATGCATCTTAGCTACATTAAACTCACATGGGATAGCAATGAGTATTTCATGGGATAACCATATAATTCATCTTAGAAATGCATACTTTTTTTGAGATGGGATCTCTCTCTGTCCTCCAAACTGCAGTAAAATGGTGTGATCTTGGCTCACTGCAGCCTTCACCTCCTGGACTCAAGCAATCCTCTCACCTCAGGCTCCTGACACACCAGTTGCACACTCAGGTAATTTTTTTTTTTTTTTTTTTTTTTTTTTGGAGAGACAGCATCTCGCTATGTTGCCCAGGCTGGTTTTGAACTTCTAGGCTCAAGCAAACCTTCCACCTCAGCCTCCCAAAGTGCTGATATTATGCAGTAAACCACCAATCCCAGCCAAATACAAAGATTTTTAACTGACACAAGGCATGATTAAGAGTTTCCCAGGTAAACTGTGTAGTCACCATCCGTATATATGCACTGTGCCTTTGGCAGTACACAGCTGTTCAGTACTGTGAGAAAAAAAAAAAACGGACTGTTTTATCAATAGCAAGCTTAACATGTTCCAAACCATGTAGTGGATATTGAAGGATGCATCTCAGTTGAATTGAATAAAGCATAACTGTAAAGTTATGCTTTATAATTTTGTATAATAAACTGTTTAAAAATTATTCAATTAAGATTTCTTGATTTTCCTACCAAATTTTGTTTCTATGTCACTTTTGGACATAGAGGAGGAATAACTCCTTTCTTCATGCCATTAAAGTAAATCAATTGAAGCTTACTCTTCTACAACTATATTAAATTTTAACTTAAAAAATCTTGCTTTAATCACTTCTTGGCCTTTTGGCAAAGAACAAGTGTAAAAGTCTTGCTCTAATGTACTCAGTGTGATATATCCTCATGCTTTGTTTGTTAGGTTCTTCCCCAAAAGTGGTTTATGAAGAAGTCTTTATAGCTTCTACATCTGTCCTGTTCAGTGTAAAGGACTACCAACATGCTCTCTTTTAAACACAAAATGCCTTTTGCAAACCAAAGTGGACATGGACAAAAATTTATTTTAAAACATTTCAGTTCTGCCATTATAAGAAAATAGAAATTTGCAAAAGGCAACTGGAAACCACTCTTTATGATCTGGAGATGGAATATCTACATTGCAAAGTTACCTTAGCTACCTGGCCATCCAGTTGATCTCTGCACCATAAATTTCTCCCTCTAGAAGGGAGATTTTCTTGCTGAGTGAGGTTGTGGATAAAACATGTAACAGCTCTGGAACCACAATGCAATGGTTTGAATACATCCCCCAAATTTCATGGTTGGAAACCTAAAATTCATATGTTAATTAGAGGTGGGGACTTTGGGAGGTAATTAGGATTAGATAAGGTCATCAGGATGGGACCCCATGATGAAACTGATTGCTTTAAAGAAGAGGAAGAGAGACCTGAGCTTATATACATGCTCTTGCTCTCTCACCATGTGATGCCTTCCGCATCTTATGACACAGAATGAAGATTCTCACCAGATGCTAGCTCCATGCTCTTGGACTCCCCAGCCTCCAGAACTGTAAGAAATAACTTCCTTTTCTTTAAAAATTACCCAGTCTGTAATATCCCAATATAGAAATGCAAAACAGACTAAGATATATGATGTCAAAGTTGGTGCTAAATTTCCTGTTTACCTAATTATTGTCCTACTACAAGAAAGATCTGAACTTACATTCCAATCTATCTGACAGGTTCAGGATCTTTTTAAATTAAATGTATCTTATAAAGGACAATTACTTACATATATCGACAAACTATGTTCCAGGGAATATTCTTTGTGATCTTAAAAGGCACTCTAAAGCAAAATAATGTGTCAGTGTGTATAAGTTTGGAAAAACTTTTGCACTCTATTTCTCTCTTGGAGATTCATAACGCAAATTTAGGATATGGAAGTTCTAGAAAAATCTTGACTTAAAGAAATCTGTTCATTTTATTGAAGCCACCAATTCCCAAAAGAATTTGCCAGTTAATATGTTTTTCAGGAAACATTTTATAATATCAAAGATATTTGGAATTCCTGAAAATACAGTTGGGGAAATTTTTTAAAGATAGTTGAGAAGGGACAATAATAAGAAAAGGCAACATAAAAGGAGTCAAAATGTAGGAAATGTTTATATGACTTACCTTTGATTTTGTCAGTCATAAGAGAGTAAACTGGCTGGGTGTGGTGGCTCATGCCTGTAATCCCAGCACTTTGGGAGGCTGAGGCGGTTGGATCACCTGAGGTCAGGAGTTCCACGCCAGCCTAGCCAACATGGCGAAACCCTGTCTCTACTAAAAATACAAAATTTAGCTGGTTGTGGTGACATGCATCTGTAATCCCAGACACTCAGGAGGCTGAGGCACAAGAATTGCCTGGACTCAGGAGACAGAGGCTACAGTGAGCCAAGATCGTGCCACTGCACTCCAGTCTGGGTGACAGAGCGCGACTCCATCTTGAAAAAAAAAAAAGGAAAAAAGAGTAAATTGCTCTCTCTTTGGGATATTCCTCAATTTGATTCCCCCAGGAGCATGATGAAGGAAACAATTAATAATTGAAAAATTCTAATGATAAATTAAGTATAAGATATTCTCTTTATTGAATGACAACAGTATAATATGACATAAATATCAATAACTACTGACATCAATATAAAACAAAGAGGTAATATGAATAGAGAAATAATAAAGATATAATATTAAAATAATTAGAGAGGGGAGGAAGCTTACTTTCTAATTTCTCCTCTTGCTATATTTTCGAATAAGAAATGGTTTTTGTTGTAGGTCAAAATGGTCAAATACTCTCAATATTATATTGTTCTATCTAATGAATTCTAAGACACTTTTTATTATTATATTTGTTTTATAATATAAAAAATAGGATCAGTGTCATGTTCATGATTGTTCAGCAAGCAATTGACCCAGTTGCTTCAATCTTGACATATCTAATTGAAATTCCAAATGTTTTCTGCTATATGGTTTTAACTTGAGCAATTGTAGGATGATTGACTTAAAATAAGCATATGTGTGTGTACCTCTGAAGGAGAAAAAATCTGAGAGAAATATATCAGATTCTACAAAACTCAACTGTTATTCTGTTTCTTTAATATCTAGGTAGAAAGTTGTATTTGGAGGAAGATTTAATTGCTTCAACTCAGAGTATATTATTTATTTAAAACCAAAAAGCCTAGTGCTTCTCTTGTGCCTATTGTCAGTCACTGGCCCTTCCCTATGACTAATCTATATTGAGGATATTTGGAGTTTAATCCTGAGTCACTCTGTAGCAAAACTGCCAGGTATACCTACAGGATAGTGAATAGAAACATGAAAGGTTTGCCTCATTAAAGAATTCATGAGGTTAAATCCATATGTAGCAGGTGCAACTTGCTGCTATAGCTGCCCTTTTGCCACCCATATATGTTGCTTTGCCTCAGATGATTATCTTATTCTCTCTCCCCATGTGGTAAAAAGAATGAAGAGATTAGCCACATAAGCTCACATAGTCCAGGTATTTCAGAATCAGTAAAGTGAGTCTATTCACAAGCCTAACAAAGGAAATGAGGATAGATTATGGCAACTGCTAATGAAATTTATATTTCAACCAACAATACAATTAAGTGAGGGATGATCTCTTGTTCCTAGTTGACTAAACTGCAAAATTCACCTTTATCCTAAATTTCATTATGAATTTAAGAGAATGATATGAGTTGAATTTAATAACCTTATGTCGATCAGGTGAAAATTCAGGAAGAAAAGAAGCCGTCTACATCGCGGTGGATGCCTTGGCTTATGAAAACTTTGGTAGGTCTTTATTTGTCAGACTTATTCTTCCATTTCTTTTCAGTGCTACCGAAACAGGAAAAGTTCCCTCGTCACCCTTGCAGGGTGTGCGGTGGGGGTGTGTCCTGCTTCTTTGGTCAAATCTCTAGGGGGAACATGCAGACAGGCTCTGGGGCTCTGAACTCACAGCAGCATCTAGGGGTGAATGTTTACAGCACCGGAAGCTCCCGCAGGCATGTGTTACCATGTGCTCTTTTAGTTTTGCCATCTGTAGGTGGCTTGTGTTTAGCAGCTCAATCAGACCCCCTGACTTATGGCAATGTGTCCGGAATTTATTCCTTCCAGTGGGTTCTTGGTCTCGCTGACTTCAAGAATGAAGCTGTGGACCTTCACGGTGAGTGTTACAGCTCTTAAAGATGGTGTGTCCGGAGTTTGTTCCTTCAGATGTGTTCAGAGTTTCTTCCTCCAGCTGGATTTGTGGATTTGCTGATCTCAGGAATGAAGCCGCAGATCCTCGCCATGAGTGTTACAGCTCATAAAGGTAGTGCAGACCTAAAGACTGAGCAGCAGCAAGATTTACTGTGAAGAGGGAAAGAACAAAGCTTCCACAGCGTGGAATGGGACGCGAGCAGGTTGCCGCTGCTGGCTCAGGTGGCCAACTTTTATGCCTTTATTTGGCCCCGCCCACTTCCTGCTGATTGGTCCATTTTACAGAGGGCTGATTGGTGCGTTTTTACAGAGCACTGATTGGTGCATTTACAATCATTTAGCTAGACACAGAGCGCTGATTGGTGCGTTTTTACAGAGTGCTGACTGGTGCATTTACAATACTTTAGCTAGACTCAGAGCTCTGATTGGTGCATTTACAATCCTCTAGCTACACAGGAAAGTTCTCCAAGTCCCCACCCGACCCAGGAAGTCCAGCTGGCTTCACCTCTCAGCAAGGACAGAGGGCTTTCTGTATCCTGGGGTTTCTTGCCTTGGTGTACCAAAAGAGTCAAATCACACATGGGCTTGGAGAAAGAGTGCAAGGGTTGAGTGGAAGTAGCTCTCAGCAGATGGGGGAGCCAGAAGGGAGATGGAGTAGGAAGGTGGTCATCCCCTGGAGTCGGGCCATTCAGTGGCCCTCCTCTGACCACCCGGCCAAACTCCTCATCGTTCTGCGGATGGATGGCCTGCAAGCCTCTGCTGGTGCCTGTTGATGTGATCTTCCGGGTGCGTTCCTCTCAATATCCAGCTGCTTGTGTCTTCTTCCGCCCGTGTGTTTCTCTCCACATCCAGGTGCTTGTGTGTGTACCCTCTAGGGTCTCGGGGTTTTTATAGGCACAGGATAGGGGTGTGGTGGGCTAGGGTGGTCTTGAGAAATGTGACATTTGGGCAGGAAAACAGAAATGTCTGTCCTCTCCTCAGTCCGTGGGCACAGGCCTAGATATGGAGCCCTAGCCAAAAGAGTCAAATCACACATGGGCCAGGGACCTGCCTTTCTCTATCCAGTACTTCCGTGCCCCAAGCCCGATTTAGTACCTGACCTTTAACTCCACTTAAACCAATAATGCTTAAAAATGGCAGAAGGTAGCTTTGGATGAAGCCCACACTTTCCCTAAAATCACCCAAAGTACACTTTCTGGAATTAAAATCAGCGTTTGTAAACAACTTGGAAATAGACAGGCCCCCTGAAAGTTTCACCTGACTCTGCACTAGGCTCACATTCAAACGTCTGAGGCACCAGCTGAGTGAATCAGGCAAGCAAGGTCCATGGAGAGGGCTGTCTCTTCTCTGGGGGCAGGCACTTCTCAGCTCCAGCTGATTGTTGATATGTAGAAATGTCTGATCATATTGTCTGATCATGAAGTTTTGCAAAGGAAGTCAGAAGTTTTAATTTTCATCTGAATGCTCCCAATGACTAACTGATGACAATTGCTGGAAAATATTTTAAAACCCACTCTAAAACTCGCTGTACTTCAAGCAGATGTCTATTCTCTGGCAATATACAATCTCAGCTCTAAAGGTTTGCCTTATTCTCTACATGGATTCCATCTTTGCCTTTCATTTCTACTCATGTCATGTTCTCAAAAGAATATTACTGGAATAAAATTACATGCTTGTATCAGAAAATTGTATTGACATTCATCTACAAACACAAATTCCCAGGAAAACAGATTGCAAATGAGGTTTTGTGGTTTTGGTTTTTTTTTTTTTTGAGATTGACTTTTATGCTCAGAAGTGGATTTGGTTTTAAAAATCTGACATTCAGTATACTTAAACATCTAGTTCTTCTTTGCATTTTTAAGTTTAATTTTAAAAATTTACATTCTGTTTTTATATCTCAACAAAAGACTTTAAGAGGACTGTATTATAGGATCCCAGTTAAAACTTAATAACTTTCCCTTTACTATTTTATATTGCATTTATAATATACTTGACTTCCTTTTTAAATACTGTTTTGCAATTGTCTGCTATAACAAGTATTCTTAAGTATATAAACATTCTTATAAATTGAGTAAATTAAGCTTAAAAGATGATAAATTTATCATATATTATAATACCAAATTTAAATGTCACAAGCCTTCAGCTTAAATTTCTAAGGCAATATCAGTTACTTAAATTTCAGTTTTTAATTGGGATTATAATACTAATACATTACTATATGTGAAGTATTAACACACAGTTTCAATGTTAGGGTTAAATATAGAGATTCTTTCTGTAACAACAATTATCAATTCAATCATTCAGATTATCTTAAATACTTAACTAAGTCTTCTTAAGATGAAATGGTACTTCGCTAAAGAAGCTATTATGCTATCTAAATTAAACTTTTTGTTTGTAACCTAGGCTGGCTGAGATTTTATATACACAACCACAGCTGTAGACCGGGATATTTACTGCAGTGCCGTCTGAGATGTTAAAAGAATATACCAAGCCCTATTAATTATTCAGAATATAGGAGTGATGTCCTTCTTCTCAGAGCACATATAGTTCACATCCCCAGGCTTAAATTATTATTATTGCTATGTTGGAGCTGGTTTTAAAAGTTTCGTGAGGAGTGATTGTTAAAATTTCAGGAATTGTGCAAGCCAGTTGTTAACACAACCATTATGTAATTATAGAAACTTACAATTAAATAAATTATGTTAAAAACAAAGGCAATAAATACTCTAAACTCATCACTAATTGTTTCCTTACATTTTATTATTATCTATTTCTTGAGGTTATTTATGTCTGTTACATCCATATGCTGGAAATACTTTATAATGATGTACTGCTGTGCATCTCTTTCCAACTCCACATTCAGCGACATCACTCTGGTAGTGAGAAGTCCATCATGGTAAAAGAAATTATACCACAGAAATTGGCAAATGAAACAAATCAAGGTTCTGGCCACCTCTGAAAAAGCTGACTGCTAAACATTTATTAGTATATCAGTAGTTATGTTATTATCTAATTCTTTGTCTGCACTCCCCTCCAGAATACCCTATCACGTTTGGATTTTGCATTTCTTTATCTCTTGAAATATTTAAAGATCTTCTATGTAGCTCCAAAGTTCTTCAAAATTCATATAGTTCTGTACTTATCATATTTTTTCTATTTAGTAGGATCACATAAATCACATAATAAATTTATGTCTCATTGAAACTCTTTTGACATGTCTATATGATCATAAGTTTAAAGGTCATCCTGCTGCCACTGATTTCAAAGGGGTATAAAAGAAAGACAATTTTAGTTATTTCACTGAGGCCTGTTGCTTATTTATTGTCTGTTTGTTTATAGAAACAGGGTCTTGCCCTATCGCTCAGGTTGTAGTGCAGTGGTGTGATCATGGCTCACTGCAGCCTTAACCTCCTGAGCACAAACAATCCTCCCACCTCAGACTCTCAAGTAGCTGGGACTATAGGCATGGACCACCATGTCCAGCTAATTCTTAAATTTTATGTAGAGATGGGATCTCACTGTGTTGCCCAAGCTGGTCTTGAACTCCTGGTCTCAAGTGATCCTCCTGCCTCCCAAAGTGCTGAGATTACAAGCATGAGCCACCGCCCCTGGCCTAGGTCTGTTGTCTGATTTCTTACAGTACTAATTTTTTTATAGGCTTGGAACAGAGAATGTGTTCCAACTTGCATGGCTGGGCTAAAATATCTAATCATTTAGTATTTCATAGCAGAGATAGATCAGGAGTTTGTTAATTTAACTCAACTTAGAAGTGAAGTTTTTGTACTGCAATCATTAAAATCAATTTTGTTTTACATATAAACATATTATCAGGCTAATCCTAGAGCAAAATCTATTTATTCTATTCAGTTGAATTCCAGACATTGATGAACCATGATATTATTTTCTAACACTGCATATGGAAATTTACCGTTTTAATTTGAGTTCACTAATATAATTAAATTGTGGCAATTCAAACAAAGAGATGCCTTCCATTAGTAAAGTTAATAAGACATAACGAAGGGCTAGAACAAAGCATGAATCTAAACATATAGACCAGAGTCTCTCCCAAGTCAGGAAAAACAAAGTGGAATCTACAGGTTTCTTTTTATACAACAGTTTGTTACAAGGTTTAGAAATATACTGATTCTCTCATGCATTGAATAGCCATAAAATACCAACACTGGTTTTTCTGTGTACCTTATGGAGATGCAGCTATGCATTTTTAGTCACACCTATTTTCAGTAGATTAAAATCTCTACAAGGCAAAAATGGTCTGAAGATGTTACGAATCACAGAGGCCTAAAGCAGGAATGACTCCATTCTTCATGCCCACCCACGCAATTTTGTTCCTTCTCCAACCTTCTACTGCCTATCATCTTGCTGCCTAGCTAACTATAGCTCTTAGCAATTATGTCACTTTGGTATTTAAGAGAAGGAGAAGGTAGAAATGGTAGAAAATTCGTGGAAGAGAAAAACTAAGAAAGAAAGGTAGGCAGTTAATATGCTGGTTAAGGCTCAGATTCATTCTCTGCCCTTCTTCTGCTTTATTTTGCAATATTACAATGACCCTAACAACTGTATTTCCAAGGCTATTTTTTTCGACTGCCTTTCAGCTCATTTGGTCAATGGGAGATTGGAGGCCAAGAGGAAGAAAGAATTCAAAATATTTTGTCCCCCTTTTTTCTCACCCAAAAAGGCACAGGGGTCATCTCAAGCAGTGATGACATTTGTCCCATGATCTCAAAATCCTGGTAAGCAGTGACCATCATGATTCTAGTTTCTGCCAGAAGACTCAGTTCTGGGCTCTGGTAACATGACGTTTTCTCTGGGTCTCTCTAGCCATTGGGAGAGTAGTGCCTTCCTGCTGCAGTGAATCTCTGGGTTGCCTCACCACCGAGTTCTTCCATCATCTGTATAACCAACAATCTCCATTAGATTCCTTCTCTCTGAAAGTCCCAAAATGATCCCAACTGGATCACGACTTACACAGAACTGAAGACTCGATCACAACTTACACAGAACTGAAAGTGGGAGAAACAAGAATGAGACAGTTTTTTTTTTTCTAGATAATTACGGTCCCTGCCATTACAGATGTGGAAAGAGGCAGAAAAAAAAACAGAACAAGAACAGGAAGAAATACTTATTGAGTACCTTTGTTGTGCAAGTGTTTTATTATCGTTTTATCTTCACAGATGAGAAAACAGAAGCTTAGAGAGATTAGGTATTTACTAATGATCGCATTATTAACATGTGGTTGCACAGAAATTTGGACTCAAGATTTGACTCCAAAGCTTTTCCACTGGAGTATGATTTCCCTAGCTGACATGAGATTACATTCAGAAATAGTTCTTGAAGGCTTGATGGGACTAAGAGATAAAAGTCGTAAATGTTAAATAACCTAAGATCAAGTTCACTGTCATGGCCACACCAAGTTTAGTTGAGGGTATCTGTTATTTTATTTTTTAAGAAACAGGGTCTCCCTCTGTCACCCAGACTAGAGTGCAGTGGCATGGTCATAGCTTATTGCAACCTCAAACATCTGGGCTCAAGCGACACTCCTGCCTCAGCCTCCCCCATAGCCGAGACATGCAACAAAACTATTAAATCTTTAGAATTTGTGAGGGCTAATGGAGAAACGTTCCTGGGGATCAAAGGTGTTCATTAAAGAAATCTATTATTTTACAGTTGTTTTTTGTGGAATTCAGGGTACCCTTATTTGGAAGGGTAATTTATTTGGGAATTTTTTATTCTCCTTCTCCCATGGCAAAGATTTATCAACACTGTTATGTTTTATGGAGATGTCCTCTGTACTCCTCCCCCAGAAATGCAGTTGGGTAGAAGGGGTGACAGAAATCCATCCTTATGTGTTCTCATCCACTCCCATGATGTTTTCCAAAACTTAGTTACTTCCAAATGTTGCTTTCTCTTGAGATGTAGACCTGCATATCCACTGTTTACTGGACCTATGTGGGCATCCTCATACAAATCTGATTAGATATGTCTAAAACTCACTATATTTTTCCATCAAGCTCTTCCTTCCATATTCCTAATTTACTATAGTTAATGGCCCAAGAATGCAACCCGTCCCCCACTGACTGCCTCAGCCAATCCTTCTGCACCTCATCTACTTTCTTAGGCACCACATTCAACCGGGCTCTAGATCCTGTTAAAATCAACTTTCTAAGTTCCTCCAAAATCAATCTTCATTTACTCATTCGATAGTTGACTGTCCAGTACCAGATCTGGTGCTCAGTACTGGGAACGTTGAAATGAATCAGGAGGGCCAAATGAGGTACTGCCTAGCTCTTCTTTTGCTCCTTTTCATTGTCTCAGGTCCCTTCTCACCTGAGTCACAGCATTAATTTCTTTACTGTTTGGGCCGTTTCCATCTTGTTCCCCACCCCGTCTCCTCTTCTCCCAGAATAAATTTTAGGAATCTGAAGTACTATGTCACTTTCCTCCTTGAAATTTCTCAGTAGTTTGGCATAGCCTTCAAAATGCAGCCTAAAAGCCATGGGTTGCACCATTCATGTCTTCCAGCCTTTTCCTATAATACTTCAGATTGCACACCCACTTCTGTGAACTCTTTCATCCCCCGGGCTTCTATACGTGCTATTCCCACTGCTTATAACACTCTTCCCTATCGCATATTTCTATTTAACCCCCACTCATCTTTCAAACACAGTAAAAACAAATTTCTTTTCTGGAATCTATTCACTGAGCCCAGCCCATGCCTGGGGCTTCTTCCTCATGATTCCTGCTGAGTTCCCACAACACCCAGTACATACCTTTATCGTAAAATCACACCACTTGTCACACTAATAGGTAAATGCACTGTCTCCTCCACTCCATTGTGACTTCCTTGAGGGCAGGGGGGCCTCGGGTTCACTCTGTGTCTCCAATGCCAGGCCCTGGATGTGGCACACAGCAGATGCTGAGTACATATAAGAATGGGTAAGTGTGTATTTTGAAATCATGAGGTAGTATACAATCTTCCACTGTGAAACTCAAAAGGAAGGAACATTTTCTGTTTGGAAACTATTGTTTCTTCTCTGCTTATAAAAATACAACTGAATTTGTATACATGGCCAGAGAACTCCAGCCAGCAGGAGTTAATCTAGGAGTTGTGAAATACTCATAACATATTCCCTGGATTTGGCTTTTATTAATACAATATACCAAGTGGAGTTTTAACAATTTTAGAAAAATGTAAAAGTGCAACTAGCATCTCTATACTATGCTGTACAGGACCACAATGTAAACACAGCCTTAACAAACCAAAGCACTTCTTTTCATAGGACAGTATTTTCCTTATAGTGGGATTACAATTGAACAAAAAATATTTACATCTTATGCAGATGCCTGTAAGTTCAGAGTAACAGGATGAGCAGCTTTCCTTTACTACACCTGTCAAAGAGTAGATCCCACTGAAAAAGAAAACCTCAAATTTACCTCTTAATTTAATAGATTAAAAGATGGACCCCAAACCACAACTTGGTTCCCATACCACTCCTCAACTACCATGCACCAGAAGGAAAATAAAATGACTTATTCACAAAGTATTTCTCACTACTGGAATTATGTGCTAGTACTGCCAGTGGCACTGGAAGTGTTTAGGCAGGTTTATGCTGAGTAATATGTTTAGGTGGTGCATGTATTCTAATTCAGAGTTTTGCCCATATTAAGATAAACTTCCTGTACCTATTGACACTGAATAACAGAGATCTATTTAATCTGGCTTCACCTCCAAGCTAAACAAGTTTTGAAGAAATACTACAGAGAGAAATTGGGTTTGGATTTTGTAGGAGGCTTATATTTTGGTTGTAAGAAGAATGGTGTTCTTAAGCTAGATCTACTCTGAAAGTTTATGATTGTACTTCAGGTATTAGACTTCCTAGAAACTGTAGTTAGAAAAAATTAAAGATCTAACTCTCTAGTATGCTTCTATACTCAGTGGCTTCTTGGCACTGCTTGGCACGATCTTATCAAAAAATGTAACGATGTGGTGAAGAGTTCTACTAAAGACAGGAGACCATTATTTCTGCGTTTTCATACTCTTTATTGCCAACGGTTTAAAATGGTCAACATAAAAAAAAAGACATTTTGATAATAAATACTGCTCTTTGGGCTGTAATAAATAAAAAGTTTATTAACAAGGAATGCACTTTTCCAGCCACAAGTATCTTCAAAAATTAATGAAAAAAAATTATATATGGCCATAGTTCACAGTTACGCAGCCAAAAGCTGCTCCAATTACAGCCTTTAAACAACATGGGAGCTTCCTCCCTTCTCCCTCCCCTTCAGGAAGTATATTCACAGTTCCAAAGTCCTCTGGCTGAAATGCTCTCAACAGAGAGAATTTAAGAATCAATGCACCTTTCTGCAAAATTGTCTGAAAAACCTTTTAAAACAGGTATCTCAAGGAAAACTGCATTCTGGTTCACTCTTGGATTGTCCAAAGTCAAGAACTGTATGCCTTAGCCTGTTCTGGTTCCAACCAGTCCAGCAGGCCACAGGGGAATTGTTTTCGTACCACCACATGTCCATCTTCTTCAACATACTCTAGATCATTCTTTTGGCTTCCCTGTAGATCTCACAGTGGAAAAGAGGAGTCCCATAGGGTCCATTCGAAAAGTCTTTCAGTTACATCTTTGTAAGAGCATGTTCAGGGCATATTCCATTCGATTTTTTAATTCTGATGAACAGCCAGACATCAGCAGAGTTGTCAGCCTGAAAGTTGTAGATATCCTATCCTCATTGATGTAGGTGAGAAGGTATTCTTCATTTTGGCTACAGATGATGATTTTTGTATGATCATGGTAGAAATTCACCTTAAAAAATAAACATAGACATTAGATCTCTCAAAATATTCGAGAATTAGAAAAGTTCAGTCAATCACTAAACTGTCTAGGTACAAATCTTTCTGTTTAGGACCTAAACGTGCACTTTCCTGAAGAGTTCATTTACCTGAAAGGTGCCATCATTAAAGAGCATCATTAGGGCCTTATCAGATTTTAGCCACTGAAGGAGGTAGAGCCGAGGTCTTCGAATATCAGTAACACTAGGCAGATCTCCACCCTGGAAGAGATTAGGAGAGTGAGTTAGTGCCTACAAAGATTTTGTAGCATGCACTCTATTATTATTCTAAGAAAATCCTCTCAAACTTAAGCAAGCATCAGAATGGCTTTGGAAATCCCTGCCTCCACCTCCCGGAGATTCTGATTCAGTACACCAACGGTAGGTCAGGAGAATCTGTTTCTAACAAGCTTCAAAGTGATGCAGACACTACTGCTTTGTGGCCTACACTTCAAATGTCACCACTCTAAAGCCACAGTACTTACATCCATGAGGTTCTCCTCCATGTAATGAGAAAAGTATTTCAGCACCGTCACTTGACTAATAAATTGCTCAGGAGCATCTGTTGCTGGGAAAACTGAGCATTGGCCAAGCTCTGCGTAATAGTGAACTGTTCTATAAAAACAGGAACGAAAGGGAGAGAAGAGGAAAAAAAAATAGAAGCAGTTAATCATTGTTTTTAGATTTCTTTAGTGCAAGACTAGAGAACTGACAGGATTTCATTAATTGATACACTTACTTTTTGTCTGGAAGGAGGCTCATGTGAGCACCATTGTTGAAAAGGACACCGACGGTGTGGTCTGAGAGCTGGTACCCAAAGCCATATTTGTTAGAGTAATCAACCCATTTGGTGACCCACTGAAATGATGTGCTCAGCTGCTCTTTGGGAATGCAATCAGCTTCCGGCATGTTTTCCAGACATCCCCGAAGAACCCTTGCCACTGTGTCTGCAACACTTCCCATGGTACTGTCTTCAAGGCCTGAAAAGTCAGACAGAAATGTTTCAAGTTATACAATATTTTAGCAATAAAACCTCAGGCTTTGGTAGATGCTAAGTTTCACTCCATTAATTCGAAAGACATAGAACTCAAGATTATTTTCCAATTCCTGTAATCTTACTACTTCTATGTTAAATTAAGCTACAAAGTAAATTGACTTAAATTATTATGTATTTAGCACTGGCATTTCGAGTTTCATTATTTAAAATACGATTGACAACCACTTACATTCACTGCTGCTGCTACAGCTGCCAAGAGTCCCTCTGACTATCATCCGAATAGCATCCCCAATCTGCTGCTTGTTTTCTACTGCGGGTGTTCCAGACCTGGCAACTGTGGTGGTAGGTGGCTGGAGCTCCTTAGAAGAGAGAAGATTTATGCAATGAGTCAAGCATCTAAATTCATTTAAGGGTGAGAATTCCAGATTAAGATGAGAGTGAGGCAATTGCTGGGAAAGCTCATCAAAAAGCAATGGACACAAGCCAGATAAAAGATAACGCAGTAAACTCACTTGCATGCACTGTAAAACTAAAAGACTTCCTTTTAGTTTTAACTTCCCTTTCAAAGGGTTTGAAGAAAAACTTTAAGTAAATATGACATATTTGAACCATGATAATCATAGTCCAAGTGCTAATTAATAAAGAGTGGAAATAACGTAAAGCGTGAGTATCTACTTTACTCTTTCCCAACACACCTCATCTGTCCTGTGTTTGCTGGGTTGCTGAGTTATTGAAGTCTTTTTCAAATCATGCCTAAGCTTGTAGATGTCTTCATCTTCTTTAGACACTCTATCTGTATATCAAGAAACAGAATTACAAACATTAGTCTATCTTAACAAGGTAGGAACAGGGTTAGTCATATTTTCTCCTTCTTGCATTATTGACCAACTTATGAGCATCCTGGGCAAAAATAGCATTTTACCTTTGCCTTTAGCTGCAGCTACCCCCAAAAGCCCTCTTTAGTGTTTGCAAAATAAAAAGCTATCAATCACAATTCAAGGTATGGATTTATTATGCTATAAATATCAACATTTAAGAATACGCAAATATGGCCAAGTTATGCTAATATAAAATTCTCTTTTAACTAATTTACCAAATTTAAATATAATATTGGGTACGAAAAAGGAAAAGAAGTCTTGTTAACTTACTATGTGTGTCAATATATCTTGCTTTGTCTTTTTTGCCACCAAAAAGAGCAGCAGCTGCTTTCTTAAAGAAATTCTTAGCTGGGCTTGATAAGTGGAAATCTGGAACTGTATGACAACAGCTAGAAGACAGTCTGTCCGGAGTGAAGCCCTGTGGAATATTAGAAAAAGCCTTCAGTAACCTGTCAGGTAACTGGGATCAATACCAGGTAATTAAAAAAAAAAGATAGTGCACCAACCTGCAAAAAAAAGTCATGTCGAATGATGTCATCCAAACTGGGACGATCCTCTGGGTTTTTGGACAACATACTAGCAATTAAGTGCTTGGCAGGAGCCAGCAATGAGGACGGCATTGTATACCTTGCTTCCCTTATGCACCTATAAGTTTCTTTGAGATTTGTAGTTTCAAATGGGGGCCTCCCTAGTAACATTGTATACCTGTGTGCAAAGAAACACATCTTTAGCAATGGTCATAAAGCAACTCTTTTCAAGTGTTAAAATCTAAATCCGAATTTGCTTTTTAATTATTCTGCTGCATTTACTTACATTACACAGCCCAGGGCCCAAATGTCTGATTCACAGCCATGTCCTTGTTTGTTGAGGACTTCAGGAGAGAGATAATTTGGGGTACCACATATCGTTCTGGAAAGACAAAATATTGAGATCGTGTTAGGAACTATTCCACTACTTAAACTTGGTTCTCTTGACATGACTTGATGGGAGACAAAATCTTAAACAAAATCTTAAAATCTATACTGAATTTCTATTTGGAAACATTTGACTTTTGGCATCTGAAAATTCAATTGAGATCTGACCAAATGAGTTTTGGTAATTTTTAAAAATGCACACACGTTGTTTTAGCCCACATGCAAAGTGTTGTTAACCAACTAAAGCCAGGGACGTCGTGGCATTTTATACATTTTAAGCCAAGAAAAGACTTCATTGACTGCTTTCATAATCAATTTAGAGGCACAGGGTGCTCTGTCTAGTCCATAGTGGGCATTTAATAAGTATTTCTTTAAATTAACATTGCTATGATTTATAGATTTTATTACCGGACCTCTGAAACATTAAATGCAAAATAATGAAGGCATATTTGGTCTCCACAAAAGTCTACTAGGATGCATCTTTCTGACTCTTACCTCCTTCTGTGTTCCAAGGGTTCTAGCCTGGCTGCCAGACCGAAGTCCCCAACTTTTAGTTCCATGGCTTCATTAATAAAAAAGTTCCCTAGACGATAAACAAAACAAAATGTGAATCCCTTTGAAAATGCGTTCTAACCAAGTACACACACATCCACTTTGGAGCCAGGCAGCCAATTGTTATATGAAAGTCGCCCATTCAAAAGCAAGATTGCAGACACGAGATCCCAATTAAGAACATTAATATGTAAAAAAAAACAGAGAGAGAAAAAAGAACTCTAACACAAAACTCAGCTTTTGGCGTCAATGACTTACCTAGTTTGAGATCTCTGTGCAAGATTTCTTGTTCATGAAGGTATTTCAGTCCAGACACAATCTGCCTGAGGTAGTATCGAACTTCTGGCTCTGTCAACACCTTTCTTGCTTTCAAAATATGAGCCATTGACTAAGAAGAGGAGAAGGAAAAAAGAGAATCTGTCAAAACAGTTATCAAAATCACTGGTTTCCCTTTGCAGGATGAGCAATGAAAGTTAACTTTGCAGTGTAAGTGCTGCCACAGCTAAAATCCCAGATAAAATACTCTTTGAATACCATGTTAATTCGGGGTAAGCAAATGTTCTCAAATAGGAGTTGACACTTACCCTTCTACTGCAGTATTCCAAGAGAATGTAAATGTTTTCTTTGTCCTCGAAGTAGTGGTAAAACTGCACTACATGCTTATGATGAAGAATTCTGTGAAGCTCTATTTCTTTGTCAATCTAAATGAAAAAGCAAGGTAAGGCTTATTAGCTTCCAGTCACCTCGGAAAAGCCAGTGATTACACATGCAGAAGACATTTTCCTAACAGGGAAGGGCCATCCTTGCACACAAAGAAAATACTTTACTCAAGAGTCATACGCACCTTTTCCCTTTGATGAGGTTTAGCTACTCTGCTGTGAGGAATAATTTTTGCGGCGTAGACTTTGTTATTTGTCAAATCTGTCATCTCGTAACATTTTGCAAAGCCACCCTGAAAGGAAACAAAGCCGAGACGGAATTGAGGATGGCACAAAAATGGACGGCAGATATTTTAAATAAATAAATAAATGGGAAGAAAGAAAAGCAAAAAAAAAAAAATTGAGGAATGGAGGAGGGTGGACAGAGGGAGGCATTCGACTTCGTTAAAGCTCCCTCATGAAGAGAAATGCATTGCTGGAAACAGCAAGTTCAAACAGTTTCTCTTCTTCTTTTATAAAGGGGAGCTTTATGGAGGGAGTTGGAACGGGGAGACATGAAAAATAATCTCTGATGAGACTTGTCAGGAAAATTCCCTGGGAGCAGATAGAGGGAGAGAGGTCTGATGTAGAAAGCCCTCGCTTCCAGACTCAAGATGCATTTCTCTGGGCTGCGGGAGACACACAGTTCTGAGGCTAAGAATGCAAAGCCGATCCCCAGCGCTGCCGGCGCACAAAAGCCAGAGGGCAGGTGAGGAGCCCACCTCGCGCTGGGATCGGACCCCCGAAAAACCCGGAAGCGGCGGGCGAGGGACCCCGCGGGCTTGCCCGGCTTGGGGTCGCCCGGACAGACCTCCCGCCCGCCCGGCAGCCCGGCGCCCTCCGCTTGTCACCTTTCCCAGCACTTTGCCCCGGCAGTAGCGCTTCCCAGTCGTGGGGTCGACGATAATCCGCGAGATCTCCGGCCCCGAGTGCGAATGGTGGTGATGGTGGTGAGGGGCCGCCGGGGGCACTTGCGCCTGGGACTGAGGTGGCTGCGATTCCTCGGGGGGCTGCGGCGGCCGCTTCTTCTTCGAGTCCGCTCCGCAACCCTTGCCCAGCGCCTGCTCGCACATTTTGGTGCTGGCGGCTGGCTGGTAGGTGATAGTCCGCAAAAGCTCCATGGTCGCCTTGCCGCCCCGCACTGCCCGCTGCCACCCCCTAGGCGCGGTCACACGTCCGAGCCGGCCGTGGTCCTCGCACCCTTGCCTCTGGTGCCGACTAGCACCCAACACCCCGGTCCACTTGTGCGAGTGAGAGCGCTCGGCGAAGTCTTATATACGGGGAGGCGGGAAGGGGGCGGAGACTCGATACGCGACATCACGTCACGGCCTATGCCCCGCCCCACGGCCGGCCGAGCGCGCGTGGCCGGGAAGCAAGTCTTGTCCCGCCACCCGGGTCTCGCTTCCCAGCGGAGCCGCGCGCCTCAAACGCCGGCCGCCGAGATCTCTTGCGGCCGCGGGAAGGCCTTCAGAGCCGTCCGTGGGCCCCGCTGTCCCGTTCTTCGAAGGCTCCGAGCCTCAGCGTACAAAACAGAATCGCGAGGGCCGACGCCTGGCCTCACCCCCGCCCCAGCCGCCTGGTGGCAGGGCAGTGCCGTGACCCGAGCGAGTCGGGCGCGGGTGTAGACGCAGTCCCTCCCCCGCACAGCCCTTCCCGGCCGCCCGGGGCCTCCTGTGTCAAGGTATCAGGGTGCCCGGAGCCCGCCGCACGGGCAGGCGAGGCCTCCTCCGGCCGTATGACAGGGCTCGTCTGCAGCTGCCCCGCAGTGCCTGCCCGCGCTGTGACGAGCTCGCTGGTGTCTAGCTGGGGCAGTGCCGAGAGGCCGTGGGGGTGAAAGGCCGGGATTCGTGGAGCCGGGCATTCGAGCCCATCGCGCTAGGGCAGACACGGGCCCGCAGCCGGGATCCCGGGCCGATCGGCCAACCGTGCCAGGATCCCACTCGAGGCCCGTCTGGCCCCCGCCCATGCCCCTAGAGCGAGCCTCTGTCTGAGGTCGGCCCCTGAACCTTGCAGAGCGAGGTCGGCGTCCTGGCAAGGCGTCCTCCGCCCGTAGCCCGAAGATTGGAAAGCAAGGGCGCCATCTTGTGGAATGTTCCGGAATGCCGTTAGGTGTCGAAGTGGGCAGCGGTTGACAACCGTGGGCCTTTGACAGTTACTAGTACTAAACATCGATGCCGATTGTGAGTTTCCAATCAGAGTCATCTATGACTTCTTCCGAATGCATCTGTTGAGATGGCTCATGAGCTGCCCTGGTTCCTGGAGAGTCAATCTGAGACTTTCTGGGGTAGGGAGATTGGTAGGATGAAGAGAGGAGCGTAGGCCAGTGAGTGCAAACACAGCTTAGTTTCCCATTTCCAGATTTTGCTGTGCAGTTTGACTAATCTAGGAACACGTTTTTTTGTTTGTTTTTCTTGTTCTAATTACGATAGAGTAACATTTATTGAGGACTGTGCAGTATTTTTAAATGCCTTATTTCATCCTACAACAATTCTGAGAGAAATATTGTAAGGAAGGAAAAATAATTTTCCACCTTTCAAAGTTTTGGCCTGGGTCGCTGTAACCAGACAGATTAACAAGAAAACAAAGAAGCTTATTAACATATACGTCTCATATATACATGGGAGATAACCAGGAAAATTAGAGATGGTTTAAAATCGGGCTTAAATACTATCTTTAGCTAAACCAAAAGAAAAGAGTGGGGCAGGCAAGTTAAGGAATCATGACCAGGAAATGTACGGTAAACAGGAGTGGGGTTTCTTATTTCTTCATTGATAAGTTTTTCATGATTTAGAGTCATTCTTCCTGGTACAGAGGAGACACTTTTACAAATGGAGTTTTGTGGGGTTTTTTTGTTTTTTGTTTTTGTTGTTTTTTTTTTTAGTGAATGTACGTTTCCCTTACGAAAGGGTAATATGCCATTTTTAGAGCATTTCCTGGGTCTGCTGGTTCTCAAAATAATTATCTTAAAATAATCTTTATCCCAGGGCCATATTTGGGGTGGCATATTCTCATCTCCTACATTATTATTCCCATTTTATAGATGAGGCTTGGAGAACTTAGGTAATTATTGTATATTTTTACTAGATCATCGAGGTTAGGTTAATTAGCAGCACACTTGAATCTTTTTACCTATGTTAACAGGATATGGTAAATAGTTTTTTGAAGCTAAATTCCAGAGAAATTTAGAATACCAGATTATTGAATCCCTGGAAGGTACATACAAAAAGTTGCTGCAGTCCACTGTCAAATTTAGGTATGTGTGGTATCAACATTAATCGAACATTTACAAAAATACTGTGTCTCAAATACTTCCAGCATAATGTGGAAAAGAGGCTTATTGCCATTAGAGAGGAGAAAGGGAAAGGCTTTGCCATTAGCGAGGAGAAAGGGAAAGTCTTTGCTGTCACTTCCGTTTTTGATTCTTTAAAGAGTGCAGGGCAAGTCCAGGCATGTTTCTCATAAGTGACAATAGACTTTAACCCCAAGATTGTCAGGGATGGAATAAGGGGTGGGGCTTAGGGGTGGAAATTCAGAATTACGTAATTATCCTCTTTATTCATAAGCCCAGGGGTGACCTTTGCTTCCCAGATTTGTGCAAACCTACTCTCTAAGATGTAGAAGGCTTGCAGGTTTAGAAAATATTACTAGAATTTATCAAAGCTAGTTTACACACCATGTCTTTATGGTTGATAATAAACTGTATATGTATACATATGTGTGTATGTGTATGTGTATTCATTTGTGGCCTAAGATAAAAAACTGAAGAATAGATTGTCATGATTTTTTTTTAAATGTCAATTTCTTCTTTGATTAGCATACACTATGGTATGTATCTTTACCAAATGGACTTCAGTATTTGATAAACTGTTGAACATTCCATGTGAAATTCAGGTCTGTCTGCCACAACATGGAGGCATTTAATAAAATATTAACGCTGTGTAAATCTTATGTTGTCTTCTTTCCGACTGAGAACATGATTTTTTTGGGGTTGTGGTGCCATCATGTGGACAGAACCAAAATTGTAGTCTATAGAACAAAAAAGGAAATAAATGCGCTTTCTATTAAGTAGACTAATTACTAAATATCATGGAGTCAATTTGGTAACCAGTAGGAAGGAAAAAATGGATCCATGCTTCATATCTGGCTTATTTTCAAGCAAATGAAAGTTTGAAATACGTGAAATTTTAAGACAATATGAAAGAATTCTTTCATAGCCTGAATGTGGTAGAACTTTCAACTATTTACAAAATCTAGAATCCCTAAAAAAAAAAAAAAAGCAAGATTCATTAATGTAACTATATAGAAACAAAACCCTTTCATTGATTTAAAATAACAAAACACCACAAATAAAGTCAAAGGATAAATAACACTGGAAAAATTATTTTCAACTCATCACAGAGAAAGAGCTTATCTTCCTGTTATATAAAAACTCCTACAATTGGATAAAATACCAATTATCCAACAGAAAACAAATGGTTCTTACATTTGCTCAATTTCACTCTTCAGAAGAGAAATTGAAATGAAAGATATACTGAGGCACCCTTTCCTACAAAATTGGCAAAACCCTCAAAAGTTGCCGTGAACATGCTCAACTGCTGAAGTGTTGAGGAAGCAGCACTCCATATATTGCTGTTGGGAATGGAAATTGATATAATTTCAGTGAAAAGTAATTTGGCCAAATCTATCAAATTTAGAAATGAATGTATTCTCTTACTTAGGAATTTATCCTATGGATATAATCTCATATATAAAATGATGCATGACACATCAACAAATGATAAAAACCCTGGCCAAATTAAGCCCAATTCTTACATTTGTCAATAAGTTTTTATTTAAAAGAACCGTGCCCATTTGCCGGGATCTAATTAAACTAAAGAGCTTCTGCACAGCAAAAGAAACTATCGTCAGAGTGAACAGGCAGCCTACAGAATGGGAGAAAATTTTTGCAATCTATCCATCTTACAAAGGGCTAATATCCATCATCTACAAAGAACTTAAACAAATTTACAAGAAAAAAAACAACCCCATCAGAAAGTGGGCAAATGATATGAACAGACACTTCTCAAAAGAAAACATTTATGCTATCAACAAACATGAAGAAAAGCTCATCATCACTGGTCATTAGAGAAATGCAAATCAAAACCACAGTGAGATACATCTCACGCCAGTTAAAATGGCGATCATTGAGAAGTCAGGAAACAACGAATGCTGGAGAGGATGTGGAGAAATAGGAACGCTTTTACATTGTTGGTGGGAGTGTAAATTAGTTCAATTGTGGAAGACAGTGTGGCCATTCCTCAAGGATCTAGAACCAGAAATACCATTTGACCCAGCAATTCCATTACTGAGTGTATACCCAAAGGATTATAAATCATTCTACTATAATGACACATGCACATGTATGTTTATTGCAGCACTGTTCACAGTAGCAAAGACTTGGAGCTGACCCAAATGCCCATGAATGATAGATTGGATAAAGAAAATGTGGCACATATACACCATGGAATACTGTGCAGCCATAAAAAAGGATAAGTTGATGTTCTTTGCAGGGACATGGATGAAGCTGGAAACCATCATTCTCAGCAAACTAACACAGGAACAGAAAACCAAACACTGCATGTTCTCATTCATAAGTGGGCATTAAACAATGAGAACATATGGACACAAGGAGGGGAACATCACACACTGGGGCCTATCAGGAGGTGGGGGCCTAGAGGAGGGATAGCATTAGGAGAAATACCTAATGTAGATGACGGGTTGATGGATTCAGCAAACCACCAAGGCACGTGTATACCTATGTAACAAACCTGCACATTCTGCACATGTATCCCAGAACTTAAAGTATAATAAAAAAATTTTTTTTAAAAAGACTACACATTGGGTACAGTGTACACTGCTTGAGTGATGGGTACAGCGAAATCTCAGAAATCACCACTAAAGGACTTAATGTAACCAAATACCACTTGTTCACCAAAAACCTATTAAAAGAAAAAATAATAATTTTCAAAAAACAACCATGCCCATTTGCTTATGTAGATATATTGTCTATGGCTGCTTTCATGCTACAATGGCAGAGTTCAGCTGTGACAGAGACCAAATGGCCTGCAATGCCTAAAATATTTGCTACCTAGCCCTTTACAGAAACAGTTTGCTGACCCCTCATGTATAAGGTTATTCACTGCAGTGTTGCTTGTAATAATTAAAGATTAGAAACAACCTAAGTGGCCATCAATAGAAAACTGGTTAAATGATGATGTGTTCATGCCGTGAAAATGTAGGCAGTTGTAAAAACAAAATGAAGAAGCTTTTTAAGTATTGATATGAAAAAAATCTCCAAAATAGGCCGGGCGCGGTGGCTCAACAACTTGGGAGGCTGAGGCAGGCCGATCATCTGAGGTCAGGAGTTCTAGACCAGCCTGGCCAACATGGTGAAACCCCGTCTCTACTAAAATTACAAAAATTAGCCAGGTGTGGTGGTAGGTGCCTGTAATCCCAGCTAATCAGGAGGCTGAGGCAAGAGAATCGCTTGACATTAGGAGATATACCTAATGTAAATGACCAGTTAATGGGTGCAGCACACCAACACGGCACATGTATACATATGTAACAAACCTGCATGTTGTGCACATGTACCCTAGAACGTAAAGTACAATAAATATATATACAAAAAAAAAAAAAGAGAAACGCTTGAACCCGGGAGGCGGAAGTTGCAGTGAGCCGAGATCACACCATTGCACTCCAGCCTGGGGGACAAGAGTGAGACTTCGCCTCAAAACACACACACACACACACACACACAAATCTCCAAAATAAATACTGTGGAAAGCAAGTATAGGATAGTGTATGGTATAGTAAAATATGTTTCCTTGGAATAAAAAATGAGGGGAAAATAACATATTTTTATAGCCTTAATTATGCATAAAGCATAAACTTTTGGGAAGGATTAATAGCAAACTAATAATAATAGGTTTTCTTCTGTTTACTTGTTTACATATTTTTGTGAGAAGATTATTTACTTTTCTGATCATTTTTATGTGTTTTAATGTCTGAACCAGAAGAATACATTACTATTTAAAAATACATATAAAAACATTTTTTAAGGATGTGATTTGGCTCATCAAAGAGAACTTTGTGTTCCACTCTCTGTTACATTCTATCATCTCATCAAGGTTTGCAATACACACTTTATACTATAAGTATAGGGTGCAGCGAAAATACTTTATATTGCTTAATTGATTATTACTTTTCTTCCCCACAGGTATGAAAGCTTCATGAGGACAGGTACATTTCTTAGTTTAATGCTATATTCCCCATGCCTTGAATAGTACATGACAGAGTAAAAACTCAATTATTTGTTAGATAGACACATTTATAAATATAAAACTATTGAGAAAACAAGATACCTCTTAGATTTGATCTTGCACAAATTTCTGAAACTCTCTATGTCTCAGTTTCTTCTTCTGTAACAAGAGGATGACAACATTTTATAAGGTTGTTGCTATGGTATGAATGTTTTTGTTCCCACAACATTCATTTGTTGAAATTCTCACCTACATTGTGATGGTATTAAGAGGTGGGTCTTTGGAGGTGATTAGCTCATGGGGTTAGAGCCTTCATAAATGGCATTAATACCTTCATAATAGAGACTGAAGAGATACTCCTTGCCCCTTCCACCATGTGAGACCACAGCAAGAAGGTGCCATCTGTGAGGAAGTTGGCCCTCACCAGATACCAAATCTGCTAGCAACATGATCTTGGATTTCCCAGCTCCTAGAACTGTGAGAAATAAATTTATTGTTTATAAGCCACCTAGTTTTGTGATATTTTGTTATAGCAGCCCAGAGGGGCTAAGACAATTGTTATAATGATTAAACAAGCCAATGCATAGAATGTGCTTAGAACAGTGCCTGTCACATGGTGGGAAATCTATAATGCTAGTTATTATTTAATATTCAGGAGAAAGGAAGGGGCAAGAAGAAAAACTACCAAAGGCAGGAGAGATGGACAAGAAGGAGTTTAACCCAAGGTAGAGTGGAGAGATACTGTTCCCAGCATCTGGTTTACTGAAAGGAATTCAACAAAACTGAACGGAACTGACAGGGAGAAAGAACAACAAATAAGCACTGTTTTTGTTTGCCTTTCTAAAAATTTGCTTTTGACTTGGGGAATTGACAAGAGAGAGACAGTGAGAGGACAAGCACCTAGGAGGCTGTCACCACCAGGCAATGAAGAAGATGACTCAGCTCTGGACCTCGAAAGTGAAGGAAGCTGCCTCCTAGCTGCTGTGAGGGAAGGGGAGGGGCTGGTGTGCTACTCTCAGTCTCTGCCTGGGAGGCCACAATGGTACAGGCTTCGAGTGAGCCTTAAAGAACATGTGGCCATGAGTATGTGCCTGTGAGTGGTTGTGTGAATAGGACGTATGAGAGGAAAATAAATCTTGGGGCCCCAAAATTACTACGCCAAATGGAAATGTCAAGCTGGGAACTGCTTCAGGCAAGCCTGCCTCCCATTTTACTCCTAAATAAGATAGCTACAGAGATTAAAGAAAAAAAAAAAAGAAGCTACATACCTCCCTCACAATTGGCCCACTAGGAAATTCCTTGTGAGCCCCAAGATCTTTACCTTAAAACAGTTTTGTTGAATTTTACCCTGACAGTGTAAATTGATAGTTTATCTTCAGAGGTGCAGGACAGAAAGTTACCTCTCTGCTCACCTGAGACAAATGCATATCTGATTGCTGATGTAAAAAATGTAGATTCACTGAGCTAGACAAGGCATAAGTGACTCTTCCTCTACCTCCCTTTCACATGTAAATTGTATATTCAGTGAAAGGCTGATCAATGACTCAAAAGAATGCAACCGTTTGTCTCTTATCTACCCACAACTCTTAAAAGTTTATTCCCCTTTCCCTGATGTCCACCCTTTCTCCTTTAAATATTAAAGCCCTCAAAATCATCTTTGAAGAAAGGTACAGACCTGCCTCCCAGTTGCATGTCCTTAATCTTGGCAAAATAAACTTTCTAAATTGATTAAGACCTGCTTCAGATACTTTTTGGTTTTATAGACATGATCTGCTGTACGTGGGAAACCCAAATGCACTCTGGCCAAACAGTGTTCCCCTCTTCCTTCCATACCCAACTGAGTCTTTGGGACTTCAGGACTACAAAGACCAAACAGATATGTGGAAAAGGGATGGCATTCTGAGGATGGCAGTGACTTGGACTTGGCAGAGATTGAAAGAATGGGCTGCTGGTCTCTTCACAGTAATAATAAAGCTGAGCTGCAATGACAAGAAGGCAGCAGAGAGGCTTTAAAAAAAATTCTGAAAATTATTAAAATGCATAGGAAAGTTGAAAGAAGGGTGCAGTGAATATTCATATATCCACCTCCAAAGTCAACAATTCTCTCTCCTCATTTAAACTTATGTTACAAACATCATAACATGTTATTCCTAAATACTTCAGCATGCATCTCTTAAAAAAGGAGATTTTCATGTAACGATAATACCTTTTACACACCTTGTATTAATAAAATAAACAATAATTCCTAAATATCTAATACCTAGTTCATATTCACATTTTCCCACTTGTTCCTAAAGTCCATTTTATAACTGATTTGTTCAAAGAGCCAATGAAGGACCCTAGACTGCATTCTGCTATGACTCCTAACTCAATCTGCAAGAGTCACTACTCCCTGCTTTTGACTTTTCAAAGAGACCAGGCCAGATACCTTGCAAAATGTTCATTTTCTGGATTTGTTTTATTGCTTTCTGTTGGTTTAATTTAATGTATTGTTTTGTATTCTGTATGTCTTTTAAACTTTTAGTTAGAAATGCAGACTGATTTAGATTTGGGTTAAGCACGTTTTAGTAAGTATATGTCATAGAGAACGCTCCATAATTCCCACAATATCCCATCAGGAGATATATAGTGTCTTACTATTCCTGAGAGTCAATTTGATTACAGTATTAGGAAGGTGGCAGCCCAGTCTCACCACTGTAGATGTGCAGTGCCTCCCTTGTTATTGGCAGATAATATGTGAGCTAATGTGGGAAAATGTTTCCATTGGCCATTCATCAGATGACTTGATCCCATGTTGATAATTCTTAATGGAATCAGTTATTTCATTTGTGGTTGCAAAATGGTGACTTTCTGATACTGTCCATTTATTACTTAGTATTCTTCAATAAAAGTATTTCCTCAGCAACTGAGGCTGTTTTATTACCCTGCACTACAAACAGAATAAATGTTTAATTCACTCTTTTTAATTACCAATTTTTCAAATAAAGATTGGTATGATAGTAATATCCAATGTGGGCAAAAACTTTTTGTTTTCACATTTACTGCTTTTTTAATATCATTTGTGGCTTCATGGACTTTTATACTTTTCAAGTGTTTTAATAAACTCTATTCGCTATTTTTTAGTCTAGGCCCATTCAGACAACAGAAATAGGAAGTACATTTTTTATTTTTTTATTTTTAATTTTTGTGGGTACATACTAGGTACCCATATTAATAGGGTACATAATATATTTTGGTACAGGGCATGCAATGTGTAATAATCATATCATGGAAAATGGGGTATCCATCCCCTCAAGCATTTATCCTTTGCATTACAAGCAATCCAATTATGCACTTTTAGTTATTTTTAAATGTACAATTAAATTATTATTGGCTATAGTCCCTTTTTATGCTATCAAATACTAAAATGCTAGGTCTTATTCATTCTTCCTATTTTTTTTGTTCCCATTTACCATCCCCACCTTCCCCCCCGACCCCCTGTATCCCCCCACTACCCTTCGTAGCCTCTGGCAACCATCATTCTATTCTTTATCTCCATGAGTTCAATGAGTTTGATTTTTAGATCCCACAAATAAGTGAGAACATGTGACGTTTGTCTTTCTGTGCTTGGTTTATTTCACTTAACATAATGACCTCCAGTTCCATCTATGTTGTTGCAAATGACAGAATCTCATTCTTTTTTATGGCGGAATAGTACTCCATTGTTTATAAGTATCACATTTTATTTATCCATTCAGCTATTGATGGACACCTAGGTTGCTTCCAAATCTTGGCTGCTGTGAGCAGTGCTTTAACAAGAGAATGCAGATATCTCTTTGATATATTGATTTCGTTTTGGGGAGGTATATACCTAAAGTGAGATTGCCAAATCATATGATAGCTGTATTTTTAGTTTTTTGAGGAACCTCCAAACCATTCTCCATAGTGGTTGTGCTAATTTACATTCTTGCCCACAGTGTATAAGACTTCCTTTTTCTCCGCATCCTTGGCAACATTTGTTACTGTCTGTCTTTTAGATATTTGCCATATAAATGGGTGAGATAGTTTTGATTTGCATTTCTCTTGGTAGTTTTGATTTGCATTTCTCTGTTGACCAATGATGTTAAGTACCTTTTCATATGCCTGTTTGCCATTTGTACATCTTCTTCTGAGAAATGTCTATTGAAATATTTAGCCCATTTTTTAATTGGATTACTAGAGTTTCCTGTGGAGTTATTTGAGCTCCTTCTATATTCTGGTTATTAATCCCTTGTCAGATGGGTAGTTTGCAAACATTTTCTCCCATTCTGTGGGTTGCTCTTCACTTTGTTGATTGTTTCCTTTGCTGTGCAGAGGCTTTTCAACCTGATGTGATCCTATTTGTCCATTTTTTGTTTGGTTGCCTGTACTTGCGGAGTGTCACTCAAGAAATTTTTGCCCAGACAAATGTCCTGCAGATTTTCTCCAATGTTTTCTTTTTTCTCTCTTTTTTTTTTTTTTTTTTTTTTTTGAGACGAAGTCTCACTCTGTCACCCAGGCTGGAGTGCAAGGACCCCGATCTCGGCTCATTGTAACCTCCACCTCCTGGGTTCAAGTGATTCTCCTGCCACAGCCTCCTGAGTAGCTAGGATTACAGGTGCCTGCCACCACGCCCAGCCAATTTTTGTATTTTTAGTAGAGACAGGGTTTCACCATGTTGGTCAGGTTGGTCTCGAACTCCTGACCTTGTGATCTGTCTGCCTCGGTCTCCCAAAATGCTGAAATTACAGGCGTGAGCCACCACTCCCAGCTGCAATGTTTTCTTACAGTAGTTTCATAGTTTAAGGTCTTAGATTAAGTCTCTAGCCCATTTTGATTTGATTTTTGTGTAAAGTGAGAAATAGGGATCAAGTCTCATTCTTGTACATATGGATACCCAGTTTTCCCAGTACCATTTGTTGAAGACACTGTCTTTTTCCTAATATATGTTCTTGGCACCTTTGCCTAAAATGAGTTCACTGTAGGTGTGTGGATTTGTTTCTGGGTGTTCTATTCTGTTCCATTGGTCATTGTGTCTGTTCTTATGCCAGTACCATGCTGTTTTAGTTTCTATAGCTCTGTAGGAGGTACATTTTTTAAAATCAGGGTTTAAATTGGTATTTATTGGTTCAAATTTGGCTTATAGAATTTTATTTAATTCTTTTGAATTTTTTTACTATCTCTTAAAATGAATAATAATAGTGACCATCATTTATTTGCTTTATCTATATACCATACACAAACCGATTTCAAAATAACAATACCAATATCATTATTAACAATAAAACTATTGAATTTAAAGCCCTTTCTGTCCTTAGACTATATAGCTTTACAAGAGTTTTCAGAAAGAATACTATTTTCTAGATTCATCTAATTATTTCCTCTATATGATTATGTTAGATTTTGATATATAGTGTCTTCTTTTAATATTTTCAATTTTATGGATTTTTTGGAACATGTAAAATATTTACATACTCAAGTCAAAATTGCATAAAAGTATACTCCAATAAGCCTGGCTTTCATTTCTGGTCACTTAATCCTATTTATGTCCCCACCCCCACTCCTAAACAGTAAGTACTTTCATTAGTTTCTGGTCTACCTTCCAGTGTTTGTTTGTGTTTGTTGTTGTTGTTGTTGTTGTTGTTTTCTGCAAACATAAGCAGATCCACCACTCTACCTCTGCCTATTTACTTACCAGTATGCATGTATATTATACTTACATAAATATACTTTTATTTCTCCTTATTTCTCCTCCTTTCTCACACACAAGATAACATATCTATTAGTCTCTCTGCATCTTCCTGAGGCTCATTCTTGAATCACTCAGAAGTTATTCAGAGACAGAAGGGCCTGTTAAAAGACTGGGATTTTGCCCTTGTGTTAGTTCACTTGGACTACTGTAATAAGATATACAGATTGGGTAACTTATAAACAATAGAAATTTACTTCTGGGACAGTCGCGGTGGCTCATGCCTGTAATCCCAGCACTTTGGGAGGCCAAGACGGGCGGATCACGAGGTCAGGAGCTCGAGACCATCCTGGCTAATGTGGTGAAACCCTGTCTCTACTAAAAATACAAAACATTAGCCGGGCATGGTGGCAGGCACCTGTAGCCCCAGCTACTGGGGAGGCTGGCCGAGACAGGAGAATGGCGTGAACCTGGGAGGCGGAGCTTGCAGTGAGCCAAGATTGTGCCACTGGACTCCAACCTGGGCGACAGAGTGAGACTCCGTCTCAAAAAAAAAAAAAAAAAAACAGAAATTTACTTCTCACAGTTCTGGAGGCTGGGAAGACCAATATCAAGGCGCTAGCAGGTTCAGTGTCTGGTGAGAACCACTCTATGCTTCCAAGATGGCACTGTGTTGGTACATCTTCCAGAGGGGAGGGAAGCTGTGTCCTTACATGATGGAGAGGCAAAAGAAAACAAACTTGCTCCCTCAAGTGCTTTTATAAGGGCCCTAATCCCTTGAGGGTACTACCCACATGACATAACCACCTCCTAAAGGCCCCACCTATAAATACTATCACATTCACAATAAAGCTGTAACAGAGGACTTCTGGGGGACACAGTCAGACTATGCGTTATCCAGTGCAACTTCAAGGAAGAGATAATTAGGTTGTTGGTGCTATAGTTAAATTTTATCTCAGACTACTGGGACTTGAAAAACACCTTTCCACAAAAATTATAGATTTTATTATCATGCTGACTATGGGGTGAAAGTCTGCAGTTAAGTGTGAGATCTTCAAATAGAAATATCTTGTTGGTGCTTTTATTTATTTATTTATTTATTTTGAGATGGAGTCCCACCTTGTCATCCAGGCTAGAGTGCAGTGGCATGATCTCAGCTCACTGCAATCTCTGCTTCCCAGGTTCAAGCTATTCTCCTGCCTCAGCCTCCTAGGTAGTTGGAATTACAGGCACGAGCCACTATGCCCAGCTAATTTTTCTATTTTTAGTAGAAATGGGGTTTCCATGTTGGCCAGGCTGATCGTGAACTCCTCACCTCAGGCAATCCACCTGCCTCAGTTTCCCAAAGTACTGGGATTACAGGCATGAACCACTGCAGCCAGGCATTGTTGGTGCTTTTAAATGCAAGAAAGAATCAGTAGATTTCTCAGCTTTACCTAGAGGTGATCATTAGATTTCTGAGACTGAGTCAATTCTCCAAGAGAAAAAAATAAAGAGAAAAAACAAGAGACTGGACTCAGTGGCTCACACCTGTAATCCCAGCACTTTGGGAAGCCGAAGTAGGCAGATCACAAGGTCAGGAGTTCAAGACCAGCCTGACCAACCAACATGGTGAAACCCCGTCTCTACTAAAAATAAGAAAATTAGCCCAGCTGTAATCCCAGCTACTCAAGAGGCTGAGGCAGGAGAATTGCTTGAACCCAGGAGGCAGAGGTTGCAGTGAGCGAAGATCATGCCACTGCACTCCAGCAGCCTGGGTGACAGAGCAAGACTTCATCTAAAAAAAAAAAAAGAAAAGAAAAAAAAAGAAAGAAAAGTCCCTTTGAATGAGGATATGCACACCTCTGAAAATGTTTCAAGGCGTACTGGGCTCCACAGAGACTTCTAAGGGAATTAGTTTACAGATAATCAGCTGTTACGTATTCTTTTCTAAAACTGATCTGATGGTACCACATGTCTGCTTTTTCTCCTTTCCCAATTTATTTTCCACAATTATCCTTCTTTAATTTAAAAAATGGAGGGCATACCTTTCACCCACCCATCCATCTGTTCATCCATCTATCCATTCATCCATCTATTCATTGAAACATACAATATTTTTCCCTGGTGCATTTTTTCACTAGCTATAAACACCATTTGAGCCCCAAGAACAAAGGGAAAATTTGAAACTGTAGAGTTTCTTTAAGGAATATTAAAGTGCATGGGTCTTACTTCCTCTGAGTGACAAACCTATAGCAAGACTTCCTGCTTCATTCTTTGTTTTGGTTTTTTTTGTTGTTGTTCCTTTCTTTTTTTTTCCCTCAAGACAGAATTTGGCAACAAGATGGTTGTCACAGATACGGGTATTAGCACATTTGTTTGAGTTGAAACACAAAGTCATATTTTCTGATTGATTAGTTTGACAATGAAGGTTATGTTTGTCAATTAAATTATAGTGGAAGTTGTTCATAAATTGAAAGTGCAGCTCCATTGTTTTGGGCAAAATATATTTAAGAGGCACATATAATTTTCCCCATATCAGATATATATTTTATTACTCTTTGTAGTAGTCTGTTCTCAAGCTACTAATAAAGACATTCCCGAGACTGGGTAATTTATAAAGGAAACAGGTTGAATTGACTCACAGTTCCACATGGCTAGGGAGGCCTCACAATCATGGTGGAAGGCAAATGAGGAGCAAAGTCATGTCTTACATGGCAGCAGGCAAGAGAGTGTGTGCAAGGGAACTCTCCTTTATAAAACCATCAGATCTTGTGAGACTTATTCACTATCATAAGAACATCACAGGAAAGACCTGCCCCCATGATTCAATTACCTCCCACTAGGTCCCTCTCAGGACATGTGGGAATTATGGGAGCTACAATTCAAGATAAGATTTGGGAGGGGACACAACCAAACCATCTGATTTCACCCCTGGCCCCTCCCAAATCTCATGTCCTCACATTTCAAAACCAATCGTGCCTTCCTAACAGTCCCCCAAAGTCTTAATTCATTTCACCATTAACTCAAAAGTCCACAGTCCAAAGTCTCATCTGAGACAAGGCAAGTCCCTTCTGCCTATGAGCCTATGAGCAAGTTAGTTACTTCCTAGATACAATGTGGGTACAGGCATTGGTTAAACACAGCCATTTCAAAAGGAAGAAATTTTCCAAAACAAAAGGACTACAGGCCCCATGCAAGTCCAAAATCCAATATGGCTGTCATTAAACCTTAAAGTTCCAAAATGATCTCCTTTGACTCCATGTCTCACATCCAGGTCACACTGATGCAAGAGGTTTACTCCCACAGCCTTGGGCAGCTCCACCCATGGCTTTGCAGGAAACAGCTCCCCCGCCGGCTGCTTTCACATCTGGCATTGAGTGTCAGTAGCTTTTCCAGGCACATGGTGCAAACTGTCAGTGGATCTGCATTCTGGGGTCTGGAGAATGGTGGTCATCTTCTCACAGCTCCAGTAGGCAGTGCCCCAGTAGGGACTCTGTGTGGGAACTTGCACCCCACATTTCCCTTCCCATTGCCCTAGCAGAGGTTCTTCATGAGGACCCACCCCTACAACAAACTTCTGCCTGGACATCCAGGAGTTTCTATACATCCTCTGAAATCTAGGCAGAAGTTCTGTGTGCCCACAGGCTCAACACCACTTGGAAGCTGCCAAAGCTTAGGGCTTGCACCTTCTGAAGCCACGGCCCAAGCTGTACCTTGGCACCTTTAAGTCGTGGCTGGAGCAGTTAGGATGCAGGCCATCAACTCCCTAGGTTGCACACAGCAAGGGAGTCCTGGGTCCAGCCTGGGAAACCATTTTTTCCTCCTAGGCCTCCGGGCCTCTGATGGGAGGGGCTGCTACAAAGTCTCTCACATGCCCTGGAGACATTTTCCCCATTGTCTTGGTGATTAACATTCAGCTCCTTGCTACTTATGCAAATTTCTGCAGCCAGCTTGAATTTCTCCTCAGAAAATGTTTTTTTCTTCTCTACTGCATCATTAGGCTGCAAATTTTCCAAACTTTTGTGGTCTGCTTTCTCTTGAATGCTTCACTGGTTAGAAATTTCTAACTGTCTTTTAGATACACTAAATCATCTCTCTCTGGTTCAAAGTTCAACAGATCTTAGGGCAGGGGCAAAATGCCATCAGTCTCTTTGCATAGCAAGAATGACCTTTATTCCAGTTCCCAAAAAGTTCCTCAGTTCCATCTGAGACCACCTCAGCCTGGACCTTGTTGTCCATACTATCAGCATTTTGCTCAAAACCATTCAACAAGTCTCTAGGAAGTTCAAAACTTTCCCACATCTTCCTATCTTCTGAGCCTTCCAAGTCTCTAGGAAGTTCCAAACATTCCCACATTTTTCTATCTTCTTCTGAGCCCTCCAATCTGTTCTAACCTCTACCTGTTATGCAGTTCCAAAGTCACTTCCACATTTCAGGCATCTTTATAGCAGCACGCTACTCTACTGGTACAAATTTACTGTATTAGTTTGTTCTCACATTGCTAATAAAGACATGCCTGAGACTGGTAATTTATAAAGGAAAGAGGTTTAATTGACTCACAGTTCCACATGGCTGAGGAGGTCCCAGAATCATGGCAGAAGGCAAATGAAGAACAAAGTCATCTCCTACATGGTGGCAAGCAACAGAGTGTGTGCAGGGGAACTCCCCTTTAGATCAGATCTTGTGACACTTATTTACTATCATAAGAACAACATGGAAAATACCGACCCTCATGATTCAATTACCTCCCACTGGGTCCCTCCCAGGACACATGGGAATTATAGGAGCTACAATTCAAGATGAGATTTAGGTGGGGACACAGCCAAACCATATCACTCTTTAATCTTATGACAAAATCTACATGTCAACTTAAAAGTGTGTGAAGAGGTACATAATTTTCAAAAGTATTTTATTAGGGAGTCCAGTAAACAAAACATGTAAAGTCCTATGAGTCAGAAGATAGGAAGGGACAGAAAATAACCAGAAAATGTCAGAGGCATAAAAGAAAACCAGAAGAGATGGCAGGAAAGACTCCAGGAAGTAAAGTGTAAAACATTGCAGGGAGGTCAAGTAGAACAATAATTAGAGGGTAATCTAATCTGTGTGAATGCAGTTTCTGTAGGTGGGACAGAGTGAACAGTCTATTTAGGTCATTCAAAAAGTTGGGAAGTGATGGTGATGAAAACTGAGTTCTATCTAGAATATTATCCAGCAAGATCATTGGGGTTATAACTGCTTAAAAAAGAAAAAGCACTTCAATATGTTGAAGAGTGAGGACTACTGAAGGAATATGATCTGGGGGAATGGGCAGAAGGAGAAAAATTCACCTTTGGGACAAGGAAGACAGCTGTTCTCTGAAGCTGGCAATGAGAAGAGGAGTTTGGAGACAGCTGAAGAGGAAGGAAGAAGCCAGAGCCTCCACCACAAGGTGACCATCTTCTCAGTAAAGCACAAAATGAAGTCATGTGCTGAGAGTAGCTATTTGGGTGGAGAGCAGAGAAGTAGTGAAGGGACTATTTGGAAGAACTTGCCAAGAAATCCGTAACAGAGGATTTGGAGAGAGGACCACTTCAGGATCATTGCTCATCCTAGCTTTCTGGTGAGTTTTTAAAGTGAAATTTTATCAACACTTCACTTTTAAGGTTTCTATATTTGTCCAGTTTTCTATAGTGAAAAAGGAAGAAATAATTTTTTTTTTAAATAAAGGCTCCTCACACTCACCAAAGAAAAAGATCAAGGAGGTGTGGACAAACAGTGTCACGAGCAAGCTCTCTTGGTACTGTAACGTAAAGGAAGAGTTTATTGCATTTATATGGAGTAACTCAATGTTTTTTAGTTCATTTGATCAGTCTTAAGTGCTTATAGAGATGTCCTTTTAAATTATCGACTAGTACTTTCAGGCAGTCTATCCATAGCCAAGCAAACCAGCTGAAAGGGTCAGCCATTCAATCTTGCTTAAGTTGTATTGGTCCAGAGTATGATGGTTTCTAAAAATCAGCTTCATAGAAATCATGTTTATAACAAAGACACTAGTAACTGGGCATATGTACAAAAATAGGGGGTGAGAAAGTAAAAAACAAACGAAAGAAATCAAAAACAAAACTACACACACACATTGCCAAACCAAGATTTTTAAGCAGCAGAGGGCAGCCTTCTCTTAAGTTTTGGTTTTAAAACATTTGCTCCCAAAGCAACCTGGCCCTTAACTTCTACAGTAATTTTTTTTTTTTTCTGCAGGTGATATAAACAACACTGGGCACTAGTAAAGTGAAAAAGACAGATTTCTAATCAGTAATATACTATAGCAATGAGGAAAAGAGCCCAGTGTGAACTGTGGTCAAGTTTGATTTGCACAAAGTTGACTCAGCATCTTAAGGGAGAATGAGGGAATAGGGAGTGAGTGAGCAGAGGCTCAGCAGAGCCAGGAAAGGGAAAAAATTACAAAAAGCAGGAAAAGGGGAGTTGCTCCATGTGAAACCCATCTGAGTTTGCTACTGACATGATCAAAGTTAAGCTCCTACTCTTCCACAGAGACTAGGAGACAAGGGCTCTATCTTCAGGTGTTGGCTGGAACAAACAGTGGATTCTTTTGGTAGCTTGAGGTTTTTTCAGGCAACACTTTAAGGGGCAGCTAGGGTCATCCTAGGGATGTGGCCTTGAGCTGTGAGAAACTGTTAGCGTTTGTTCCAAGTCTGCATAGGCCAAGGCTGGTACCTAGTAGAGAAAAGGCCCAACAAAGCCTGGGGAGAGTTTGGTCAAGAAGAGAGTCTTAGTCACAGTGGAGAGTATCAATACTAGTTTTATTGACAAAAGCATAATTCCACCATTTCCTTCTACCAATAGGATAATATTAGTGCTTCTTTATGACTTATTGACAGTAATTCTGCTTAGGGGCTGCCTTAGGTCCTCAACAGAATTTGGGAGACAACTTGAGAAATAGTTATTATCTTTCTCTTAAGGGAACTCTTTGTCTTGCCCTTATCCCTTTAAACAACCCTCAAGAATTGAAGTGGTCACTTGTGTTTCTCCTATCCAGCATCCCTTCCCCTTCTTATAGTCAAAATGTCATTGCTAGCTGTTGGCAAACCATGCTTTGGAGTAGGGAGGACTTGTTGGCCTCATTCCTTAGCTTCAGGGTGGGTGTGTGAGCCTGGCTCAACCCATCAGAGCATCACACATCTCTAGCCACAGGATGTTCCAACAGTTGGCTTGGAACCTGACTCAGGCCAGTGACCAACTCTAGGACTTCTGGAAGTGTAGAGAAGACAAGCATTCTTGCTACTATCCTGCCAGTGTATGGAGCCTGGAGCTGTAGGGACTTCCTAGAGGAAAGGGTACCAACCAGAAAAAGGAGAGACCAAGACCTGATGACATTTCTGAAACCCTGGATCCAATCATTTCATGTTTGTTTTATGTTAGTTTATTATGAAATATTTCAGATATTCAAGAGGATTATTATAATGAATACCCATGTACTCTTCAGGCAGTTTGAGAAATAAAAGATTGCCAATGAAACTAAGTAAGCACATAGACTCTTTAGTTAGATAGGTCAGTAAATCCACTTTGTGTAAGTCAGTTTGAGTTGTGGCTCTGTCCCCTGAAACAAAAGAACTCAAACGGAGTTTATATGTATGCAATAAAGCCTGTCCAAAAGACAATCTAGAGGCAAAGTGTAAAACTAAATAAATATTAAATGAATCAACCAATCAAAGCAAAGGGTATCAGAGAGTTTTTGTTGGAAATAATGCACCCTATTCCAGCTAACTTTGCACCTTTTTTTTTAGATGGAGTTTTGCTTTTGTTGCCCAAGCTGGAGTGCAATGGCACCATCTCCGCTCACTGCAACCTCCGCTTCCCAGGTTCAAGCTATTCTCTTACCTCAGCCTCCCAAATACCTGGGATTACAGGTGTGTGCCACCACGCCCAGCTAATTTTTTGTATTTTTAGTAGAAATGGGATTTCACCATGTTAGCCAGACTGGTCTTGAACTTCTGACCTCAAGTGATCCACCTGCCTCGGCCTCTGAAAGTGCTGGGATTACAGGAGTGAGCCACTGCACCCAGCCAACTTTGCACCCTTTTTAAACCTGAGGTCCCAGTGACCCTGGCCCCTATACTTGCCTACAATTGTCTTGTCTTGACATTCTGCTGCCTGAATCAGCTGAAAGCCCTTTTTATTCCACAGAAATGTTCTTTTTTGACCAAGCCTAAAGGCCATACTTAGAAGCAGAAAATACGAAACAACCCCTGGCTCTGACCTTGTCTCCATCAGCCATCCAGTGTCTGGTCCACACTACAGCCCTGCCAGCTTCCTGACAAGCTGTGCATTTCTCATGGCACTTTCCACACCTGTTCTGCTGACCTCGGAGCCCCCCTGAATGGGCTTTGTAATTTCTCAACAAGCTGGTCTCAAAGCTCAGTGTGGATTCACTTCTCCTGAGAGCCTCATCAAAGAGTGGGGATCTTGCCATTTCTACACTATCCAAGCCTGCACTTGCCCTCTAGTTTTCCAAAACAATTTACAGGCACACACTTAGATGATCAAATTCTTAAAAAGAACAAGGATGATGAACAAAAAGAAACCAAGATGATGGTTACTCTGGAGACGAAAGATGAGAACATCATAGGGTGGGGCAAATTGGGGTTTCCAAAGTAGTGGTGATTTTTCAATTTCTTTACCTGAGTGTACTTATTTGTTATTCTCTAAACTATATAGGTACATTTGTATGTGTGTAAATATTTGTGTGTATATATATAATACACATACAAGTGCTGCATATGCTGTGTGATGTGTATTTATGTTTAGCACCATAAAGTCTATTATTTTAGCCCAAGATTACTCTCCAAGAATAATCCCTATTTTTTCATTTATTAATAAGCAACATTTATTGAACCCCTTTTACATGATATGACAGACCCTGATAAATCAGACAGCAGTGAACAAAAAAGACATAACCCATCTTCTCATGAACTTAGCACTAAGTTTAGGAGGGATAAGAGTAACACAAAATATCAAAGTATTAGATAGTGCTACAAGCTATTATAAAAATGGAACAAGTTGGTATGAAAGTGAGCATCAGTGTGTGTGGGGTAACAGGGAGTGCCAGCATGTGCAGGGTGACAGTGAGAGCATGTGCGGAGATGAGAGCGACAATGTGTGTAGGGGTGACGTGTTTGTGTGTAGGGCTAACTATGATAATCGGCATAGGCATGAAGTGAGAGTATGTGTAGGGGTGACAGTGAGTGGCAGTATGTTTAGAGGTGACAGTGAGTGAGTGTGTGTAGAGGTAACAGTGAGTGGCAATGTGTGTAGTGGTGACAGAGCATGTGTAGCTGTGACAGGGAGTGACAGTGTGTGTAAGGTGGCCATGTGTGACAATATATATGGGGTGACAGTGAGAGACAATTTGTGTAGGGGTGACAGTGAGAGTGTGTGTAGGTATGACAGTGAATGACAGTATATGTAGGGTGACAGTGAGTAAGAGCATGTGTATGGGTGACAGTCAGTGACAATGTGTATAGGGGTGACAGTGAGAGACAATGTGTGTACAACTGACAGTGCATGAGAGAATGTGCAGGAGTGACAGCAAGTGATAATGTGTGTAGGAGTGACAGCATGTGTAGGGGTGACAGTGAGGGGCAGCATGTGTAGGGGTGACAGTGAAGGACAGCATGTGTAGGGGTGACAGTGAGTGACAGCCTGTGTAGAGGTGACAGTGAAGGACAGCATGTATAGGGGTGACAGTGAGTGACAGCATGTGTAGGGGTGACAATGAGGGATAGTATGATTAGAGGTGACAGTGAGGGGCAGCATGCATAGGGATGATAATGAGGGACAGCATGTGAAGGGGTGACAGTGAGGGGCAGCCTGTGTAGGGGTGACAGGAAGTGACAGCATGCGTAGGGGTAACAGTGAGGGGCAGCATGTGTAGGGGTGACAGGAAGTGACAGCATGCGTAGGGGTAACAGTGAGGGGCAGACTCTATAGGGGTAACAGTGAGGGACAGTATGTTGGGTGACAGGGAGTGACAGCATGTGTAGAGGTGACAGTGAGGGGCAGCTTATACAGGGGTGACAGAGGGGGCAGCATGTGTAGGGGTGACAGTGAGTGATAGCATGTGTAGGAGTGACAGCGAATGACAGCATGTATGGGGTGACGGTGAGGGACAGCATATGTAGGAGTGACCATGAATGACAGCATGTGTAGGGGTGACAGTGAGGGACAGCATGTGTAGGGGCAACAGTCAGTGAAAATGTGTAGGAGTGACAGTGAATGACAGCATATGTGGGATGACAGTGAGGGACAGCGTGTATAAGGGTGACAGTGACGACCAGCATGTGTTAGGGTGATAGCAAGTGACAGCATGTGTAGCGGTGACAGTGAGCAAAAACGTGTAGGAGTGACAGTGAATGACAGCATGTGTAGGGGTGACAGTGCAGGGCAGCATGTGTAGGGGTGACAGTGAGTGAAAACATGTAGGAGTGACAGTGAATGACAGCATGTGTAGGGGTGACAGTGCAGGGCAGCATGTGTAGGGGTGACAGTGAGTGAAAACATGTAGAAGTGACAGTGAATGACAGCATGTGTAGGGGTGACAGTGAGGGACAGTATGTTTAGGGGTGATGATAAGGGGCAGCATGTGTAGGGGTGACAATGAGGGACAGTATGTTTAGGGATGACAGGGAATAATGGCATGTGTAGAGGTGACAGTGAGGGGCAGCTTAGGTAGGGGTGACAGAGAGGGGCAGCCTGTGTAGGCGTGACAGTGAATGACAGCATGTGTAGGGGTGACAGTGAGGGACAGCATGTATAGAGATGACAGGGACAGCATATGTGAGGTGACAGTGAGGGACAGCCTGTATAAGGGTGACAGTGAGGAACAGCCTGTGTAGGAATGATAGTGAGTGACACCAAGTGTAGGGGTGACAGGGAGGGACAGCATGTGTAGGTTTGACAGTGAATGACAGCATGTATAGTGGTGACAGAGGGGGGCAGCCTGTGTAGGGGTGTCAGTGAGGGCATGTGTGTGAAGGTGAGATGGAGTGACAGCATGTGTAGTGATAACAATGAGAGCATGTGTAGGAATGATAATGTATGTAGAGTTGAGAGTGAGTGACAGTCTGTGTGTGGGTGACCATGACAGTGTGTATGGGTTGATAGTGAGTGACAGCATCTGTTGGGGTGCACTTCAAACTGGGCAGGTCACGGAAATCCTCGCTGGGGAGGGGATATGGAAGAGGAAGCCTCAGTGAGAAGGATGCAGGCATGGGAGGATTTAGGAGAAGAGCAGCATGGTAATGGGCATAGCTAGTGCAGGGCCTAAGGCAGGAAAGAACTGGGCGCACAGGAGGTGCAGAGAAAACAAGGGTCACTGGAGGCTAGTGACCTGGGGAGGACACAGGAGGAAATAATAGCAACAGGCAGCCGCCAGAGCATGGAGAGCCTTATAGCCTGTATTAGGGGTTGGGGTTTAATTCTAAGAGTATGAGTAGCCAGTAAAGGGTCTTATGCAGGGGGGCTGATGTGATCTGATTTATAATTTGGGAAATATCGCTCTGCCAGCCGAAGGATGAGGTATTGTAGCATCGCCAGTGTAAGAAGAGCAGGAAGAGGCTATTGCAGTTGTGCAGGCAAGAGATGGTGTGATGTGAGGTACAGACATGTCCTTGCGTATGCAGAGACATGGGCCGCCTCTACTTGCAGCAGCTTGCTAAGTCCAGTCAAAGGTAAACATGAGGTCGTTTCCATGATTCTGCATAATAGTAGCAAGAGTGGCCATACTTAAGCCCGGTTTTGAGCATGTCACTCCCCAACTGTGAACTGTAGAGAAAAAAAATTCTAATCACGAGCTTCATGATCTTACAGCTCAGCCTCTCATTTTTATGTCTCCTCAATTACTTATTAAAACCTCTCATACTTTCTTAAAACGTGGGCAAGAGCCCTGCTCTAGTCCGTCAATATTCCACAGTCAGGGCACTGTCTTTAGCTCAGATTGGATGGTGTGAAATAAATAGGAATTTGACTTTATCCCCTTTGGAATAAAGCAGATTTTAATCTGGGACTTCTTTACAGGAATTTAGATAAACAAAGTAAAAATAAGAGGGTAGTTCATAGTACCGCAGAGGTACTATGCACAGGCTCTAGACTCAAAAGCACAGGCTCTAGACTCAAATTGTGTGATCCAAGTTGGAATTTAAGCTCTGGCATAAGCTGTGTGAACTTGGGTTGGTAATTTAACTGATCTGTGTGTCAGTTTCCTCATCTCCAAACTAGTGAATAATACTCATCCACGTGCTTGTTGTGGGGATTAAAAAAGGAAACCCATGTAAAGGGATTAGAGAAATGTTTGACTTATGTTCAGTGCCCAATAAATGTGAAGTATTAGTGCCATTTTAACCAGTATGCAAATTCCTGGGTTCTTTCTTTTTTCTTTCTTTCTTTCTTTCCTTCCTTCCTTCCTTCCTTCCTTCCCTCCTTCCTTCCTTCCTTTCTTTTTTTTTTTTTGACACAGAGTTCCGCTTTGTCGCCCAGGCTGGAGTGCAATGGTGGGATCTCGGCTCACTGCAACCTCCGCCTCGCCGGTTCAAGCAATTCTCCTGCCTCAGCCTGCCGAGTAGCTGGGATTACAGGAACCCACCACCATGCCTGGCTAATGTTTTGTATTTTTAGTGGAGACGGGGTTTCACCATGTTGGCCAGGCTGGTCTCAAACTCCTGACCTCAGGTGAGCCGCCTGCCTCAGCCTCCCAAAGTGTTGGGATTACAGGCGTGAGCTATTGCGCCCGGCCCTGGGTTCTTTCTTTTCAGTGATATATATTCCTCTGGTGAACTTTAAGCACTTTGCAGGTTGTTTTTCTTGCAACACTGTCTCTCAAGTTCCCTTTTCATGTGAGGAAACCCAAAGTAAAGAGTTAAGTGGTTTACTGAAGAAGGTATGGCAGAGAGTCACAGAATATTAGCAGGGGACATCTACATACCCAAGGGACTTTAAAAAATACTAATGCTTGAGTTACACCCTGAGAGATTTTGCTTTCATTTTTATGGTCTGTAACCTAAGCACTCATATTTTTAAAAATTCCTCAGGAGATTCCAGTGGGCAACTGGACCTAAGAATCTTTGACTTCTTAAAATCCATTTTACAGATGAGGAAATTGAGATACTCTGTGATTGAATGACTGGCCCAAATTAATCAATGTCAGGGATAGAAATAGACTCTGAGGACAACACAGAGATAGTCTTAAAATTCTAATGCATTAATAAAAGGAGCACGTCATAGTAAGTGATACATCTCTTAAGAAAGACCATTGTGACTTTAGCCTAATCTATAGTTAATATATCCAAGGAGAAGGTGATGTCTACGTGGAAGCACAAAGCAGGTTTAGCAGGAGCATCACACTGGCTTGCCTGAGACCATGGAACATTTATGCTCTACACCAGTGCTCTCAAGTTCTGGGTGAATGTTTACCAGTGTTCATCTAAAGATGAATTGGCTTTCAAAGCATGTTTCCCATGGGAGAATAAAAGGCGGGGGCCTGATTATCAGGTCCCATTTAGACAGATCTCCCGCCCCACCCACTCTTTTAGTGTTTGTTTTCTTATTTTCTTCACCCTCTGTTTCTCCTTATCAAAATAGACTTATGCAGGGCACCATCCCATTTTGTAAAAAGAGAAGATCTAAAGCTGTTACTTTTCTCTGCCTCCCTTTCACTGATTCTCGGAATCAGTGTACACCTGAGATCATGCAGGGTCTTAAAGCAAAGGGTTTAGGGTAATATTTTTCTTTAATGAGCTAGCCCCCAAACGCAGCCACTTTGAAATGGTAATAGTGATTGACGCTCTCTGTGGGAGAAAAGTTCCTGGGAATCCAGCAGTTTTCTCATCTAGCCCGGCTACATGCGCAGTTTCAAAACATTCCTAGTTATGTAAAAATTATAATATGTGGCTGGGTGCGGTGGCTAAAGCCTGTAATTTCAGCACTTTGGGAGGCCAAAGTGGGCAGATCGCTTGAGTCCAGGAGTTCTAGACCAGCCTGGGCAACAAGGTGAAACCCCATCTCTACAAAAAATACAAAAATTAGACAGGCGTGGTGGCTCATGCCTGTAGTCCCAGCTACTTGGGAAGCTGAGGCAGGAGGATTGTTTGAGTCTTGGATGCAGAGGTTGCAGTGAGCCAAGATCATGCCATTGCACTCCAGTCCAGGTGACAGAGGGAGACCCTGTCTCAAAAAAAAAAAAAAAATTATAATATGTTGTACTATGCCTTTCAACATTTACTGAAGAAGTTGGCAGAATCAAACAATGACTTATTTGGTGTCTTATGTACTAGTTCACAGAACTCTTCTAAAATGAACAAAAAAACTTGTCATTGTAATAGTTTATGGGTTATATGACCTGTGAAATTATATACACAGCCTGAGATGGATGATGTATCTGCTATAGGAATACTGAATGATGCAGTTTTCAGTTTTATTCATGAAGAAGTAAAATGTTTCAAAAATTGTTTCATATTAAATGGTTATTCAATTTCTTCAATGTGCATTTAGTTTTATCTGAAGGAATAAAAGGGGAAATACTGAAGGAAGAAGAGACAGTGTTGTTCAACTAAAGTTAAAGCAAGCCTCACTCCATGTTATCTGATTTGCATACCAATTAGGAAAGACTTATGACCAAAAAAAAAAGGGAATTGGACTAAAGGGAAGTACATACTAAACACGAAAACCAATTTCAAACATTCTGTTCTGATTGTGTTGATGACCAATTTCTGTTATGTACTTAGTAGATTTGAAGGAAGCTCAGGGATACCCCATCCATTGCTATCTCATGGACAAAGAAAGCAAGATTCACAGTTGTGTTACTTAATCAAGATGAAAAAGAAATAGGTATAAATCGTTTTATACCTATATGTTTTTGGGTTGTATGTGATCTTGGGGAACATATCCCTTGAGTAAGTCAAAGTATTTATGATCATATTTTTGATCTCAGAAAATAGGACCCCTTGCTTTGACTGGGTTGAAGCTCAATATTCATTAGTAACTCATTAGTAATTCATCTTCATACCAGCCTCACCAAGGCCGAGGCTCAGGAAGTTCCAAATAAAGTTAGAATTCAAATAGCTTAAAGTCTACCTCAAATTCAGCACAGAATTCCTTCGCTCAAACTAGTAGACCAGCTTGCCAAAGAAGATGGTAATCTGGATGAATAAAAATATATATCTAATTATCTCCATTTTTATAACATATAAGAATTCTCTTATTCATTCCCAATTTCTTTTTGGATTAAAATACAACTTACATACAGTTCACAAATTTTAAATATACAGCTTAATGAATGGTTACATAAAATACATCTCATAACTGCTACAAAGATCAAGATACAGAACTTTCCCAGCATCCAAGAAGGCTCTCTGATGCATCACTAGATCTATAGTAACCACAGCTCTTCTGACCTCTATCATATATCCATAGATAAGTTTTATGTAATTTTGATCTCATATAAATGGAATCATACAGTGTATAGTGTTGTGTATGTGGCTTCTTTAATTCTGCATTGTTTGTGAGCTTCATCCTGATGTTGTGTATATTAGTATTATAGTTTGTTCTTTTTCATTTCTGTGTAGTATTCCATCACATGAATTTACTATGCTTTACTCACTCATTTTACTATTGATGGACCTTTGGGTTATTTCTAGAGCCTTGAGTTATTATGCCTAAAGCTGTTATAAAAAGAAGTGATACTTATTTCTATTGGGTGTGTACACTCAATGAATGAAATTCCTGGGTCTTTTTACTTTTTCTTTCGGCATCTTCTCTTTTAGTCCCAGACCATAATTTAACCTTTCTAAGTTGTCATATGAACCATAATAATGTTTATCATTTTAGGCCAGAGAAGTGTTCCAGGTGGCAAATTTCATGTCTTAAAAGGGTCCGCCAGTAGGGTTATGCTTTTCGTAGCTCATTCCTATGGGAACCCTGATGGATTTTGCTCTCCTTTTTCCTTCTCCCCAACTTCTTGTTATTTGTGTATGTATATCTCCCCAACTCCTCATGATATAAGAAGAAGAAGAAGAAAAAAAAAGATAGACTATTGAAGGGGACATCTAAGAATGTTTTTCTCATCTATTCCGCATTGAGATAGTGTTGTAGTACAACAGAGAAGTGCTGGGTCAGAATGAAGGGACTGGATTTTTATATCCAGACCAGGCTTCTGCTTTCTAGGCTGGAGGCTATGGATTAAATCACATCAGTTATCTGCACTTCAGCCAGGGGGTTAATTTGCATCAGTGGTTTCCAAACATGGCTGCAAATCAGAATCACTTGGGGAGGCTTTAAAGTTTGTTTTGTTACAAAAGTGGCATATGTTAGTGGAAAATATCAAATAACACAAAAGACTGTAAAATAAAATGTAAACATCTTTCCCCTCACAGTCTGCATAATATCTCATTTTCCTACCCATAAATTCCTAAATGTTGTTCTAAGGTTTTAAAATAAAGATCTCTGGGCCCCACTCCAGAAGTAATGAAGGAGAATCTTCAAGGTCCTAGAAATTTACGTATTTGTTTAAAACTTCATAAATGATTTTGATAAACATTCAAGTTTGGGAATGAATCTCTTGATGAACATCTGAGACCCATTTCAGTAAAATCCATCCCCTACACTCTACAAATTATGTGATTTAAGTTTGCCAACTGCTACCAGGATTGGCCCTAAGCATAACTAAAGCAACAATGGTTTTATTTTTACCTGTTCCTATTCATGTTTTCTCTCTTCATCTTTAGCTGCTCAGTTTTTTTGCTTTAAAAAAAAATTTTCTTTTTTTGAAACGGAGCTTTGCTCTTGTTGCCCAGGCTGGAGTGCAATGGCGCTATCTCAGCTCACCGAAACCTCTGCCTCCCAGGTTCCAGTGATTCTCCTGCCTCAGCCTCCTGAGTAGCCAGGATTACAGGCATGCTGCATCATTCCTGGCTAATTTTGTATTTTTAGTAGCGATAAGTTTCTGCATGTTGGTCAGGCTGGTCTCAAACTCCTGACCTCAGATGATCTGCCCGCCTCAGCCTCCCAAAGTGCTGGGATTACAGGCGTGAGCCACTGCACCCAGCCGCTTTAAAATTTTTATAACTCTTTGGGCCACAGAGTGAAAAACTTTTAGTTGGAAGGTAGTGACACATTCTATTAAAACTCTAGTTACTTTTTGGTTAATCCCATAAACCGATTAGTGTTAATAAATTTGTTAGCTACTAAATGCATTACCTTTCCGAGGTAACATAATGCTTTATGCTAAAATGTAAATTCCCATGATACCCTTAACAAGTAGCATGGGGTTTGGCGGCTCCTTCCAAAATAGCCAGAAAGATGCTTTTAGTCTGGCAAGCTTTCAAATAAAATTCACATACACAAACATTTGTTCATTTTTACCGTCACTAATGTTACTCAGTTCAAGTATCTGAAAAAGGGCATGGGTTAAAAGAAATGGATACTAACTGACACACAAGAAATTGCTGGGAACTTAAATCACAATTAAGTAAAGTGGTTGCTATCACCAATTAATAGGAGAGGAAGATTTACTTAGATGAAAGATCCAGTCCATATTACACTACAGAACAATAAACTACTTCCTAAGCCCTTTACTACCCAAACCGTATAACTGTAGAAGAAAAAGCAGGAAAAGAAAACCTAGACATAATTGCTGTGATTAAAAAGGAACTGAAAGGAGACAATAAATATGTATTTTGCGAGGCCAAAGATTGGGAAGTAGGAAAATATAGAATTCAAGACATAAAACATAATCCCTACAAATGACAATGATCCAATAATTCTATTTTGAATATATACAGCATTTCTTTTATAAACTTGAAGAATAATTATATCCATTACATCAAAAAAATTCTATTTGAGGAAAGTGCCAGTCATTTTCCCTCCATTTTATTTTCCGTTAGAAAAACTAAAGTAATAAGGGGTTAAGCAACTTTTTTAACTTCAAAGGGCAAAAGCTGAATGAGCACCAGTTGTCCTGCCTTCTAGAGAAAATCATAATTTTATACAAACATTGTATAAATTGCCTTTCTTACAGATGTATGCCTAGGCAGGTGAGTGTGTATATTATTTGGAGGGGTGGCTAATACTGAAGTTAAATATAGTGGTGAGAATGTGGAGCACATCAAGTTCATAGCTTCACAACTTCATAACCTCCTTCACTGTAAGATTTTTGTCCAGGACACCCCTATTCTGCCTTAACACCTTATTCTATGAGGCTTAGCTCAGGTCTTGCCTTCCCTGACCACCCTCTGAGCTGGATGCCTCTTTCCTTTACCTCCACTGTCCCTGTCCATAATCCTGTCTTTCTTAGGCATTATCACTTTGATCTGAAATGTTCTGTGGGCGCAGCAGCCTCTCTACTTGGCTTTAAGTGCTGCAGGGAGCTTATTCACTCTTGCATCCTCATCTCTTAGCACAATGCCTGGCATAATGTCAGTGCTCAGCAAGTGTTAATAATACGTCCTGTCCTTCCAATGTCCAGTAGTTATTTCAGTAACTAAATCCTCTTTTTTAAAACCACCTTATGCAAAGTTAATCCTCTGTGGTTCAAAAAGTTCCAAGACAACTTAAAAGACAAATTTTCCATTACTTTGTCATCTCATCTGTCGAATTCATCTGTAATTTGTCTAATTCAGCATCTCCCACTGTGTGTGTTCCCATGAGTTGGACTCCAAGAGATGCTCTTGGTAAGCGTATCTATGTGGGAAACATGTTACTCAATCTAGCAAGGCAGCCAGTGCAGTGGTTTAGCACACAGGTGCTGGGGGCAAACTGCAGGCTCTGTCGGGCAAGTGATCATTCTGTGTGCTTCTGTTTCCTCTTCTGTAAAATAGGACTAATAACAGTTTTTCTCCCTCACAGGGTTGTTGCCAAGATTTGCTGAGTATTACACAAAAGGTTTGGAGTACTTAGTGCTAGGAACATACTGACTACTATTATTAAGCAAAGTTAAACAATTTCTTTTTCTTATTTGGTTTTATTTTGTTTGCTGGCTGTAAGACTGCTGAGAGCCTTTAGCATGCTGATGTACCCATGAATCTCCAGGGAAGCAGTATTCCCCACATTTACTTGATGGAAGAGCTGCTAGCATATCTCAGGGGTAATGGGCCTCAAAACATACCTTAGGAAATTCCTATTTATAAATTTAAAAGAACGTTAACATTTTCCAAACCCAAATTGGGACACTGATTTGACCTGTATGGCTATAACTTGGGAGCATTGGTACATAATATTAATATTTGAAGAGAGGACTGGTCTAGCAACACAAGTAAATAATAATAATAATAATAAAAGCCCAAGACCTATGTGTTACTACAATTAAAATATTTCTTTTTTTAAAAAATCAAAGTACAAGTGAAGTGACTTTTATTGATATTAAAGTGGGAACTGCAAATATGGCCCAAATAAAAAACCATGTAGGCTTTACGTATTATTTTCTGACACAGTTAAAAAACTATTACTTGACAAAGATGAAGGGCCAGACTTCCTTATTCAAAACCTCACGCCATTTATCTTAATTCTGCTGCATCTGATACTGACTTCCTCTAGAGCCAGGAAACTTTGCAAGTATTAAATAGCGTGAACGAAGGAGGGAAAGAAGGAAGTAACCCACCAAAGTGAAAAAGAGGAACAAGTTCTAACCCAATGCAGGTTTAAAACATAACCAAAAGAACAAAAGAGAGAGCTTGACACACCAATCTTGAGGTAAGTAAGAACCTGATTTAAGGTATTTGGATGATTAAACACTATAAGAAACAAGTTTGTCTTTAATTAATCAATGATTTTTATCTTACTACAGTTTTTAGAAAAAAATGCCTTACGTAGCTGTAAGGGGGAAACCCAATTTACAAACTGAGAGTGATGTTAATGTTTCTTTACAATATGATTATGCTTTGCTGTTACCTTGTTTCCAAACAGCAGGGCATTCTCTTACTTGAAAATTCCTGAAGTTTCTCAACAATTTGCGATTTTAAGAAAAATGTCAAATTGTTAGGTAACCTGTTGGAACTGCTTTCCAAAATGAAAACAGAGTCTTCTTTCAAACTGGTCAAAGTGAACATTATTTAAGTGTTAAACTATATTTGAATGGTTATTGTTTAAAATATGTTTTTCATTATAGTAGGTCTTTGTTCATGTCTCACAGGTTTTTTCCTCTAATGTTATTTCGAAGAAAATGATGCATTTCTTTTTCTGTAAAAAGTCTTCTTGTCTTTATCTTGGTAAATATCTCTTAGACAAACAATTTTAATATTTTGGATGTACCAGAATTTCTACTCTACATAGAATAACATAGATGGTAAAAATGCCTTTTCTTCTTAAAAATTAAGAGAGTAATTTATTGCCTTATCCTCAGCTACAGAAGTGACAATAGTTAGCCTTCCTCAACCCTCACCGTGACTTCTGTTGCAGGCCTAGTATCTTTCAAAAAGTTGATTAATTTCAATCAATACTTAAAGTGTATTTTGTAAATTTATTTCAAATATTCTGGCAAATAACTTCTTAAATCATTAACCATGTATACCATAAAATATCTTGCAGATAATTGGTGCTCATCTGTTTCAGACAGGAAATGAGGTCCTAATGATTAAAGTCATTTGGCTAAACTTTTGTCCTTGAACACAAGCACGGCTGGCCTTATAAAGGAGGGACCCTGCAGATTGTAAATCTTATGTGGCGGACCATACAGTTCTCAACCTCAATATTACTCCCAAAAATTCCAAGGAGATTAAAATGTTTCTGCATCTGGGGTGCTTGTCCCTGTATTTTTATCAAAAAATTGTATAAATTAGCTGCACATCTTATTTAATTTTCTTTTATGAAATGTCAAATTAAATATTTGCATATTAATATATTCTAACCTTGGACAAATTTATGAACGTTCATTACCATTAAACTTTTCATGAAAACTCACTGAAAGCAGAGCACCACTTTGTGAATTTCTATTTTTCTTCTCATTGTTACTATTATTATCCCATAAGGAGATTACTTCATTCATTAACAAATGTCTAATAGATTAGTCATTCTGTGTCTAATGCTGGTGTTGGTAATACAAAGGTAAATAATATATGATTTCCAACCTTCGAGAACCTCAGAGCTAATCAAGCTATACAAATTTTCTGACTGATGCACTTAGTAGCATGTTACAGATATTTGGATAAATAATATTTTGGGGAAATTTTTACCTGAATTCTCATTCAGTCACATTTTGGTTGTAAGGAAGTTACTTAACTTCTTTAAGCCTCTCTTCTTATCTATAAAATGGTGATATGAATAGTACCCACTACATATAGCAGCTATAGGATTAAATGAGATAATCCCTGTAACAGTTTTTAAAAGCTGAAACTCTTAACTAAACATTATTGATGATAATAACATTCCATAGATGATAATAATCATTTCACAGGCACTGTTGGATCTATGTCTATGTCTAGACTGAAAATATACAGTAATAATGTTTTGTTGATAAAATCACAATGGAACATGCAGCCCAGTTGAACACTTCCCCTTCTTGTCTCCTTGCCATTTTAAAGCATCAACAGAAAACAATGTAAAATCATCTTGCATGGAAGTTATTTTCTGAAAGCTATGAGAAAACCTGTGATACTAAGGATTTTGAAAATACATTGGTTTACTTTAAAGATCTCATTTCATGTTTTAAGTATAAACTACACCCTTGAGTTTTAAACTATCATCTTAAGCAATTAGATGCTGACATTTGCAGTCATTTTTAAATGCATTATTTCATTCAATAAATATTGATTGGATGCATTTTCTGTGCTAGGTGTTGTGCCATTCTCTGGGAACATACAGATGAAATGACCTGAACCCTGCCCACCATTTAACCAAGTAAGAATACAATTCTCTCTCATTTAGGTTATCACGCTATAATAGAGAATGGACTCATTAATATGGGATTACAGAGGAAGGAATGGTTAAGAAAAAGACATGGCCTCTGACTGCTCCAAAAAAGGATAAGCAGGGCTTCACAGAAGAGGTGACAGGTAATAAAGATGATTGCACGTGTCTGTATATGTCCCTTTTTTTCTATTGTGCTCAGAACATTATCTTTCACTCAAAAATTGTTATCCTAATTGTCAAAAACTATGTGGAGATCTAAGTGATAAAACCACTCAGGGTTGGGCAGGGACAGGATTTTTCTAACTCTTTTTCCTTTCATCACAACGGGTAGTATATTTTATATTAAAAGCAGAAGCTCACTATATGCTGGTGTTTAATGCATTGGTGAAAATCAGTAATTTTTCTATGTTAGATAATAAGTATGCAATTAACATATTTTTAATTTATAGCAGGTTTCTGGATGGCAGATCATTCAACCTTCTTTTTCTTGAGTTTTCTACTCTGCTGTCATCTTCCACTCATTTCTGCTTCATTTTGTGATTCGTTAACAGAAAAGGAAGTGGAATGGAATAAAATCCCCCAATACAGTACAATTATACATTAATGGCTGTAATGTGAAGAGCATCACACACGAAGAGAGCCATCTTCCAGAAATAAGTTTATACACTCTCTCCTCTAATTGCATCAGGACTTTACCAGATAATGTTCTTCCAGATCTGAAAAGGAAAATGCCTAAAAGAGCTTCCAAACTCATTTTTGAATAATACTAGGCTACAAAGAATTACACTGTGAATTCATTAAGGGTAACACCAAATCACTAAACAGCACTGTTTGTACAGAAATGTCGAAAAGCTGTGGAAATAATTTAGCGGCCATTTCTGTAGGAATTTCGCTTCTTTTACTCTTAGTGGTTTGTGGAATTGGGTGTGTTTGGCACTGGAAACACCGTGTTGCCACACGATTTACCTTACCGAGGTTTTTACAAAGGAGAAGCAGCAGGAGAAAAGTCTGTACTAAAACATTCTTGGGCCCCCGCATCATTGGCTTAAGGCATGAAATCTCAGTTGAAACCCAAGACCACAAATCTGCTGTCAGGGGAAATAACACACACGACAACTATGAAAATGTGGAAGCAGGTCCTCCCAAAGCTAAAGGAAAAACCGATAAGGAACTATATGAAAACACAGGGCAGTCTAATTTCGAGGAGCATATCTATGGAAATGAGACATCTTCTGACTATTATAACTTCCAGAAGCCTCGTCCTTCTGAAGTTCCTCAAGATGAAGATATATACATTCTTCCAGATTCATATTAGCTTTTCAAAATATTGACTTTTGTTATTGGATGATAAATATTCACTGTAATTTTTCAACAGCAAAGACAAGGAATCAAACTAAATGTTGATCAACTGTAGACTGGATAAAGAAAATGTGGTACACATACACCATAGAATATTATGCAGCCGTAAAAAAAGAACAAAACTAACATGGGAACAGAAAATCAAATACCACATATTCTCACTTAAAAGTGGGAGCTAAATAATAAGAACACATGGAGAGAAGGAGAGGAACAACAGACACTGGGGCCTACTTGAGGGAGGACAGTGGAAGGAGGGAGAGGTTCAGGGAAAAAAAAAATATCAGGTACTATGCTTAGTACACACATGATGAAATAATCTGTACACCAAACCCCCAAGTCACAAGTGTTCCTACATAACAAACCTGAACATGTACCCCTGAACATAAAATTATAATTAAAATATTAAAAATAATTCACTGTGATTTTTATTGTACTGATGCCATTCTTAATCAAGTTCTGATAAGTGGATGGTCTCTGCCTATCTCCACCTTTCTGAATCCTATGTGTATCGCTGTGGATTAATTCTAGATATCTTCTCCACCCTCCTTGCACCAGACTAAATCTGTATTATGTGATATTGATTCTTCCTTCTAAATATTACCCGTTATCTCTTTCCTTTATTTCTACCATTATCTTTATCTGGCTCAGAATTATTGTCATAGGCTCCTAACTGTTCCTCCTGCTTCTAGTTTCTACCCACTCAATCAATTACCGATGGTGTTGCCAGATTTATCTTCAGAAAATATTCCTAACAGCCACATTATTTCTTTCACTTAAAATGTTTTAATGCCCCCTCTTTGCAAAAGACATAATACCCATAATTTGAACTCCAAAATTTATGGTTTTCCACAATTGGTTCCAATTCACTTTTCCAGTGACTTCTCTTACTATCTCTCATTTCTTTGCCTTCAGCAGAATCATCTTAAAACCTGCCAAACTTATCCTTCCTTCACAGCTTTGCTTTTCTGCCTCTTCTCTCAAGCCTGCTTCAGATCATAAGTTCTTCCACACATCTCCTGAATCACTCCAAACCCGCATTTACCTTTTTATTTTCTGATATAAGCTTTGATGCCTCTTCAATTCTTAGGACATTTAAACATATGAATGTTGCCACAGCATTTTATTACCTAGCTTCATATGAAAATGTCTTAAATTCCCACCTAAATGAAAAGAAACTGCCCAAATGCCTAGAACATCACATAAGGCACTAAATGCCTCATGTTTTACTGACGGGAATTGAATTGTACATTTTGCTGAGTAGTTTTGAGAAAAAAATCTAATAAATTCATCTGTTATTCATCCATACAAGGAATATTTGTTGTGTCTTCTATCTACTTGCTATTGTGCTGTGCACCTGAGGGACATGGGTTGGTGGAGGGGTTACAAAATTAAAAAGAGAGACATGGATCCTGAACACATACAGTCTAGTAGGAAAGAAAACATAGTAAACAAATGAATACGATGCTGCTCATGAAGCTATGATAGCTCATCTCTAAATCCACTCTTTTATTTGCTCCTCTGAATTGCTTGACCTGGGCCTCTGCAAACATTTCTTTTGCCAGGTGGATCCATTCTATTCTCTACCAATAGGGGGCACTAAGGAAGACCGAAAGGCAGTAGGAGGCAACAGGGAATTGCTCCTGCCTATTCTTTCTGTTGCCCCCGCAGGAATTTATTGCCATGTGGTTTACTCCAGCATCACTGGTTGTTTGCAGCTTTCTAGTTTCTTCCATCATTCCCAGGACCAGCTTCTCTGCAACCTGTCAGAAGCACCAGCACCAGCCAGGTGGCACCCTCCCTTAGACTCTGACAGCCAGACTCTCCTTCAACCTCCTGAAGTGGTGCAGGAGACAAGTGGTACCCTCAGAGTTCTGCGTCCCAGCCTGGCAGGGCTCCTCCTCTGAGGTCTGGTAACTCTCAGCCAAGATTGTTACAGTTACTATCTCTGTGGTACCTGTGTCCCCTTTTTTGTTTTTCCATCCTGCCAATGCCTGTTTAGCCAATTATCTATATTAAATTCTCTCTGTTAAAACAAATTGATATGGTTTCTGTTTTCTAAGTGTACCCGGGATGATACATATCAAAATGGTAGTAGGTGCTTTATAAAAAATTCTTTCTGTTTTTGAAACCAATGGGGTTGGGTAGGAGAGACTGTTTTAATTTTAATAGGGTGGTCAAAGGAGGCCTCACTGGAGACCATTTAAGCTGAGACTTGAAGGCAGAAGGAAGCTATAATAAATGTGATGGGCAGAGAGTAAGAATGGGACCCACCCGTGAAAAGAATCTGGGGCCTAAGAGAATTTATGGTGCTCTAGGAAGCCATTGTGGCTGGAGTTTCCTGAGGAAGGGTTGGAGTGACACCTGCTGCGTTGGTGAAGGAGGGAATGGGAGACCATGAGCTTCTCATAAGTCTTAGTACGTGGCTTTGACTCTATTATAGGTGCAACGGGAATCAGTAAAGGGTTTTAAGCAGAGACGTGATGATGACACTAGCATTTTTAAAAGATTTACTGGGTTGAGAAGTGACTGGAAAGAGGCCAAAATGGAAGTGGGTAGGATAGCTAAGAAGCTTCTACATTTAAGTTAGACTAGAGTGGCTGCAGTGCAGATAAAGACATTGACAATGCTGCCTGTCCTTCAAGGAGACGGCACAGGACTTACTGATGGACTCAGTGTGTGTGCTTGATAGGGGAGGGGCAAGACTGGAGTGTGGGAAAGAGAAGAGTCTACAGGGATAATTGCAAAGTACTTTACAGAGATGAGGAAGACTTAAAGAAGAAACAGGCTTGGAGGCCACATCAGTTAGGAATGAGTTGGGCTGCTAATGACAGAAAACCACACTCCAGGGGCTTGGACACTGATAGTTCCATTTATTTCACCTAACAAGGAGGCTACAGTTAGGCATTTGATGGCTAACATCAGCTCAATGATACCATATAGAAAGACCCAGGCTCTTTCTCTATTTCCTCTCTGCCACCCTTAGTGTTTCAACTTTTATCTTCATCTCTATTGCCTCATGGCCACCATACAGCTGCTGAATCTTTAAGCCTTCTATTCATGCTTCAGCCATGAAGAAGAAATGAGGGGAAAGAGCAGAACCAGGAGATATCTACTTATCTCATTGCTCAGAATTGTGTCACACAGACACCATCTGGTGTAGGAGTGCATGGACAATTGAATTTTTACCTTTGGTAACCTCATAGAGTGGGCAGAAAAAGAAAAGTGGAGTTGAAAATAGAATGTGACTCAGTCAACCTCTAATTCTTGCGACAAGGGCAAAACTCAGTTTTGAACATATTTATTTTGACATTTCCTGAAATATGTCCTGAGACCCAAGTAGAAATATCCAGTTTGCCGTTGTATGTGCACATTTGGATTTTAGAGGAGAGGTCCTGGCTGGAGATGTAAATTTGACAGTCATGAGCATTTAGGTGGTATTTACAGGAATAAGAATGGATGCCATCTCCTGGGAAGACACCAGGGGGAGCACAGAGTCGGGAATCAAGAAAGGAGGAAAGGGAGGAATCTAGAAGTTTTCCAGAAATTGTAGTATTTTGAGGATAAATTAATGAGGAGACTCTGGTATAGGTGGCTGAGAAAGAGTGGCCAGTTAGGAGATCTCTATATGGCATCATTGAGCTGATATTAGCCATCAAAAGCCTAACTGCAGGTTCCTTGTTAGGTGAAATGAATGGACTATCAGTGTCTAAGCCCATGGAGTGTAGTTTTCTATCATTGACAGCTCAACTCATTCTTAATACAGCCTCCAAACCTGTTCCTTCTGTAAGTCTTCCTCATCTCTGTAAAGCACTTTGCAATTATCCCTGTATACTCTTCTCTTTCCCACACTCCCAGTCTTACCCCTTCCCTACCAAACACACACACTGAGTTCATCAGTAAGTCCTGTGCCATTTTCTTGAAGAATGGGCAGCATTGTCAATGTGTTTATCTGCGCTACAGCCACTCCAGTCTAATGTAAATGTAAAAGCTTAAATGTAAAAGAAGTAAAGTCCTATGATCTCTAAGAATGGTGGTTTGTGTTGTAAAATATGTGATGTATTGACATTTGTCCATTATAATTGATTATCCAAAGTGTCAAAAGATGAAATTTCAATAGATTAAGTTTAAAGATTGAGCTAGTTTTATCAGCAATTCATAAATCTGGCAGCATCCCATTTGAAGGTTTAAACAGGTACTCCATTGGGCTTGGCAGAAGAGTCCATTTTCATAAGGCAACTTAAGCAAGGACGATAAAACAGTATAATATAAAAAAGAGGATTGGTTAACATCAGGTTACTTTAGGTTACTTTTCTTGCAATTACTGAAGCACAGGGGACTTCCTTATCATTCAGGCTAAAACTGGTCTGTTTGGGGATTTGGCTATTATCTCTCTTCTGATGTCTCAGAAAGTCAGATAAACAAGTTTCAGTTTGGTGGGATGGAGCTTTGGCCTGAGTGACTCCATTTACATTTGGTCTGTTGGAATCTAGTGCAAAAGCTCACTAATCTAATCAATGGACTCGCATAAATTTCATTTAACAAGAGATGTAGTGAATATTTGACGTTTGTTTACTCTCTTTGACCAGAAAAGATAGTAAAAGAAGTATTTAGTCAATGGTTCTTTACCTAATTCTTACCTTGACTTCCTTTTAAAATTAATTGTAAGTTCTTTATCAATTGCTGAGGGGAATAAAGAAATACATCATTCAAGTTTCTCTTTTTACTATACATACCCTCCATTCTTCACCCCCTCTCCTATCCTGTCTTCTCTCCCTCCCTCTCTCATTTCTCCTCCTTCATCAATATGCTTCCTCCACCTCTTTCTTCTCTTTTTTCTAACTCTATCTTTCTCTTGCCTTCAAATTCCTATCTCTTATCTGCATTCTTTATTACAGCATTTCTTTGCCTTCTCAAAATCTCAAAAGTAAAGCTTGTGCACAGGAAATAAAGATGATAAAGTCTGTCTGCATCAGTTGAAAGCAGCAGTTTCTCGTTTGGGTTACACTATTTAAAAAAGGAACCACATGTAAACAATTTAAAAGGAAGGATGTTGGGGGTGGGGGAAAAGAGACAGTAGCATCGAATATACTGAGTATGACTTTGTTACAGACACACTTAGGTGTGTTCACATTCCATGACTTACAGCCAGTTCAAGACTGGCCAGCATCCAGCAACAATGAGCACCTGATGTCTTGACCTTGCTTTCAGCCTCCAACATGAAACATTTTACTGCAATTTGCTTTATACTTCACTTCTCACCCTATTATTGATCTCCACAACAATTGGATCCCTGATAAGCCCATTGAAAGCCTTGCTTTACAACCTCTCAGTTACTTCTTTGACCAGGGCCTGTGGGCAGATTGGGATACTGGGCTCCAAGGAGGAGAGCTAAAAGAAATCAAAAAGGGGAGGTGATGCCTGTATCCACATTGTTACAGGCTGGAGGTTTGTGTTCTCTGAAATTCATACGTTGAAGCCTTACTTCCCAACGTGATGGTATTTGGAGGTGGGGCTTTGAGAGGAATTAATAATTAGGTTTAGATGAGGTCATCAGGGTGCAGCCCTCATGATGGAATTAGTGCTCTTATAAGAGAACAGAGTTCTCTCTCTTTCTCTCTCTCTCTCCTTCTCTCTCTCTCTCTCTTCCTCCCTTCCTTCCACCACCCCCTGCCCCCACCTCCCAGCACCATGTGAGGACACAACATGAAAGCAGCCATCTGCAGGCCAGAAAGTGGGTTCTTACCAAGAAACAAATCAGCCAGCACCTTGACCTTGGACTTCTCAGACTCCAGAACTGTAATAAATAAATGTCTATGGTTTTAGGCACCCAATCTATGGTCTTTTGTTATAGCAGCCCAAGCAGACACATGTTAAACTGCTATTCTAAGCCGTAATAACTTTTTCTTTAAATTCAGAGAGTGACAAGTCTAATATTTAATTTTTAGTGCTTACCTTACATGATCACTTTCTGGTATTGTACTCTTGCTCCCTCTTTTTCCCCACTTAACATCCTTTGAAGCTTGCTTTTCTCTTGTACAACCTTCAGTGGAGTGGTTCTTCATGATCTTTCCTTGGTTCCCAGCTCCTTTTCCTATTCCTCTTTCCCTCGGTGATCAAGACATTTGTATTTGAACTCTTCTGCTCCAATATTTTTTTGAAGCATTTAACCATATAGCTCAGCATCTACTACTTATTTTTACCTGATGTCCTTCAGATATCTGAAATCCAACATGGGCCAAACTAATGGATTGGGGTCAAGATTGGAGTGTCACTCAGAAATAGAGATGGAACTGTGATGGAATAGAAGACTCAGAGATAAAGGGAGGATATCCATTGCATAGGTTACTTAATAATAATTTTAAAAATTTAACCATTCAAAATGTTCAAGTGTCATAAACATCAACCTCAAAATATCATGGTATCAGTATACCAAGTATGGTAGTCTCCCTTATTAATGGGGAAAATGTTCCTGCACCTCCAGTGGATGTGTATATACACTATATTTTTTCTATATGTTTGTATCTATGATAAAGTTTAATTTATAAACTAGGCATAGTAAGAAATTAACAACAATAATAAAATGGAACAATTACGCCAATACTCTGTTCAAAACTTCACGGATAGAAATTCATTTTTACCATCAACTTTAGCTAACTCGGGATACAACTTTTTTCTTCCTTAAGTCAAGAACTTTTACCTTTCACTGAAAGGAAGCACTTTACAGCTTCTCTTTGCCATATCTGAATTGCCAGCATCACTCTTCTTGTGCATTAGGTGATTTTAAAGTAAAATAAGGATGAATTGAACACCAACACTGTGAAATGTGACAGTCAATCTGATAACCAAGCCTGTCACTCAGTGACAAAGAGAAAGGAAGCATCTATGGCATGGAGATGCTGGACACAGGAATGATTCACATCCCAGGCAGGACAAAGTGAGATGAGGCAAGATTTCATCACACAACTTAGCACAGCACACAATTGAGAACTTATTGAATTGTTTATTTGAAAATTTCCATTTAATACATATGGATCATTGTTGACCACTGAAAACTGAAACTTAGGAACGTGAAACCACAGGCAAGAGGGGACTGCTGTCCTGAGTAGTGGCATCTTCAACATCAATACCTGACTCAAACAAACAGTGTGTGACTGCGATTCCCAGTCCCTGAAGCCAGGTGGTGTCACATTTGGAAAACAGTGTGTTTTTCCTCTTCCCTGGCTTCTGAGTGAGAAGCTCTAAAATGCACCACTGTGTATGTAGCAGCAAGAAGGGGTCCAGGGCCTGCTAGGCAGCAGGCTAGAGGACTTGTTTGACAACTACAGGTGCATGGCTTAGTAAAGCCATTTATTTTATTGAATTCAACACTTTCATTTACTGCTTGTTTTTAAATCTTCTTAGGATAGTTGTATTAAACAGAAGCTAAAAATTGACGTTCAATGGAATATGTCATGAAAAAGAAAATGACCAAGAATTTTGGAATTTTTTCACTTTGAGTATCAGTGAATATCTAAGATATCAGTAAAAAATAGGAAGACTGCAAATATATCTTGAATGAAAAGCACATGCTAGTGAACACCCATAGTGGGATGGAAAGGAGGTTGCAGAATATCAAGATTAGGAGACTTACAGCAAATGGCTTAGATGATCTAGCAGGGAAAAGTGCTTTCAGTCATGTAACAAATATTTATCAAATGCCTATGACGTAGTAAGGCCTAGGAGCGCACTGGGGATTCAGGAGTGGGGTTGTTGGGTGAAGGTTGGAGAAATGGACACTGCCCCAATACTCAGAATGTTCACAAACTACAAAAGAGGTATGCTATTTACAGGGGTTACTGAAGTACAATAATGGTACAATAAGGAAGCACATGGTGTAACAAAAGACCAAAGCCAGGGTGTAGGAAAGCTTTCCCATGGAAAGTGACACCTAAACTGATATCTGAAGGACAAGTAGGAGATAGCCAGGTAGAGGCTGAGGGAATGGTCCTCCAATAAGGGAGGAAAACATGTGAGGGTCCAGAGCATAGGGCGTGTTCAAGAATCTGAAAGAAAGTAAACACTTGAGCATCATGTGTAAAAGAAGGGTAAGAGGAAGGCAGTAAGCTGTGAGAAAAGCTCAGGTGATTCAGGGCTTTAAATAAGAAGTTAAGGAATTTGGACTTTATCCTAGTAATTGTGACATTTATGATATCAGAATATGATCTGAGAAGGCAGAAATGCTGCTGATTTTTCCAAAAAAAACCCACAAGGCATTGGAAGCAAAGAATTTCCGAGCTGCAATAGAATATGGGAAGCAAGATTTTGAAGTTGAGGACGTAAGACTTGATTTCAAGAAGCACATGTCAATGAGTTATAAGATAAATAGTGCTCTCCAGAGGTGTGTTTCTTTAAGCCTCTGCAGGTTTTAATTTAAATTCAGCTCCTGTAGTTTTGCATTTTAAGATTCTCCCAATAGAGAAGGGAATTAAGCAAATGAGAGAGCCTCAAACAAAAGGAAGCACAGAAGATGGTAAATTGCCAAATGCAATCAAGGCTGGTGAAGGTGTGACTGCAGCTCTTGACCCACATTGTTGCCATGGAAACCAAAGCTCGGTGGTCCTGGAGTGCTTTCCCTTTAAAAGGACAGATTGGCTTTAGAGAATAGTTAAGACTGCAAATTATGGATGTTGGATCATCCATTGTCACATGTATTCTAAATTCTTGTTAGTGACGGAGACAATGGCTACCTGGGTCTGAGGTGAACTCCCCAGCAGCCCAGAGGCTGTCAAAAGCGTAAGACTGAGACTCAGTAAAGGGCAGAGTTTAGCTGTTGCCTCAGGCTCACTTTCCCAGCTCCACCCTAGACTAAACTGGACTGACATAGAAGAGGAATACAATGAGCTAGGTTTGATCTGTTAACAAATGAGTTTTAAAATGTCATATTAGGAGATATGAAACTCATTTAAAAACATACAAATTTATGTTTGGTGTTTTTCTTCCTAGGTATTTCCAAGAAGACTGTAGTTCACTTTAAATGCCTAGCATTGGAGTGCCCTCTGTGCAACAGCACCGTATTTAGGCTTTATGTGAAGTATCTGTCTTAAATCACCAACAATTTCATCTCGCAGATATTGTTAATACTCCCGTTTTACAGGTGAGATGATTTGAACTTAAAGAAGTTAAAATTGGACCAAAGATCTTGGAGTGAATAAGAAATAGAGGCAATATTTCAATCCAGGCATTCTGATGGGATTGACTTACTCGAGTTTTTTTTTTAATAGTATTATTAGTAGATGATAATATCTTTTGTCTTCACATCATGGAATTTTGAATCTAGAAAATAACTTGGAAATCATCTAGACTGACTTTCTTATTTTGAAAATGATAACACTGAGTGCCAGAAAGTTTATGTGACTTTCCTAAGTTCACACACTGAATCAATGACTAACCCAGATCAGAATTCAGGGCTCCTGCAAAAAGGAATGCTGATACACTATTGGTGGGAATGTAAATTAATTCAATCTCTATGGGAAACAGTATGGAAATAAATATAGAACTACCATTTGACCCAGCAATCCCGCTACTGAGTAATTACTTTAAAAGAAGAAGAATTCAGGGCTCCTGGCTCCAAGGTAATTTTCAGTACATCTTGCTGCTATTCTATTGACTGTAAAAATACAAAATGTGTTTGTTTTGTTTTGTTTGTTTGTTTTTTGTTTTTAAACTCAAGTCTTCCTCATAGCATCCCTTTGAATCCCATTTCTAAGGACCTTTGTTTTTTATCTACTTTATTTTAGCTGGACGTTTTCTTCCCTACACCTAGAAATGATGCTGATTTTTCCAAATGTTAAGTAAAGATAGTCGTAAGAGAGCTGAGTATACAGATTTCTTAGTGCATGTGACTCTTGTGTTGCTGGAGCTATGTAATGAAGGCAATCAATCAGGAGTGGAGTGGTGTACAATATGTCCTCTTCTGGTCATTATTTCTTAAAATGTACTCCTTTGTCATCTTGTCTCATCTGGCAGTATTTGTCTAGACTATATACACTTTAAACTCAATTATCTGATAAGAGAAAAACATAACCAACAGAAGAGGAACATTCCTGGTGAGGGGAAGAGGGAGGGGTGCGAATATGTTTATAACAACTGCATTGCAACAAGAACATTGAAGAGAATATTTGAATGAACAATTAGTGACAAAGTAAATATCCTCTCCAAGCTGGCATGAAGAGGGTCTGAAAGCTATCTTCAGTCTCTTTGTTCCAGACAAAAATCAAGGCGAATATTGTGATATGCCCAGGTGAGTCTCCTTTTAAAATGAAATGATGAAAATGCTATAGCAAAGCAATAATTTCTGTTTCATTTACTAGAACAGCCAATTAAAGCTTAGAGCACAAGTTTGAAGGATGATAAGAAAAGTAAATGGGAGGGTGAAAATTTAGAAAAGGACAAATGAAGAGATGTACAAATAAAGAAGGCTTTGATGGAGTCATATAATCTCTTTGATTGTAATCAAAAGAGAACATTCTGTCAAAAATTAAAAACTCAGACATCTACAAGGGCTAGGCAGTGGACATATAGTTATGAAAGAGGCCTGCTGAAAGGCAGTGGTGCAAAGAGTCTTGCATGTTGAGCAAGTAAAACAGCTGCCCTAGTTGTATTATCTTTTCAGACATTATGTAAGCCAAACAATAATCAAGCAAATATGTACCTTAGCTCTAACCAAGATGTACTTAATTGTTTCCGCCATTCCTAATGCACCATGCACGTCTGTAGAGAGAGTAAATGTGGGCTGGGCAAGGTGCCTCACACCTGCAATCTCAGTGCTTTGGGAGGCAGACGAGGGAGGATTGTTTGAGGCCAGGAGTTTGAGACCAGACTGGGCAACAGAGAGAGACCCTCTCTCTACAAAAACAAACAAATTAGCTGGGCACCATGGCTCATGCCTGTAATCCCAGTACTTTGAGAGGCCAAGGCTGGAGGGTCACTTGAGACCAGGAGTTCTAGACCAATTTGGGCAACATAGAGAGAGCATAGCTCTACAAAAAATAAAAAACTTAGCCAAGCATGATGAAGCATGCCAGTAGTCCTAGCTACTTGGGAGGCTGAGATGGGAGGAGTTCTTGAGCCCAGGAGTTTAAGGCTGCTGTGAGCAGTGATCATGCCACTGCACTCCAGCTTGGATGATAGAATGAGGCTCCACGTCTCTCTCTAAAAAAAGAAAAAAAAAAAAAAAAGAACAAAGAAAAGAAAGCAAGCAAGCACAGAAAGGGTAAATACAGTTTTAATTTAACCTTCTAGTAAAAGTCATTTGTAATAAAACATTTTATAGTTCAAAGATACATAGTGTTAAAGGAAACCAGAGGGGAAGTGAGAGGTTCATTTAAGAACGATTTTTCATTTCCTCTTTTAATTAGCTGCATTGCTTAATATAGCAATACCTTCTTCCACATATGTTTAAAAAGAAAGCTTTGAGGCTCAATTTAGAATGCATCTTCTTGGTTGCACTTAGTGGAAAAAAATGAAAACCATAATAAAGATTGTATATTTTCAACATGTATATTGAGGTCTTACTCTTGCCTCCTTTTCAAGGTCCAGATTAAATCCCAGCTCATTTATGATGGCTTCTGAAAAACAGCGGTACAAATAACCTATTCATTTTCTGATTTCTTTTTTTAATCTAAATATCCATTTTTTTCCATGTATCTAGCCATACACTCACCTAACAAATATTCATTGAGAACCTATTTGCTGTCAGACATTGTGATAGGGACTGAGGGCTCAAACGTAAATAAGAACACCTCATGCCAACAGCCTAGATAAAATATATATTTAAAAAATCACACAAATAAATGCATAATTAGAAGCAGAAGTAAATGCTGTGAAGAAAATAAACCTGGTGGTTTGAAAGCTTTTAATTGAAGAATTTAAACTTGACTTATTCAAGCAGTCAGGGCAGGCTATTTAAACTGGATTATTAATGTATTAGTTATATAAACAGAATTTACCTAGAAAGAAAACAAAAGTTAGTGACTGCTTGCTATGGGGGAGGCCCATTGTTATAGAACTTTATCACCTGTGTTGGCTTGTTTATTTAAAAGAAAGGGCAAAATCTCAAATTGCTTTGAAGGGTTTATAAACTGCTACTAATAATAATTTGAAAGAAACAAAAATATTGGTTGAGAAAATTTCATAAAGACTAGTTTTCTCTAAAGGTCTGGTCTGGTGTGAACTTAAATATGTTGAGGCAGTGTTAACAGAGTGCAAAAAATTAATGAATAACATATAGCAGACCTATATTTGAATCACACTCCTGACGGATATTAGCTATGTGGCCTTGCGAAATTATTTATCCTCTCTGAACCTGGAAATCCACAGCTAAGAAATGGTAATAATAAGAACCTTGCCAGGTTACTGTAAAAATTGAATGAGATAACATATGAAAATGCCTTAAACACTATTGTTATTCATAACAATGATGCATGTGAAACATTAATTTCCTGTATTACTTGACGCAGTTACATTACCTACCTATTGTTGGACTTTTCACCACTAACGACTACCTTTTATGATTTTATTCTTCAAAGATTCTTTGCTTTCAAACATTTTGCTTAATAAAATTGTGAGAAATATGCCCACCTGTCCAAACCCAAAGAATGGACTTAGAGGCATGAAGAACAGTGAAGGTGAGACTTTTAATAACGTTCTGGCAAGATCAGTTGTCTGGAAGACATGCACACCTGGGCAATTACAACAGGTAATTTATCTGTTAGCACGCAAGTCCCTCCCACAGTTCCTCACTGGTCAAGTACTATGGGGTTACAGTCTTACCAGCTGTCGCCTAAGTTTCATTATCCCCCTTCCCTGCTTCAATTTCAACTTCCGAATAACAAAAGTTTCTTCCCTTTTGTGGGCTGACCCCTCCTCTACATTCTGTTCATTTATTGTGACCTTCTAAGGGCATGAGCCATGTGGTTTGTTACATTTGCAGGCTGGCTGCCAGTGCTTAGATTTATCATGCCTTGAAAATGGATCATTTAAAATGTTTTCTTACAAACTGAACTTTAATATGTAATATATTTCAAACATTTTTTATAATTATGTAATTTTAACCCACAACCAGAGCTTCTCATCAACATGATTACATTGACTTTATACATTTTCACATTAAAAACAGAAAGAACTACTTTTACTATTTTCATTTTTAAAACATTCAAAATAACTACTCATGTTAACAGTCCCTTCAAAGCAGCTCTTGTCCAAATTCCTTTCCAGGAAAAAAATCAAGGGTAAGGATGCTGATGCCAGAGCAAAGTTAAGGGGTGCTGGGTTGGAGATTGATGAGATAGGTGCTCCTCCAATAACACTGAGGACCTCAGTTGGGTTCCTATGCACAGTAGAGATCAGCTAAATCCCTAGTTTCAATATGTGTCAAAGGAAAATCATATGCATTTGAACTCAAAACCGTATTCTTCATTGTTTCTGAGGTTTCTGTTGATTCTACTGTTAGGTCATTGACTCAAATGTTTGGCCTGATTCTGTTACAACAATGAACTCTCATTTTCTGAAAATTGTCACATATTATTTTATGAGTTCCAACACAAACTATATCAAAAATATTCACAGTTAGGTCTATATTTCTACTCAAAAGTCATCAGCTTTTTGTGTGCCTTGCTGCCTCTCCTTGGCTGTTACATTATGTGAGCTTCTCTTCTTGGAGCATTACTGAGTGCCTTGAGAATTTCTCTTGATGGATGCAGAAAGAATAAGTAAAGAGAAAATAACCTTAAAAATTGTATCTGCCAACCCACAGAATGGGATAAAATATTTGCAAACTATGCATCTGACAAAGGACTAGTATACAGAATCTACAAGGAATTCAAACAAATCAGCAAGAAAGAAAACAAGTAATCCCCTCAAAAAGTGGACAAAGGACATGAATAGACACTTCTCAAAAGAAGACATACAAATTGCCAACAAACACTTAAAAATGTTCAACATCACTAATCATCAGGGGAGTGCAAATTAAAACCACAATGAGATACCATCATACTCCTGCAAGAATGGCTATTATGAAAAAGTCAAAAAACAAGAGATGTTGGCATGGATGTGGAAAAAGGGGAACACTTATACACTGCCGGTGGGAATATAAATTAGTACAAACTCTATGGAAAACAGTATGGAGATTCTTTAAAAAACTAAAAGTAGATCTACCATTTGATCCAGCAATCCCACCACTAAGTACCTACCCAGAGGAAAATAAGTCATTACATGAAAAAGACACTTGCACATGTATGTTTATAGCAGCATAATTCACAATTGCAAAGATGTGGAACCAACCTAAGTGCCCATAGACTACTGAGTGGATAAAGAAAATGTGGTACCTATACACCATGGAATGCTACTCAGCCATAAGAAGGAATAAAATAATGTCTTTTGCAGCAACTTGAATGGAGCTGGAGGCCATTATTCTAAGTGAAGTAACACAGGAGTAAAAAAACAAAAACTGTATGCTCTCACTTATAAGTGGGAGCTAAGCTATGAGTACACAGAGGCATACAGAGTGGTATAGTGGATTTTAGGGACTTAGAAGCAGGAGAGTGGGGAGGAGGATAGGGATTAAAAAAACTATACATTAGGTACTAAGTACACTACTCTGGTGACAAGTGCACTAAAATCTCAGAATTCACCACTATATAATTCATCTACATAACATAAAACACTTGTATCCCAAAAGCTATTGAAATAGCAATTTAAAAAATTGTATCTGCCTTTATTTGGGTCACAACATGATGGCATGAGACTTTTTTCAATTATCACAACTGGTGATAATCTATTTTCCCCCTTGCTGACTTGCTACTGTGAGTGTGTGTGCTTGCCTATGAATAAGATTGGCAGAAGAGGTTGTTGGCTGAGTCTAGGTAATTTAGGGTGTCAAAAGTCCCACTTACTGATCCCTACTGCCTATCACAGAGTCTGACACTCATGCCATTACAGAGTTTTTCTCCACTGCCAGGAGTCTCCAGTATTTCTTTATTTAAATGTACATATCCTCATACGATGTGCTTTTTAAGTATTATTCACAACCTATTACTTTGAAGAGTTAATGTTTCAGGTAAGTTACAAGGATTTGGACAAGCAGTATCAACCATTTGAGAAACAACTGCTTTTTTTCTAAGAAAAATGGTAGCTTAGTGCAGGGTTTCTGGGAGTCTGGTCTTAGTTCAAGGCGAGAATACTATACAAGATTAGATAATTCGGGGTAAAAATATACTATTAAAGGATTTAGCCAAATGTCCTCATACTGCTTTGAAATTCTTGCCAGGGATTTTTTTTTTTAATCCCTGACTTTAGTCATTATGTCTGCCTAATTCACACCATTCACCCTTTCAATTCCTCAGCACAGTATTAAGCTAAGAATACAGACAGGTGAAGGGCAAGTCTCTGTTCTTGAGGGTTTACAGTCTACTCAACCTTATATCATATACTAATATTGCCACCCATCATCTGATTTGCACTGTTAAGCCTGTAAACTCTTGGAGCCCAGTAGCATTCTAGTACAACATGCATACAAGTGTGCATATGCCAGGAACCATTCTAGGCCATAGTCACACAAAGATAATCTCAAATAACTCATAGATGACTGCAAATATCATATAAATAAACCAACGATTTTAGTACAATGTAATAAATGATATTGTTAGTAGAAGTGCAAACTCATAGCTTCATGAGCAAAGATGAGGAAATCTATTGCTGTCTGAAGAGTAAAACATGTCTACAGAAAGAAATTCATGTTGAGCTGAGTTTGGGATACAACACAAAACTTTATTACCTTGGAACTTTCTGGAAAAATTAAGTAAAAGATACACATCTTTTTTTTTTTATTTTGACGCAGTCTCGCTCTGTTGCCCAGACTGGAGTGCAGTGGCACCATCTTGGCTCACTGCAGCCTCCGCCTCCTGGGTTCAAGAGATCCTCCTGCCTCAGCCTAAGATATACATCTTTTGATATGAAAGATAATATGAGCATCGGAACTATGGACTCCCATCAAGGCATCATGAGCAAAGAAGGAGTATGATAATAAATTCTGGTTAGCTGGAGATCAGAGGGAGTTTTGAGGTTTGGAGAACACTAAAAGTGGGAAAGAGATTCAAGAAGAAGATGTGGGAAGCTGGCAAAATAAATGTTAATGCACCTTTTTTCTTAGTCTTTTTGTAGAAGATGTACATGAAAGTGAATATAGGCATTTTAAATACAGGGAATTTGATAAAGGAATTGGTTACTAAGGTGTTGGAGAATTGATGGAACTAAAAGGAGAAGGCGAGTTTATTCAAAAGATCAGGAACTGAAAAAAATCTATTCTCTTCTATACAGCAGCAAGGAGAGCTCAAGCAAAGTGGACATGATCAGAGTCCACAGTTACCATGATCCTGAGACAAGCTCATAAAAGCAAGCTGCATGAGCAGGAACCCAAGAAGTGACAGGCACCAGCCACCACTATTGCTGCCATCACCACAGGGAATTCCAACAAAGCAGAACTAATGGTTTCTTGCTTCATCCCACCTTCTAATCTAACAAAAAGCCCACTGTCAAAGGAGTTGGAGAAACACAGTTTGTAGGCTCCCATCTCCAGTGGTAGAGAAGACATAGAAAAATGATTGTAGAGCCAAGAGATAATAGACACAATGTAGCAGCCACATGTCCTGGCTTAAGAATCCACTTCCCTTGCCTCCCTTCTCACCTCCCTCCAGGTATCCATCAACAAAGAGCAAGACGGAGGACACACACACACTGGTTTTTATTTTCATCATTATCTACCTGCATAGTCATGTCTACTTGTGAGAAATAGAAATCCTTCTAAGTATGTACTGGAAATAAGTAAGGAAAAGTTTAAATAAATAGGAGAGATGCTGTTAAAGAGTAAACCTTTAAAAACAAGTAGAGAAGGCTAGTAAAAATTATTAGAAAAATAATGGTCTCCTCCATTCCCAATCTGTTTACCAACACAAGTAAAACACCAGTTTGCTTATTTTATAAATTTATGTTCTCTTTTTCATTTTTCTAGGTCATCATATCTGCTTAGCTTCCACCATTAAAAATTTTCATAGAAAATAAGTTGCATTTTTCCAACCCAACTATCTCTGATAATAAAATGTGACAAAGTTAAACCTAATAAGCAGCTATATAGGTTGTTCAAGTATGCTTGATTGTACATATTGAGACAGAAAAATAAGATGCATTTGTTTCAAAAGAAGATTAAATGGCTAATGATTAGAGCATAATAACAACTGAAAAACTCAGTAGGAGAGCAATATAGATTATGTAGCCAAAAAAAGAAGTTTGGATTTTCAATTTAATTTGTGAAAGAGTTCTGCTTTTAAAATAATTACATTTGTTGCTATTTAAAAGATTAATTTTTAAAATTAAGGTGAAAACAGTAAAAAAATTGTGCTTTTGTATTATGTTTCTATTTCCTTGGTGTGATATAATTTTTAAAAAAGTGACAGCACACTAATGGTACACAGCTATACAGTATTCTTTCAGGCATTTTAAAAATGACAATTGGTGCCACTTGACTGGAAGTTGAGTTTGAGAAATCAAGTGATGAAAGGACTTAGAGAATAAAGCAAAAGTACTTACTTTACATTACTTTGCAATGTTATAAAATCATCCTATTGGATACTTGGGTGGCAATCTGCATGACAATGACTTTTAATGGACATTTGATATGGTTTGGCTGTGTCCCTGCCCAAATCTCAACTTGAATTGTATCTCTCAGAATTCCCACATGTTGTGGGAGAGACCCAGGGGTAGGTAATTGAATCATGGGGGCTGGTATTTCTCATGCTATTCTCATGATTGTGAATAAGTCTCACGAGATCTGATGGGTTTATCAGGGGTTTCTGCTTTTATTTCTTCCACATTTTTCTCTTGCTACCACCACGTAAGAAGCGCCTTTCACCTCTCGCCATGATTCTGAGGCTTCCCCAGCCATGTGGAACTGTTTAAGTCCAATTAAACCTCTTTTTGTTCCCAGTTTGGGGTATGTCTTTATCAACAGTGTGTAAACAAACTGATACAACATTTTTAAGGAACTCACCATAATCTCATTTCTAAAAGTGACCTCACACATTGAAGAATAGTGTCTTTCAGACCTTTTAACTAATTATTTCCTCTTCCTGGAATGTTCTGCCCCAGGTATCTGTTTAGGCTATTCTGTCACTTTCTTCAAGGCCAGTACCCCATTGGTCAGACTACTTCATTCACTTCATAATAATAACTAACACTTATGTAACATGACAAGAATCATTATACATCAATTGACTAAAAAGTGACATTTTAAGAGATTAAATTTTAAATTTTAATTGTTATATATCATTGCGGGAAGCCAGGGACCCCGAACAGAGGGGCCGGTTGGAGCCACAGCAGAGGAACATAAATTGTGAAGATTTCGTGGACATTTATCACTTCTGAAATAATACTTTTATAATTTCTTACACCTGTCTTACTTTAATCTCTTAATCCTGTTATCTTCATAAACTGAGAATGTATGTCACCTCAGGACCCTGTGATAATTGCGTTAAATGTACAAATTGATTGTAAAATATGTGTGTTTGAACAATATGAAATCAGTGCACCTTTAAAAAGAACGGAATAACAGCGATTTTAGGGAACAAGGGAAGACAGCCATAAGGTCTGACTGCCTGTGGAGTCGGGAAAAAGAGCCATATTTTTCTTCTTGCAGAGAGCCTATAAATGGACATGCAAGTAGGGAAGATATTGCTAAATTATTTTCCTAGGAAGGAATATTGATATTAATACTCTGGGAAAAGAATTGCATTCCCAGAGGGAGGTCTATAAACAGCCGCTCTGGGAATGTCTGTCTTATGCAGTTGAAATAAGGACTGAAATACACTCTGGTCTCCTGCAGTACCCTCAGGCTTAGTAGGATTGGGAAACTCCAGCCTGGTAAATTTTTGGTCAGACCGATTCTCTGCTCTCAAACCCTGTTTTCTCTTAAGATGTTTATCAAGACAATACATGCACCACTGAACATAGACCCTTAGGAGTTTCTGATTTTGCCCTTTAAAGCATGTGATCTTTGTGACCTACTCCCTGTAATTACACCCCCTCCCCTTTTGAAATCTTTAATAAAAACCTGCTGGTTTTGTAGCTCAAGTGGGCATCACAGTCCTACCAATATGTGATGTCACCCCCGGTGGCCCAGCTGTAAAATTCCTCTCTTTGTGCTCTTTCTCTTTATTTCTCAGACTGGCTGACACTTATGGAAAATAGAAAGAACCTACATTGAAATATTGGGGGCGTGTTCACCCAATAATATACTTATATGGTTCAAAATTCAAAAGGTACAATAGAATTTATACTGAAGTTTTTCTTTTAGCCCTGTTCCATATTCCCACTTTCAGCTCTTGACACCAGAAAGAACATAACTCACACATTAGGGGCAAATCACATTAGTAGAAGATGAAGCTCATAGATTGTTACTCTTTTAATAAAAATATGAAGAGTTTACATTATTACATGCACTTGTGAACTGTCACACAATTTAATGGACTATGATATTTCATTTTCTGCCTCATGTGGATAATTAATGAAAAAAAATCTCTAGAGCACTAAGATGTTACATTGTGATGTGGCATAAACATTATTTCTTTAGGGAGCAATGATCAATTTTTTAAATTTTATTTTCCCAAAATTTTGCACATTTTAATTATTTAAAATTTATTTAGAAGATTTATTTACAAGATGGCCAATCGGAAGCAGCTATGGTCTGCAGCAATCATGGAGAGGAATGAAAGCGGTGAGTAAATTTATCACCTTCAACTGAAATATCCAGGTTCTCGCATTGGGACTGACTAGGCAATCAACTGAATCCAAGGAGAATAAAGAAAAGCAGTGTAGGGCAACAGTTTACCTGGAAGCAGCACAGAGCCAAAGGAAGCCCTCTCAGCCAAGGGTAGTGGTAAATGATTGTGTGACCTTGCCTGGGAAACCACACTTCTCCCACAGATCTTTGAAACCAATGGATGAGGAGATCTCCTCCTGAGCCCACACCACCAGGGTCTTGGGTCCGATACACAGAGCTGTGTGGAGTTTTGGCAGAGCATCTACTCAGGCACACACAGAGACCCAGGAGTTTTACATACTCTGGCCTCGGATTCCCAGCAAGGTGGCAGATTCATCTGTACCTTCCCCTAGGAAGGTGGCTGAATCCAGGGAGCCAAGCAGCATTGTTCTGTGGCCCACTTCCACAGCACCTCAAGTTAAGACCCACCGGCTTGGACTTCCAATCAGATAATGGCAAAAGGCTGAGTCTGCCTGAAATGGGAGGGAGTTCCCGGGGAGGGGGGTGGCCACCATTTCTGTGGTTCAGTGGACTCAGCATTACAGCCTCCTGGCTCTGGAGAATCCAGGTAGTCCAGATGAGGAGGAGTCCCCCACAATGCAGCACACCTGCTTTGCCAGATTATGCTCCACCTGCTTCTGTAAGCAGGACACCAATCCATTCCTCCCCTTTGGGAGGGGCCTCCCTGTGGTGGGGCCTTCAGTTACAAGTCAGGCTTATATGGACAGAACTGTGATCTCTCCTGGAACTGAGCTCCCAGTGGGAGAGGCAGCCACCATCTCTGCAGTTCAGTCAACTCAACTGTTCCAACTTGCTGACTCTGGAGAGTCCAGGTGGTCTCGATGAGGAAGGGTCCCCCCAGTGCAGCACACCTGCTCTACTGAAAGCAGCCAGACTGCTTCTGTAAGAGGGTCCCTCTTCCGTTCCTCCCGATTGGGTGAGACCTCCCAAACAGGAGTTTCCAGACATCTACAGGAGAGTTCCAGCCAACAACAGGTCAGTTACACCCCTGGGATGGAGCTTCCAGAGGAAACAGGTGGCTATGATCTTTGCTGTTTCTCAGGCTTCACTGGTGATAGCTCCAGGTATCAGAAAACCCAAGGCAACTAGGGTCTGAAGTGGAACCTCCAGCAAACCACGGCAGCCCTATGGTTGCTAACAGTCAGTGACCTTACTGTTAAAAGAAAAACAAACAAAAAAAGAAAACAACAACAACAACAAAGACCTCACAAAAACCCCATTCAAAAGTCAGCAACATCAAAGATTAAAAGTGGATAAGCCCACGATGATGAGAAGAAATCAAAACAAAAACACTGAAAACTCAAACAACCAGAGTGCCTTTTCTCCACCAAATGACCACAACACCTCCCCAGCAAGGGCACAGAACTGGGCTGAGGCTGAGATGGCTGAATTGACAAAAGTAGGCTTCAGTGGGTGGTAATAAGGAATTTTGCTGAGCTAAAGGAGCATGTTGTAACCCAAGGGAAAGAAGCTAAGAATCATGATAAAACAATACAGGAGCTGAAAACCATAATAGCTACTTTAGAGAAGAACATAACTGACCTGATGGAGCTCAAAGCACAACACAAGAACTTTACAATGCAATCACAAGTATCAATAGCAGAATAGATCTAGCAGAGGAAAGAATCTCAGAGCTTAAAGACTGTCTTTCTGAAATAAGACAGGCAGACAAGAATAGAGAAAAAAGAATAAAAATCAATGAACAAAACCTCTGAGAAATGTGGGATTATGAAAAAAGACCAAATCTGTATATTGGTCTGATTGGGGTACCTGAAAGAGATGGGGAGAACAGAACCAAGTTGGAAAACATACTTTAGGATATCATCCAGGAAAACTTCCCCAAACTAGCAAGAAAAACCAACATTCAAATTTAGGAAATCCAGAGAACCCTAGTAAGATACTCCATGAGAAGACCAACCCCAAGACACATAATCATTAGATTCTCAAAGGTCAAAATGAAAGAAAAAATGTTAAGGGAAGCCACAGAAAAAGGCCAGGTCACCCACAAAGGGAAACCCACCTGACTAACAGTGGACCTCTCAGCAGAAACCATACAAGCCAGAAGAGATTGGGGACCAATATTCAACATTCTTAAAGAAAAGGATTTCCAACCAATAATTTCATGTCCAGCCAAACTAAGCTTCAAACCAAAGAAGAAATAAGATCCTTTTCACACAAGTGAGTGCTGAGGGAAGTCATCACCAAACCTGACTTGCAAGAGCTCCTGAAGGAAGCACCAAATATAGGAAGGAAAAATCAAATCATTATCAGCCACTACAAAAACACACTTATGTATACAGATCAGTGACACTCTAAAGCAACCACATAAACAAGTCTGCAAAATAACCAGCTAGCATCATGATGACAGGATCAAATTCACACATAACAATACTAATCTTAAAAGTCAATGGTCTAAATGCCCCAATAAAATGACACAGAATGGCAGGCTGGATAAGGAGCCAAGACCCATTGGTATGCTGTGTTCAAGAGACACATCTCACTTGTAAAGACACACATAGGCTCCAAATAAATGGGTGGAGAAAAATTTACCAAGCAAATGGCAAACAAGAAAAAGCAGTGGTTGCAAAACTAGTTTCTGACAAAACAGACTTTAAACCAATGAAGATCAAAAAAGAAAAAGAAGGGCATTACATAATTGAAAAAGTTTCAATTCAACAACAAGCGCTAACTATCATAAATATATATGCACCCAGATTCATAAAACAAGTTCTTAGAGACCTGCACAGAGACTTAGACTGCAACACAATAATAGTGAGAGACTTTAACACCCCACTGACAATATTAGACAGATCATAAGGACAGAAGATTAACAAAGTAATTTAGGACCTAAACTCAGCTCTAGATCAAGTGGAACTGATAGATGTCTACAGAACTCTTCACCCCAAAGCAACAGAATATACATTCTTCTTGGCATCACATGGCACTTACTCAAAAATTGATCACATAATTAAAAGTAAAACACTCCTCAGCAAATGCAAAGCAACTGAAATTATAACAGTCTCTCAGACCATAGTGCAATCAAATTGGAACTCAAGATTAAGAAATTCACCCAAAACCATACAACTACATGGAAATTAAACAACCAATAAAATTAATTAAGAAATCAAAAGGTTCTTTGAAACTAATGAGAACAAAGAGACAATTCACCAGAATCTCTGGGATGCAGGGAAAGTGGTGTTAAGAGAGAAATTTATAGCACTAAATGCCCATGTCAAAAACTTAGAAAGATCTCAAGATAACAACCTAACACCATGTCTAAGAGAACTAGAGAACCAAGAGCAAACAAACCCCAAAGCTATCAGAAGACAAGAAATAACCAAGATCAGAGTTGAACTGAAGGAGATAGAGACACAAAAATCCCTTCAAAAATCAATGAATCCAGGATCTGATTTTTTGAAAAAATTAATAAAATAGACTGCTAGCTAGACTAATAAAGAAGAAAAGAAAGAAGAATCAAATAGACATGATCAGAAATGGTAAGGGGGATATCACCACTGTCCCAACAGAAATACAAACAACCATTAGAGAATACTATAAATACCTCTATGCACATAAACTAAAAAATCTAGAAGAAATGGGTAATTCCTGGACATGTTCACTCTAGTTCAGTCTAGAAAGAAATTGAGTCCTTAAATAAACCAAATTGAGTCCTTAATAAACTATATAAATGAGTTCTGAAATTGAGGCGGTAATAAATAGCCTACTGATCAAAAAAAAAAAGAAAGAAATTGAGTCCTTAAATAAACCAAATTGAGTCCTTAAATAAACTATATAAATGAGTTCTGAAATTGAGGCGGTAATAAATAGCCTACTGATAAAAAAAAAAAGCCTAGGACCGGATGGATTTACAGCTGAATTCTACCAGAAGTACAAAGAAGAGCTGGCACCATTACTACTGAAACTATTTCAAAAAGGTGAAAAGGAGGGACTCTTCCCTAACTCATTTAATGAGGCCAGCATCATCCTGATACCAAAACTTGGCAGAGATACAACAACAACAAAAAAAACTTCAGGCCAATATCCATGATGAACATCAATGCAAAAATCCTCAATAAAATACTGGTAAACCGAATCCAGCAGCACATCAAAAACCTTATCCTCCATGATGAAGCTGGCTTTATTCCTGGGATGCAAGGTTGGTTCAACAAACACAAATCAACAAATGTGATTCATCACATAAATAGAACTAAAGACAAAAACCACATGATTATCTTAATAGATGCAGAAAAAGCCTTCAATAAAATTGAACATCCCTTCATGTTAAAAACTCTCAGTAAACTAAATATTGAAGGAACAGACTTCAAAATAATAACAGCCATGTATGACAAACCCACAGTCATTATCCTACTGAATGGGCAAAAGTTGGAAGCATTCCCCTTGAAAACCAGCACAAGAAAAGGATGCCCTCTTTCACCACTCCTATTCAACATAGTATTGGAAGTTCTGGCCAGGGCAATCAGGCAAGAGAAAGAAATAAAAGGTATTCCAGTAGAAAGAGAGGAAGTCAAATTATCTTTGCAGATGACAGAATCCTATATCTAGAAAACCCCATTGTCTCAATCCAAAAACTTCTTAAGCTGATGAGCAACTTCAGCAAAGTCTCAGCATGCAAAATCAATGTGCAAAAATTTCTAGCATTCCTATACACCAACAACAGGCAAGCAGAGAGCCAAATCATGAATGAACTCCCATTCACAATTGCTACAAAAAGAATCAATTACTTAGGAATACAGCTAACAAGAGAAGTGAAGGACCTCTTCAAGGAGAACTATAAACCACTGCTCAAAGAAATCGGAGAGGACACAAACAAATGGAAAAGTATTTTATGCTCATGGATAGAAAAATTAATATTGTGAAAATGACCACACTGCCCAAAGTAATTTATAGATTCAATGATATTTCCATTAAACTACCATTGACATTCTTCCAGAATTAGAAGAAACTATTTTAAAATTCGTATGGGACCAAAAAAGAGCCCAAATGGCCAAGACAAGCCTAAGCAAAAAGAACAAAGCTGGAGGCATCATGTTACCTGACTTCAAACTATACTACAAGGCTACAGTAAGCAAAACAGCATTGTACTGGTACCAAAACAGATATATAGACACATGAAAAAGAATAGAAAACTCAGAAACAAGACTGCACACCTACAACCATCTGCTCTTTGACAAACTTGACAAAAACAAGGGATGGGGTAAGGATTCCCTATTTAATAAATGGTGCTGTGAGAACTGGCTAGCCATATGCAGAAAATTGAAACCGAAACCCTTCCTTACACTTGATACAAAAATTAGCTCAAGATGAATTAAAGACTGAAATGTAAAACCCCAAACCATATAAACCCTAGAAGAAAATCTAGACAATACCATTCAGAACATAGGCATGGGAAAAGATTTCTTGACAAAAACACCAAAATCAATTGCAACAAAAGCAAAAGTTGATGAATGGCATCTACATAAACTAAAGAGCTTCTGCACAGCAAAAGAAACTATCATCAGAGTGAATAGACAACATACAGAATGGGAGAAAATTTTTGCAATCTATCAATCTGACAAAGGTCTAATATCCAGAGTCTATAAGGAACTTAAACAAATTTACAGGAAAAAAAAAAAACATTAAAAAGTGGGCAAAGGACATGAACAGATACTCCTCAAAAGAACACCAACAAACATGAAAACAAAGCTCAACATCACTGATGATTAGATAAATGCAAATCAAAAGCACAATGAGATACCATTTCATGCCAGTCAGAATGGCGATTATTAAAACGTCAAAAAACAACAGATGCTGGTGAGGTTGCAGAGAAAAAGGACCACTTTTACATTCTTGGTGGGAGTGTAAATTAGTTCAACTATTGTGGAAGACAGTGTGGTGATTACTCAAAGATCTAGAGGCGGAAATACCATTTGACCCAGCAATCCCATTACTGGGTATATACCCAAAGGAATATAAATCATTCTTGTATAAAGATACATGCATGCATATGTTCATTTCAACACTATTCACAATAGCAGACATGGAATCAACCCAAAAGCCCATAAATGACAGACTGGATAAAGAAAATATGGTACATATACACCATGGGATACTGTGCAGCCATAAAAAGGAATGAGATCATGTTTTTTGCAGGAACATGGGTGGAACTGGAAGCTGTTATCTTCAGCAAATTAACAAAGGAACAGAAAACCCCACACTGCATGTTCTCACCTGTAAGTGGGAACTGAATGATGAGAACACATGGACACATGATGGGGAACAGCACACACTGGGTCTGTCGGGGGTGGCATGGGAGAAGAGAGAGTATCAGGAAAAATAGCTAATGAATGTTGGGCTTGATACTTATGTGATGGGATGATGTATGCAGCAGACCACCGTTGCACACGTTTACCTATGTAACAAACCTGCACACCCTGCACATGTATCCCTGAACTTAAAAGTTGAAGATAAAAATAGATAAATAAAATAAAATTTATTTTAGGAGTCTTGCCATACCAGCCAGCACACACAGATCTGTCTCATTCTTAAAACAAACAAACAAACAAATAAAAACTTGTATTTAAGTTCAAGGGTACACGTGTAGCTCTATTAGATAGGTAAATTACACATCATGGGTGTTTGGTCTACAGATTATTTTGTCATCCAAATAATATGCATAGTACCCAACAGGTAGTTTTTCAATCCTCACACTCCTCCAAACTTCCACCCTCAATTAGGCCCCAGTGAATGACTGAAGGGAACACCTTATGGAGAAGGACACCCAAGACTACTTATAGTTGGTTTAACTGTCAATTTATAAAACATATATTTAATAAACAAAAATTTTAAAAATTTCGTAAATATGAAAATATAAATAACACAAATAATTACACTTCTTTTCAACTTAAACTAGAAATTCAAATTTACTGTGACTTATTATTTTCAGTACTTCAAACTAAAAAGACAAAATTTACACACACACACACACACACACACTCTCAGCACATTTATTATTCGACTAACTCTTAAACCTATCCTCCAGCTTCAATACTATGGGCTTAATTAATTCCTTTATTGTTTCGCCCTTGATGTTAATATATTCCTAGGGGTATAGCTATACCAATTTCGTTAGATACCTAGAGCCGTGGTCATATTATTGTGATAACTTCTTGGGGTAGAATAATTTTACCAAAGCCAAAAGAAAAATACCTTTTCAGACCAGCCAAGGATTTTCATTATCATGAAATGGGACAAAGAAGTTGGCTAACTTTTCCCAAAGTGTGGTTCCTCTGTGGACATATTTTGTTTGTAATTTCAATACCTCTTTTTAAGTCATCATTTCTGGTATAGATATTATTATTACCATTATTGTGTCTCCTGATGTCTTCCCCAGACATAATACACTTTAAAACACTCATTTGGCTAGCATTATACAACCCACTATCTTGTCACTGTGATACATAGACCTGTCTGTCCTGATGTATTCCTTGCTAGAATTTTATTATCTTCAATGGTACTGTTTGGGGGCTTCACTTCTAGGAGATAAGGGATTAACTCTAGGTAATCAGCTCCCCTTATTAAGAATATTGGTTTATTTATTGTCCTGAAACAATGTTAATATCACTCTTTATCTGGGGTTTTTTGTGACCACTGATTCTGACTACCTGTTTTGTTCCCTTTCCACCTAATTTTTGAGTTGGTTCACATGTACTGCTCATTCCTTCCTAGTTCTGTACAGATTCAAATATTTTTCCAGAGCTTCTTGGCTTTACCCAGGCTTTTCTCCTTATTCTTTTCATTATGCACTGATGGAAGCAAAATCCAGTCTATTCCTTAGAAACAGACATAAAGAATTGTTAAGTAAGAAAACATAGGAAGCTGAGTACCTTTACACATAGCAGTAACTTTTCTGTACTTGTTAAAATAAATGTGAAACTTATACTCTACTATATTCACTGTTTTTATACTCTGAGCATCTTTTTATAAAGGTTATACAGGTTATTCTTTTTGGAATGGCATTAAGAACTCATTGAATTTCACAGCAAACCTTGTTCAAATTAACACGATAGCAACTATTATTATTATTTAAAGTTCAAATGATCACAACTTGACCAGAGAAATCCCTTTATGCAGGCACTTTGCCCTTTAGCACTGTCCTGCTTTTTGATAATAATTGGACATATCCAGATAGCTCTCTCCTCTAAGACAGGAAATCCATTACCTTCCAATAATATCCCTTGACTCTTAGTTGAGAATGGTAACAGAATGAAAAAAACTGGGCAGTAGGATTGTACAAGAGTGTTGGTGGTTGGCAAAAGTGTTTCTTCTTCATATGATTCATTTTCATTAGTGAAACAGATAAAATATGTGTGTATGTGTCTATATGTGTGTATACATATATGTATACACGTATATTTCTTTTTAATGCATGATTTCACACTGATTTTTCTAATTAAACATATAAAGTTTTATAAACAGCTAAAACATTCTTCTACATTCACACAAAGGACATTTTAATGTTCAAAAACCCTGATAGATATTATATGTTAGAGAAAAAAATGCTTAGGCTAATGATAATGTTGAGCATTTTACACTGTCCCTGCTAAATGATTAAGTCTAACCTTAATTCTAAGCAATTCAATTTTTGATTCTGATGACTATATTTACAGAATGCATTTTTTCCCAGCATCTTAATCCCACCACTGGGGCACTCATGGGTGACCTCTGTGCACTTGCTCCAGGCCTTATAACCAGAAGAGCCTCACACTTGGTTTAAGGCTCTGTTGTTGTTATCCTGGAAGTTTCAATCATTTTATTTTTTATTTTTTTAGAGATGAGGGTCTCACTCTTTCACCAGGCTGGCTGGAGTGAGGTGGCATGTTCATAGCCCATTGCAGTTTCGAACTCCTAGGCTCAAGTGATCCTCTTGCCTCAGCCTCTCTGAGTAGCTGGGACTATAGGCATATGCCACCATGCCCAGCTAATAATCATTCTTAAACAAGAGGTTTCACATTTTCATTTTGCACTGAGCTCTGCACATTATATAGCTAGTCCTGCCTATAATGCATAAGCTGTTAGATTAGAATTTAAGGTCATGATTCCTTTACCCTTTTATTCTTAGCATGTGCCCTGCCAAATAATAACACATTATATTAAATTCCAGAGACTCACAATTTCCCACTGTGATTCAAATCCTGTACAAAATGTCTCATCACAGACAGATAAACCAGCCTATCATGAATTCTCTAAATATTTGCCTGCTCACTAAAAGCCCCTGGGAGACTTAAAACTACAAATTTCTGAGCTACTCCCCAGACTGAATTCAAATCTTCTGGGCTGAAACAGAAATCTGTATTTTTAAAAAATCTCTTTTCCCTTGGTCTGTTTGTTTGTTTTTAAATGGTTGGGAGCATGAAGCAAGAGGTTTCATTAGGCTGTTGAAATGTATGATGTGAGAGGCTCGTGATACCAAATTTAGCTCCCATTAGGTATTAACCTGATGTAGTTTCTCCCTGTTTCCAATCCACCAGCCATGTACCTACCAAGAAGGTTAATAGCTACTATTCCCATTTACTGTGGATGTGAGATCTCTTAGCTCTTATAATCATGCTTAGCTAAAACTTCTAGGAAAATATTGGCAGAATAAATCATTTCTAATTTCTAATTTTATCACCCCTCCCATTTATTTCTCTATTTCCTGTGGTAATTATATGGGCTTAATTCATTATAATTTATTCCCCTTTCTCTTTCCTGAATCTGGTCTTAATTACAGCTGTTACTTTCTTTTGTTCTGCCTTGTCATTTTTGTGGGGGAAAAAGAACAGAAGACCCTAGCGAAGCAGAAGCAGAAGTAGCATTTCATATGGACACCTGTGAAGTTCTTGATTCCCTGCTGACATTTATTCTGCATGCTTACCACACAAGGGGTGGATTATTTCCTCCTGTGAACTTTCATTTAGGTAGAGAGCTTAGGGTCTATGAGCTTTGCAAGGAACCAGGACCTTAGACAAACAACAAAGGAAACAAACATTGACTCTAAAATGCACCAAATAAAACTGCAAAATCCATATTAATAAGAACTAACTAAATATATATTAATTTACTTGTTATTACTAATAATCACAAAAATTGCATTACATTTGAATGTGATTTGTAATTTGTAGCTTAGCTTTTCCTCATTTTGCAAAAATTTTAGAGTATACATGATGATTACTGAGAAATCATAGCCAAATGTTAATTAAATGCATTACCTATAGCCAAATCATTTCAAAAACAAAGTCATAAAATTCACTTCAGTTTTTTTAATGCAAAAAAATATATTTAGGGCATAGGAGCTAACCTGAAAGAACTCCCAGCAGCAAAAACAAACAAGTTGAACAACAAAATAAAATAGTATTAGATTATAATCTAAAGTATAAAATAAATATCCATGAGTCCATACTAACATAAATAAGTCGTTTATACAAAATTAAAATATATTTAATGTGGCAAATGGATAATTTTAATATGTGTCATATAATATGTGGACACCATCAAACTTAAGAATGCCGAAGTCTACTAATGTCCTCAAATATCCCCATTAGGGTAAGTTTCCATTAGGTTCACATCAGGGCTTTAATACGAGTTTGGAAAGTCAGATTATTGTTACATAGTAAACAATTACCACAACCTGCTATGTGGTCATGGTAATTTCAAATATTTTGCCCAAACAAAATCTTATGCAGTACCCCAATATTAAAAATATGTAAGCCCTGGTAACACAGTAAGACCTTGTCTCTACAAAAAATAAGAAAAAAAAAATAGCAAGGTATGTGGGTGCACACTTGTAGTCCCAGCTACTCAGGAAGATGAGGTAGCAGGATTGCATGAGCCCAAGAGTTAGAGGTTGCAGTAAGCCATGGTTGCACCACGGAACTCCAGCCAGGGTCACAGAGTGAGACCTTGCCTCAAAAATAAATAAAATGAAACTAAATACGTAAATGGATAGATTGATCAACATACAGAGAGAGAGAGACGGAGAGAGAGGAAAGATGGAAGGTAGCAGAAATGCTCTGCCTCTTATCCACCTCAGCAACTCAGAGCAGCGCTGCAGAACTTGGAGGTTCTGTGGAACTCAACTTGTAATTTTTGATACAGTGAGGAAAGCTGAATTTTTGAAGGCAAGCTACTGAGTTGGAGAAAATAAATAAAATATACTCATCTGATAAAGGGTGGTGCCCAGAACATAAAATAAACTCTTACAACTGAATAAGAAGACAAAAATTACAATTAAAACAATGCCAAAAGATGTGAAGAAACACTTCACCAGAGAAGATATGTGGATGACAAATAAGCACATGAAAAATTTCACAACATTATTAGATTCTAGGGAAATACAAATTAAAACAAGTTACCCTACATGCTCACTAGAATGGATACAACTAAAAGGACTCCATACCGAGTGTTGGTGATACTGCTTCTCCCAACTAACTTTATTCTGATTAACATTTCTGATTTCCTTCCTAAATAATTACGCTTGGTGGCTTTGAGGGTCTCAAAAAGATTGAAAGTGTATTATTTTACAGACATATCCAAATATCTTATGCAAAATTATGAAAAGAAGCAAGCAGTTTTATATTTTCTATTTCTTATCTTCCCTTTCAGCATCAATATCTTTTTCCTTCCTCTCTAACTTTATATTCCCATCTCTTTTCCATCTCTAACTCCTGGGCCTAAATGCTAACTCCCTCTGTATCAAATGTGTTTGTTTGCCACCAGGAAAGACAGTCTGCATTTGAAAAGGATTTAAACAACCAGTTGTGGAATTTGGACATCTTTGACAACTTGGTAGAGAGTTAATAAGGAAAGGAAGAAGGAAAGGGTTGGGACCAGGGAAAAGGATGTGTCTTTCCCTGGTTAAAATGTATAGACTATTAACTATTTCACCAATGCATTAGGCTGGGCCTAATCCTTGCTAGATTCATTGGAGAAGGGATTGAGGTTGTCATTATAACAAAAATGTGGCTAGAACACATCATTTAAATATTTAATATAAAAACTCATCATTAAATTTACATAATGTAAAAAAAACTCTTGAAAAAAGTTGGTGATACTGTGCTATTATCCTGATTTGTTTCTTTACATTTCTTTCACTTCTCAAAATAAACGGAAACTCAGTATTTCTCTCTTTACTACCACCATTGGATTTCTCTCTCATCCACACTTACTCCAGGATTCCATTAGGAGGGGCCAGCATGTGTCTCCTCCTAACTGCCTATTGTAATCCACATTGCTTTTACTTGTATTTCAAGTTCAGGCCATCCACTAAGGAAATCAAACAAACTTATTTTTGTACAATGGGAGAAAATAAGTTGAATGGTTAAGAACATGACTTTTGAAGTCAAACAGACCTGGATTTAAGTGCTAGCCTGATCTTTCTTAACTATGTAATTTCGAACCTATCATTTTACCTTGTCAGCCTGTTTTCTCATCTATATAAAACAGTGTTAGTAATACCATATTTCCCACAGGTCTGTAAATGCTGGCTATAACAGTTTTCTACCAACTTCAAGACAATTCCAACTGCTAGGAAAATCTCAAAAATCTACCTAGAAACTTGGATTATGCAGGACAAAATATTGTTGGTGATAAAAGTACACCCTGGGTGCCATATAATTTCTTTCAAATCTCTCCACACTCTTTCACTGTATGGCGTAAGCTGCCTGAGGGCAGGGATTGTGTCTGGTTCAGCTAGTGCCTACTTGTATCCAAACCACCAGACTCATCCTTCTCATCTTTCCGACTTTTCTATTTTCTGTCAATGAATCTGGAGGTCACAGAGAGAAGAGATAGGGAGTGAGTGGTATGAATGGGAAAAGTTGGAGGGAAAAGGTGGTTTAAACAAGATTGGTCATTTGTTAAAGTTATTTTAATTGTGGAAGCTGAGTGACAAGTATATAGGGTTCACTATACCATTTTCTCTTCTTTTGTTATTTATTTGAAGTGTTTCATCGTATGTAATATATACATAGTTTACATGTAAACGTACGTACACATATATGTGTATATTATGTATATATGTATGCAGGAATAATAAAAAGCAGATTGTGTGTCTGTGTCATTAAAGGCAGGGGAAGAATAGGAAAAATGGAGTGACCTCTTAATGTATAATTAACTAGGCTTGTAGCTCTGATTGTATCATTAGTGCAACATAATATTCTGATGGTTCCAGGCTTATTGCTTCATCCTGTGTATATTTGGTAAGAAATTGTTGGGTTTTGAGGGGAGTCAAGAAATACCAATCCCTTTCCTCATCCAAATTATGAATTGATTATGAAGATCAGAAGAATAAGGAAGACAGAGAGTAAAGTCCATCATTTCTTACTGACATTGGTTAATTAGAAATGTGTTTTGGGTCCTGTTAGTTAAGTGGGCTTCCTAATACTCTACCCACAAATTGAAAGATTTACACACCCAGTCACAAACACAACTGGATATCCACCAACCTTCCTTGTAAGAACTTGCCCCTGTAAACATTGGGCTTAGAAATTCTAAGTAAAATGTGTGATTTTCTGTGAGCAACTGGATCTTAAAGAGGAAAAAGAAGGAAAGGGCCTGAGACATTTATGTCCAGTTTCTCTTTCCCTGCTCACCAATATCCCTGGAAGAGTGAGTGAGAGGGTGGAAGGGAAGAACTAAGGAATTTCCATCCACATAGAAGGAAAAATGAATGGGATATAAAAGTACCCTTATTAAATGACCAATGGAAGCTTTTACTTGGGAAGTTAAAAGAAAGGCAACATCACAATTCTAGCCATTGGTCTTGTTGTTAGAGTAGATGCCATATTTATTATTACTGTATTAGAAGACTCTTCTATTGACCCCATTAAAGGTGCCTTGAATTTTGCTTAACATCATATCTCAGTGTCATGGGGAAGCTTCATGGCCTTAAAAAGAGAAGATGCCCCAGAAGTATGCTTTCATTGAGGCTGGTGAGAAGCTGGATTTACTTTTTGGTTCAGGCACATTTATTAATAGTTGATGCTTTAGAGAAGGATTGTTTCTATTATATTGACTGTGGTTTGGGAAGAGTGTTTAAAAGTCCAACAGATATTCCTGGCATGAGAACTTTTACCATCTATCACTATTTTGGCATATATTTTCAAAAGTATTAATCATTTTTATATTTGCCTGTAAGATGCCTTCAAATATTCTGCAGCCAGCCCTGGTTAAAAAATTGAGGAAAACATTCTTTTTCATAGAGATGTTTGGCCATTACATGGTTATCTTGTCCTATAATGTCTCCCTGACTTTTAGTAACAGCTGTATTAATAATTTGTCACATCAAGAGTTATTCCCTTCCTTTGAACTCTTCCAGTACTATGTTTGTACCTGTTTTGTGATATTTACTTCATGGCTTGTCTTGTCCATACTGGGGTCTATTCTTACCAGTCCTATAAAATTACAGGTTTCTAAAGGTCTGGAATCATTTCTTGGTCAACTTTTTTATCATCACAGCACCTGTCATAGAGTAAGTACACAATAAATGTCTTTTGAATGCATGAATAATCACATGAAAAAAAATTGAATTTCCTGCCTTTTTTTGTCTAGATTGTTTGTTGTGTTTTTCTCTTACTATTATTCTTTCCTACACAAATCTGCCACTAAACGTTCTTCGCTTTCACATATTTTTTTCTGACATAATCTTTGTTGACTAAATGATCCTGCTCTATGTCTATATCCTCTAATCTTCAGATTTCTAGACTTAAAATATAACAATAAAGAGAAAAAAATTGCTCAGAGAAAATATAGTGATTTAAAATACTTTTTGTACTGTTTTAAAATACCTACTTTATCAAAATAATACATCCAAAGTCATTTTTTAAAAATCAAGTTGTATAGAAGAGCTTTTGGTAAAAAGAAATAATTGGCCCCACGTCTTTTGCTAGCCCTATTTTCTCTCCCTACTTGCAACCACTTTTAACAGTTTTTAGATCTTTTTATAGATACTGTCACATTTCTAAATATGGGGATATCATAATTAATTGGGTCTTCATGTGATCAATGAGGTGCTAGCTTACTTTGACTACCATCCATGATCTCTCCTTTACCTCCTACATATACAGATGTTATTTAATATTAGGTTGGTGTGAAAGTAATTGCAGTTTTTGCCATTACTTTTAAATGACAAAAACCACAATTACTTTTGCACAAACCTAATAATAATTGCCATTGTAACATTACATCGCATGCTTTAACCTTTTATTATCTCACCTATAAATAGTACCTCTTAACATTTTTAAGTTAAGTGCCCCTATCATTACTGTGAACCTCAAAAATCTTAGACAGGTCTTGGTTAATTTACAAAGTTTATTTTGTCAAGGTTGAGGATGTGCACCCATGACACAGCCTCAGGACGTCCTGACGACATGTGCCCTAAATGGTCAGAGCAGTTTGGTTTTATACGTTTTAGGGATACATGAGACATCAATCAACATACGTAAGATGAATATTGGTTCAGTCCAGAAAAGGCAGGACAACTTGAAGCAAAAGAAGGACAATTTGAAGTGGGGAGGGGGCCTTCCAGGTCATAGGTAGATAAGAGACATATGGTTGCATTCTTTTGAGTTTCTGATTAGCCTTTCCAAAGGAGGCAGTCACATATACATTTATCTCAGTGAGCAGAGGGGTGACTTTGAATAGAATGGGAGGCAGGTTTGCCTTAAGCAGTTCCCAGCTTGACTTTTCCCTTTAGCTTAGTGATTGTGGGGCTACGAGATTTATTTTCCCTTCACATTACTTTCACCTAAAGGCACCTATGAATACATATTGAATATTTGTGTCAATTGGGAAAAGACGCTGCTTCAGGTGGACTCAACTCATATGGGCATGGATGATAGGTTTTTGATCTTTGGTACAAAGAAAACATGTCTGATATGGTTTGGATATTTGTCCCTGCTGAAATCTCATGTTGAAATGTACTCCTCAAAGTTGGAGGTAGGGCCTTGAATTAGTCCATTCTCACATTGCTGTAAGGAAATACCAGAGACTGGGTGATTTATAAAGAAAAGAGTTTTAATCGACTCACAGTTCCACATGGCTGAGGAGGCCTCAGAAAACTTACAATCATGATGGAAGGCACCTCTTCTCAGGGCAGCAGGAGAGAGAATGAGTGCCAGCAGGGGAAATGCCAGCTACTTATAAAACCATCAGATCTTGTGAGAACTCACTCATCATGAGAATAGCATGAGGAAACCACCTCTGTGATTCAATTACCTCCCACCAGGTCCCTCCCATGACATGTGGGGATTATGGGGATTACAATTCAAGATGAAATTTGGGTGTGGACAAAGCCAAACCATATTAGGCCTGGTAGGAGGTGTTTGGTTCATAGAGGCAGACCTCTCATGGCTTGGTGCTCTCCTCATGATAGTGAGTGAGTTCTCATGAAACCTGGTTGCTTAAGTGTATGGCACCTGTATCTCCTCTCTCTCTTGCTCTCAGTTTTGCCATTTGAGATTCCTGCTCCCCCTTCACCTTCCACCATGATTGTAAACTTTCTGAGACCTCCCCAGAAGCAGATGTCAGTGCTATGTTTACTCTACAGGTTGCAGAACAGTGAGCCAATTAAACCTCTTTTCTTATAAATTACCCAGCCTCAGGTATTTCTATATAGAAATGAAAGAATGCCCTAATGCAGAAAGTTGCTATCAAGGAGTGAGATATTGCTATAAAAATACCTAAAAATATGGGCATCACTTTGGAACTGGGTAATGGATAGAAGTTGGAAGAGTTTGGATGGCTTAGGAGAAGACAGGAAGGTGAGGGAAAGTTTGAAACTTCTTAGAAACTGGTTAAATGGTTGTGACCAAAATGCTGATGGTGATATGAACAATGAAGTCCAGGCTGATGAAGTCTCAGATGGAAATTAGGAACTTATTGGGAACTGGAGCAAAAGTCATGCATGTCACGCCTTAGCAAAGAATTTTGTTGCATTGTCTTCATGCCCTGGGGGTCTGTGAAAATTTGAACTTTAGAGTGATGATTTATGGTGTCTGGTGGAAGAAATTTCTAAGCTGAAAAGTGTTAAAGATATAACCTGGCTGCTTCTCACAGTCTATGCTCAGATGCAGGAGCAAATAAATGATTTAAATTTGGAATTTATATGTAAACATGAAGCAGAACATAAAAGTTTGGAAAATTTGCAGCCTAGTCATGTGGCAAAGAAAGAAAAAGCTTTTTCAGGACATAAATTCAAGGAGGCTGTGATGCAACCCCTTACTTGTGATATTGGCATAACTAAAAGGGAGCCAAGTACGAATATCCAAGACCATGAGAAAAAGACCTCAAGGGCATTTCAGAGACCTTCATAGCATCCCCTTATATTACAGTCCCAGAGGTCTAGGAAGGAAGAATTGTTTATGGGCCAGGCCCAGGGCCCCACTGCCCTACACAGCCTTGGGACTCTGCTTTCCACATTCTGGCTAGCAGCTCCTGTTCCCACCAAGGTCAAAGGGACTCAGGTGCAGCTCAAGCTGCCATTTTGGAGAACACAGGCTGTAAGCCTTGGGGGTTTCCATGTGGTATTAACCCTGCAGCCATGCAGACTGGCAGAATGAAGGCTTGGCTTGGCTTCACACTTTATCAAATGTACTTCATTTTTTAACTTCTACATTCTCCTTTGAAAGCATCATCATTTGTGTTTTGTATAGCAGTTAAATGTAATGCAAAACATTTACATTACTACACCAATGTATCATTCACCATAGGAAAACCAATTATGACTATATATCCTTTCTTTTGTATAGCTTTTTGTTTCCCCAAAATTGCCATTTTTAATTTTTATTCTCTCCCTCTCTTCCTTTCTTCTTCTCATTTGGAGCTCTCTAGCCCTTGCTTCAAGCTAGACTAATTGATCTTGGCACCTGCTGCATGTGGGCTTTTTTTTTTTCTAATTGTTTTCTTAGGTTGAAGCCTTATTTCCTGGATCCCAAGTCTTTTTGTTTTTAATTTACTGTCAGGTTTTGCCAGGTTGGAACAGAGCCTCAAGTAGCTACTCACCAGAAGAGATGAAGTTTCTCATTTCTTACACATTTAAATTGTGTCCTCTTTACCTTCAAAATTCACTTTTATAATTTGGCTGAGAACAGAATTCTAGATTGAACACCACTCCTCTCAGAATCTTAAGTCTGGCTTCCCTGTCTTCTAGCACCCACTACAGTACATGAGATATTTATTCTGTCAAGTCTCATTTTATGTGTTTTTTTCCTACCTTGTTCCATCATCATTCCTCTACCATCAATAGAAATTTTAACACATTCTCTTTCTTTTATTGCTTTAAAATTTCACAATGGTAAGTTGAGGTGTCTTTTTAAAATCAGCTTTGGATATGGTTTGACTCTGTGTCTGCACCCGAATTTCATCTCCAATTGTAATCCCTATGTGTTGAGGGAGGGATCTGTAACTCCCAGCTATTGAGAGACAAAAGTGACTGGATCATGGGAGTGGTTTCCCCATGCTCTTCTTGTGACAGTGAGTGAGTTCTCACAAGATCTGATGGTTTTATAAGTATTTGAAAGTTCTTCCTTTGCTCTTCTCTCCCTTGTTTCCCTGTGAGGAAGATGCCTGCTTCCCCTTCTGCCATGATTGTAAGTTTCCTGAGGCCTCCCTAGCTGTGCAGAACTGTGAGCAAATTAAACCTTTTTTGTTTATAAATTATCCAGTCTCGGGTAGTAACTTTATAGTGTGTGGAAATGGACTATTACAGCTTCCATGGTATTCTAGTAAGCTTTCTCAATATGAAATTTTTGTCTTCCTTTAACTTGGGACCTTTTCTTATAAAATTTATTTGATGATTTCTTCACCTCTATTTTATCTGCTCTTTCTGAAACTACCCTAAGACAGATATTAAATGGCATGGTTACATACCATATCTTATCTTTCCTTTCATATTTTTACCACCTTGCATTTTAGGTAACATAATAGATTCTGAAACAAGACTTCATGGGCTAAATCCTGTCTCCCCACTTATCATATATGTGACCCATGGTGGCTTCTTACCCTTTCTTGCTTACATTTCCTTATCTATAGAATGGACTAATGGTGATGTCTACTCATTGCATTGTTCAGAGGACTAAATGAGTTACTTTATTTATAACAGTGCCTATCACAGAGTAATCACTTAATGCAAGTTAGCTATTATAATACTACTAGAAATAGTATTGCAAAGCAGTTAAGCTCATGGACTCTAGAGCTAGACTGGCTTTTAATTTTGGCTACTTAGCTAAGTGTTCTTGGGAAAGTTGCTTAATTTCTCTGTACCTCAGCTATAAAGGAAGAACCTCATACTATTTATATAATAGGCTTGCTGTGTCACTAAAGTACTTAGAACTGTTCCTGGCTATTTGGAAAATTTAAGCTATTTGGAAAAGTTTTTGACCTTATCTTAAAAAGCTGCTAATGACTTGGAATTTTTGAATCATATTTTAATTTTTATGATCTCTTCATGTTCTCTTATGGTTTCTTCTTCATAGCATACTGTTCATGCTTTGTGAATACATATCTTCTCAAATTTCTCTGAAGATGCCAAGTTGACATTCTATTCCCTGAATAATCTTAATTTCTTTCTGAGTGACTCTTAAAATGTGTTTATTGTCTACTTTTGCCTTCATTTAGAAATCTTTCCTAAAGGTCCTGGTAAGCTTTAATTGGTCATTCTGTATTTCAGAACCAGGTCATATAATGTCTAACCTGGGATTCAGTGAACCGGAGTGCTATATGTTAATAATTATTATTGCTTTAGGGGTAATGGGCAAGAAGCTGGTCATTATGTCTTATAGCCCCCAAATTCCAGGTGACTGTGTACTTTCCTTTAGTATGACAATATTCACATGGGCTGCTGTGGTTCTCCCAGACAGTTTTTGTTCAGTATCTTTAGGGAAGAGCCCTCATGTCTCCCCTCTGAGATAAATGCCTATTTTCTGGCTGTCGGGATGAATAGAGTGGGGAAGCCAGCTACTCTGTTCTCAGACCTTCCACTAGTCCCACATGTTTTACTCCTTCCATGGGGCCTTGAGTCTGAAGCCTTGCCAGTGTCCCCTGGGAAAAGTCGTGGGCTTCTTTGGTGGCTGCACATATAGCCTGGATTCTAGGCTGCAGCTTCCTCCCACACAGTCTCTGTAGCCAACATCACCTCTATCTTTCTGCCTTCCAGAAACATTGAAATTGCTTTTCCATTAATAGTCTCTCTCTTCTTCTATCTGTTGTTATGGACAAATGCATTTTTTTATTCCTGTCCTACTGATTGAATGGAGACTTGGGAGGAAGAAAAGATAAATACAGAAGTCCAGTCGGCCATCTTTAATGAGCACTGTCGGAGATGTATTTTAAAAGGATCCCTTGGTTTGCCTCAGCCTCATTTTGACATATTTTGGTTTTAATGAGCTAGTCTCACATTCCCAGTAATAAAGTATGATATGTAAAAAGGAATATTAAACTGTAAAGGCATTTGTTCTGAGTTTGTGACTACTAAGGAATATAGTGACCTCTTGTTGTTTTTTTGGTAGCTTGAAGTTCATGCCTCCTAGGTATCAGGAAGCTCTTCCTTGTTGGCCTCAGGCTTTATTCAGTATCCTTTTGATTGTTATAGCATCCCCCCAAACTTATAATTCTTGTGCAATTGGTAATGTGTGTCTGTCTACTGCTAACTATCATAAGCCCTAAAGGTTTATCTAGTCTCTTACCCTGGTGATATGGGCCATATAACAAAGAACTTTCTAGAAATACCATTCCATATAGCCTAGAACTGCGCTAGTTCTAAGAAACTCACTTAGTAGTTTTTCATTCTCTTACTGGAAAAAAATGTTTTGGATATTTTCTATATGTGAGTTATAGGAGATACAGTGAACAGGACAAACATGGACCCTATCATTGTAGAACTTTGTTCTACAGGATTCTTTTTTTTTATACCAATGTATAATAGTTTGTATTAATTTGGTAGCACTGCTGTACAATGAACTAGGTGGCTTTGACAACAGCAATTTATTCTCTTGTAGTAGAACCCAGAAGTCCAAAATCAAAGTGTCAGCAGAGTTGGTTCATTCTGGAGGCTGTGAGACGTAATCTATTCTATGCCTCTCTCATACCTTCTGGTGGCTGCTGGGAATCCTTGGTGTTTCTTGGCTTGTAGATGCATCATTCAAATACCTGCTTCTGTCTTTTATTTTTTTCTTATTTTTTTTGTTTTTTCTTTTCTTTTATTTTATTGTTATTATACTTTAAGTTTTAGGGTACATGTGCACAATGTGCAGGTTAGTTACATATGTATACATGTGTCATGCTGGTGTGCTGCACCCATTAACTCATCATTTAGCATTAGGCATATCTCCTAAAGCTATCCCTCCCCCCTCCCCCAACCCGACAACAGTCCCTAGACTGTGATGTTCCTCTTCCTGTGTCTATGTGTTCTCATTGTTCAATTCCCACCTATGAGTGAGAACATGCAGTGTTTGGTTTTTTGTTCTTGTGATAGTTTACTGAGAATGATGATTTCCAGTTTCATCCATGTCCCTACAAAGGACATGAACACATCATTTTTTATGGCTGTATAGTATTCCATGGTGTATATGTGCTACATTTTCTTAATCCAGTCTATCATTGTTGGACATTTGGGTTGGTTCCAAGTCTTTGCTATTGTGAATAGTGCTGCAATAAACATACGTGTGCATGTATCTTTATAGCAGCATGATTTATACTCCTTTGGGTATATACTCAATCATGGGATGGCTGGGTCAAATGGTATTTCTAGTTCTAGATCCCTGAGGAATTGCCACACTGACTTCCACAAGGGTTGAACTAGTTTACAGTCCTGCCAACAGTGTAAAAGTGTTCCTATTTCTCCACATCCTCTCCAGCACCTGTTGTTTCCTGACTTTTTAATGATTGTCATTGTAACCGGTGTGAGATGGTATCTCATTGTGGTTTTGATTTGCATTTCTCTGATGGCCAGTGATGGTGAGCATTTTTTCATGTGTTTTTTGGCTGCATAAACGTCTTCTTTTGAGAAGTGTCTGTTCATATCCTTCACCCACTTTTTGATGGGCTTGTTTGTTTTTTTCTTGTAAATTTGTTTAAGTTCATTGTAGATTCTGTATATTAGCCCTTTGTCAGATGAGTAGGTTGAAAAAATTTTCTCCCATTTTGTAGGTTGCCTGTTCACTCTGATGGTAGTTTCTTTTGCTGTGCAGAAGCTCTTTAGTTTAATTAGATCCCATTTGTCAATTTTGGCTTTTGTTGCCATTGCTTTTGGTGTTTTAGATATGAAGTCCTTGCCCATGCCTATGTCCTGAATGGTAATGCCTAGGTTTTCTTCTAGGGTTTTTATGGTTTTAGGTCTAACGTTTAAGTCTTTAATCCATCTTGAATTAACTTTTGTATAAGGTGTAAGGAAGGGATCCAGTTTCAGCTTTCTACATATGGCTAGCCAGTTTTCCCAGCACCATTTATTAAATAGGGAATCCTTTCCCCATTGCTTGTTTTTCTCAGGTTTGTCAAAGATCAGATAGTTGTAGGTATGCGGCGTTATTTCTGAGGGCTGTGTTCTGTTCCATTGATCTATATCTCTGTTTTGGTACCAGTACCATGCTGTTTTGGTTACTGTAGCCTTGTAGTATAGTTTGAAGTCAGGTAGCATGATGCCTCCAGCTTTGTTCTTTTGGCTCGGGATTGACTTGGAGATGCGGGCTCTGTTTTGGTTCCATATGAACTTTAAAGTAATTTTTTCCAATTCTGTGAAGAAAGTCATTGGTAGCTTGATGGGGATGGCATTTAATCTATAAATTACCTTGGGCGGTATGGCCATTTTCATTTTTTTGATTCTTCCTACCCATGAGCATGGAATGTTCTTCCATTTGTTTGTATCCTCTTTTGTTTCATTGAGCAGTGGTTTGTAGTTCTCCTTGAAGAGGTAGTTCACGTCCCTTGTAGGTTGGATTCCTAGGTATTTTATTCTCTTTGAAGCAATTGTGAATGGGAGTTCACTCATGATTTGGCTCTCTGTTTGTCTGTTATTGGTGTATAAGATTGCTTGTGATTTTTGCACATTGATTTTGAATCCTGAGACTTTGCTGCAGTTGCTTATCAGCTTAAGGAGATTTTGGGCTGAGATGATGGGGTTTTCTAGATATACAATCATGTCATCTGCATACAGGGACAATTTGACTTCCTCTTTTCCTAATTGAATACCTTTTATTTCCTTCTCCTGCATGATTGCCCTGGCCAGAACTTACAACACTATGTTGAATAGGAGTGGTGAGAGAGGGCATCCCTGTCTTGTGCCAGTTTTCAAAGGGAATGCCTCCAGTTTTTGCCCATTTAGTATGATATTGGCTGTGGGTTTGTCATAGATAGCTCTTATTATTTTGAGATACGTCCCATCAATACCTAATTTATTGAGAGTTTTTAGCATGAAGGGTTGTTGAATTTTGTCAAAGGCCTTTTCTGCATCTATTGAGATAATCATGTGGTTTTTGTCTTTGGTTCTGTTTATATGCTGGATTACATTTATTGATTTGCGTATATGGAACCAGTCTCACATCCCAGGGATGAAGCCCATTTGATCATGGTGGATAAGCTTTTTGATGTGCTGCTGGGTTCGGTTTGCCAGTATTTTATTGAGGATTTTTGCATCAATGTTCATCAAGGATATTGGTCTAAAATTGTCTTTTTTGGTTGTGTCTCTGCCCGGCTTTGGTATCAGGATGATGCTGGCCTCATAAAATGAGTTAGGGAGGATTCCCTCTTTTTCTATTGATTGGAATAGTTTCAGAAGGAATGGTACCAGTTCCTCCTTGTACCTCTGGTAGAATTCTGCTGTGAATCCATCTGGTCCTGGACTCTTTTTGGTTGGTAAGCTATTGATTACTGCCACAATATTAGAGCCTCTTATTGGTCTATTCAGAGAGCCAACTTCTTCCTGGTTTAGTCTTGGGCGGGTGTATGTGTTGAAGAATTTATCCATTTCTTCTAGATTTTCTAGTTTATTTGCATAGAGGTGTTTGTAGTATTCTCTGATGATAGTTTGTATTTCTGTGGGATCGGTGGTGATTGCCCCTTTATCATTTTTTATTGCATCTATTTGATTGTTCTCTCTTCTCTTCTTTATTAGTCTTGCTAGCAGTCTATCAATTTTGTTGATCCTTTCAAAAAACAGCTCCTGGATTCATTAATTTTTTGAAGGGTTTTTTTGTGTCTCTATTTCCTTCAGTTCTGCTCTGATGTTAGTTATTTCTTGCCTTCTGCTCTTGCTTTTCTAGTTCTTTTAATTGTGATGTTAGGGTGTCAATTTTGGATCTTTCTTGCTTTCTCTTGTGGGCATTTAGTGCTATAAATTTCCCTCTACACACTGCTTTGAATGTGTCCCAGAGATTCTGGCATGTTGTGTCTTTGTTCTCATTGGTTTCAAAGAACATCTTTATCTCTGCCTTCATTTCATTATGTACCCAGCAGTCATTCAGGAGCAGGTTGTTCAGTTTCCATGTAGTTGAGCGGTTTTGAGTGAGTTTCTTAATCCTGAGTTCTAGTTTGATTGCACTGTGGTCTGAGAGATAGTTTGTTATAATTTCTGTTCTTTTACATTTGCTGAGGAGAGCTTTACTTCCAACTATGTGGTCAATTTTGGAATAGGTGTGGTGTGGTGGTGAAAGGAATGTATAGTCTGTTGATTTGGGGTGGAGAGTTCTATAATGTCTATTAGGTCCACTTGGTGCAGAGCTGAGTTCAATTCCTGGATATCCTTGTTAACTTTCTGTCTCATCGATCTGTGTAATGTTGACAGTGGGGTGTTAAAGTCTCCCATTATTATTGTGTGGGAGTCTAAGTCTCTTTGTAGGTCACTAAGGACTTGCTTTATGAGTCTAGGTGCTCCTGTATTGGGTGCATATATATTTAGGATAGTTAGCTCTTCTTGTTGAATTGATCCCTTTACCATTATGTAATGGCCTTCTTTGTCTCTTTTGATCTTTGTTGGTTTAAGTCTGTTTTATCAGAGACTAGGATTGCAACCCCTGCCTTTTTTTGTTTTCCATTTGCTTGGTAGATCTTCCTCCATCCTTTTATTTTTGAGCCTATATGTGTCTCTGCACGTGAGGTGGGTTTCCTGAATACAGCACACTGATGGATCTTTACTCTTTATCCAATTTGCCAGTCTGTGTTTTTTAATTGGAGAATTTAGTCCATTTACATTTAAAGTTAATATTGTTATGTGTGAATTTGATCCTGTCATTATGATGTTAGCTGGTGATTTTGCTCGTCAGTTGATGCAGTTTCTTCCTAGCCTCGATGGTCTTTACAATTTGGCATGATTTTGCAGTGGCTGATACCGGTTGTTCCTTTCCATGTTTAGTGCTTCCTTCAGGAGCTCTTTTAGGGCAGGCCCGGTGGTGACAAAGTCTCTCAGCGTTTGCTCGTCTGTAAAGTATTTTATTTCTCGTTCACTTATGAAGCTTAGTTTGGCTGGATATGAAATTCTGGGTTGAAAATTCTTTTCTTTAAGAATGTTGAATATTGGCCCCCACTCTCTTCTGGCTTGTAGAGTTTCTGCCGAGAGATCCGCTGTTAGTCTGATGGGCTTCCCTTTGTGGGTAACCCGACCTTTCTCTCTAGCTGCCCTTAACATTTTTTCCTTCATTTCAACTTTGGTGAATCTGACAATTATGTGTCTTGGAGTTGCTCTTCTCAAGGAGTATCTTTGTGGCATTCTCTATATTTCCTGAATCTGAATGTTGGCCTGACTTGCTAGATTGGGGAAGTTCTCCTGGATAATATCCCGCAGAGTGTTTTCCAACTTGGTTCCATTCTCCCCGTCGCTTTCAGGAACACCAATCAGATGTAGATTTGGTCTTTTCACATAGTCCCATATTTCTTCGAGGCTTTGTTCGTTTCTTTTTATTCTTTTTTCTCTAAACTTCCCTTCTTGCTTCATTTCATTCATTTCATCTTCCATCACTGATACCCTTTCTTCCAGTTGATCGCATCAGCTCCTGAGGCTTCTGCATTCTTCACGTAGTTCTTGAGCCTTGGCTTTCAGCTCCATCAGCTCCTTTAAGCACTTCTCTGTATTGGTTATTCTAGTTATACATTCGTCTAAATTTTTTTCAAAGTTTTCAACTTCTTTGCCTTTGGTTTGAATTTCCCCCTGTAGCTCAGAGTCATTTGATCGTCTGAAGCCTTCCTCTCTCAACTCGTCAAGGTCATTCTCCGTCCAGCTTTGTTCCATTGCTGGTGAGGAGCTGCGTTCCTTTGGAGGAGGAGAGGTGCTCTGCTTTTTAGAGTTTCCAGCTTCTGTGCTCTGTTTTTTCCCCATCTTTGTGGTTTTATCTGCTTTTGGTCTTTGATGATGATGATGTACAGATGGGTTTTTGGTGTGGATGTCCTTTCTGTTTGTTAGTTTTCCTTCTAACAGACAGGACCCTCAGCTGCAGGTCTGTTGGAGTTTGCTAGAGGTCCACTCCAGACCCTGTTTGCCTGGGTACCAGAAGCGGTGGCTGCAGAACAGCAGATTTTCGTGAACCGTGAATGCTGCTGTCTGATCGTTCCTCTGGAAGTTTTGTCTCAGAGGAGTACCCGGCTGTGTGAGGTGTCAGTCTGCCCCTACTGGGGGGTGCCTCCCAGTTAGGCTGCTTGGGGGTCACAGGTCAGGGACCCACTTGAGGAGGCAGTCTGCCTGTTCTCAGATCTCCAGCTGCGTGCTGCGAGAACCACTGCTCTCTTCAAAGCTGTCAGACAGGGACATTTAAGTCTGCAGAGGTTACTGCTGTCTTTTTGTTTGTCTGTGCCCTGCCCCCAGAGGTGGAGCCTACAGAGACAGGCAGGTCTCCTTGAGCTGTGGTGGGCTCCACCCAGTTAGAGCTTCCTGGCTGCTTTGTTTACCTAAGCAAGCCTGGGCAATGGCGGGCGCCCCTCCCACAGCCTTGCTGCCACCTTGCAGTTTGATCTCAGAGTGCTGTGCTAGCAATCAGCGAGACTCCGTGGGCGTAGGACCCTCCGAGCCAGGTGCGGGATATAATCTCCTGGTGTGCTGTTTTTTAAGCCCATAGGAAAAGCACAGTATTGGGGTGGGAGTGACCCGATTTTCCAGGTGCCCTCTGTCACCCCTTTCTTTGACTAGGAAAGGGAACTCCCTGACCCCTTGCACTTCCCGAGTGAGGCAATGCCTTGCCCTGCTTTGGCTCACGCATGGTGTGCTGCACCCACTGTCCTGTGCCCACTGTCTGGCACTCCCTAGTGAGATGAACCCAGTACCTCAGATGGAAATGCAGAAATCTCCCGCCTTCTGTGTCGCTCACCCTGGGAGCTGTAGACCGGAGCTGTTCTTATTCGGCCACCTTGGCTCCACCCTACAGGATTCTTTTTAGTCCAGGCTCACCTAGTTCTTGTCAGCTTTCCTCACTTGAGCACCTCTCAGCAGAATGCACCTCCAGTCCCACCTTCTATTCTGAAAGGGAAAAGGAGATAGTAAGAGTCAAATAGGAAAAAGCTTGGATGCACTTTGCTGCTCCCACCAAAAGCTGTGCTATTTGCTCTTTAAGTTCTTAGGGCTCTCTGGGTGTGCAATGGATGAGAAGTAGGCAGATAATGTAATTAACTAAATTAAATCTACTTAAAAGGTTTTTAAACACTTACCCAGCATATTATGTTGTGAATGAGAGAATGATAGAATTATATTTTCTGGAGCAGTGTACACTGATCATCTTTTATTTTCAGCAAAAAAACCTCTTGTGTTACTAACACAATAACATATACAAATAAAGTCAAGAAGTACCAGTGTTGTCATTTCTCTATTATAGAATCCACTCATATTTTAGTTATTCCAAAACTCTTTAACTGCCACAAAAGAGGGCAATCCTAGAGATGTCACATTTTAAATTCTAGGCACAAAACCCTTCAGATGACATAGCAGTTATTCCTTCTTTTCCTAATGAGGCTGACAGCCACCAGAGGCCCTCCAACTCCAGAACTCAACAATAGAACTGGAATGCTAATGAGCTCTCAACAGTGCATCAGCCCAGAGGTAAATCTGGTGGTGATCGATCATTCTGAAAGCACATATTTGCCTGTCATGTCCACAACTGGTATGTTAAGCACCTGCAGTCTGCTCCATGTCTATATAGGCTTCTTTTCTATGGAGTACTGTCTTAATGTCAACAACCATTTTAGGTTAATCTGTTCACTTGTTATTCCTTACCTGAAATTATTTTCTCAATATTCTTCTGCCTCAAAACAAATTCTCAATGTTCACTGTCTCTTGTGAGGGAAATCTCATACTGGCAAAGATGACTCTGCTTTTTTGGTGCTGATAATATTCACTGTTATTCAACAAAAGATTTTACTTTATCCCATGAATAATAATGCTGAGCCTTTGATTTACTGAGTCGGATGAGTGATTGAGGTTGAGAGGCCTGGGTTATACCTCCACAGTCTACTTTGTGAGTATCTGGGTACTCAGAGATCTAGTTATGGAAGAGTCCAGGAAAGAACTTAATGGTCTGCCTTGTTCTCCACACAGGCTCCAACAGCAGGAGAAGACCATTTTGTATGGCTCGATCCTTCCAAGGTTGGGAGCCAAACAACCTGCTGAACATGCCAATGTGGCATAACTATGAACTAAAGAAACATCCTCCACCCAAATCTCCCAGGCCAGGAATAAGGAGGGCTAAAGACCTCTCTACAGTCTGCCACCTCAGTGTTTCATGTTTATATTGTCAAGTCGCTCCTCAATAAAATTCATCCCATTTCCAGAATGTCTCAGAGCAGACAGATCACTCAGCTGGGAGTCAATTCCCCTTCAACCCATCTTCATCAAGATACCATATTATCCTCCTTAAAAGGGCATTATCGGCCAGGTGTGGTGGCACAGGCCTATAGTTCCAGCTACTGGGGAGGCTGAGGTGGGAGGATCACTAAAGCCCAGGAGGTCAAGGCTGCAGTGATCTGTGATTGTGCCACTGCATTCCAGCCTGGATGACACAGCAAAACCCTGTCTCAGAAAAAAAAAAAAAGGCATTATCTCATCATTCCTCTGCCATAGGTACTGCGATGATTCTCTATTGAATCATTTGGATAAGGCCAGCCTTCCTCAATATCATATTCAAGGTTCTCCATTGTTTTTCCCCAGTCAATACTTTTCTAGTATATTTTCCACTTCTCTTCTTTTCATTGGCATTTCTATCCAAAGCTTATCTTTGTTGATGCAGTTCACCCACTTGAAATTCTCTCACAGTTTTCAACAACAAGGACTCTACTCAACTACAGAATGAGTGTCTCTTGGAGTGGGAACACAAGAGGAGAAATTTTTGGTCATTGAGAGTGATTTTATTCTTAACCTATTTTCCCAGTGAGACTCTAAAAGCCCAAGAGGGCAAATACACTTGCCTTCCAGGGACCTAAGCTGCCACATTTAGTTAAGGTTATTTGTCTTTTGCAAGATACTCTAGAGCACTGAGACATTTCACAATGTTTCATTACAGAGGAAGTGAGGATTATGGCATGTAAATTTTAATGTTGAGAAATTCCGTTTTTCACAGTTATTTTAACTTCCCTAAAAGCACATACAACTGTAATCATCTCAAAAAAGGAGAGTTCTGATAGCTATCTACTTCTTTGCCATTAATTCAACCTATTCATTCTATGATTAAACACATCCTTTACATTGTGTTTTGGATTTGCCCAACTGTCTAAGTTGTTTGAGAGAATATGTTCAGAGGTCTTCAAGAAAAAAAGTGTTTTTAGATTTTTGATCACACTAGTCTCGTTCATGACAAGATATCAAAATATCAAGATTCTTATCTTAATCAAACGAACTTACTTCTATCCTAGGAAAAAATTTGGAAGTACCCGGTTCAGATTTTTTAAAACCTTCTTTCTATTTCCCACAAGATGTTTTACAAGTTCAGAGAAGCAGTTGTTTTCAGAATTTTGACCTTGATTTGTATAGAATCAACCTAGCTATTGTAACTTCCTACATCTTAAATAACATGTTTTTCACATTAACTTTGATGAACTGCTGCCTGAAATTGATTCCTTGGACCTTAATTTAGTGGTCCATTGGCTACTTGCTTTATAAGAATGTTTATTTTTATTCTAGAAGTCAAAGATCAAAATGAGCTATTCCTTACCACATTTCAGACATGGTAATTTTAACAGGGCATAGAAGTTTGTTTCTATTGTGCAACCTCTGATGCTGCACAATTAACGACCACTGAAAGAACCTGAGGGAAAAAATATTATTATTAATACTGGCTGCTGTTTTTGTGAGGTGGTAGTTGCTACTGCTGGGAAATTAAGTGGAAGAAAAGGGAAAAAATGAAAAATTTTACATTTGCAGATTTAACATATGTGGAGGGACGACTTGCTTCAAGGCATTTGCATACTAACTTTTAACAGTAGTAGCAACATTAAGTGATATTTTAGTTCAAGATTTATATTTGGTGCTAATAATCTGAGGAATAATTTAGAGAACTACACACACAGAGAAACACACACACACGCACACGCACACAGAGACACACAGTGTGAGATCTAAAACGTAGCATTTGCCAGAAAGTAGGGCTATAACTCAGTAAAATGATGTTGGCTACCAAGCATGAAAAGCCCTGCTTACTTATGCTGGGACGCACTTATAAATCAAAAGAAGCCCTGAGGTGAACAAATCATTTATGCAAAAATTTTGCTTTTGCCTACATAAGTGATTAGCTTTAATTCAGTACTTTTTTTAAGCCTGATAGCTCATTTTTTTTTATCATTTAGTAAGTGTCCTCACAAGTTTATCAGATAATTTGCTAAAAACCACTGATGCCATAGATTAATTTACATGTAAGGATAAGTGGCATTGTTTCGAAAGCTTTCTACCTCCCCAGTACATATACCTTTTGCCATCTCTTTAATTAGAGCACACTTGGAGCCCAAAATAGAATCTCCTGGTAATGTAAATGTGCTTGAAAATGGTTAAAAGGGTAAATTTTATGTTATATATATTTTACCACAATAAATAAATAATTTTAAAAATCACCATTAAAACAAATAAAACTTAAATACCCCAGGTTTACCTCCAGATGATATTGTTTAATTGCCCCTGCCTGGAAGGCATAGGTATTTATTAAACATTCTACAGATGACTCAGATGTCCCCAGGGTTACTAACCTCTGACCCAGCTGACTCCTGTCTCTGTTAGCCACTTCCTCTTGCAAGTTCTCCTGCACATTGACATCCTGTTAAAGTCCCAAAAACTTTTATCACATCACTCTCCTGTTCAGTTCCTTCACTTGCTCCCCATGACTGGACCATTGTCAACTGTTTAAGCAGTAACTTCTATAAGTGAGGAAGGCATCATTGAGTATAATAGACAGCATTTAATATTAATTTTAATACTAGGGAAATATTTTGAATCTTAAAAACTGACACATAGCAAAATATATATAAGCCTAGATTTCCAGGGTCAGAGCCAGGTCCATAGTTTGTAAACTATGTGGCTACCCAAGTGGGATGAAAAACTTCTCACTTGGTGGTTCATGTCTAGAAAACTGAAATTCCAAAATCAAGGCTTCATTTCGTTGGGTTAAAGAAGCAAAGAACATTAAAATGCAAATGTCCCTAAGGGGGAAGTCTGACATGGGATTGCCTTTCCTTTCTAGCTGGACTATTAACTGAAGGGAAGATCTATCTGATGGGGAATTGGTAGAGAGATCAAGAACACTGGGAATCTCCAGAGACTCTCAGCATTAGGAGAAGCCCATATGAAAAAAAGGAGTAAAAATGCTGAAAACCAGCTCTCTTTACTTCATCATTTTCCTTTAATAGCTCTGCCTTAAGGTGTGTGCATGTGTGTGCACTTGCACAATCTGTGTAAGAGAGTGAGGGAAATATTTAAAATTACAGCTATCTTCTAAGATTAGATAGTTGTGATTTAAATAATAATTCTTTAGTTGGAAATTTTAAAAATGAGCAATGAGAAGGTGCTTGCTCTATCAAACATTAAAAAGTAGAACAAAGTTACAAAAACTAAAGTATCGTGGGAGTAGCATTGGAATACACAGAGAGATAAATGAATAGAAAAAAATCAATAAACATATTCAAGTATACACACATTTATGTATGGATTTTATGTTATTTAGCAGATGATAAAGATGACATAAAATCATGAGGCCATTAAAATGTAGAAACAGGCCCGGCGCGGTGGTTCACACCTGTAATCCCAGCACTTTGGGAGGCTGAGGAGGGCAGATAACTTGAGGTCGGGAGTTCAGTTCGAGACCAGCCTGGCCAACATGGAGAAACACCATCTCTACTGAAAATACAAAATTAGCCGGGCATGGTGGCACATGCCTATAATCCCAGCTACTCGGGAGGCTGAGGCAGAAGAATCGCTTGAACCCAGGAGGCAGAGGTTGCGGTGAGCCGAGATTGAGCCATTGCACTCCAGCCTAGGCAACAAGAGTGAAACTCCAACTCAAAATAATAATAATAATAATAATAATAATAATAATAATAATAAAAGAAAATAAAATGTAGAAACATATTTATTGGCATAAGAAGTTAAGGTAAGACACTCTTGCTTTACACATAGATAGACATATAGGTAATTATGGAAAAAAACAATGATAAAAGGGGTTATCATCAGATGGTGGCACTTTGGGTCACTTTAATTTTTTCCTGTTGTTTATCTGAATGTTTAAAATATAAGTTATACTCATGTAACTTGTATAAAAATGCTTTATCATTTACAAAAGGCTGAAACTGAAGAGGTTTTTTATATCAGAAGCTTATAAACACAGTGATAATTTATTCTGATACTATTTTATAATTACCGCAGGGTTTGCAGAAGCTTAGACTGCTTATAAAAATAGAAGCCCAAGAAATACAGATCCACATCTAGAAAAATGGGTCTCTAAAATCTCAAAGGAAGATTCTATAAATGAAGTAAATACTAGGTTTATAGAATAGTATGAAATAAGGAATTATTTTCCAGTAGAGTGGGCACAGTAGGTGAAACGTATAAAACTTATTGAGGCACGGGAACTATGAGTTAGGCTGGAAGAACTTACTTTATATTTCAGCCTGAAAGAGGTGAGAAAAAAAGAAAAAGAAGATCTTTTTTTTTTTTGCCCATAATTCTTTTTGTCCTTTTCCAGGAGCAATCTAGCAAAGATTAAAGATGTGCACAGAATAATGTTGTTGAGGGTAGTGGCAAGGTGTCCACAGGAGTGACATGACCTGAGAGCCCACACAAGGATTGAGGCAGCAATATTTTCCAGCAAGCCTGTGCTTCTATTGCTAAAAGGGCTGTGTAAGTCAGATAAATGCCAAACTCGTAATTCACCCAGACACAGCTTTTATACCGGCTAGGTCAATCCAATTATCTCAGAGCAGGGACAATGGGGAAAGTGCATCAGGATGTATTAGGCAGCTTTCCACTAGCAAAATGAGGTTAAAAAATATGGAAACTTCCCACTACCACCTATAGGGTGACCACATAGCTTATTGATGTACAGAGCTTCTACCTCCTGTCCCCTCAGCCCAAACCCACCTTCCCAAGACTATAGGACCACTCTCCTACAGCGAGACCAAACTCCAAGTAAGTTTTATATATACTATATTTTTACTCAAAAGCCTTCCCATGTGTCAAAATGGCTCTAAGTAATCAACACTTATTAAGAGTTTACAATATGCCAGGCATTGCTGTAAGCCATTTACAATTATGAATGAACTTATTTAATGCTCACAGCCCAAGGCTGTAGGTACTGTTTTCTTCCGCATTTCACCTATAAGGACTTACAGACACAGAGATATTAGGTAACTTGATTGATATCACACAGCTAGTAAGTGGCAGAGCTGGGATACTAACAGACAAAGCCTTCTCTTTCAACTTTCGCATTGTATTTTGAGAGAAATAAATGGCTTAGTGTAAGTTTATATCTATCCACAAGGCTCCAACCACAAAAGAGGGTCAAATAAGAATCCTCAAATCTAACCAAAGAGAAGAGTACTTCATCTCCTTGAGGGTAGAGATAGAGATGAGTAGGAAGAAAAAAGAAGAAAGGATTGAGGAAGACTGAAGGGAGGAACGAAGGATCGAGTAATCAGAAGCAGGGCCCACAATGAAGATAAAGAAACCGTGATGCATCCACACAGTAGAATACTACTCAGCAAACACGGATGAAATCTCAAGTGCATTCTGCCAAGTGATAGAAGCCAGACACAAAAGGCTACCTTCTTTATGACTCAATTTACATGAAATTCTGGAAGAAGCAAAGCCTTAAGGATGGAAAACACCAGTTGCCAGGGTTTGAGTTGGCAAGGGTAGGAGGTGTGACTATAAAGGTGGATTAGGTAATTTTTTAGGTAATTAACCACTCAATACATTTGTCAGAAGTCTCAGAAGCGTACATTAAAAAGGGTGAATTTTACTGTATCTAAATTATACCTTAATTTTTAAAAAACACATCACCCGCAACACCCAGAACAGCTTTGAAAATACTGTTTCTCGGCCGGGCGCGGTGGCTCACGCCTCTAATCCCAGCACTTCAGGAGGCCGGGGTGGGCAGATCACGAGGTAGGCGATCCAGACTATCCTGTCTAACACGGTGAAACCCCGTCTCTACTAAAAATACAAAACATTAGCCGTGCGTGGTGGCGGGCGCCTGTAGTCCCAGCTACTGGGGAGGCTGAGTCAGGAGAATGGCGTGAACCCGGGAGGCGGAGCTTACAGTGAGCCAAGATCGCGCCACTGCACTCCAGCCTGGGTGACAGAGCGAGAGTCTGTGTCAAAAAAAAACCAAAAAAAATCTGTTTCTCTCACTTGGCGTTCAGTAATCATTTAGCTTAGATAGGGCACTTGTCCTATGAGCACAGTCCTGTTTGTGATGTATAGTGGGATGATATTTCTTCTGTCTTAAACTGGGTTAGTTAAGAAATTTCCTTTCGGCAGGCACAGTGGCTCCTGCCTGTAATCCCAGCACTTGGGAGGCCAAGGTGGAAGGATCACTTGAGCCCAGGAATTTGAGGTGGAAGTGAGCCATGATCACACCACTGCCCTGCAGCATAGGTGACAGAGTGAGACCCTGTCTCAAAAAGATAAAGAAGTTTCCTTTGGAAATTACGACACTGAAAATTGATTCCAGGTTAAGGGATATTAAAGTTAATAATAATAATAATATAACTAATTGAATAAAATAAGAATACTAAGTTCATACTAATATTAAATATCTAAATGGGGACAAGAGAAAGCTTTCTTACAATAGAATACAACTAATAAATGTAGGTGTAATAATAGAGTTGTTTAAAGAAAAATCATCATTTTGGAAAAAACTACCATTTTGTTTCTACCGTAGTTATAATTGATCCAGCAAGAATTATCAATGGATTCTAAACCTGGTTGGTGGATATTTGATGAGAATCAGGATAGCTCCACATATTCCAAAAAGTATATTGGCACATATTACTTATTAATTACAAAGGTGAGAATAGTAAGTGTAAGATGTAAAAAGCTTAATCAATGATCAAAGTTAACATCAACAATTCTGAAACAAATTAAATTCTCATGCCCCCTGATGTGATGTCCTGAGTACATATCACTAGGTACTATTCCTGCCCAAAATGCCTAACCTGAGTATAATTTTAAGGAAACCTCAGACAAACTCAAACTGAGGAACATTTTACAAAATAATTGGCCGGTACTCTTCAAAAATGTCAAGTTCAAAAAAGTTAATGAAAATCGAATTCAAGAAGATGGAAGAGTCTTGACAACTAAATAAAACGTGTGAACCTTGTGATTAGATTTAGGACTGGGAAAAAGGCAATAAAGGACACTATTAAGACAACTGGTGAATTTCGAATATGGCCTTGGTAATAGAATTATATCGATGCTAAATTTCCTAAATTTGATAAATGTACTCTGGTTATATAACAGAATATTCTTATCTACTCTCAAATGATTCAGAAAAAAAATCTATAAGTATACACACACACACATATATATATATACACACACACAGAATATAAAGCAGATGTGAAAGTGTTAACAATAAATGAAGGTGAAGAACATGAGATTTCTTTGTATCCCTCTTGCAACTTTCCTGTAAGTTCAAAATTATACCAATCAAAAAAATTACCCCCCAAATTAGGATTCAGAGAACTGAAATACTTTCCCCAGGGTCAGAAAGCTAGTGCATGCATAGAATAAGGATTCCAATGGGTGGTCTGATTACAAAGATCACACTCTTTTCACTGACTTGGGCTGCACCACACCATTAGTCCAATAGCCTGTCTCTTGCCTCAAGTGTCACTCTTGAGGGTAAGCAGCAAAAATAATGCTGTAGATAGTTAATATAACTGTTCTTCTAATGAAAGCAGCTCAGCCAACACTGGAAAAATGCTACAAAAATACTGAGAATTCAGAGGCTAAGAGGGAGGCAATAATAATAATATGCTATTATCATAGTAATGGCTTCAAATGAATTCATCTTCTGAATTCCTAGCGGGGAATAGCACAATAGCAGATACCTGCAACAGGAATTGTTCTATTGGAGGAAGCCAGTTTTTCTTCATTAGTCTGTATACTTGGAGGTTACAGTAGCAACATCAGAAAAGAAAAAAAATTTCCTTGAAGTTCTTCAACCTCTCTGAGAATCAATAGTAACACTAAAAAAATAGCTGGCATTTATTGGCACATACTATATGTATCAGACACTTTCTAAGCACATTACCCATGTAAACTCATTGCATCATCATGTACCATGAGTAGCACTATTGTAATCTCCATCTTCCAGCTGCAGAAACCAAGGCAAAGAGAGATTAGTTAAATTGCAGCTAGAAAGGAAGAACCAAGATTTGTCGGTCAGGTTATAAGGTCTACACTCTAGACCACTGTTCTTTATAGCCTCCCAGGAAAGAAAAATTCATGTGAATCATCCTGAAACAAAATGCACCTTCAGTGTTATGGATAAGTTTATGATCTAGAAACATTTTTATTTTACTTCAAAGGTAAAATGATAGATCTCTTGGAAATTAATTAAAACACATGGGAGCTCACCCATCAATATAGAAAAATATAATGACCAGATGATGAACATAATTTGATGATGGCTGAGTTTGCTTTTTTGTTCTACTTTGGACAAAACAAAACAGATACCTGATCACCACTCTGATGGGGCATGGTTACTACTAATCAGGATAACACGTCACATTTAATCAATTCTGAGATGCAGTTTTAAAAATTTTTTTTTCACATTGTAACTTATCTGAACTTGGGATGCAATTTATAAATAATAGGAGTCATGGTTGATTGACACAGATTTTTCTTTTGTTCTTTTTTTTTTTTCAATTTTTTTTTTTATTATACTTTAAGTTTTAGGGTACATGTGCACATTGTACAGGTTAGTTACATATGTATACATGTGCCATGCTGGTGCACTGCACCCACTAACTCGTCATCTAGCATTAGGTATATCTCCCAATGCTATCCCTCCCCCCTCCCCCCACCCCACCACAGTCCCCAGAGTATGATATTCCCCTTCCTGTGTCCATGTGATCTCATTGTTCAATTCCCACCTATGAGTGAGAATATGCGGTGTTTGGTTTTTTGTTCTTGCGATAGTTTACTGAGAATGATGATTTCCAATTTCATCCATGTCCCTACAAAGGACATGAACTCATCATTTTTATGGCTGCATAGTATTCCATGGTGTATATGTGCCACATTTTCTTAATCCAGTCTATCATTGTTGGACATTTGGGTTGGTTCCAAGTCTTTGCTATTGTGAATAGTGCCGCAATAAACATACGTGTGCATGTGTCTTTATAGCAGCATGATTTATAGTCATTTGGGTATATACCCAGTAATGGGATGGCTGGGTCAAATGGTATTTCTAGTTCTAGATCCCTGAGGAATCGCCACACTGACATCCACAATGGTTGAACTAGTTTACAGTCCCACCAACAGTGTAAAAGTGTTCCTATTTCTCCACATCCTCTCCAGCACCTATTGTTTCCTGACTTTTTAATGATTGCCATTCTAACTGGTGTGAGATGGTATCTCATAGTGGTTTTGATTGGCATTTCTCTGATGGCCAGTGATGATGAGCATTTTTTCACGTGTTTTTTGGCTGCATAAACGTCTTCTTTTGAGAAGTGTCTGTTCATGTCCTTCGCCCACTTTTTGATGGGTTTTTTTTTTTCTTGTAAATTTGTTTGAGTTCATTGTAGATTCTAGATATTAGCCCTTTGTCAGATGAGTAGGTTGCAAAAATTTTCTCCCATTTTGTAGGTTGCCTGCTCACTCTGATGGTAGTTTCCTTTGCTGTGCAGAAGCTCTTTAGTTTAATTAGATCCCATTTGTCAATTTTGGCTTTTGTTGCCATTGCTTTTGGTGTTTTGGACATGAAGTCCTTGCCCATGCCTATGTCCTGAATGGTAATGCCTAGGTTTTCTTCTAGGGTTTTTATGGTTTTAGGTCTAACGTTTAAATCTTTAATCCATCTTGAATTGATTTTTGTATAAGGTGTAAGGAAGGGATCCAGTTTCAGCTTTCTACATATGGCTAGCCAGTTTTCCCAGCACCATTTATTAAATAGGGAATCCTTTCCCCATTGCTTGTTTTTCTCAGGTTTGTCAAAGATCAGATAGTTGTAGGTATGCGGCGTTATTTCTGAGGGCTGTGTTCTGTTCCATTGATCTATATCTCTGTTTTGGTACCAGTACCATGCTGTTTTGGTTACTGTAGCCTTGTAGTATAGTTTGAAGTCAGGTAGTGTGATGCCTCCAGCTTTGTTCTTTTGGCTTAGGATTGACTTGGCAATGTGGGCTCTTTTTTGGTTCCATATGAACTTTAAAGTAATTTTTTTCCAATTCTGTGAAGAAAGTCATTGGTAGCTTGATGGGGATGGCATTGAATCTGTAAATTACCTTGGGCAGTATGGCCATTTTCACGATATTGATTCTTCCTACCCATGAGCATGGAATATTCTTCCACTTGTTTGTATCCTCTTTTATTTCCTTGAGCAGTGGTTTGTAGTTCTCCTTGAAGAGGTCCTTCACATCCCTTGTAAGTTGGATTCCTAGGTATTTTATTCTCTTTGAAGCAATTGTGAATGGGAGTTCACTGATGATTTGGCTCTCTGTTTGTCTGTTATTTGTGTATAAGAATGCTTGTGATTTTTGCACATTGATTTTGTATCCTGAGAGTTTGCTGAAGTTGCTTATCAGCTTAAGGAGATTTTGGGCTGAGACAATGGGGTTTTCTAGATATACAATCATGTCATCTGCAAACAGGGACAATTTGACTTCCTCTTTTCCTAATTGAATACACTTTATTTCCTTCTCCTGCCTAATTGCCCTGGCCAGAACTTCCAACACTATGTTGAATAGGAGTGGTGAGAGGGGGCATCCCTGTCTTGTGCCAGTTTTCAAAGGGAATGCTTCCAGTTTTTGCCCATTCAGTATGATATTGGCTGTGGGTTTGTTATAGATAGCTCTTATTATTTTGAAATACGTCCCATCAATACCTAATTTATTGAGAGTTTTTAACATGAAGGGTTGTTGAATTTTGTCAAAGGCTTTTTCTGCATCTATTGAGATAATTATGTGGTTTTTGTCTTTGGCTCTGTTTATATGCTGGATTACATTTATTGATTTGCGTATATTGAACCAGCCTTGCATCCCAGGGATGAAGCCCACTTGATCATGGTGGATAAGCTTTTTGATGTGCTGCTGGATTCAGTTTGCCAGTATTTTATTGAGGATTTTTGCATCAATGTTCATCAACGATATTGGTCTAAAATTCTCTTTTTTGGTTGTGTCTCTGCCCAGCTTTGGTATCAGAATGATGCTGGCCTCATAAAATGAGTTAGAGAGGATTCCTTCTTTTTCTATTGATTGGAATAGTTTCAGAAGGAATGGTACCAGTTCTTCCTTGTACTTCTGGTAGAATTCTGCTGTGAATCCATCTGGTCCTGGACTCTTTTTGGTTGGTAAACTATTGATTATTGCCACAATTTCAGATCCTGTTATTGGTCTATTCAGAGATTCAACTTCTTCCTGGTTTAGTCTTGGGAGAGTGTATGTGTCGAGGAATTTATCCATTTCTTCTAGATTTTCTAGTTTATTTGCGTAGAGGTGTTTGTAGTATTCTCTGATGGTAGTTTGTATTTCTGTGGGATCAGTGGTGATATCCCCTTTATCATTTTTTATTGTGTCTATTTGATTCTTCTCTCTTTTTTTCTTTATTAGTCTTGCTAGCGGTCTATCAATTTTGTTGATCCTTTCAAAAAACCAGCTCCTGGATTCATTGATTTTTTGAAGGGTTTTTTGTGTCTCTGTTTCCTTCAGTTCTGCTCTGATTTTAGTTATTTCTTGCCTTCTGCTAGCTTTTGAATGTGTTTGCTCTTGCTTCTCTAGTTCTTTTAATTGTGATGTTAGGGTGTCAATTTTGGATCTTTCCTGCTTTCTCTTGTGGGCATTTAGTGCTATAAATTTCCCTCTACACACTGCTTTGAATGCATCCCAGAGATTCTGGTATGTTGTGTCTTTGTTCTCATTGGTTTCAAAGAACATCTTTATTTCTGCCTTCATTTCGTTATGTACCCAGTAGTCATTCAGGAGCAGGTTGTTCAGTTTCCATGTAGTTGAGCGGCTTTGAGTGAGATTCTTAATCCTGAGTTCTAGTTTGATTGCACTGTGGTCTGAGAGACAGTTTGTTATAATTTCTGATCTTTTACATTTGCTGAGGAGAGCTTTACTTCCAAGTATGTGGTCAATTTTGGAATAGGTGTGGTGTGGTGCTGAAAAAAAATGTATATTCTGTTGATTTGGGGTGGAGAGTTCTGTAGATGTCTATTAGGTCCACTTGGTGCAGAGCTGAGTTCAATTCCTGGGTATCCTTGTTGACTTTCTGTCTCGTTGATCTGTCTAATGTTGACAGTAGGGTGTTAAAGTCTCCCATTATTAATGTGTGGGAGTCTAAGTCTCTTTGTAGGTCACTCAGGACTTGCTTTATGAATCTGGGTGCTCCTGTATTGGGTGCATATATATTTAGTATAGTTAGCTCTTCTTGTTGAATTGATCCCTTACCATTATGTAATGGCCTTCTTTGTCTCTTTTGATCTTTGGTGGTTTAAAGTCTGTTTTATCAGACTAGGATTGCAACCCCTGCCTTTTTTTGTTTTCCATTTGCTTGGTAGATCTTCCTCCATCCTTTTATTTTGAGCCTATGTGTGTCTCTGCACGTGAGATGGGTTTCCTGAATACAGCACACTGATGGGTCTTGACTCTTTATCCAATTTGCCAGTCTGTGTCTTTTAATTGGAGCATTTAGTCCATTTACATTTAAAGTTAATATTGTTATGTGTGAATTTGATCCTGTCATTGTGATGTTAGCTGGTGATTTTGCTCGTTAGTTGATGCAGTTTCTTCCTAGTCTCGATGGTCTTTACATTTTGGCATGATTTTGCAGTGGCCGGTACCGGTTGTTCCTTTCCATGTTTAGCGCTTTCTTCAGGAGCTCTTTTAGGGCAGGCCTGGTGGTGACAAAATCTCTCAGCATTTGCTTGTCTGTGAAGTATTTTATTTCTCGTTCACTTATGAAGCTTAGTTTGGCTGGATATGAAATTCTGGGTTGAAAATTCTTTTCTTTAAGAATGTTGAATATTGGCCCCCACTCTCTTCTGGCTTGTAGAGTTTCTGCCGAGAGATCCGCTGTTAGTCTGATGGGCTTCCCTTTGAGGGTAACCCGACCTTTCTCTCTAGCTGCCCTTAACATTTTTTCCTTCATTTCAACTTTGGTGAATCTGACAATTATGTGTCTTGGAGTTGCTCTTCTCGAGGAGTATCTTTGTGGTGTTCTCTGTATTTCCTGAATCTGAATGTTGGCCTGCCTTGCTAGATTGGGGAAGTTCTCCTGGATAATATCCTGCAGAGTGTTTTCCAACTTGGTTCCATTCTCCCCATCACTTTCAGTTACACCAATCAGACGTAGATTTGGTCTTTTCACATAGTCCCATTTTTCTTGGAGGCTTTGCTCATTTCTTTTTATTGTTTTTGCTCTAACCTTCCCTTCTCGCTTCATTTCATTCATTTCATCTTCCATTGCTGATACCCTTTCTTCCAGTTGATCGCATCGGCTCCTGAGGCTTCTGCATTCTTCACGTAGTTCTCGAGCCTTGGTTTTCAGCTCCATCAGCTCCTTTAAGCACTTCTCTGTATTGGTTATTCTAGTTATACATTCATCTAAATTTTTTTCAAAGTTTTCAACTTCTTTGCCTTTGGTTTGAATGTCCTCCCGTAGCTCAGAGTAATTTGATCGTCTGAAGCCTTCTTCTCTCAGCTCTTCAAAGTCATTCTCCATCCAGCTTTGTTCCGTTGCTGGTGAGGAACTGCGTTCCTTTGGAGGAGAAGAGGCGCTCTGCGTTTTAGAGTTTCCAGTTTTTCTGTTCTGTTTTTTCCCCATCTTTGTGGTTTTATCTACTTTTGGTCTTTGATGATGGTGATGTACAGATGGGTTTTCGGTGTGGATGTCCTTTCTGTTTGTTAGTTTTCCTTCTAACAGACAGGACCCTCAGCTGCAGGTCTGTTGGAATACCCTGCCGTGTGAGGTGTCAGTGTGCCCCTCCTGGGGGTGCCTCCCAGTTAGGCTGCTCAGGGGTCAGGGGTCAGGGACCCACTTGAGGAGGCAGTCTGACGGTTCTCAGATCTCCAGCTGGGTGCTGGGAGAACCACTGCTCCCTTCAAAGCTGTCAGACAGGGACATTTAAGTCGCAGAGGTTACTGCTGTCTTTTTGTTTGTCTGTGCCCTGCCCCCAGAGGTGGAGCCTACAGTGGCAGGCAGGCCTCCTTGAGCTGTGGTGGGCTCCACCCAGTTCGAGCTGCTTTGTTTACCTAAGCAAGCCTGGGCAATGGCGGGCGCCCCTCCCACAGCCTCGCTGCCGCCTTGCAGTTCGATCTCAGACTGCTGTGCTAGCAATCAGGGAGACTCTGTGGGCGTAGGACACTCCGAGCCAGGTGTGGGATATAGTCTCGTGGTGCGCCGTTTTTTAAGCCGGTCTGAAAAGCGCAATATTCGGGTGGGAGTGAACTGATTTTCCAGGTGCGTCCGTTACCCCTTTCTTTGACTCGGAAAGGGAACTCCCTGACCCCTTGAGCTTCCCAGGTGAGGCAATGCCTCGCCCTGCTTTGGCTCGCGCACCGTGCGCGCACCCACTGGCCTGCACCCACTGTCTGACACTCCCTAGTGAGATGAACCCGGTACCTCAGATGGAAATGCAGAAATCATCCGTCTTCTGCGTGGCTCACGCTGGGAGCTGTAGACCGGAGCTGTTCCTATTCGGCCGTCTTGGCTCCTCCCCCCTTTTCTTTTGTTCTTAATGGTAAATAAAATAATGATGTATCTCGTAATCAATTGATGACATCTTAGAATTGATAAAATATGCTAAACTTCCTTCCTCCTTCTTCTGATCAAGTCACATAATATGTAATCTTAAAAACATTTATTTTAGCTGATTTTGATAAGCATCACATTGTATTCACAGTATTGTTCACATATATAATGTTTACATTAAACATTATTTCACATTTATTAATTATAACATGTAATCTTATATTGCATTGATGCTGGAGAAAAAATCTTTCATTTACTCCCAAATGTATATTTTCACTTCTTTTAAGGCATTTATTATAATAGTCCAAGATCAATTGCAAGTATTCATAAATGCAATAGGAAATGCTATAAATTGATCATTTAAAGAAATCTTAGTAGGTTTAGTTTTTTACAACAGAGCTGCATTGAACAATTACTGCACACATACACTGTGGTAAGGCTGAGAAAGCACACAAATGTTAACATGCAGCCCCAACCTCAGGAAGCTCAACATTTGTCACATTTAATGACATGAATTGATAAGGATTCTTTTTTGGTTTTGTAAGAGAAAAGGTCTTCTGTCATCCAGGCTGGAGTGCAGTGGCACAATCATAGCTTACTGTAACCTCAAACTCCTGGGCTTAAGTGATCCTCCCAACTCAGCCTCCCGAAATGTTGGGATTACAGGTGTGAGCCACTGCACCTGGCCTGAATGTATTCTTTCTAAGGAAATCTGAGGGGTCATAAATAGCATGGGGCACATAATTTTCTTTCTTTCAGATGTACCAAGAGGAAAAAAAAATCACAAACTTTGATAAGTAAAAGACATAAATAATATGATAGTGCTGCATTAAGTAGTACAAAGTGGAACACTTCAGATGTACCCAGCAAATGCTCTTGTTGAACAAAATAGTCTGGGTGTCTGTTCATTTCACTCATAATTACTGAGTGCCCACTCTATACTTAATATGAAGATGTGATGATTAGTTTTATTTGTCAACTTGGCTAGACCACAGTCCCTAATTATTCAATCAAATGTTAATCCAAGTGTTGCCATGAAGGCATTTTGTGTGTTATTAAAGTCCACAATCAATTGATTTTAAGTAAGGGAGATTATACTACATAATCTGAGTGGGCTTGATTTATTCAGTCCATTTAAAGGCCCTGAGAGCAAAGCTAAGGCTTCCCTGAAGAAGAAAAGCAAGCCCTATGAGGTAGCTATTAGCATTATTCCTATTTTACAGACTAGGACACTGAGGCTTAGAGTTCAATATCTGCAGACTTCAGTTCAACTCATGCCCAAGTTCCAAACTGTCCCTCCTGATATCCAGCCCTACAGATTTCAGACTTGTCCAGCCAGTCCCCAAAATCACTTAGGTCTATTTCTTGCAATAAATCACTTAACATCTATTTCTTACTGGTTCCGTTACTCTAGTTGAACCCTGACTTAATATATGAGAAGCAAGGGATACACAAGACAGACTCAGGCCTTGTTCCTACCAATTGTATGGTTTAGTGGAAATGTTACAGGAGAAGCTAAGTGATTACAAGACAGCCTTATGAAGGTAAAAGTACAGATACCTAGCTTAGACTTCAGAGTGTTACGAGTAAGAAAAGTTTCCTGGAAGACTGAAGTTTAATTTGAGAGTTGAAAAACTGAGTATGAATTAAGAAAGTAAAGTGTGTGTGTGCACATGCGTGTTGCAGGCAGTACAGTGATAAAGCATTTCTAGCAGAATACCTACCCTGTGCTAAAGGCTACAGGTAAGAGGGAGCATGGTACAATGGAAGACTGGTAGAAACTTCTGCAAAACTGGTGCACAGAGAGTGAAGGTGGAGTGCTGAGAGATAAAAACTATGGAAATGAGCAGAAGCTAGATCATGAAGTCTTGAGAGTCATGTCAAGTTGCTGGGCACACAGAAGCCACTTAAGGGTTTTTAGTATAGATAACACTTGATCACTTTTAGATTTGGGGAAAATCATTCAGAATGCAATGTGGAGAATTGATTGAGAGAAAATAAAGATTGGGAACTAGAAGAAATAATTCAAATGACTAATCATGGTGACCTAGTTTGGGTGAAAGCAGTGGGAATGGAGAGAATTGCATTGGAGAGATATTTAGACAGTGGAGTGAACAATACGTGGTGATTGATTGAATTTGAGGAATGATGGAGATTGAAAGTCATTGTCAAAACATGATTTCTCACCTAAATAAGTAGGTGGATGATGGGACCATTCACAAAGATGAGAAATAAGAAGGATTAAGTGTGGAGCAGAGGAAGACTATGTTTGAGGTACTTACGGGCATACTGTTGGAGATCACCAGTCAGCAGTTAGCTATGCCAGTTTAAAGGAGAGGAGATGATCTAGGTTCAAAATATGGATCTAAGAGGCATTACTGTATCAATGGAAATTGAAGCTAGGATGCAGATGAGATTGCCTAGGGAGGTAGCAGAGAGAGGGCAGGAAAAATACTGGCGTATACCCTGGAACAACCCCAACATGTCCAATGTGAAAAGAAGATCCCTCACAATAGAAGGCAGTAGTTTTAAAATCAGGTTAAAAACATGACTTAGAATATGGCCTTCCTTAGGATTGTTTTTCTCCACAATTCACTGGTGAATATGAAAATTTATTAAGATCCAAAGACAGCACAATGTTTTCAGTTGTAGATTCACTCACTTTCTATACTAACACGATCTGGCTAGCATTTGTTTTACAGGTTGAAAAGCATTTCCGCGTACATTCATTTCTTCATTCAATTCTGCAAAAATAATGGTAATACCTATGAAGTAGTTATTAGCATTACTCATATTTTACAGACAAGGACACTGAGGCTTACAGAAGTTCAATATTTTCAACTTGTCCAAGCTCACCCAGCTCCATCCTAGTGCCTCTGACCATCAGTCCCTTTAGTATGGCCTTTTATAGTGGCATACATTCAAAAATAGCCCTGAAGCTATGGCTGACCCTCTATCACAAGTAGGAACATAAAAGTTTACAGGAGCCAAATGGTGAATCAACATTTCTGCTCTAAAAATGGAGTAGCTGAAATTGCATGTAGGTCTTTTGATGCCATAGAATCAGCTCTTAGTACCTGCTGACTCATAGTAACTATGTAGTAAATTTTTATGGTCTATGACTTTAATAACATTTTGTTTTTTTTATATTGCTTTGTCTTAATATGAAATTGGTCCTCTGTCTATCCACAGCAAGCATCATAATTGTTCTAGGAACTCACTAACATTTTGCCAGAAGGTGTATAGTCCCTTCTGAAAACAAAGTAATAAATAAATATTAACCCTAATGATTATTTTTCTTCTTTAGTTCCAGACTCTCTGGTACCATAAAATTAAAATATGGAGATATTATTTTGGAACCTGAAAGCTACTAAAATTTGCCACCAGGATTCTAATAATCAGTTTCAAGGGAATTGATAAGGAACAACAGTATGATTCAAAACTTAATGCAATAATACTGAAAGACCTTTGTAATTTTTTATACATAAATTTATGAATCATTGCAGGACGGATCCACCTACAAATGTCTTACTAGCCCACCCTCGACCAAAGAAGTACAAAATAAGATTGAAAACAGCATATCCTCCACTTGAAAGATTGTCTGGAGATCAATGACCTAATCAATATGAAAGTGATTAGTAAATAGCAAATTCCCACATGATAAGTTATTCTTATTATTTTATTAATGATAATAATCTAGGTTCTACTTCAGTCTAGCAGGACCATCTTGTCACAAAATGTATCACTGCTTGAAAATTCTACATGAGCAATATTTTTTTATCCAGATGAATTTAATCAACCCAGAGTAATTCCAGCATCAATGAAAACAATATCCAGATTTAGGATTTGTATAGAAGGCTGATGTAACTGGAGAAAGAAACTCAGGGCCTTGCTGAATGCTTAGGGTTACGTGAGTAACTTCCTTTTAGTGGTGATATTTATTTCTCCAAGTCTAACTGTTCAATTTTCCTAGCAGTGTAAGTGCTGGAGTGATGACCCAGGGAATCACCTTGTATTTCCTTGAATGGCTATTATGTCCCATGTAAGCCATTGCTTCTTTTGAAAAACCGGGTTCCAGTTTTTGGTCTCCAATTTGGTTGACATGTGACCCTTGGCAATTCACTTTACCTTTAGCTTTGTTTCCTCACCTATAAAATGGGATTATAATAATAATTCTTTTTATTTTTTTTTTAGTATTTATTGATCATTCTTGGGTGTTTCTCAGAGAGGGGGATGTGGCAGGGTCATAGGATAATAGTGGAGAGAAGGTCAGCAGATAAACACGAGAACAAAGGTCTCTGGTTTTCCTAGGCAGAGGTCCCTGCGGCCTTCCGCAGTGTTTGTGTCCCTGGGTACTTGAGATTAGGGAGTGGTGATGACTCTTAACGAGCATGCTGCCTTCAAGCATCTGTTTAACAAAGCACATCTTGCACTGCCCTTAATCCATTTAACCCTGAGTTGACACAGCACATATTTCAGAGAGCAGGGGGGTGGGGGTAAGGTTATAGATTAACAGCATCCCAAGGCAGAAGAATTTTTCTTAGTACAGAACAAAATGGAGTCTCCTATGTCTACTTCTTTCTACACAGACACGGTAACAATCTGATCTCTCTTTCTTTTCCCCACATTTCCCGCTTTTGTTTTCGACAAAACCGCCATCGTCATCATGGGCCATTCTCGATGGTCGCTGTCTCTTCGGAGCTGTTGGGTACACTTCCCAGACGGGGCAGCCTGGCAGAGGCGCTCCTCACTTCCCAGATGGGGCTGCCAGGCAGAGGCGCTCCTCACCTCCCAGACGGGGTGGTGGCCTGGCAGAGGTGCTCCTCATATCCCAGACAAACAGCGGCCGGGCAGAGGCGCCCCCCACTTCCCAGACGGGGCAGCCGGGCAGAGGCGCTCCTCACATCCCAGATGGGGCAGCCGGGCAGAGGCGCTCCTCACCTCCCAGGCGTGGTGGTGGGGCAGAGACACTCCTCACCTCCCAGACGATGGGCGGCCAGGCAGAGGCGCTCCCCACATCCCAGACAGGGTGGCTGGGCAGAGGCGCTCGTCACCTCCCAGATGATGGGCGGCCTGGCAGAGGCACTCCTCACTTCTCAGGTGGGGTGGCGGGGCAAAGACGCTCCTCACCTCCCAGACGATGGGCAGCTGGGCAGAGGCGCTCCCCACATCCCAGACGGGGTGGCCAGGCAGAGGCGCTCCTCACCTCCCAGACAGGGCAGCCGGGCAGAGGCACTCCCCACCTCCCAGATGAAGGGTGGCTGGGCAGAGGCACTCCTCACTTCCCAGGCGGGGCGGCTGGGCAGAGGTGCTCCCCACCTCCCAGACAAAGAGCGGCCGGGCAGAGACGCCCCTCACCTCCCAGACGGGGCGGCAGCCAGGCAGAGGCTCTCCTCACTTCCCAGACGGGGTGGCAGCCGGGCAGAGACGCCCCTCACCTAGCAGACGGGGCGGCCAGGCAGAGGCGCCCACCTCCCAGATGGGGCGGCCGGGCAGAGGTGCTCCCCACCTCCCAGATGAAGGGCGGCTGGGCAGTGGCACTCCTCACTTCCCAGATGAAGGGCAGCCTGGCAGAGGTGCTCCCCACCTCCCAGATGGGGCGGCTGGGCAGAGGCGCTCCCCACCTCCCAGACGAAGGGCGGCCGGGCAGAGGCGCTCCTCACTTCCCAGGCAGGGTGTCCGGGCAGAGGCGCCCCTCACCTCCCAGACTGGGCGGCCAGGCAGAGGCGCTCCTCACCTCCCAGACCGGGCAGCCAGGCAGAGGCGCTCCTCACTTCCTGCCAGACGGGGGTGTCCGGGCAGAGGTGCTCCTCACTTCCCAGATGGGGCAGCCGGGCAGAGGCGCTCCTCACTTCCCATTCAGGGCAACCAGGCAGAGGCGCTCCTCACTGCCTCCCAGAGGGGCGGCCGGGCAGAGGCTCTCCTCACTTCCCAGACGGGGCGGCCAGGCAGAGGCGCTCCTCACATCCCAGACGATGGGTGGTCAGGCAGAGATGTTCCTCACTTCCTAGACAGGGTGGCGGCAGGGCAGAGGTGCTCCTTGCTTCCCAGATGGGGGCGGCCAGGCAGAGGCGCTCCTCACTTCCCATTTGGGGCAGCCGGGCAGAGGCGCTCCTCACTTCCTCCCAGATAGGGCAGCCGGGAAGAGGCACTCTTCACTTCCCAGAGCGGGCGGCCAGGCAGAGGCACTCCTCACTTCCCATTCGGGGCAGCTGGGCAGAGGCGCTCCTCACTTCCTCCCAGACGGGGCGGCCGGGCAGAGGCGCTCCTCACATCCCAGACGATGAGCGGCCAGGCAGAGACGCTCCTCACTTCTTAGACGGGGTGGCGGCCGGGCAGAGGCGCTCCTCACCTCCCAGACGGGGAGGCCAGGCAGAGGGGCTCCTCACATCCCAGATGATGGGCGGCCAGGCAGAGACGCTGCTCACTTCCTAGACGGGGTGGCGGGTGGTTAGAGGCTGTAATCTTAGCACTTTGGGAGGCCAAGCCAGGTGGCTGGGAGGTGGAGGTGGTAGCAAGCCGAGATCACGCCACTGCACTCCAGCCTGGGCAACATTGAGCATTGAGTGAGTGAGACTCCGTCTGCAATCCCAGCACCTCAGGAGGCCGAGGCGGGCAGATCACCCGAGGCCAGGAGCTGGAGACCAGCCCGGTCAACATGGCGAATCCCCGTCTCCACCAAAAATACAAAAACCAGTCACGAGTGGCGGTGCGTGCCTGGAATCCCAGGCACTCGGCAGGCCGAGGCAGGAGAATCACTGGAGCCCAAGGCAGGGAGGTTGCAGCGAGCCCAGATCATGGCAGTACAGTCCAGTCTCCACAAGAGAGGGAGACTGTAGAAAGAGGGAGATGGAGAGTGGGGGGGGGGGGGGGGAGGGGGAGGGGGAGCTATAATAATAATTCTTACATCACAGTTATCATCAAGATATAAAAAAATTATTACTCTGTTACTTTACTTTTTCTTCTGAGGTTTTATGATACATCTTTCATTTCAAAGTTGTTTTAATGCAATGTTACAGGATTATTAAAAGGAAAGTATTTCATTGGGTATAAAGAATATAATGAGAAAAAGAAACATATGGGATTTGTGTATAAGACCACGAGCCTAATGAATCTCAGAAAATAGTAACTTTTAAAATTAATAAATGTTTTCCTCCCTCAAAGTGTTTATCTCATATTATGTTTCTATTTTCATTATCTTTTCATTGATTATTTCCTAAATTCAAAATTTAGATTGTGGAAGCTAGGACTGAAATTCTTGGCAGGAAAACTGCCAGATTTGATTTCTGAGTATGCGTCTAATTAGGACAATTGACAATTTGTGTACTAGCTTGGGAATAATTTTTTCTTAATTCATACACTGAGAAATTCTAAAGTTACAAAGGGTAAAAACCTACTCCTGTGATATTATGAGGAATTATCTAAGAACTGGAGACCATTTCTCTTTATAAAAGGGTAAGGAGGCTGGGTGTGGTGGCTTGTGCCTGTAATCCCAACACTTTGGGAGACCAAGGCAAGTGGATGGCTACAGCCCAAGAGTTTGAGACCAGCCTGGACAACATGGCAAAACCCTGTCTCTACCAAAAAAAAATTAAAAAAAAAAAGTGTTTGTGTGTGTGTATACTTACCCTTTTTTAAAAATCTTTTTTGAGACAGAATCTCACTCTGTCCCTCAGGCTTGAGTGCAGTAGCACAATCATAGCTCTCTGTAACCTTTGCCTCCCAGGCTCAATCAGTCCTTCCACCTCAGCCTCCAGAGTAGCTGGAACTACAGGAGCATGCCACCATATCCAGCTAATTTTGTATATCTATCTATCTATATATATATATATATATATATATATATATACACACACACATACACACACACACAGACACACACACATATGGAATATACATACATACACACACACACACACACACACACACACACACACAAAATTAGCTAGGTATGGTGGCATGCTCCTGTAGTTCCAGCTACTCTGGAGGCTAAGGCGGAAGGATTGATTGAGCCTGGGAGGCAAAGGTTGCAGAGAGCTATGATTGCACTGCTGCACTCCAGCCTGAGACAGAGTGAGATTCTGTCTCAAAAAAAGAAAAAAAAAGGGTAAGGATACGTGTTCACACCTATGCAAGTCCTGGCATGGTAAATAAGCATGTAGCTCTGGGGTCAGATCACGTGGATTGGAACACCTATCTATGTCTTTGCTTACAGAAAAGCAAGCTTCTTAAACTTTCCACTCCTCAATTGATTTTCTCTTGTAAACAAGAACCATCATAATATCTACCTTGTAGATTTTATGTGGGAAGAAAATGATAAACAGCACATGTAAAAAGCTTCATGCATGCTCCTGAGAAGCCGGCTATTAAATGCACTTGCTGACTTCTGCCTAAAAGGATTGACCTAGGTTTGCCTTTGTCTGATACGTACCTATGATCTGTGAGAATGAGACAACAAATAAATGAGCAATCTAAGCCCCAATCATTCATGAGGCTATAAAACATAAAGTACACAGAGAGCAAAATTTTTTCTTGTGTATCCTTATCTTATCCCTGATGTTCCAGAAAATCATTTGAGCTATGTAAGTTAAATTGATAACCATTCTATGGCTTCCAAGCTAATGAAAGTGCCAAGAAGCTGCCCCCTCCTGGCTTTGAGTGTTAGACTGCAGAGTACTTCCAATACTATGTGTTCCATCCACCTTATTTCCTGAACAGGAAAATCAATTCCTTAAAATCTTGTATTACTTTTTATCTTTGTTCTATCACCCACCAACTCCTTTTACTACAGGCAAAAACAAGGAACACAATAAGGAAATAATGGAAAGAGTCGAACAAGAATTAAATTCATTTTGGTTCAATCCAAATAGTGCTGAAGTGCTCGATATGAATGCTGTGTTCCAACCCAGTATCTCCTCTTGAGGGATGAAAGTAATTCTCTCTCAAGGAGCTTCTGAGAGTTAAGAACAACCAACAACCACAAAAATGATTTCCTGTGAATTCATCTGTAATAAAACATCTAAAGGGAAAGCTCTCTACTTGAGAGTCTTTCCAGTCAGTTATAGCACAAGGTATAAAGGGTGACTTTGACAGAACCAATTATTGTGGTATGCTAAAAGCAACATAAATTGACAAAGTCTATGAATTCTCTGTCTCAACTCACCATGCACAGGGTGAGTGCTTTCCTGCCAAGACATAATGTTCTATTACTCAAGGGAAGAAAAATTGAGATCAGAAATTAAATTTTGCAGCATTAAACATAACCTTGGCTAGTATTTATAGACCTAGCATAGTGCCCAGAGGAAGCTTATTATTATTTGTTTTTTATTTTCCAACATGGTGGAGCCAATTTGCCCTGGTTTGCCTGGGACTTTCTAGGATTTAGCACTGAAAATCCCCAAGTCCCAAAAACTCTTGAGTCCTGGTTAAACCAAGATAATTGGCAATCGTATTTCTCAAATCAAGTTAGTCCTATTTCTTGGTATAACTACATAGTAATTTTCAGGGTTCCAAAAACTCCTTCACCAAGAAAAGCACCTTTATCAGCATGAAATACAGCATTTGAGAAGAGATAAGTAAAATTATATTCATAAAATGATTGAAAATCCTCCCTATGGCTTATTGGGTAGACATAGTTGTTCATACATCACATGACAACAGCAAGACAGTCTCAGACCTCTTCCCCCTTACTTCAGAGAAAGGGGTTGCAATGCAAACCACTTCAATACATCCCAATAATTGCTGTCATGGCAGAAGCTATGAGCATTATAGGAGGACATAGTGGAATATAACTGGAAGGGTTGGGAAAAACTTCCCATGGGAGTGATAGCAAAACTGAAATCTTAAAACAAAGAAATACATTCTTAGTGTAGTGGTAGAAGTCACTAAACAAAGCCATATGCTGAGAGGGACAGCTGGGCAAGCTGGGCAGGTGTTTTTTTGTTTTTGTTTTTGTTTTTTTGTATCGTGCAACTTAAAACAGCAGACATTGCTGAGGTAAGGAGGCGCTCCAGAGTGGCAGGAGGAGAGACAACGAGAAAGAGACCAATGAATGCACCAGAAGGGGTATAGTTGGTTCCTCCAGAACAAACTTTACCCTTTTATCACATTTGTCTTGATTTCCTCTAGAAAAAATCTAGTCGCCTGAGCCATTTCCCCTTAAGCTTAAAGTACCCACAAGCCCTACCATTTACAAGGGATCTTCAAAAAGTTTATGGAAAATAAGTGTTATGAAAAAACTATGAATAGACTTCAACATTTTTTTGCACCAAGCCAAACTCATACTAACTTGTTTAACATGTTTGAACAAGGTCTAGTTCGAGGCACTAAGAAGGATAAGACATTAATTTTTTTAAAGCCCCTATAGAAGCAACATGAATTCTGCTAAAATTGAAGCAAGAACAAACATTAAATTTTTGGTAAAGCTTGAGTGGAAGAATGGTGAAATCACTGTGGCATTATGAAAAATTTATGGAGACAATGTCCCAAAGAAACCAGCAGTTTACAAATGGATAACTCTTTTTAAGAAGGAAAAAGACAGTGTTGAAGATAAGGCACAAGACGATGTTGGAGATGAACAGCAGACCATTCGCATCAGTTGGCAAGAAAAAAATTAATCTTATTTGTGCCCTAATTGAAGGAGATCAACGATTAACAACAGAAACAATAGCCAACACCATAGACATCTCACTTGGCTAAAATTGACATCTCAATGGCTATCTCTTGGTAGCCGTTGGACCAGTCAAGAGCAAAGATCATGGCAAAAGTGAACCAAGAGCAGAGGTCATGGCAACAGGTTTTGGGGATGCTCAAGGCATTTTGTTGTTGACTTTCTGGAGGGCCAAAGAACAATAACAACTGCTTATTATGAGATGTTTTGAGAAAGATAGCCAAAACTTTAGCAGAAGAACACCTGGAAACGCTTCACCAAATAGTCCTTCTCCATTACAACAATGCTCCTACTCATTCTCTCATCTAACAAGGCAATTTTGTAAGAGTCTGAATGTGAAATCATTAGGCATTCACATTGCAGTCCTAATATGATCTCCTGACTACTTTGTATCTCGTAATCTTAAAAAAAGCTTTAAAAGCCACCCATTTTAGTTAATAATGTAAAAATGATTGCATTAACATGGTTAGATTTCCAGGAACGTTAGTTCTTAAGGGATGAACTAAATGGCTGGTATCATAGCTTACAAAAGTTTATTGAATTTGATGAAGTTTATGTTGATAAATGAATTTTATATTTTTTATTTTTATCTCTTAATCCCATATTTCCGTGGACGTTTTGAAGTCTTCTCTCATACGTCTATTAAACTCAATCCACCCTTCAATGCTCCTCTGGGTATCTCCGTTTTCAACAAAGCTTCCTCTGTCTTTGTTAATTATTCCTGGCCTTCATCTTCCTGCGCCTCCAAACTCCTCACTATGTGTGTCACATATTTATGAGTTTCATCACATTTGATTTCCAGTATTTTAAAACTATTATTCATTAGGCCAACAATATTTTTTGAGCATTTACTATGTGCTAGGCACTATTCCAGGTACCGCTAAAAAGTAGCAAACAAGTCACAAATGATCCCTGGTCTCCTGGAGCATATAGTGCTTTAAAAAGAAAGAAAAAAGAAACAAAAAACAGAAACAAGAGTATAACCAGTTAAAGGTACAGACCATGTCTATATAGACATCAGTTGTATCCTCTACAGTGTCAAAAAAAAAATAGCTGTGGTACATATTAGGCAGTTAATAAATATTTGTTGACAATTAATTTAAATGCTTAGTAGTGGAATTATTCATATTAGGAAATAAAAGCAGTGTAAGAGGAATGGTATTAAATATAGAGGTTATTCAAGGGTTCCATTAAAATGTGATGATAACGTAACTATCCCTCACTGGGTAGTCCTGGTGATGATATGGATATGGAAGTTAAAGGTGGGGGTGGTGGGGGATGGAATTGGTTTGGAAAATACTTGTTATGATGAATATATATACATATTTTCTCTTTACCAAACTCAGTAGGGTAGTGAACACATATTATTCAAAGAGAACAAGATCTGGTTTTACATTCTGTTTTACCTCGGTGACCTCCTGAAGCTATTTTCTTTGACTCTCAACTTGCTCATCTTTAAAATGGGGGGATACAGGGTAAATATGCTGATGTCTCCTGGCTTGCCTCCTTCTCCTTTCTCCACACAGCTCTGTCTTAGGAGGCTGAGTGCCTGGACTGCATCAACAGGCTCCAAGGCTCTGGATTCTGATCAGGTTCAGCCAGTGGGGAGCTAGCAGGAGACAGAGGGTGGGAGTGTTGTTAATTTCCTTCTACTGTAGATTCCATTTTCAACAGTCTTTTCAGTAGATTCTGTTTTTCATGGCCTTGACCCTTCTGTCTAGAACTTCTCACTAGTTCTCTGCTGCTTATATTCCCAGGGTACTCTACTCGCCCTCTGTGTTTCCACTAACGCTGCTCATGGTAAATAGTCTCTTTATTAAATTCTCTACAAATTACCCAGTTTGACCATGCCCTCTTTTCCTGTTAATACAGAAGGCAATCATAATTACTTCTTGCTAGTGTAAACATTAATTTAAACCATATGAAGTGTCTAGCACAGCCCCTAGTATAAAATAAGTCTTAGATAAACACGACTTTCACACTCTCCTTCTCCTTCTACTCTGGCCTTCTTAAAGACATGATATTCCTCTATGGTACTAGGGAATTTGTGTTTAGTGTGACTTTTAAGAGCTTAATAAGCTTCTATGTGAAAAGGCTTTTGTTACTATAAAGGAAAACTATTTTTTATGTAGGGTTCATTACCCAATAAATCAAGAAAATGCATGTTCCAAAAGTCTTGGCAATATAAAGAAAAGTGTACTTCAACTATAATTGTTTGAACTAGAATTAAATGTGTGTTTTATAATGATATGCTATCCTTCTCTAAGAGACACATATATACTCAGACTATAAACAAGCTAAAAGAACAGATAGAAAAAAAATAAGTTGTGAGTGGTCATATTTATTTGACATAGATAATGCCTTTGTGGACAAAATATTGCTTACAAAAATTTGTTTTGAGAATGACTAATAATTCTACCTCATGTTTCTTATAAGTTTTGTGCCAAGAAGATTAAATGAAAATGTACTGTGACAGAATGGCTATTGAGAAATGACCGAGTCTTTTTTTTTCTGTAGGGGGGTCATGGAAGAATGAAAGATATTCTCTTTTTGCAGTAATGATGACCAGGCTTCGGATCCTTCTGTCCAGGAAGACTCACCTTCCTGATGTAGCTAACAGCCAGAAAGAGAAGCAATCCACTGTGAATGGTATGCTGGAGGGAATTTCCCATATATATCTTTGCTACTAAAGGTTTAGGTCCACGTAAATAATTAACCTGTATTTCTCAAGGAGAAAATTAATCAGCAGATGTACTGTGATTAAAGAGGTCCCCTATGAGGTTGATAAAACCCCTGAAACCAGGAAGGTGGTGAGATTTATGGTTTTCAGAACAGCAGAGGCAGGGGCTCATCAGAATGCACAGTCTCTGAAGTGGCAGAGCCTCCATGGGGATGCCTGCCTGGGTGTGGTAGGTTGCAACAATGGCCACATTCTCCATACCTTCCTGTATCCAAGTTTTTTTGGAATGTGATTTTGAAGCTTCTTCCATCAAGAATTGAAGTCTATTGTTCCATCTTTTGAATCTGACCTGAGTTATGACTTCTTTGGGCCAAAATAATGCAGCAGAAATTATGCTATGCTGGTTCTGAATCTAGGCTCTAAGAGGCCTTGTATGTCTCTTATTTTTCCCATGTAACCCTACAAAGCTACCATGTATGCAACCTGAGATACCCTGCTGGAAGATCAGAGACATGTATAACTGTTTCTGTCCTATTCCCTAGCCAACAGCCAGACAATCTGCAAGAAGCAGAGCTGTTTCGCTGACTTCTAGCTGACTACAGATGCATACATGACACAAATCAAGGCAGAAAGAGCTGTTCAGCAAAGCCCAGGCCCAATTTTCAACCCACAGAATCATGAACCAAAAATGTGGTTGTTTAAATCATTAAGTTTTGAGGTTGCTTGCTGCACAGCAAAGCTAACTGATACACTATGTGCCTGTGGTCTTGGGACTTCAATCAGGATCTCTGTGGCTTAGCTTTGCATGAGGAGACTGGAGCTACCTGCATGCAAATGAGCCATGTTGACCTGAAAAGAGCCATATTAACAACCATCAAAGATGAGAGAGATGCCTGGCATCTACCATTTTCCCATTCAGCCTATGCTTCAGGGTTCTTGTGCCATCTAAGGAGAAAGAAGAGACAAACTCCTATGTTACTTCTGCCACATCAGTTGATACAGGATTTTATGACCATCTTAACATGTGGATAGTAGGGTTAAATTTAATTTTAATTATAAAAATAATGAAACTTTGGTTCTATAGCTGAATTAATTTGTTGACATTTTTTAATAATAAAATTTAAAATATCGGGGTGGAGCCAAGATGGCTGAATAGGAACAGCTCCAGTCTACAGCTCCCAGCATGAGCAACGCAGAAGATGGGTGATTTCTGCATTTCCAAATGAGGTACCAGGTTCATCTCACTGGGGAGTGCCAGACAGTGGGTACAGGACAGTGGGTGCAGCACACCGTGAGTAAGCCAAAGCAGGGCAAGGCATAGCCTCACCTGGGAAGCACAAGGGGTCAGGGAATTCCCTTTCCTAGTCAAAGAAAGGGGTGACAGACGGCACCTGGAAAATCAGGTCACTCCCACCCTAATACTGCCCTTTTCCAATGGGCTTAACAAACTGCACACCAGGAGATTATATCCTGCACCTGGCTCAGAGGGTCCTACGCCCACAGAGCCTCGCTCTTTGCTAGCACAGCAGTCTGAGATCAAACTGCAAGGTGGCAGCGAGGCTGGGGGAGGGGCGCCTGCCATTGCTCAGGATTGAGTAGGTAAACAAAGCAGCCTGGAAGCTTGAACTGGGTGGAGCCCACCACAGCTCAAGGAGGCCTGCCTGCCTCTGTAGGCTCCACCTCTGGGGGCAGGGCACAGACCAACAAAAGACAGCAATAACCTCTGCAGACTTAAATGTCCCTGTCTGACAGCTTTGAAGAGAGTAGTGGTTCTCCCAGCACACAGCAGCTTGAGATCTGAGAACAGGCAGACTGCCTCCTCAAGTGGGTCCCTGACCCCCGAGTAGCCTAACTGGGAGGCACCCCCCAGTAGGGGCGGACTGACACCTCACACAGCCGGGTACTCCTCTGAGACAAAACTTCCAGAGGAATGATCAAGCAGCAGCATTTGAGATTCACCAATATCCACCGTTCTGCAGCCACCGCTGCTGATACCCAGGCAAACAGGGTCTGGAGTGGACCTCCAGTAAACTCCAACAGACCTGCAGCTGAGGGTCCTGACTGTTAGAAGGAAAACTAACAAACAGAAAGGACATCCACACCAAAAACCCATCTGTACATCACCATCATCAAAGACCAAAAGTAGATAAAACCACAAAGATGGGGGAAAAAGCAGAGCAGAAAAACCGGAAACACTAAAAATCAGAGCGCCTCTCCTCCTCCAAAGGAACGCAGCTCCTCACCAGCAACGGAACAAAGCTGGATGGAGAATGACTTTGACGAGTTGAGAGAGGAAGGCTTCAGAAGATCAAACTACTCTGAGCTAAAGGAGGAAGTTTGAACCAATGGCAAAGAAGTTAAAAATTTGAAAAAAAATTAGACTAATGGATAACTAGAATAACCAAAGCAGAGAAGTCCTTAAAGGACCTGATGGAGCTGAAAACCACAGCACAAGAACTACATGATGAATGCACAAGCCTCAGTAACCAATGTGATCAACTGGAAGAAAGGGTATCAGTGATGGAAGATTAAATGAATGAAATGAAGTGTGAAGAGAAGTTCAGAGAAAAAAGAATAAAAAGAAATGAACAAAGCCTCCATGAAATATGGGACTATGTGAAAAGACCAAATCTATGTCTAATTGGTGTACCTGAAAGTGATGGGGAGAATGGAACCAAGTTGAAAAACACTCTGCAGGATATTATCCAGGAGAACTTCCCCAATCTAGCAACGCAGGCCAACATTCACATTCAGGAAATACAGAGAACGCCACAAAGATAGTCCTCGAGAAGAGCAACTCCAAGACACATAATTGTCAGATTCACCAAAGTTGAAATGAAGGAAAATATGTTAAGGGCAGCCAGAGAGAAAGGTCGGGTTACCCACAAAGGGAAGCTCATCAGACTAACAGCTGATCTCTCGGCAGAAACTCTACAAGCCAGAAGAGAGTGGGGGCCAATATTCAACATTCTTAAAGAAAAGAATTTTCAACCCAGAATTTCATATCCAGCCAAACTAAGCTTCATAAGTGAAGGAGAAATAAAATCCTTTACAGACAAGCAAATGCTGAGAGATTTTGTCACCACCAGGCCTGCCCTAAAAGAGCTCCTGAAGGAAGCACTAAACATGGAAAGGAAAAACTGGTACCAGCCACTGCAAAAACATGTCAAATTGTGAAGACCATCAAGGCTAGGAAGAAACTGCATCAACTGACGAGCAAAATAACCAGCTAACATCATAATGACAGGATCAGATTCACACATAACAATACTAACCTTAAATGTAAATGGGCTAAATGCTCCAATTAAAAGGCACAGACTGGCAAATTGGATAAGAGTCAAGACCCATTAATGTGCTGTATTCAGGAAACCCATCTCAAGTGCAGAGACACACATAGGCTCAAAATAAAGGGATGGAGGAAGATCTACAAAGCAAATGGAAAACAAAAAAAAAAAAACAGGGGTTGCAATCCTAGTCTCTGATAAAACAGACTTTAAACCACCAAAGATCAAAAGAGACAAAGAAGGCCATTACATAATGGTAAAGGGATCAATTCAACAAGAAGAACGAACTATCCTAAATATATATGCACCCGATACAGGAGCACCCAGATTCATAAAGCCAGTCCTTAGTGACCTACAAAGAGACTTAGACTCCCACACAATAATAATGGGAGACTTTAACACCCCACTGTCAATATTAGACAGATCAACGAGACAGAAAGTTAAAAGGATATCCAGGAATTGAACTCAGCTCTGCACCAAGCGGACCTAATAGACATTACAGAACTCTCCACCCCAAATCAACAGAAGATACATTCTTTTCAGCACCACACCACACCTATTCCAAAATTTACCACATAGTTGGAAGTAAAGCACTCCTCAGCAAATGTAAAAGAACAGAAATTATAACAAACTATCTCTCAGACCACAGTGCAATCAAACTAGAACTCAGGATTAAGAAACTCATTCAAAACCACTCAACTACATGGAAACTGAACAACCTGCTCCTGAATGACTACTGGGTACATAATGAAATGAAGGCAGAAATAAAGAGGTTCTTTGAAATCAATGAGAACAAAGACACAACATACCAGAATCTCTGGGACACATTCAAAGCAGTGTGTAGAGGGAAATTTATAGCACTAAATGCCCACAAGAGAAAGAAGGAAAGATCTAAAATTGACACCCTAACATCACAATTAAAAGAACTAGAGAAGCAAGAGCAAACACATTCAAAAGCTAGCAGACGGCAAGAAATAACTAAGGTCAGAGCAGATCAGAAGGAAATAGAGACACAAGAAACCCTTCAAAAAATCAATGAATCTAGGAGCTGGTTTTTTGAAAGGTTCAACAAAATTGATAGACTGCTAGAAAGACTAATAAAGAAGAAAAGAGAGAAGAATCAAATAGATGCAATAAAAAATGACAAAGGGGATATCACCACCAATCCCATAGAAGTACAAACTACCATCAGAGAATACTATAAACACCTCTACACAAATAAACTAGAAAATCTAGAAGAAATGGATAAATTCCTCGACACGTACACCCTCCCAAGACTAAACCAGGAAGAAATTTAATCTCTGAATAGACCAATAACAAGCTCTGAAATTGAGGCAATAATTAATAGCTTACCAACCAAAAAAAGTCCAGGACCAGATGGATTCACAGCCGAATTCTACCAGAGGTACAAGGAGGAGCTGTTACCATTCCTTCTGAAACTATTCCAATCAATAGAAAAAGAGGGAATCCTCCCTAACTCATTTTATGAGGCCAGCATCATCCTGATACCAAAGCCTGGCAGAGACACAACAAAAAAAAAGAGAATTTTAGACCAATATCCTTGATGAACATTGATGCGAAAATCCTCAATAAAATACTGGCAAACCAAATCCAGCAACACATCAAAAAGCTTATCGACCATGATCAAGTGGGCTTCATCCCTGGGATGCAAGGCTGGTTCAACATACGAAAATCAATAAATATAATCCAGCATATAAACAGAACCAAAGACAAAAACCACATGATTATCTCAATAGATGCAGAAAAGGCCTTTGACAAAATTTAAAACCCTTCATGCTAAAAACTCTCAATAAATTAGGTATTGATGGGATGTATCTCAAAATAATAAGAGCTATCTATGACAAACCCACAGCCAATGTCATACTGAATGGACAAAAACTGGAAGCATTCCCTTTGAAAACTGGCACAAGACAGGGTTGCCCTCTCTCACTACTCCTATTCAACATAGTGTTGGCAGTTCTGGCCAGGGCAATTAGGCAGGAGAAGGAAATAAAGGGTATTCAATTAGGAAAAGAGGAAGTCAAATTGTCCCTGTTTGCAGATGACATGATTGTGTATCTAGAAAACCCCAATGTCTCAGCCCAAAATCTCCTTAAGCTGAGAAGCAACTTCAGCAAAGTCTCAGGATACAAAATCAATGTGCAAAAATCACAAGCATTCTTATACACCAATAACAGACAAACAGAGAGCCAAATCATGAGTGAATTCCCACTCATAATTGCTTCAAAGAGAATAAAATGCCTAGGAATCCAACTTACAAGGGATGTGAAGGACCTCTTCAAGGAGAACTACAAACCACTGCTCAATGAAATAAAAGAGGATACAAACAAATAGGAGAACATTCCATGCTCATGGGTAGGAAGAATCAATATGGTGGAAATGGCCATACTGCCCAAGGTAATTTATAGATTCAATGCCATCCCCATCAAGCTACCCATGACTTTCTTCACAGAATTGGAAAAAACTACTTTAAATTTCATATGCAACCAAAAAAGAGCCCACATTGCCAAGTCAATCCTAAGCCAAAAGAACAAAGCTGGAGGCATCATGCTACCTGACTTCAAACTATACTACAAGGCTACAGTAACCAAAACAGCATGGTACTGGTACCAAAACAGAGATATAGACCAATGGAACACAACAGAGCACTCAGAAATAATGCCACATATCTACAACTATCTGATTTTTGACAAACCTGAGAAAAACAAGCAATGGGGAAAGGATTCCCTATTTAATAAATGGTGCTGGGAAAACTGGCTAGCCATATGTAGAAAGCTGAAACTGGATCCCTTCCTTACACCTTATACAAAAATTAATTCAAGGTGGATTAAAGACTTACATGTTAGACCTAAAACCATAAAAACCCTAGAAGAAAACCTAGGCAATACCATTCAGGCATGGGCAAGGACTTCATGTCTAAAACACCAAAAGCAATGGCAACAAAAGCCAAAATTGACAAATGGGATCTAATTAAACTAAAGAGCTTCTGCACAGCAAAAGAAACCACCATTGGAGTGAAGAGGCAACCCACAGAATGGGAGAAAATTTTTTCAACCTACTCATCTGACAAAGGGCTAATATCCAGAATCTACAATGAACTCAAACAAATTTACAAGAAGAAAACAAACAACCCCATCAAAAAGTGGGCAAAGGATATGAACAGACACTTCTCAAAAGAAGACATTTATGCAGCCAACAGACACATGAAAAAATGCTCATCATCACTGGCCATCAGAGAAATGCAAATCAAAACCACAATGAGATACCATCTCACACCAGTTAGAATGGCGATCATTAAAAAATCAGGAAACAACAGGTGCTGGAGAGGATGTGGAGAAATAGGAACACTTTTACACTGTTGGTGGGACTGTAAACTAGTTCAACCATTGTGGAAGTCAGTGTGGCGATTCTTCAGGGATCTAGAACTAGAAATACCATTTGACCCAGCCATCCCATTACTGGGTATATACCCAAAGGAGTATAAATATGCTGCTGTAAAGACACATGCACACGTATGTTTATTGCAGCACTATTCACAATAGCAAAGACTTGGAACCAACCCAAATGTCCAACAATGATAGACTGGATTAAGAAAATGTGGCACATATACGCCATGGAATACTATGCCGCCATAAAAAATGATGAGTTCATGTCCTTTGTTTGGACATGGATGAAGCTGGAAACCATCTTTCTCAGCAAACTATCGCAAGGACAAAGCAGCAAACACCGCATGTTCCCACTCATAGGTGAGAATTGAACAATGAGAACACATGGACACGTGAAGGGGAACATCACACACTGGGGACTGTTGTGGGGTGGGGGAGAGGGGAGGGATTGCATTAGGAGATATACCTAATGCTAAATGACGAGTTAATGGGTGGAGCACACCAACATGGCACAGGTATACATATGTAAGAAACCTGCACGTTGTGCACATGTACCCTAAAACTTAAAGTATAATAATAATAAAAAAAGTAAAATATTTTCCAACACCTTACTTGAAGAAGAAAGTATAATCAATTATCCTTAGATCTTATATCCTGTTTCTCAACCAGCAAAGGAGAGATAACTATCAGATTGCATATCTTTCTGAATGAGGTATTTGACTTATAATTTAATGTTTGGTAATTTTAATGATTTCTTAGTAAAAGTATGGTCAAATTATGAGACAGCAAATAAGTGTTCATGTCCAAAGTAGTGATTATTGAAATGTCATGTATTTACAAAGAAGTCTGGACTGGAAGTCACATGAACTGTATGTTAGTTCTGTCTCTGTTTGTAATTAGTGTGATGCTATGTGAGTCATTACTCATCTTTGGGTCTTTATTTCTTTATCTGCAAATTAAGAAAGAAGAACAAAATGATATTTAGGTTCCTTTGAAGATCTTCTAGTCAATGTCTCTCATTCTACATTTATAATTAGATGATCTTTTTAAACATATTTAGGGGTACAATATACTTTCCCAGAGAATATCATTGATCTGATTACTCTTTCCTATAACTCCTTAAAGCATTTACTGGTAAGAGTGGACAAGCAGTTAATCAGGCACTGTTCTGCCACTCATGTTTTTTATTATTGTTATGTTACCTATTTATCTATCTGGTCTCCAGAATTAGTTTGTAGTCCCCTTAAGGATGAAGATGGTGTCTTGTCTTTTTGACCCTCCTCATTTGAAATTATAATAGATAACCCTAACTATAATGAAAATAGTTGATACACTTAAAATTTGATTATATTAATAAATTGCAATATACTCTCAAAATAGTTGTCTTTTTCCAATATTTGTAACAGCACTGGATGACTCTTGGGCTTTAGGCAGGTTATTTCACTTTTCTGGGATCTAATTTTGTACTCAGAAAATGGAAGAATTGAGCTACATTATCTGTAAGATCCCTTCTTAGTGTACTAGTCTTTTTAAAATGCTATGGAAGGGCCACGTGAGGTGGCTCATGCCTGTAATCCTGGCACTTTGGGAGGCTGAGGAGGGAGGATCACTTGTGGCCAGGAGTTTGAGACCAGCGTGGCCAAAGTAGTGAAAACCCGTTTGTAACAGAATTTGTGACTTTCAACTGGGCACATGTCCAATCAGAATAAAGATGACATTTTTCAGCCTCCTTTGTAAAAGGTATGGTCATAAGATTAAGTTCTAGGAACTGGAATATAAGAGCTGTGGTGTACATAAAGTGATGAAGAAATGCCCTTCACCTTTCGTCCTTCCTGCTAGCTGGAATGTGGATGTAAGAGTTGGAGCTCAAGCAGCCATTTAATGACCTTAGGAATGAAATTCATGGATGGTGGCCTGATTTCAAGCAAAGCTACAGTGCTCCTGCTCTGATTTTAGCTAGTCATCTTCAGTCCACTTTTCTTGGTTTATCTGACTCCTGACTAGATTTTTTTTCCTCTTTGCACACCTTAAATTCTCAACTAAGACACTATGAACAGGACAAAATTAAGTTCCCCCCAATGTTTTTTAAAAACTCCAGCTTTAGGACAAAATTAAGTTCCCCCCAATGTTTTTTAAAAACTCCAGCTTTAAACTAAACTTTCATGGGTTCTTCCACAAATAAAAGACATACTAAAAAATCCGAAGATATATATAATTTTAGTGAAATGTTGAGAAGGGATAAACTTCTCAAAGAACAGTAATTTTGCAAGATAAATATTTATAAGGTTTAAATATGTTCTATATCAGACTGAATTCTGAGAATTTCAGAAAGTGATGATAGTACAATATACATAAGAAGTTGTTCTGAAGAAAGGCAGGCTCTAAGTAGCTAAGCAAATATTATTAAATGCCAAACAATTCTATACATTTAAATGTCAGGATTATTTTGTTGGCATTTCTCTTGAAAACAATTTTTAAAGAGATGCATCTTTAGATACATCTTAATTTTAAAAATTGCAGAAGTCATACTTCTAATAAGTTGCTACTGTGATACGTATTGGTATTGGATTTTCTTTTAACTTTCCATTTTGTTATTAGCTAATTTACACGAAACTTCTCTAAGCATCACACTACTCTCAACTATGAGGTTTATGTTTTTAAATATATGCCTTTTCTATTTTTTTTTTTTTTCAGATGGGGGTGTCTCACTATGTTGCCTAGGCTGGCCTCGAATTTCTAGGTTCAAATGATCCTCCCAACTCAGCCTTTAGGGTAACTATAACTGCAGGCACGCTCCACCACACCTGGCTTAAATGTATTTTCTGAATAGTTATAAAAACTACTTACCTAGGTGATATCGCATTACATTCTCACTAATTGCAAGATTAGAAGACAGATTATAGAGTTGTTAAATAATACAATCAACTAAAATTAATGGAAATATTGAATATGGTAGGTTCCCAATATTAGACTGTTGCATTATTGAGTCCATACCGTGACATTTTTGAGGTTTGCACCTTTGAAAAAGTGTTACACATAGATTCTTTTAAGACAATGTTTCTCAAATTATGGCAAGGGAACCACTTGCATCAGAATTGCTGGAGTGTTTATTTAAAATGCTAATTTCCAGACCTCTCAAAAGATCTAGTGAATCAATCTCTACCTGTGGCTTAAAAATTTTAACTTTAACCTCCGTCTCAACAGATTTTCAAGTACGTTTAAGTTTCAGAACCTCTGTTCTACTGCTGCAATGAAGTTTAAAGCTGATTCAAGTTATTCCTTCCATACCTCCATGCCAATATCACAATCATTCCTTTTTCACTCTGCCTCCGTTATAATTTTGACTTCATGACAAGGCAGGGCTGATTTGCTGGATGATCAACGTTTACTTTTAAGTAGAGAGGGCTGTCTCTAGATAGTTACAGAGGACATGGATAGTCATACCTATCAGTCAACTGACAGGAAAAGGATAAGTCTAACAAAAGTACAGTTCCTAGATTTCAAAACCATTTTTTTGAACTAATCTGGGAGGAGTATAGTTGTAATATAAGGAATGACTTTGTGTTAAAGAAAGGACAGGATAACTTAATAGAGGTCTCCCATCTCATTCTGTCACGGTGCTTTTGGGTTCCGGTGATGAATGTGTTCATTTTATGTGGCTTGCTCTGGGTAAATAACCCAGTGCCCTATCAGCTCTGCAGCCCGCGGCCAGCGGCAGTGTGTGCGCGCTAATGACGGCGGAAGGTGCCTGGGGGAGGGCCTGGGGAGGGGCTGGCCAGCGCTATCGCGCCCCTGGCACTTCCTAAGAGACTGAGCCCTTTCTCTGCAGCTGCAGCTTGGATTCCACGCTTTCCCTCCAGAGGAAAGAAGCCCTCCATCTAAATCAGCTGTCTTCTCCACATCCCTCCTTTTTCTCTCCGCCAGACGCCACCCCTACCCCTTCTATTGTGTTGTGCCTTTTCATTTTAGCCCCGCTTCCTACGTAGAGCCCTAACCTCCTTTGTAGCGAGGGCACTTGAGAATTTCTGAACCTCGAGTTGTAATGGAGCTGTATGGAAAGGTAAGCAGGCGAAAGGAGTTCCTTGGGGTGCTTAGCCAGAAATCTCGCTTTCACGCACTTCGGTGTGCGGGTTGTGTGTGTGACTATGTACGCGCGCGCGACTTCTCAGTGCAATTATGCGGATAAACCACTTTCCTTATGTGTGTACCGTTAATCGTCTTTCTCCCCTACGTTTGGTGAATGAGATTGTAAAACTGCCCCACTCTGCCTAAGGAAACGTAGAAACTTTCCCGATTCGGATGGGGAGGGGTAGGGCGGAGAGTCCCAGAGACCAGCTCTGGCTTCGTTTGCATTGGAAATTAGCACAAGGTAGTGTTGTTTCCTAATCAGAAAATCACCATCTACTTCCGAAGGCGATAGTTAGCAAAGAAAAATCTCCAGCTGAGATAAGCTGGGGTCACATTCGCCTGCCCCTGGCGAGGAAAAGAGCAGGGGAGACTGGGAGAGGTAACCCAGGAGCGTTTGGAAAGGAGTAGGGAGGCTCCGCGGCCGAGCCCGACTGGCGGATCGAGCCTGTTTAATGGTTTGCTTGCTTGCCGGGAGTTGTAGTTCACCGCTCGCCCGTTTGCCGGGAACACCCGGAGGGCGAGACTACAGCTCCCAGGAGTGCACGGGGCTCCTCGGCAGTACGCGTGTGCGGCGCCAGGAGAGGACAGCTCCAGTGCTGATGTTGGAGCCGGTTAGCGAACCCCAAGAGTGCAGAGTGTGGAGCGTGGAGCGCCGGGACTGTGCACGCTTGACCGGAAGCCCAGACCAGTGCGGTCCTAGCCAGAGAGAAAGGACATTTGCCAACAATGAGACACGAAGCGCCCATGCAGGTGGGTCCATAAAGAAAGAGTGGCCTCGGGAGGAATTGAAAGAGATGCTTTTCCCCTTGCTCCGCGCACAAGCAGTTCAACGTAAGGAAAGGTCTAGGCGGTCACCCGCGGAGATGCGGCTCTGTGACATGACCCTGGGAACAGAGTTGGGTTTCTTTACGCTCTGTGTGGCTGTGATTGGGGCTGTCTTGATGAGGGATCGGGCTATTCGCAATCTTTCTAGGCTCTGTAAAGAGGATAAGAGTGTCTGTCTAAAATGAAAACCCAAGCAAACAAAAGTCAGAGGAGCATGCAATCTCGTGTTGGCATTGATCTCCTCTCTTGGCATCCGGGGTTTGAGATCGCGGTGAAAACTCACGGATTTAAGGCAGATAGATCAGATTCGGGGTTGAAGGCTCCCCACTGGAGTCGGCATAGAGCGAATTCCGCTTGGTTAAAGGCGCATTAAATAAAGAGAAGCCAATGTTAGGCTCCTCAAAGTCCCCTTTCTTCAGTTAGGCTCCCAGTATCAGCAAAAAATAGCAAACACATCGGGGCTTGGCATATCCCTGAGCTATGCCAGCATCACTGTCCACACAACTGGTTTACTCTGTTTTGGAGACAGCCCCCTCTGAGCTTTCCTGTGTTATGTGCCCATTTGTTCTCCGATTCCCCATTTCAATCACATTCTTAGGTTTGTTTCCTTTGAGAAATGCAAAGGACTCTGGTGCAGAAGTACCACTGCCTAAGCATCTTGCTTAAGTTTTGTTTTTAAGTAAAGATGAGTGATAATTCTCGTCTCTATGTACTACCAGTTAACGTTAAACATCAGCTTGTGTTTATTAATCAAGCAGTGATCCTACTGTGTAACAGAAAGGCATTTTATGAGTGGGGTTGAGAGAAGAATAGAAAACATCATTTGGAATGTGCTGTCTCTCCTGAGAACCCACCTCTGCTGCCAAACCCAAGAGTATAAATATTTGACATTAATTCGGACTTCAGCGTTTTCCAACTGGTTTCTTCATGAATCAAGGACTTTAAACATATGCTTTGATTTACTTTTAATTTATTTTATGGGTTATGTATATTAAGAACCCCTTACTGGACTGTTAGATGAAAAATCTATAGAATTTAATTGTTTGTTGGGTGATTATATAAGGGAAGTCCTCAAATTACCTATGAGTTATTGAAAATTTGATTTGTTCCAGGGAACAGTGGCCCCTTTGTGTGTCTTCTAATACCTCTATTTGTGACTTAGCTTTTCATTATAGACCTGATGTGAAAAGAATCTGAACAGACAATAAAGGTACAGGCTGTTGCAATCAAGATATATTGGTTTATGATAATTTTCTATTACTGGAGATACTACCAGGAGCCAACTGGCTAAATTAATCATATTTAATTATAAGTAAACACTAATTGTAGACTTTAAAAGTAGATCATTATACTTCACTATGTATATGTATATTAAAACATGTACATCTTAAATTTACACAATAAAAAAGATTTCCAAGAATTTTTGAAAAATAAAGTAGATTGTTAATATTTAAAGTAAACTATGTATGCACTGATATTTTTTCAATCAAAATAAATTACGAAAAATTTAACCACACTGTATATCAATTTTGCTTTCTTACAGAGTTGCTTAGAATGTTCAGAAAGGTCATTAAAATATTACAGAACTGTATTAATGTTTCAGGAAACAGTTAAAATTATTTTTTGTGTTCACCAACTATGTAGTAGGCACTGTGATTTTCTATTTTAGTCAAAACTTTAATGAAGAACTAAAATAAAAATAAGGTAAAATGAAATTAATTTGCTTGTGGATGGAGTTATTGTCATATTTATAATGTATTTTTAGTCGTTGGACTAAGTTTTTGAAATTTAAAATTTCCAAATGCTGTCATGAGTAATGTACATTTTAGGAAATCAAAGACTTTTTTAGCATATTTAATTAAAGCACATACATTAATTCAATTTAACTAATAAATTGTTGTTATGGTGACCCCATCTCCATTATTATCAATTTTCAAAAATATGTAATAATAGATAGGATAAAAACTATAAGCTTACTCTGAATATTTTAAAGTAACAAGTAATGTTTCAGCACCGATATTTCTGAATTGTAATCACATTTCACGTGACTTTGATATATGACAATGCAACAAGATAAATAATTGACTTTTTTTTTCATTTAAAGACTGAACCACATCATCATTTTAAATATATGCCCCAAATATTTTTTTACTTAGGTCTGTAGAAGATGACTCACAAGCAAAACCTCATTTTATGGTTCCATAAAATAAGAGATTTCTTCTCTGCTTTTAAAAAATATTTAGTTCATTTGTTGATGTGAAAGAAAATGAGCTTTTTAATGTATTTGCTTATTTCCCAATTTACTTCTTGTATTTTCTTAAATCAAAGAATCCTTTTAAAAATCATGTAAGGTCTTTTAAAAAGCATTTGATGTATCTATATAAATAAGTTGATGTTCTGTTCGAGGTAGTTATCTTTGATATGTGCCTATTTTATGAAGAGTATTTCTTTCTGAATTGAGGGAAAATGAGGGATAATTGTTTTTTATAGTAACTACCAAAATAATATACAGTGATAATCTCTGACATCTTTATTTCCTTTCTAATCTAAATAACCAGGAATAGCATTTGGTAAGTGTCCCAAGTGATAGGCTTAGAATTCTAATGCAGGAGATGGTCATTTGTATCTTCTCATTCAGTGTATACATGAATCCTGAAGGCCAAATGAGATGAGAAATAACAGTTCTCATGACTTGAGGACAAGACTCTGGTTAACAAATTGTCATTTGATTCAGGAGCCACATTGAACAAATTCTAGTTTATCTAGTGCTTTACCTGTGCTGAGCCCTGTGACTTAGATTTCATTGTATTTGTGTGTATGTATAAAACAATTTTTATATGTATATATACTATATAACAATCATACATATCTATGGATATATTTTACAAGAGTATTTACAAATATATTTAAAAATCCTAGCAGTCACTATTACCCTAATTATAGGCATGATCACTCGAACTTATTAAGACTAAATAACTTTCCCACTAGGATAGAGTAAAATTTCCGCCAGATCTCTCTGTCTGGAAAACCCACGTTCTTTCCTCTGTTACTTTTGATTCCCCAAGAAGACATAAATTGGTGGTGTAAAGAATGAGACAACTATTGATATAATTTGAGTCATTCATTTGGTTCAGAAGAAAGAAAAATTGGCCCTATCTTCTTCTTATAAAATAAACTTGCATAAACTAAACAGAATATTTGAAAAGGGGCAATGTTTTAAAAATGGTTTGCTTCTATCTATTATAATTTCTGGCAGGGTCACGTACTCTCTTACAGGACCAAAGTGGAATTCATTGTCTCTGACTAAATGCTTACTTTTCCAATTTGTTATCCACAAGCTTTTGGGGTCACTTCATAAATGCAGTCTTCTGACTATTGAGGAAAATTCAAAGAAATATATCTACCCAAAACATGGAGCAGAGTGCCAAAAAAAAATGTTTGGCTAAAGATGAGGAGGATTGAAGAAGGACTATAGATGTAGGCTGAAGATGAAGTGGAGCTAAAAACCATTAGTTATATATTAAAGTTAGCCATACTGTACACAACACCAAATTACAAAGAATTAAAGTCTAAATATCACTGTTTTATTTGGCTATGGAAAGTACATGGCATTTTTGCACTTCATTATTGTTGAATTCCTAACCATATCCATCCTCAGTGATCATCCCTCTATCTTTCTGAGAAATGGACATGTAGTCCTCATCCTTTACAGAAACAGAAAATCCCTAATTGACTTTAGAGAAATGAGAAATTCTTCCTTACTCCATTTGGGCTAATTGCTCAAGTATCCACTTTTCTTCTGTAAAAGGAAGTGGAGGATAGCAAGAAAACTTAACCTATAGCAAAAATTCACTTTTGTAGTATAAGAATGCTTTTCCATTGAAACTGCAAAATTATCATAATTTTCTGCCACCATTCTAAGCTTATACTGGAATTGGCAAGTCCTTTCTTCACCATCATATTCCAGGAAGGAAATATATGTTTATGCTGAGGAATAGGTTTTCTTGAAACTACTCTTGCCCACTCAACTCGCTAAATACAAGCAGCTGGGCCACCTCAAAAAAATGTTCTTTTATATAGATTAAAGGTTTTCCAACCATTTTTCCCTTTCTTAAATTAATGTGGCTCAGAGGTTCTGTGGGAATCATCTTAGCAGGTCAGTCTATTACCAAGGATACTACAGCCTGTGAAGATTAAATCTTTGAGAGTTATTCAGAATAACATAGATCTTTAGCATTTTTCGTTCATTAGTTTATAGGTTTTTAGATAATATTTATATACATTGAAATGCACAAATCTTAAGTGAACAATTTGATAAATTTTGACAAATGTATAAATCTGTGTAACACACACCATTATAAAGATATAGAACATTTCTAATCATCCCTGAGTATTCCTTCATGGTTTTTCCTAATTAATATACCTATGCAGTAAACTTTTTTAGGTGAGACTTGAACTTGAGATCCCTGGGTTCTCCTGACCAATCACGGGTTAGCTGTGGGATTTTCCTGTGTCTCCTCTCTCCCTGGGAAGGTTCAAAAGTCACTCAGCCCTGCAGAGTGACTTAACCATAGGAGTTTGATTTGTTCTAGAACTTCATATAGTTCTGTAGAACATGCAGTATGAACATACTGTGGAACAAAAAAATATGTTCTTGTTTGAGTCTGGCTTATTTCGTTCAGCATAATGTGTATGAGATTCATCCATGTTGTTGCATGTTTCAATAATTCATTCCATTTTATTGCTGAATATTATACTTTTAAAATCAATTTAATATACTTTTAAAATTCATTATCCTGTTTATGAACTTGGAGGTAATTTCTAATTTGGGGATACTAAGAATAAGGCTATAAATGTTTTTTCTATTGTTCTTTTTTATGATAATATCTTTTCACTTCTCTTGGGTAAATACCTAAAAGTAAAATTGCTGGAATAAATGGTAAGTATATATTAAGCTTTATAAGAAACAATCAAATCTTTTGCCAAAGTGGGAGGACCGGCAATTCTCACCAGCAATGTATGAGAGAGTTTTAGTGGCTCCACATCTTCAACAGCATGTAATGTCAGTGGTCTTTTTAGTTTTGGCCACTTGGTAATGAGTGTTTTCTGGTATCTGATTATGATTTAAATTTGAATTTTCCTAATGATGAACGGTTTTTAGTATATTTTTATGTGCTTATTGGCCACTTATATATCTTCCCTTGTGAATCATGGGTTTTAACCTTTTATGCATCTGGGGGGTTTGTTTTTATTGTTTAGTTGCAAGAGATCTTTCATCTTCAGTTTAGTCCTTTGTCAAGTCAGGTAGATATATAAATAAAGGTTTCTCCCAGTTGGTGGCTTGTACATTCATATTCTAAATAGTGCCTTTTGGTGAGGATTTTTTTGAATTTTGATGAAATTTAGGTTAATTAATTATACCTGGGGTCTGTATCCAGACTCTGATCTGTTTGTCCTGACTCTGCGTCCAGAGGCCTTGCTATATTTATTTCTAGTTTTCTTTAAGATTCCATAAGAATTTCAACATAAACTATCATATTATTTACAAATAGAGATAGTTTATTTCTTCCTTCCCAAAGACTCTCTTTTTTTCCCCATATCTTATTGAATAGAATAGAACAACCAGTACAATGTTGAATAGACGTGATGACAGCGGACATCCTTATCTTGTTCCCCATTTTAAGAGGGAAGACCTTCCGTTTTTTATCATCAAGTGTGAAATTAGCTGTAGGGTTTTGTTACTATGTTTCTTTGTTTTGGTATAGATATTATTTATTATATTGAACAAATTTGATTTCTCGGTTGATGAGAAAATTTGTTTTTAACATAAGTGGGTGTCAAATATTGTCAAATGCTTGTTCTACATCTATTGATGTGATTGTGTGGTTTATCTACTTTATTTTGTTGGATTTCATGGATGGATTTTTTAGCTAATCTGGCATTCCTTAGATAAACCCTATTGGTCATGATATATTGTCCTTTCTATATATAGCTGGATTAAGCTTGATTATATTTTGTTAAGTATTTTTTTGCATTAGTCATGATGGATATTGGGCTATGATTTTCTCTTAATGCCTTCATGAAGTTATAGTATTGGAATTATGCTTATAAAACAAGCTGAGAAGTACTCTTTGCCCCTCAGTTTTCTGAATAATTTTGTTGCATAAGATTAGCATAGTTTGGTTTGTTAAATGTCTACTAGAGTTCACCATGAAGCCAGCGGAGCCTGGAGTTTTCTTTCTGAAAATTTTAAATAAGAGTTTTAATTTTTAAAGATTTCATTGATATACTAATATCTCTATTATCTATCTATGTATCTCCCTTTAGTATATTGTATTAGGCAGAATAGCATCCCTCCCAAAATTCTCCATGGCCTAACCCTGTAACGTGTGAATAGGTTACATTTTGTAACAGAATGGACTCCGCAGGTATAATTAATATTATAAACTTTCAAATAGGGAGATTAACCTGCATTATCAGGTTGGTCCAATCTAATTACAATACCTCTTAAAAGTAGAGAACTTTCTCTCATTGAATTTAGAGTGTTGTGGCAGAAGTCAGTTTCAAAACATGAAAAGAATTGTTGGGGTGAAGATGAAGAAGGCTGTGTGTCAAGGAAGCAGGGACCTCAGTCCTACAACCACCAGCAACTGGATTATGCTGACAATCTGAATGAGTTTGGAAGTGGAATCTTTCCTAGACTGTCCAGATCAAAGGCCAGTCCAGCCAACACATTGATTTTAGCTGGGTGGACCTGAGCAAAGTGAGCAGAGGACCTAGCTGAGATTTCTGGCTCAGAAAACAATAAGTGGGTGTGGTTTTAAATATCCATTATAGCTGCAATCGAAAACTAAATATGCATATAAAAATTTTTCTATTTCATTGTGAGTCAGTTTTGGTAAATTGTGTTTTTCACTTCATTTTTCCAATTTATTAACACAAAGTTGTTAAAAACATTTTTAATACCTTTTAAATATCTCTAGGATCTGTAGTGATATCCCCTTTCTTTCCTAATACTGATCATCTGAGGTTTCTCCGTCTCTCTCATGCCAGTCTTACTAAATGTTTATATCAGTATTAATGTCAACTTTTACCTTTGTTAATTTTATTTAGTTTGTATTTTATTGATTTTAGCTGTTGTTTTAAAAACTATATTTGTGTTTCTTATACTTACTTAGTAGAAGCTTTTCTTTATTTAGATTCTTAAGGTATAAATTTGGTTCACTTATTTATTTATTTATTTATTTATTTTGAAGGCAGAGTCTCACTCTGTTGCCCAGGCTGGAGTGCAGTGGCTGGATCTCAGCTCATTGCAATCTCTACCTCCTGGGTTCAAGCGATTCTCCTGCCTCAGCCTCCTGAGTAGCTGGGAACACAGGCGCCCACCACCACACCCAGCTAATTTTTGCATTTTTCGTAGAGACATAGGGTTTCACCATGTTGGCCAGGCTGGTCTTGAACTCCTGGCCTCAAGTGATCCACCTGCTTCAGCCTCCCAAAGTGCTGGGATTACAGGTGTGAGCCACTGTGCCTGTCAGGTCACTGATTTTAAATATTTCTTTTCTGCTAATAAATATAAGCACTAGAAATCATAAATTTCCCTCTAAGTACTGCTTAAGCTGGCAAGCACAAATTTCTGAATGTAGTATTTACATTACATTTTATTTCAAACTATTTGGCACTTATGATGTTTTTGTTTAATCCATGGGTTTAAAAGTATATTTAATTTCCAAATACTTGGGTATTTTTACAGATATTTTATTGATACTGATGACTAGTTAAATTCTATTGCTACTATGGAAGATATTCTTTAAGATTTTAATTTTCTAAAATTGTTGACTTGTTTTTAGTTCAGCATGTGGACTGACTTTATGAACATTCCATGTGTGCTTGTGTGTGCTGTAGTTGTGCAGTGTAGTAGTCTCTAAATATCATTAGGGTTATGGCATTGTGTGGTGTTGCTAAGACCTTTAATATCCTTATCGATTTTTGGTCTATTTATACTATCAATTACTGTTAAAGAGGTTTTCAAATCTCCAGCTATTATTGTCAATTTGCCTACTTATCCTTTTAGTTCTTTTGAGTTTTTTCATATATTTTGATACTCTGTTATTAGGTATACACACATAATTTTAAATGTGTCTGCCTGAGTAATTTTTCCTTTTATATTATGAAATGTCCCACTTTATCTCCAGCAATACTCCTTGTCTTAAAGTCTATATTGTCTGATATTAATAGAGAATGCAGACACTCTTGCCTTCTTAATAGTATTTTCATAGTATATATATATATATATATATAATTTTATTTATTTTCAACTTATATGTGTCTCTATATTTAAAGTGTGAATCTTGTGGTCAGTATAGAGTTGGGCTTTTCATTTTTTTCCAGTTTGAAAAATCACTGCCTTTTTCTTGGTCCATTTTCATATATTACAATTATCAGTATGATTGAATTTAAGTCTACCATTTTGTTTTTTTAATTTATTCTGTTTCTTTTTCTTTCTCTGTTTCGTTTTTATATTCTTTTTTGCTTAATTACATATTTTTAGGTATTTCAATTCCTGTATTGGCTTTTCTTTTCTTTTTCTATTTTTTTTTTTTTTTTCGAGATGGAGTTTTGCACTTGTTGCGCAGGCTGGAGTGCAGTGGCACGATCTCGGCTCACTGCAACCTCTGCCTCCCGGGTTCAAGCGATTCTCCTGCCTCAGCTTTCTGAGTAGCTGAAATTACAGGCATGTGCAACCACACCCAGCTAATTTTTGTATTTTTAGTAGAGACAGGGTTTCACCATGTTGGCCACACCCATCTCGAACTCCTGACCTCAGGTGATCCACCTGCGTCGGCCTCCTAAAGTGCTGGGATTACAGGCGTGAGCCACTGCACCCAGCCCTCTATGTTGGCTTTTCAACTGTGTATCTTTGTGTATTTTTGGTGTTTATCCTACGGATTACAATATGCATATTTAACTTATTATACAGTCTACTTAGAGTTAATATTATATTACTTCTCATAAAATATAGTAATTTTGCTATGATATAATTTCATTTACCTCATTCTTTGTGAAATTGTTGTCATATGTTACATCTATATTTGTTATAAATCTCCAATAAAGTTTTATAATTTTAGCTTTCAATAGCAATCTGTATTTTTTTAATTAAGAGAAGAAAAAATGTATATTTATTTGTGTTTGTCTTTCACCTATGTACCATTTCTGGTACATAGTTTCTATCTGGTATCATTTTTCTTCAGCCTGAACAACCTCGATTAGCATTTCCTGTAGGATAGATCTGCTGGCAATTCATTCTCTTAGTTTTTGTTCATCTGATAATGGTTTTTTAAAATTTTGCCTTCATTTTTGAATAAGAGTTTTGCCTGCATATAAAATTTCTTGTTGATTTTTTCAGCAATTTAAATATGCTGTTTCGTTGTCTGCTGATCTCCTTTATAATGTGAGTTCAGCTGTTCTTCATATTATTGTGCCCTTGTATGTAATGTCATTTTTTTCATCTGACTGTTTTCAAGATTTTCTGTTTAACTTTGAGTTTAAACAATTTGACTATAATGTGCCTAGATGTCGTTTTATTTATATTTAGTCAGATTGGCGAATTGGATAAGCTTCTCAGATACATAAGTTTATATTTTTCCCTAATTGGAAATATATTTAGCCATTACATCTTTAAGTATTTTTTCATCCAATTATTCTCTTCTTTTTCCTTTTGATATTGCCAATTACATGTATGTTAGAATTCTAATATCATCCCACAACTAACTGAGGCTCGGTTCATTAAAAAATTTTTCCTTTATATTTGTCAGATTGTATGATTTCTATTGATTTATTTTAAGTTCAATGACTTTTTCTTGTGTCATCTTCAGTCTTTTGTTAAGCCTGTCCAGGAATTGTTCATTTTAGTTATTGTACTTTTCCTTTTAGGCTCAGTAGTGGCTCTTTTTACACTAGAAACTTGTTTCCAAGTGAAGACAGATATTAACTCTTGGGATGAGGTACTTGAGTATTGAAAGAGGTTAATAAGATTAATTTATAATAGTGTGCAGAAACTAAGGAAGCACAGTAATTAACTGAGCTTCTTATAAAAAAGGTGATAGAGAAATGTAAATAATAACATTAGTGCTTTGATTATCTTTTGTAGATATTTTTGGAAAAATACTTATGTTTACATTTCCATGTCATTTAATTACATTTCTATTGAGCATTGTTCTTGTGATACTGTACTTTTTTATGTGTTTTTCAAATTAAATTGTGGGCTTCAAGATACTTTTTGAAATTTTAACAAGGTGCAAAATTGTAAAAATAAAATAACTTTAACAATTACTTTCTTTTGCCAACTTATGTATTCCTTAATGGCGTCAACTCTGCAGAAACAAAATGCCTTTTCCAACACCAACATGTTTCAGATTGGTTTGAAGTGTGCTGTCAGTTCTGTTGAGATAATGAAGTATTTTTGCATTCACTAAACAATGAAGCCATAGGAGTAAGTATTCTAGGTCTTCAGTCCTCTAGTGAATGGTGAAAAGAAAGGGTCAGTGGTTCCTTGCTGTACTCTCCAGCAAGCTGGTTGGCTTGGGGATAGTATTAGTAACTTAGGTCTAGCGACCTTCAAAAAAACCACATTTTATGCCTCCTTGGCCTCCTATCTGCGAAAAACATGGAATCATAGCCACTTAGCTCCTACAGTCTTAGCTTTTTATGTCTGGCTACCCGAATCATAATCTAACGGTAAGAGGTAAGGTCATCAGCCTCTCATCACTTGTCTGCTGCCACTTGTTTAACTCTAGCTCATCAAAGATCAATGGGCGTTACTTGCTAGCCACCAAGTGGCTTGGATGATAGAGAAACTTACAAGCCAACACTGATGAATAATTTCTGTTCAAGTGGCCATAGCTCAAGGGATACTAAAGAGCCTGAAGAACAGATATGTTTACCAACTGGCAAATTATGACCCTCCTGTGACTCTCACCTATTGGTGTTAGCTCTAATAGAAGATAGTTTTTCTTTAGAATGTTTGATCCACTGAACACCTGTCTGAGTGGCAGGACTGATGAAAAAGAATAACAGAAACACAGCACACCTGTGATGTGAACATTCTTTTATGAATGTGCATGGGTGGGTTTGTTCTTTGTAATAAATAATAGTAGCAGTAGCTTTTGAATGGAAAGCAGGGATGATTATGACTATGAAAGTGGCTTTGTAAGTCATCCTAATTGGTACAGTTATACAATTTGGAAACAAAAACATGTAGATTATGAATACACCAAGTTTTTCACAGATAATCCAGATATTCCTTTGTCTCGTAAGTGCATGGACAACAAGGTGCTTGTTCCTATACATGACCTACCTTGATGGATGAAATAAGGGAGGCAAGATATCAAGATCTAGAACCAATATTTATAGCAAATCTCAGGAGGAATTTTTCAATGGCTCTTTTTTTAATGTTTTGATATTTTTTAAATGTTTAGTGTTTTTAAAAATGTTTAATGATGAAAACTTATTGGGAAACAAATGTATTAATATTAACATGTAGGCTTTTTTTTTTTTTTTTACCCCAGTGGGAATTTTTAGAGTACCTTACTAGATATTTTTAGGAGAGGTTTTCTTTATACCACATAGCACTGGATATGTCCATTCTGTTTACTCTTTCTCCTCAGGAAGAGGTATTCTTGTAAGAGCTATTCCTCATTTTGTGTTCTCCATTTGGACACAGGTCTCCTTTAGCTGTCAATGCTTTCTAATGGAGCGAGGGGGAAGTAAAGCCCGATTGTGTTTATTTTTAAAAATGACTGATGGAGAAAGTCAAGGCCTTCTTCCACAGAGTTTAGCAGAGCAGAGTTGCATAGCTTTGAGAACATATTTACTGTTTCCTACTAGGTTGTCCCTCCTCAAAGTCTAGTAGGGTGCTTGCAGTGAGTTATATCACTGGTCCTCAGAAGGTTCTGGCTTTTACCAGGGCAGAGATAATTGATGAAACACATTTCTCAGAATTCAGCTTGACTGGGCAGACTGGGCATTGTAGGGTATAGACCCTTCTCTGCAAGAGTCAACATCATGATGGTGAGATCTGCTGAGCTATATCACCAAGAAGGGTGTCTGGTGAAGACAGCAGCTGGTGGAGAGCTCTAGGATCATATTTCCATGTTCCCAGGGATCTTGGCCTAAATGTCAGATTACTCAGTCACCTCATAGTATATCCCTGAGGCCTTGACCACATATATGTGTCCTGGCTTCCATATGAACGTTTGTTAATCCAGTGATTTCTAAACCTGACTGATGAAAAGAATATATGAAGTGTTTGAAAAAATGACAGATTTCTGGCCTCACTCTAAATATTCTAATTCTCCCGAATTTCAGGGGAGTTCCGCATGTCTGAGAATTTTGGTTCTAGTGTACCCTAAAAGTATTTCATTTTGTATTCCTAAATAAAAATGTATCCAACTGGAGAGAACAGGTATTTGAAAACACAATGTCTGGTGTTTTTTGCTGCCAAGAAATGATGAGAAACCTTATGTATATTTTATCATATCCACAAGAAAAGTTTTGAACGATTCTTTACATTTTGTTGCTAAGAGAGAGGCCCTTCATTTTTACAAATTGACATCTGCATATAGAAAGTGTGAATGTCAAGAATGTTTGATGAGTTTTTTCTAATGTTTTAAACTTACTTTTGTTTTATCTAAGTTGTATAAGGGGAAGATGGCTGCTTGGCTATTGGGAGGGATGTGGGGTTTGGACTTTCAACCAATTCTCTTGTTTGCATGCCCCAGCCAAAACTAGGGTGACCCACCACCTAGCTGGCTGGTTTTAGCACTGAAAGTTCTGCTGTGTACCATGAAAATCCTCATTCCCAGGCAAACTAGGACAATTGGTAACCCTACCCATACCCTATAATCAAGACACTTGGTATCTCCAATTCCAAGGCCTTTCCAGGTTCTGCCAGGCAAGAGTTCTTGTGAGGTTTTTCAGCAGGCTTAGGATTCTGCTTTCTCAAGTCTATTCACTTTCAGATTCCAAACTTTTGTTGACCTTTCTTTTCTACTCTTGTCTCCTGTCTACTTCTCTCTGTCTATAAAGATTTTGCTCTTGTGAAATCCCTTTACTATTATTGTAGAGAGGTTTAGGGAAAGGATGGTGATCGCCACATATGCAAGATTTTACATATATAGTAAATATATATATAAATATATAATACTATATAATACATATTATATATAAATATATAATACTATATAATACATATATTATATATAAATATATAATACTATATAATACATAATATATTATATATAAATATATAATATATAATACATAATATATAAATATATAATATATAATACATAATATATTATATATAAATATATAATATATAATACATAATATATTATATATAAATATATAATATATAATACATAATATATAAATATATAATACATAATATATAAATATATAATATATAATACATAATATATTATATATAAATTTATAATATATAATACATAATATATTATATATAAATTTATAATATATAATACATAATATATAATATTATATTTAATATATAATACATAATATATAATATTATATTTTAATATATAATACATAATATATTATATATAAATATATAATAATATGATACATAATATATTACATATAAACATATAATAATATATAATGCATAATATAATATATAAATATATAATAATATAATACATAATATATATTATATAATATATATAATACATAATATATATTATATAATAATATATAATACATAATATATATTATATAATATATATAATACATAATATATAATATAATAATATATACTACATAATATATATTATATAATAATATATACTACATAATATATTATATAATAATATATACTACATAAATATTATATAATATATACTACACAATATATTATATAATATATACTACACAATATATTATATAATATATACTACACAATATATATTATATAATATGTAATACACAATATATATTATATAATCATTATATATAAGCATATAACAATACATAGTACATTATATATAAGCATATAACAATACATAGTACATTATATATAAGCATATAACAATACATAGTACATTATATATAAGCATATAACAATACATAGTACATTATATATAAGCATATAACAATATATAGTTCATTATATATAAGCATATAACAATATATAGTTCATTATATATAAGCATATAACAATATATAGTTCATTATATATAAGCATATAACAATATATAGTTCATTATATATAAGCATATAACAATATATAGTTCATTATATATAAGCATATAACAATATATAGTACATTATATATAAGTATATAATATAATATAGTACATTATATATAAGTATATAATATAATATAGTACATTATATATAAGTATATAACATATAATACATTATATATAAGTATATAACATATAATACATTATATATAAGTATATAACATGTAATACATTATATATAAGTATACGATAACATGTAATACATTATATATAAGTATACGATAACATGTAATACATTATATATAAGTATACGATAACATGTAATACATTATATATAAGTATACGATAACATGTAATACATTATATATAAGTATACGATAACATGTAATACATTATATATAAGTATACGATAACATGTAATACATTATATATAAGTATACGATAACATGTAATACATTATATATAAGTATACGATAACATGTAATACATTATATATAAGTATACGATAACATGTAATACATTATATATAAGTATACGATAACATGTAATACATTATATATAAGTATACGATAACATGTAATACATTATATATAAGTATACGATAACATGTAATACATTATATATAAGTATACGATAACATGTAATACATTATATATAAGTATATGATAATATGTAATACATTATATATATATATATAGCTGAAAGCCTTTTAATGATTCCCAATATTGAAATAATGATATTGTAGACTTCGGTGATTTTCCAAATTCAGTATCAGAGATTAAGTTAAACTTTACCCAAACACACTTCAAAGCTGTAGGAGAGGACAGTTTTCCTACAGTGCTTTGAGTTCCTGGGGTTCCCTTTCTTATCTTTTCTTACCACTTGGATTCTTCCCCTTATTAGTCTAGACATGAAACTCAGCTCTCTCCAGGTTTCTACAAAATTCCACTTGCTCTTAAGGATTTCATGAGTTTAGCAGATTTTTAGAAGTTATTCAGTGTCAGGCAGTGTTCTAGGACAGGTCCTATCACAGGGAATATGGCCTTTGGCTACGTTCTCCTCCTTGTAGTGTGTCTGGATCACAGAACACTTCTATCTAAACACAGATGCCTCAGTGTCTTAGCTTCTACCCCAAGAGGTATATTGATAAATACTTTTTGTGGCATATCATAACAATTGAAAATAGGAGAAAATTTGAGTCATCTATTTCAGAAATTATGAAAGTCTCAGGAAAGTGTTGGGTGTTAAAACCTTTTGCCCTCTGAAGTTAGGTAATAAGAGAAAGCATATTCTGTAAAACTAACCATTTGCATTTCAGAGAATAGCATTGGTGGGAATTCAAGAAGAAGAATATCAAAGATAATCATGGAAGCCTCACTTGAGCGTTTAACACATACCAACACTTTTCCTTTGCTCATCTCGCTATTCTTATTATAGATGAGGAAACTGCAGCTTAGGATAGGTAAAAACAAAACAAAATAAAACAAAAACCTTGCCTAAATGTTCATGAGTAGCAAAGGAGCAAATAGCAGGGCTGGGATTCCTTCTTTGGCAGCCTGACTCAGGGCATGTGCTCTTATCCATACTCACATCCCACTAAGAATGTGGAATGCTCTTTTTCAGAGATGCATCTGCATGCACGTAACTTTAGAAATAGAAAATAGGTGGAATGGTATTTTCCTACTTCTTACTACACTGTGATTTATAAGGCCTGGATTACCAGTAGCTGGGTCCTGTCTGCCATCCCAGGACTGCAAAGCTTCCACATTTCTGAGCAGGGACCAGGGCCTGAGCTTCAGGACTACATCTGAATCTAGTCCTGAGCTTCAGGACCATATCATTGCAGCTGTCAGGATTGCATTGTCAGGGTCTAGGGGCTCTCCTAGCCACTGTCATTCCTGTTCCAGCAGACCTTGCTTACAATCCTCTCTCTGTGTTCTGGGGTTCTCCTTTACTCTGCTGCTGCCAAGACTCAGTGTGGGCTATCTCCACTCTGGGAAACCGCTGGAACCAAACTGGAAGTAAACTACATACTATGGGCTGAGAGAAGAACACTGGCCTTTGATACTAGTAGGAACAGTTTTCACATGGTTTGATAAAATTCATCTCCTTTTTCTTTTTTTTTTCTTTTTTATTATACTTTAAGTTCAGTTTTGTGTAGATTCTGAATATTAGTCCTTTGTCAGATGTATAGATTGTGAAGATTTTCTCCCACTCTGTGGATTGTCTGTTTACTCTGCTGACTGTTCCTTTTGATGTGCAAAAGCTCTTTAGTTTAATTAGGTCCCAGCTGTTTATCTTTGTTTTTACTGCATTTGCTTTTGGGTTCTTGGTCATGAAATCCTTGCCTAAGCCAATGTCTAGAAGGGTTTTTCCAATGTTATCTTCTACATTTTTATAGTTTCACGTCTTAGGTTTAAGTCCTTAATCCATCTTCAGTTGATTTTTGTTTAAGGTGAAAGATGAGGATCCAGTTTCATTCTCCTACATGTGGCTAGCCAATTATCCCAGCACCAGTTGTTGAAAAAGGGGGACTTTATGTTTTTGTTTGCTTTGTCGAAAATCAGTTGGCTGTAAGTATTTGCGTTTATTTCTGGGTTCTCTATTCTGTTCCATTGGTCTACGGATCTATTTTTATATCAGTACCATGATGTTTTGGTGACTATGGCCTTATAGTTTAGTTTGAAATCAGGTAGTATGATGCCTCCAGATTTGTTCTTTTTGCTTAATCTTGCTTTGGCTATGCAGGCTCTTTTTGGTTTCATATGAATTTTAGAATTTTTTTTTCTAATTCTGTGAAGAATAATGGTGATATTTTTATGGGGATTGCATTGGATTTGCAGATTGCTTTTGGCAGTATGGTCATTTTCACAATATTGATTCTACCCATACATGAGCATGGGATGTGTTTCCATTTGTTTGTGTCATCTATGATTTCTTTCAGTAATGTTTTGTAGTTTTCCCTGTAGAGGTCTTTTGCCTCCTCGGTTAGGTATATTCCTAAGTATTTTTATTTATTTATTTTTGCAGCTAATGTGAAAGGAATTGAGTTTTTGATTTGACTCTCTGCTTAGTTGCTGTTGGTGTATAGAAGAGGTACTGATTTGTGTACATTAATCTTTTATCTGGAAACTTTGCTGAATTCTTTTATCAGTTCTAGGAGCTTTCTGGAGGAGTCTTTAGGGTTTTCAAGGTAAACTATCTTATCATCAGCAAACAGTGACAGTTTCACTTCCTCTTTCCTGATCTGGATGCCCTTTATTTCTTTCTCGTCTGATTACTTTGGGATCAGACTTTCAATACGATGTTGAAGAGGAGTGGTGAGAGTGGGCATCCTTGTCTTGTTCCAGTTCTCAGAGGGAATGCTTTCAACTTTTCCCCATTCAGTGTTATGTTGGCTGTGGGTTTGTCACAGATGGCTTTTATTACATTGAGGGATGTCCCTTGTATGCCAATTTTGCTGAAAGTTTTAATTATAAAGGGATGCTGGATTTTGTTGAATGCTTTTCCTTCATCTATTGAGACCATCATGTGATTTTTGTTTTTAATTCTGTTATCTGGTGTATCACATTTATTGACTTATGTATGTTAAACTGTCCCTGCATATCTGGTATGAAACCCTCTTGATCATGGTGGATTATCTTTTTAATATGTTGTTGGATTCGGTTAGCTAGTATTCTGTTAAGGATTTTAGCATCTGTGTTCTTCAGGGATATCAGTCTGTAGTTTTCTTTATTGGTTGTGTCCTTTCCTGATTTTGGTATTAAGGTGATGCTGGCTTCATAGAATGAAGTAGGGAGGGTTCCTTCTTTCTCTATCTTGTGGAATAGTATCAAAAGGATTGGTACCAATTCTTCTTTGAATGTCTGGTAGAATTCTGCTGTGAATCTGTCTGTTCCTGGACTTTTTTATGTTGGTAATTTTTTAATTACCATTTCAATCTCACTGCTTGTTTTTGGTCTGTTCAGGGTATCTGATTCTTCCTGATTTAAGCTAGGAGGGTTGTATTTTTTCCAGGAATTTATCCATCTCTTCTAAGTTTTCCAGTTTACGTGCATAAAGGTGTTCATAGAGCCTTGACTGATCTTTTGTATTTCAGTGGTGTCAGCTGTAATATCACCTGTTTAGTTTCTTAGTGAGATTATTTGGATTTTCTCTCTTTTTTTCTTGGTTAATCTTGCTAATGGTCTATCAATTTTATTTATCTTTTCAAAGAACCAGCTTTTTGTTTCATTTATCTTTTGTATTTTTTGTTTGTTTGTTTCTTTCAATTTCATTTAGTTCTGCTCTGATCTTGGTTATTTCCTTCCTTATGCTGCTTTTGTGTTTGTTTTTTTCTTGTTCTAGTTACTTGAGGTGCAACCTTAGACTGTCTGTTTGTGCTCTTCAGACTTTCTGATGTGGGTGTTTAAGGCTATGAACTTTCCTCTTAGTACTGCCTTAGCTGTATCCCAGAGGTTTTGATAGGTTGTGTCATTATTGTCATTCAGTTCAAAGAATTTTTAAATTTCCATCCTGATTTTTTTTTGACCCAGTGTTCATTCAGGAGCAGGTCATTTAACTTCCATGTATTTGCGTGGTTTTGAAGGTTCCTTTTGGAATTGATTTCCAGTTTTATTCCACTGTGGTCTAAGAGAATGCTTGATATAATTTTAATTTTCTTAAATTTTTTGAGGTTTCTTTTATGACCTATCATATGGTCTATCTTGGAGAAAGTTCCATGTGCTGTTGAATAGAATGTGTATTCTGCAGTTGTTGGATGAAATGTTCTATATATATCTGTTAAGTCCATTTGTTCCAAGGTATAGTTTAAATCCATTGTTTCTTTTTTGATTTTCTGTCTTGATGACCTGTCTAGTGCTGTCAGTGGAGTATTGATGTCCCCCACTAGTACTGTGTTGCTATCTATCTCATTTCTTAGGTCTGCTAATAATTGTTTTATAAATTTGGGAGCATTAGGTGCATATGTTTAGGATTGTGATATTTTCCTGTTGGATAAGGCCTTTTACCATTATATAATGTCCCTCTTTGTCTCTTTTAACCACTGTTGCTTTAAAGTTTGTTTTGTCTGATATACAAATAGCTATCCCTGCTCACTTTTGGTGTTCATTTGCATGAAATGCCTTTTTCCAGCCCTTTAAGTTTATGTGAGTCCTTATGTTTTAGGGGAGTCTCCTAAAGGCAGGAGATAGTTGGTTGGTGAGTTTTTATCCATTCTGCGATTCTGTATCTTTTATTAAGTGGAGCATTAAGGCCATTTACATTCAATGTTAGTATTGAAATATGAGGTACCATTGTATTCATCATGCAATGGTATTTTTGTTTTATAGGTCCTGTGTGATTTATGCTTTAATAAGGTTCTGTTTTGATGTGTTTCCAGGATTTGTTTCAAGGTTTAGAGCTCCTTTTAGCAGTTCTTGTAGTGATGGCTTGGTAACGGTGAATTCTCTCAGCATTTGCTTGTCTGAATATGACTGTATCTTTCCTTCATATATGATGCTTAGTTTCGCTGCATACAGAATTCTTGGCTGATAATCGTTTTGTTTGAGGAAGCTGAAGATATGGCCCCAATCCCTTCTAGCTCGTAGGGTTTCTTCTGAGAAATCTGCTGTTAATCTGATAGGTTTTCCTTTATAGGTTACCTGGTGCTTCTGTCTCACAGCTCTTAAGATTCTTTCCTTTGTCTTAACTTTGAATAACCTGATGACAATGTGCCTAGGTGAAGATCTTTTTGTGATACATTTCCCAGGTGTTCCTTGCGCTTCTTGTATTTGAATGTCTAGATCTCTAGCAAGGCTGGGGAAGTTTTCCTCAATTATTCCCCCAAATATGTTTTCCAAGCTTTTAGAATTGTCTTCTTCAGGAACACTGATTATTCTAAGGTTTGGTCATTTAACATAATCCCAGACCCCTTGGGGGCTTTGTTCATATTTTCTTATTCTTTTTTGTCTTTGTTGGATTGGGTTAATTCAAAGACCTTGTCTTCAAGCTCTGAATTTCTTTTTTCTACTTGTTCAATTCTATTGCTGAGATTTTCCTGAGCATTTCACATTTCTAAAGGTGTGTCCAAAGCTTCCTGAATTTTTGATTGTTTTTTATTTAAGCTATTTCCTTGAATATTTCTCCCTTCACTTCTTGTATCATTTTTTGGATTTCCTTACATTGGGTTTCAGCTTTCTCTGGTCCCTCCCTGATTAGCTTAATAACTAACTGCCTTAATTCTTTTTCAGGCAAATCAGGGATTTCTTCTTGGTTTGGATTCATTGCTGGTGAACTAGTGTGATTTTTAGGGGTGTTGAAGAGCCTTGTTTTGTCATATTATGAGGGTTGGTTTTCTGGTTCCTTCTCATTTGGGTAGGCTCTGTCAGAGGGAAGGTCTAGGGCTGAAGGCTGTTGTTCAGATTTCTTTTTTGTCCCACAAGGTATTCTCTTCATGTAGTACTCTCCCCCTTTTCCTGTGGATGTGGCTTCCTGTGAGCCAAACTGCAGTGATTGTTGTCTGTCTTCTGGGTCTAGCCACCCAGCCAGTCTACCTGGCTCCAGCCTGGTACTGGAGGTTGTCTGCACAGAGTCCTGTGATGTGAACCATCTGTGGGTCTCTCAGGTGTGGATATCAGTGCCTATTCCACTGGAGGTGGCAGAGGGTACAGTGGATTCTGTGAAGGTCCTTAGCTTTGGTGGTTTAATGCTCTATTTTTGTCCTGGTTGGCCTTCTGCCAGGAGGTGGCACTTTGCAGAAAGCATCAGCTGTAGTAGTGTGGAGAGGGACCGGCGGTAGGCGGGGCCTTAGACCTCCCAAGATTATATGCCCTTTGTCTTCCACTACCAGAAAGGTGGGTAGGTAGGGAAGGACTATGGGGAGTGGGACTAGGCCTGTCTGAGCTCAGACTCTCTTTGAGTGGGTCTTGCTTCAGCTGCTGTGGGGCATGGGGGTGAGATTTCCAGGACACTGGAGTTGTGGAAGTATTATGGCTGCCTCTGCTGAGTCATGGAGGTTGTCAGGAAAGTAGGGGAAAGCCGGTAGTCACAGGCCTCACCCAGCTCCTGTGCAAACTGAAGGGCTGGTCTCACTCACACTGTGACCCCAACAACAGCCCCAATTCTGTTTCCAGGTGGAGGGCAAGATGGGCTTGAAAACTTGCCCGAGGCTGTCTGCCTCCCAGCTGTGAAAGAAAAAGGCTTTAGTTCTTCCCCAGCCTGTGAAGTCTGCAAGCTGGATTCAGATTTGTGCTCTTCCCTGAGTTCTGGCCAGGAAGATTTTTGCCCTATTAAAATTGTTACAAAGTTCACCTAGAGAATTCCTTCTCCCTGTGGAGTTTTAACCGCTGCTCCTCTGGCCACCGTCCAGATGGATCCCTGTGGTGCCAGGCAGGAATGGGCTGCTTGGGGACCCAGAGAGCTCGCAGGGCCTTTCTGCTGCTTCCTCTACCCCTATATTTCTCTTGGCTTGGCTCTCTAATTTAACTCAGCTCCAGGTAAAGTCTGAAACTTCTCCCACAAGCAAACCTTCAACTTCTCCAGTGGGGTGTGTTTGGGAGAGGAGGGCCTCCCTTTCTCACTTCTACAGTTGGGGCACTCACAGTATTTGGGGTGTCTCCTGGGTCCTGCAGGAGCAGTCTGCTTCCATCAGAGGGTCTGTGGGTCCTCTCAGAATTGCTGTTTTTTTCTTGCGGTCAATCTGGAGCTAAAATTCACAGTGCAAGCCTCCATACACTGCTCTGTACAGGTGCAATCTAGTCCTGCCTCCCATGCACCATGATTATCTCTCCTCTCAGATTCCCTTAATTTCATCTTTAAAATGGAGATGATTTTGGTTCTGCATGTGAGGAGCTTGGAAGTCATCACTTCCATCTTCACACTAGAAAAAAGCTGAACAAACTAAAAATCAACAACTCTTCTTATATCTATCAGAGAAATGAAGTCACAGGGCAAATCACTGCCCCTTGTAATTGGAGTGACAGACAGGCAGATAAAGAATATCACAACTTAACGGAGCAGAAACTTCTGTGGGAACTAGCACTGAAGTAGAAAAACCTGAACTGGCTGGGCGCGGTGGCTCACACCTGTAATCCTAGTACTTTGGGAGGCCGAGGCAGGAGGATCTCTTGAGGTCAGGAGTTCAAGATCATCTTGGCCAACATAGTGAAACCCTGTTTCTACTAAAAATACAAAAATTAGCCGAATGTGTTGGTGGGCACCAAGCGCTTGTAATCCCTGCTACTTGGGAGGCTGAGACAGGAGTCTCGCTTACACCCGGGAGGTAGAGGTTGCGGTGAGCCAAGATCGTGCCATTGCACTCCAACCTGGGTGACAAGAGTGAAACTCCATCTCAAAAAATAAAAAAGAGGTCTTCCGTTCCAAGATGGCCAAATAGGAACAGCTCTGGTCTGCAGCTCCCAGCATGTTCGACACTGAAGACGGGTGATTTCTGCATTTCCAACTGAGGTACCTGGTTCATCTCATTAGGACTGGTTGGACAGTGGGTGCAGCCCACGGAGGGTGAGCTGAAGCAGGGTGGGGCATCACCTCAGCTGGGAAGCACAAGGGGTCAGGGATTTCCCTTTCCTAGCCAAGGGAAGCCATGACAGACTGTATCTGGAAAAATGGGACACTCTGCCCAAATACTGTGCTTCTCCCACGGTCTTAGCAACAGGCAGACCAGGAAATTCTCTCCTGTGTGTGGCTTGGCAGGTCCCACACCAACGCAGCCTTGCTCACTGATAGCACAGCAGTCTGAGATTGACCTGCAAGGTGGCAGCCTGATGGGGGAGGGGCATCCACCATTGCTGAGGCTTGAATAGGTAAAGTGGCTGAGAAGCACAAATTGGGCAGAGCCCACCGCAGCTCAGCAAGGCCTACTGCCTCTATAGACTCCCCCTCTGTGGGCAGGGCATAGCTGAACAAAAGGCAGCAGAAACTTCTGCAGACTTAAACGTCCCTGTCTGACAGCTCTGAAGAGAGCAGTGGTTCTCCCAGCACAGGGTTTGAGCTCTGAGAATGGACAGGCTGCCTCTTCAAGTGGGTCCCTGAGCCCCATGTAGCCTAACTGGGAGACACCTCCCAGTAGGGTCCGACAGACCTCATACAGGTGGGTGCTCCTCTGGGATGAAACTTCCAGAGGAAGGATCAGGCAGCAATATATGCTATTCTGCAATATTTGCTGTTCTGCAGTCTCTGCTGGTAATACCCAGGCAAACACGGTCTGGAGTAGTGGACCTCCAGCAAACTCCAACAGACCTGCAGCTGAGGGACCTGTTAGAAGGAAAACTAACAAACAGAAAGAAATAGCATCGACATCAACAAAAAGGACATCCACACCAAAACCCCATCTGTAGGTCACAAACATCAGAGACCAAAGGTAGATAAAACCACAGATGGGGAGAAACCAGAGCAGAAAAGCTGAAAATTCCAAAAACCAGCGCGCCTCTTCTCCTCCAAAAGATCGCAGCTCCTTGCCAGCAACAGAACAAAGCTGGATGGAGAATGACTGACGAGTTGACAGAAGTAGGCTTCAGAAGGTCAGTAATAACAAACATCTCTGAGCTAAACGAGCATGTTCTAACCTGTCACAAGGAAGGTAAAAACCTTGAAAAAAGGTTAGATGAATGGCTAACTAGAATAAACAGTGTAGAAAGGACCTTAAGTGACTTGATGGAGTTGAAAACTGTGGCATGAGAACTTTGTGATGTATGCACAAACTTCAATAGCCAATTCGATCAAGTGGAAGAAAGGATATCAGTGATTGAGAATCAAATTAATGAAATAAAGCAAGAAGACAAGATTAGAGAAAAAAGAGTAAAAAGAAATGAACAAAGCCTCCAAGAAATATAGAACTATGTGAAAAGACCAAATCTACGTTTGATTAGTGTACCTGAAAGTGACGGGGAGAATGGAACCAAGTTGGAAAACACTCTTCAGGATATTATCCAGGAGAACTTCCCCAACCTAGCAAGGCAGGCCAACATTCAAATTCAGGAAATACAGAGAACACCACAAAGATACTCCTCAAGAATCACAACCCCAAGACACATAATTGTCAGATTCACCAAGGTTGAAATGAAGGAAAAAGTGTTAAGGGCAGCCAGAGAGAAAGGTCGGGTTACCCACAAAGGGAAGCCCATTAGACTAACAGCTGATCTCTCGGCAGAAACCCTACAAGTGAGAAGAGAGTGGGGGCCAATATTCAACATTCTTAAAGAAAAGAATTTTCATCCCAGAATCTCATATCCAGCCAAACTAAGCTTCATAAGTGAAGGAGAAATAAAATCCTTTACAGACAAGCAAATCCTTTACAGACAAGCAAATGCTGAGAGATTTTGTCACCACCAGGCCTGCCTTACAAGAGCTCCTGAAGGAAGCACTAAACATGGAAGGAAACAACCGGTACCAGCCACTGCAAAAACATCCCAAATTGTAAAGACCATCAATGCTATGAAGAAACTGCATCAATTAATGGGCAAAATAACCAGCTAACATCATAATGACAGGGTCAAATTCACACATAACAATATTAACCTTAAATGTAAATGGGCTAAATACCCCAATTAAAAGACACAGACTGGCAAATTGGATAAAGAGTCCAAACCCATCAGTGTACTGTATTCAGGAGACCCATCTTATGTGCAGAGACATGTGTAGGCTTAAAATAAAGGGATGGAGGAAGATCTACCAAGCAAATGGAAAGCAAAAAAAGAGCAGGGGTTGCATCTGACAAAGGGCTAATATCCAGAATCTACAAAGAATCTACAAAGAACTTAAACAAATTTACAAGAAAAAAACAACCCCATCAAAAATTGGGCAAAGGATATGAACAGACACTTCTCAAAAGAAGACATTTATGCAGCCAAAAGACACATGAAAAAATGCTCATCATCACTGGCCATCAGAGAAATGCAAATCAAAACTACAATGAGATACTAACTCATGCTAGTTAGAATGGCGATCATTAAAAAGTCAGGAAACAACAGATGCTGGAGAGGATGTGGAGAAATAGGAACACTTTTACACTGTTGATGGGAGTGTAAATTAATTTAACCATTGTGCAAAACAGTGTGGCAGTTCCTCAAGGATCTGGAACTAGAAATACCATTTGACTCAGAGATCCCATTACTGGGTATATACCCAAATGATTATAAATCATGCTACTATAAAGACACATGCACATGTATATTTATTGTGGCACTATTCACAATAGCAAAGACTTGGAACCAACCCAAATATCCATCAAAGGTAGACTGGATTAAGAAAATGTGGCACATATACACCGTGGAATACTATGCAGCCATAAAAAAGGATGAGTTCATATCCTTTGTAGGGACATGGATGAAGCTGGAAACCATCATTCTCAGCAAACTATCACACAAGGACAGAAAACCAAACACAGCATGTTCTCACTCTTAGGTGGGAATTGAACAATGAGAACACTTGGACTTAGGGCAGGAAACATCACACACTGGGACATGTTGGGGAGTGGGGAGGAGGGGGAGGGATAGCATTAGGAGAAATACCTAATGTAAATGACGTGTTAATGGGTGCAGCAAACCAACATGGCACATGTGTACCTATGTAACAAACCCGCATGTTGTGCACATGTACCTAGAACTTAAAGTATAATAAAGAAAAGAAAAACCTGAACTATAATTGCATTGCTGGATGCTCAGTGTGGACCAGTCAGAGAGAAAAATTCCAGGGGGTGCCAGTCTTGGGGAGCCCCTTCATACTTTTTACATTTTACCTTCAGGAGCCCTAGCAGGTCCTCCAGTGAAGATCAGAGAAAAATGTCTCATTTTTCCAGCAGGGGAAAGGGGGAAGTAGCCTTTGAAATGTACCAGAAGGTTCTGTTCCTTTAAAAGGGGGATGCTAATGGTTGAACTAGTTACACCTTCTAGGGATAGTGCAAAGATTAGGTGTGATAATACATGTAAAGCACATAGAGCATGTAAGACCCGTGCTGCTGTTATTATTTAGCCATATTCCTATACATAAGCTGAGGGTTATTCACCTCTACTAAAGAAGCTACACATGAGTTGGACATCCAGAGAAAGGCTGAAAGGAGAAAGGTGAAATTTAGCTGGAGGAATGCCTTTATACCTTTAAAATGTATAGTGGTTTGCATCTTGAAAGCATTACCATAATTTGGCATACTATTGTATACATTCTCCTATGAATCCCATAAAATAGTTATTCATTCCCTGCTAAGGTAAAGAAAAAAGATAAATAAAATTTCTGAATCTGACCTTTTCCGGGCCCCTTTACTTCAGAAGCCAGGATTAGGATTTAAACTTTCCAGCGTCTTGGCCACTTCTTGTTCCCTGGGCAGCCCTTTCAGCTTGATGGTGAGTTGTAAGCAGTGAACTGGTTCCTGCAAGAGCAAACAGTAGCAGATACATGGAGAAATTGCTGGCCAGAGATTGCAAAGCACATCACAATTCTAATCGATTCTGAGAGACAAACGTGGAGACCTGCAAACCTGTGCACAGATGAGGACTTTTACCAGGAGAAATCGCCTGGAGTCCAGATGACAGACTTTTGGAAATGCTAACTTGAAATGTTTTCTTTCTTGGCTTTAAAAATTTAGCCTTTACTTTGAAGCTGTCAGAAAAAAATGATTTTTGTTTTTCTGTGTGTGTGTGTGTGTGTGTGTGTGTGTACATACGTTTTTATTTCTCTTGGGCAAATCCCTAGGAGTGGGATTGTTAGGTCATATGGTAAATACAATTTAACTTCATGAGAAACTGCTAAACTGTTTGTCAGAGAGGCTGTGCCATTTTAAACAGTCTCAGCAGCAATTTATGAGCATTCCAGTTGCTCCACATCCTTGCCAGCAATTGTTGTCAGGTTTTAATTTTTTTTTCTAATTGTAGCTGTTATAATAGGTATACAGTGGTATCTCACTGGGGTCTTAATTTACATTTTCTAATATTAACAATGTTGAGTATGTTTTTTGTTTGCAATTTGCCATTTTCTTTTCTTTTTTTCACAGGTGACAATGATTGAGGTTTGAATTTATGTGTTTCTGCACTTCCAATACATATATCCCATCCTTATTTTTACCCTTCTAATTTCAAAGAATAATTGCATTTTTTTTTGGATAATTTACCCTAGTTCCTCCTTCCATTCTTTACCTTAGCAGGGAATGACTTAGACTATTATCAATAGTAGTAGCTGGAACATAGTAACTTTATTTATTTAACTTTTAAGTTTAGGGGTACATGCGCAGGTTTGTATATAGGTAAATTTGTGTCATGGAGTTTGTTGTACAGATTATTTCATCATCCAGGTATTAAGCCCAGTACCCCTTAGTTATTTTTCCTAATCCTCTCCCTCCTCCCCACCCTTCACTGTTCTATAGGCCCCAGTGTATTTTGTTCCCCTCTATGTGTCCGTGTGTTCTCATCATTTAGCTACCACTCGTAAGTGAGAACATGAAGTATTTGGTTTTCTGTTCTTGAGTTAGTTTGCCAAGAATAATGGCCTCCAGCTCCATCCCATGTTCCTGCAAAAGACATTTTTATGGCTGCATAGGATTGCCACATTTTCTTTATCCAGTCTACCATTGGTGGGCATTTAGGTTGATTCCATATCTTTGCTATTGTGAATAGGGCGATAATGAACATATATGTGCATGTCTCTTTATAATAGAACAATGTCTGGTCCTTTGGGTATATACCCAGTGGTGAGATCGCTGGGTCTAATGGCATTTCTGTTTTTAGGTCTTTGGGGAATTGCCACACTGTCTTCCACAATGGTTGAACTAATTTACACTCCTACCGACAGTATATAAGCATTCCTTTTTCTCTGCAGCCTTGCCAGAATCTGTTATTTTTTGATTTTTTAGTAATAGCCATTCTGACTGGTGTGAAATGGTATCTCATTGTGGTTTTGATTTGCATTTCTGTAATGATCAGTGATGTTGACCTTTTTTTCATGTGTTTGTTGGCCACATGTATGTCTGCATTTGAAAAGTGTCTGTTCATGCACTTTACCTACTTTTTAATGGAGTTTTTAATTGTTCTCTTGTAGATTTGTTTAAGTTCCTCATAGATGCAGTATATTAGACATTTGTTAGAGGCATAGTTTGCAAAAAATTTTTCCTATTCTGTAGGTTGTCTGTTCACTCTGTTGGTAGTTTCTGTTGCTGTACAGAAGCTCTTTAGTTTAATTAGAACCTATTTGCCAATTTTTGCTTTTGTTGCAGTTGGTTTTGGCATCTTTTGTCATGAAATCTTTGCCTGCTCCTATGTCAATAATGGTATTGCCTAGGTTGTCTTCCAGGGTTTTTATAGTTGTGTTTTATATTTAAGCCTTTAATCCATCTTGAGTTAGTTTTTGTATATCGTGTAAGGAAGGGGTCCAGTTTCAATCTTCTGCATACTGCTAGCCCGTTCTCCCAGCACCATTTATTGAATAGGGAGTCCTTTCCCCATTGCTTGTTTTTGTCAGGTTTGTTGAAGATCAGACAGTTGTAGGTGTGCGGTCTTATTTCTGGGTTCTCTATTCTGTTCCATTGGTCTATATGTCTTGTTTTTGTACCAGTATCATGCTGTTTTGGTTATTATAGCCCTGTAGTATAGTTTGAAGTTGGGTAGCATGATGCCTCCAGCTTTGTTCTTTTTGCTTAAGATTGCCTTGGCTATTCATGCTCTTTTTTGGTTCAATATGAATTTTAAAATATTTTTTTCTAGTTCTGTGAAGAATATCATTGGTAGTTAAATAGGAATATCATTGAATCTATAAATTGCTTTGGGCAGTATACCCATTTTAATGATATTGCTTCTTCCTATCCATGAGCAAGGACTATTTTTCCATTTGTTTGTGTCATCTCTGATTTCTTTGAGCAGTGTTTTGTAGTTGTTTTTGTAGAAATCTTTCAGTTCCCTGGTTAGCTGGTTAGCTGGTTAGCTGTGTTCCTAGGTGTGTGTGTGTGTGTGTGTGTGTGTGTGTGTGTATATATATATATATATATATATATATGTATATATATATATATGTATATATATATTTGGCAGTTGTGAATGGAATTGTATTCCTGATGTAGCTTTCAACTTGACTGTTATTGGTGTTTAGGAATACTAGTGATTTTTGCGCATTAATATTTTTGTATCACGAGACTTTGCTGAAGTTGTTTATCAGCTTAAGGAGCTTTTGGGCCAAGGCTACGGGGTTTTCTAAATATAGGATCATGTAGTCTGCAAACAGGGATAGTTTGACTCCCTGTCTTCCTATTTGGATGCCTTTGATTTCTTTCTCTTGCCTGATTGCCCTGACCAGGACTTCCAATACTGTGTTGAATAGGAGTGGTGAAAGAGGGCATCCTTGTCTTGTGCTGGTTTTCAAGGGGAATGCTTCCAGCTTTTGCCCATTCAGTATGAAACGTAATAACTTTGAAACAACTTATTTTTGTTTTTCCTCATCAGATCCACAGAATGGCTTAGTACAGTTTAGATTTGTGAGTGGCCAAGTGAATTCCTGTAAGTAATTTCTTTTTCCTGTGTTGTTTGAAAAACAAATGTGAACAACTCTGAAGGAGGCTGTGGTTACATGTTTTAATCAGAGGTAACCGATTTGGTTCCTGGTCAATAGAACTTCTGGGAAAACAGTAGTTAAAATTTAAAATGACACAACAATTAAATCCATGATCTATTCACTGCTATTGAACCAAGGCCTACCTGGAGCAACAACACAGTGGCTTTCCAAGACACCAACTTTTAAAGGTTAAGAATTTGCTTCACATTTTGAATTCCTTAATGACATTCTGTTGAGGTCTCACCCGTAGATTTATATATTCAACAGGCTAAAAAGTTAATTGTTATTTGTCTAAAAAGTGATTACCATTTTGATGAGGGCCTTAGATGAACACATAAAATACATACTGATCAAATTTAGGAATGACAAATCTGAAAAAGATAACTAATATTTTTGATGAAGGGATTGTCAGATCACAATTGAATTGTAAATCAAAGCAAACAAGAGGAAATTTAACAGAATACACATAAAGGTTGACACTTTCATAAAAAAATAAGTTGTCAAATATAGAATGGGAATAGAAGAAACCTATGTTCATAACAGTTAATGTGAAAATAGTGATGAGCATTTTAAGTCAAGTGTGATAAGATATAATGGTTTCATTCTACTTTGGACTAAGTAGGTAAATATCTAGAATATTGTGACCAATTATGAAAGCCACACATGGGACTTTGAAAATCTGAAGAGGTGTCAGTTTTAACCTAGCAGGATGTGTTCAATTTTTCAGACACGTCCTATGTGGAAGAGAGGCTAAATCAGTTGGGATCATCCAAGCAGGAGGAGAGAAAGCTTATGGAGCCCGAGGGGTTCCTTCAGATACCTGAAGTTCTCTCTATGCTGTAAAGGCTTCTTCACAGCATAGTAAACATCTTGCTGCTCAGTGTGAAGGATGAAGCTAGGACAACAACCTCAGATGATGGATGCCATGAAAGGGACATGGGATGGGTGGGAAGTTGCACGGCCTTTGAAGATTCTTTCCAACTCTATGGTTATTTGTTATTTGAAGTTCAAGATTAATGCCATTTGAAGAGTTATTTTTGTATATCTTTTATGAAATTTGATGTTCCCCTTGACTGTTCCTATTTTCAAATTTCAGCTATGTTTCCCCATGAAAATTTTGAGAATGTTCACATGACTTTAGTATTTAGAGATATCAGTAAACTTACATAGTGCCTGTCTGTAAACCTCTTTGACATTCGTATGCTGTCAAATTGCTTCACTTGTGGTCTCAGCAAGATTAGGGCTGTTTCTTTCTTCATCCTCTGAGCTAGGATTTATTTCATTATTCTGAAGTTATACAAAAACACACATACATTCCAAATGCATATCTTTTTGGCTCTTTGTGGAATCTTATTAGGTGTGTTAAATTAGGAAATAGTACAAAAAAAAACCCATGAACAGTCTTCAAGAGTAAGTGAGTTAATAACTTTTCCTAATTAATTCTTTAGAGGCTCTTCCTGAGAAGAATTTTGCTGGGTGCACATGTCCACCAGCTCTGTGTCCCTCCTAGACCCCCTCTTTTGCCCCCATTACCTTCTTTGCTGCTACCACAACAAGGTATATTAGCCCTTGAAATTAAAGATGTTGCTGTCCCAGTTGTGCTTGTCTTCACCTAAATGCATACAGTCATATTCCAAAAGACTATATATTAGTGATATCTATATAGTTCACCCTTCATATACATGAGCTCCCGTGTGTGGAGTGAACTAATTGCAGATATAAAATATTTGGGAAAAAATTTCATGTGTACTGAACATGTATAGACTTTTTTTCTTGTTATCATTTCCTAAATAATACAGAATAATAACCACTGTTTACATAGCATTTACATTGTGTTAGGTATTATAAATAATCTGTACATAATTTAAACTGTACAGGAGAATATGCATAAGTCATATGTGAATACCACACCATTTTATATCAAGTACTTGAGCCATCTGCAGATTGTGGTGTCCATGGGAGGTACTGGAATCAACCCCTATAGATACCGAGGGACAATTATGTTTCTTCAGGTTTTGAAACCAACTTAATTTTGGAATGGGACCTGAAGTTGATAGCAGCAGTCTTCATTACAACTTTTGAGGTATCCTAGAGATCCTCGGGCCTCAGTTTGAATGCCACCGTAGGGTTATGGGGCTGTAACAGATAGTAAGCTATCAGGCCAAGTAAGTGAGCAGCTCTAGGAAATATATAGTGTCTCTTTTCTGGCTGTGGCTTAGCTGAACATTCTTACCAGACCCCCAAATCCAGTCTGGTTCATATGAAAAAAGGTAAAATAATCTTCTTAATGAAGGCCATTTTTAGGCCTGTTTGAATTTAGCAGCTCATATAGGAGAGGAGCATTAAATGATGAAAGGACAATGTCTGCAGGAATAGCACTGCCAAATAAAACAGTTAACTGGCTTTCTGGGGGACCAGAAATCATCATGGCAAAAGATCATTGTTCAAACTAGTGGTCAAGAGTTGCAATCCTACTTTTGCCCTTTGGCCGGCATGTGTTGGGGAAAGTTGACCTTAGTATGTGGGCTGGTGGGCCAAAAAAGAAAGTGATGCTATCTGCCTGTTTTAGAGGCCGACCTCTGCCCACTGGGAAGCGTTTGTTATAGGTTTTCACAATTTCTAAATATATTTGTGTGGCTGTATAGACTTAAAAAGAGAAATGCTTAAGCTTATGTTTAATAAGAAAATGTAAAATGCAATTTGAGTCTTTATTATCCTTAACTTTCATGAAATACCCACGGGTTTTTTGTTTGTCCTTATTCTTATACATAAAATTGTGTTATCTTGCTGGCATTAAGTATTTGTAGAAGAGAAATACACAATCTCACCATTTCCCTTTTTCCTTTTTCCTCAGTTTTCTGTAAACATACGTGTACACACACACAGACACACACACACACACACACACACACCCCTGACTTCAGGTAACCAGTGTTGTCCTAGATGAGGCTGAGCACTGTTTCCTGTTTCTAACATTTTTCCATCTCTTGGAGCCTCTCCCTTTTCCTCCCCCTACCCCAAAGAGAAACAAGTAACTATTAATCAGCTTTTATGGGAAATGGAAAATAGACTCTCTAGCCTAGCATTGTACAATAGAGTTTTCTGCAATTATGCCAATGTTCTGTATTTGCACTGTCCAGTATAGTAGCCATTAGTCATATGCTGCTATTTTGCACTTGAAATGTGGCTAGTAGGATTGAGGAACTGAATTTCTAATTTTGTTTCATGTTAATGTAAATTTAAATCACCATATGTGACTAGTGGCTACCATATTAAACAGAATAACAATTGCCAAATAATTTATAGCATCAGAAACTGTGCTGAGCAAATGTACTAATCAGTGGGATGCAACATTCTAAATACCTCTTTTCTATATTGAGCCAAATGGTACTTAGAAGTAATGCAATATCATTTTTGATAGATGTTAAGATGATCATCAAAAAAGATGAATAAAAGCCAATATCCACCTAAAGCATTTGTAATTGATTGTAGAGACCATTTTCTATTTTATGCTAGATGCTTTACATATCGCTTTACAGCTGTATCATCTATTATTTTCACAAGAATTCCAAGTTAGATATTATATTTTCCCATTTCATCTAAGGCAGGAAACTGCAGCACACCAATTTAAAATAACAAACCAAGGTCACACAGCCAGTAAAGAGTGGAGCCAAGTTTTGAACCCAGGTCAGGCTCTCCTTTGATGCATTTCACAATGAATATTTCCGACATGATCTTCTAGGGCACTTGCGCATGCCTCCCTAGTCGTCATTTGGAAGTAGGGCAGGTGTCAAGAACATGAGCCCTGGCACCACACTGCTTGTTTGAATCCTGCCTCTACTATTAACACCTATATGAAGTTGAGCAAGTTACTTAATAATATCTCTGGGCCTCAATTTTCTCATTTTAATATGGAAATATTAAAAGTACCCATCTCATTGGGTTACTGTGAGGGATTAAATAAGTTAGTATCCGGCACATTGTTTGAACTATATATATTTGCCATCATAATTATTTTTAATTTAAAAGACACTGCCCTTTATGTTAGGATGTTGATTTGATATGATAATAAATGAAGTAGAGATATGCTTTGGGTGTGCTTCCCTATGAAATAAGAGAGATTCGAATCATTCAGATAATTCAGGAAGAAATACCCTGCTGTTCAGCCACTTTGGTGTCTCTGTCAGTAGGATTATAAAGTTTCAGAGCCCACATGCCCTGGCCAATTTCTCATCTCTTTGCTTGTCATGTTACCCTTATAGACATCCCCTTTGGTGTCTTTGATTGGTTCTGAATGCTGAGCAGTGACATGCACCAACACAGCTGGAAAGGCCTGTAAGATTTGCTATTCTGTCTTCCAGCAGGGAATTATTGCCATGGATACCAATATCAGAGGAAGACTGGGGAGCACTCACCACTCGCCTCCTGAGTGTCTGACATCTGTTTCTGGCAAGGCCAATAATGAGTATGCTGCTAGCTTCATATCAAATGAGAGTCTGATCTACACCTATTTTGTTTTTGTTTTGTTTTGTTTTTATCACAGATGGCCTCTGCCCAAGATGCCAGGTACGGCCAGAAAGACTCCTCTGATCAGAACTTTGACTACATGTTCAAATTACTCATCATCGGCAATAGCAGTGTGGGGAAAACATCTTTTCTATTCCGTTATGCAGATGACTCCTTTACATCTGCATTCGTCAGCACAGTTGGGATCGATTTCAAAGTAAAAACTGTATTCAAAAATGAAAAGAGAATCAAGCTTCAGATTTGGGTAAGTGGCTTTGAACTGGCAGTGTTCTTCAGGCTGGGGTGTTGAACATATCCATTTGTAAGGGAGAAACTTTCTGCCTTGTTCTATCCCCAGGGCATCCACAAGCCTCAATTTCCAGCTTCTTTGCTGCAGAACATTCTGTTTCAAAGAAAGTAGTGGTGATGCCTCTTTAAGACATGAGGGGTGAATTATTATTATGCCTTGTTGTCATGTGGTGCTCCTTAAGAGTCTTCAGAATAAAAAAAAAATCCAAACCTCTATCTTGTTGGTGGTGGAAGGAACACTTTAAGTCTGGCTTTGCCTTTTATGATCTCTGTAACCTTGAGAAAGTCTGTGACTCCTTCTCTGACATTTTTGTAATCTATAAAATAAGCTAAGTGGTTCTGGGTTTTTAGGTCACAGAAAGCAGCCTCTCCTGGGCATTTCAAAGAAGAAGATAAACAACCAAATATAGGAAAAGTGTAGGTTTAGACCCTTCATAAAGCTCCAGATAGAACTTCAGAGATGGTCTATTTATACTGTGCAAACTGTTTTCAACTCTAAGAGCTATGTTTATATATGCAAATAAAACAAATGAAATGAAATATTTATTTGAAACAGGGTCTTTCCAAAGTAGAAGGTTCTCCCAAAGTTTTGAGACCATTTGGTTAGCTTTTTGCCTCTCCTTACCTCCAGAAGAAGATCAGAGGTAGCTTAGCCAAACTGGTGGGATAAATTTAGGAGACCAGTGAGCAAAAAACAGAGGAAAATCTATGTGGATAGCAGGTCCAAGGCAATATAAAAGATGGAGCAGCCAATTTAAAAAAATTGTTACACCAAAAAAGACTGATGTAGTAAATATTTTATGGACATCGTAATATGTACATAGGAAGAATGTTTCTACAGTAAGTTTTGGCACCTTTTTCCTATTCCTTTGTACCTCTGCCACTCAAATTGATTTGATCTGTAATCAGGCATTTCCCAAGAGGTGTTTTCTAGCTCCTTCTGAGACATTTACAACAGCTACTACCATTTGGTGCTGGTGCCAGGATTGATCAATAGGACTGACAATAACCCTCCCTTCATAAATATGGAAAGCTAAAAACAAAAAACAAACAAATCGCAGAGTAGAGGATTTTAACTTTTTTAAAAAAGAAAACAGCCCTTTATTTAAAAATCTGTATAAACTGAATGACCTTTACACATCCTAAAGGTCTTATTAAAGTAGAAATTTAAAGTAATATTTAAAGAGGCAGGTATATACACAGACAGGTACCTTCTTATGTAGCTTACAATAGGCTGTTACTATTTTACTTGTTCTAACTCTAGAGTCTTTCAAATCTAATTATAAATCACGTAAGAATTTGTACAAGTAGACCTTAGGCTGGGCATATTCCCTGCTCCATCATTCCCCAAAGCCATTTTTATTGGGAGTGTTCCTTTTCAGAAACTTGACCTCAATTAATGGAGATACCTATCACACACTCCTCTGTATGGAGACAGAAAAAGCTTTGTCCATTGCTTCAAGTATGGGTCCTGATTCATTCTCTTCCTTTTGAATTGCAGGCAATCCAATTGTTATATGATACATTTCGTATTAAGTTTTAAGGAAGGTTCCTTAATTCTCAGGGGCTTTGGTGAATGGAAAATTAAATTAATTTGGAAACGATACATCCCTTAACTCCATGACAATGTTCTTTTTACTAATATGAAAGAACAATCATTCCTCTGGTTGATAGCTCCACTTTTTCCTCTCTTCTTTCTGTCATAGAGATAATTAAAAATAGTGGTTAGAATCATTTAGATAAAGCATCAGCATGGTGTGTTAAGCCAGTCTTATAATTTCTGGCAAATTTTCAGTGTAGGTTTTTGACAGAAATTCTTTGTTGAGGTGCAAAATTATCTATCTTCAATGTAAATCAGATATATTTCAAATAATATAAATTATTTTTCACACTTAAAAATTATTTTCTTTAAAACAATGCTGGTACCAGGCCAGTGCTAATTCACTCACCTTTTTTTTTTGGCATTGAAATAAGTTATTTATGTCTACATCTCACTTCTGGATGAATATAGCTCTTCTCTGAGCCAACCAAAGCTCAGATCCCTGAGCTGCTTCTACTCTAATACCTCCTCATGCTGCTCAGTTTCCATAAGTTCATGAAAAAGTCTCTGAAATATTATTATCTTCAGATTTGCCTCTAATCTTCTACAATCTACTAGTTTCTTATTAAAAAAAAAACCCTTTAAGTCTATAGACAGTCAGGCCTGGGACCTCATTCTAGGGCCTCCATTCTCCTGCTCTGTGGATGCCCACACTCCCATCAGGGTTCAGCCACTTGGGAATCCTTCACTTTCCCCCATCGTCAGTCACAATAGTAGATTAATAGCCATTACTATCATTGCAATTAAAACATAATCCAATTTCTTCCTCTTTAGGTACATTAGGAGCTCTTAAGGCACATCTGATTTTAGGAGTGTGAAAATCAGTTTTATAATAGTGTATACAATACTGTATACTATTATATGTACTATTGTGGTCTGTTAGATTGTGAAACATTTAAAAGAAGTACAATACAAAGATTTTGTGCTTATGGAACTTGTAGTATAGTTAGAAAAGGAAATTAACACTCGTTGGATAATTATGTACTTCTATAAGCAAATATCAAATTGTATAAATATTATGCATAGCTAGCATTTATTGAATACATACCATATGTTAGGCATTATCTTTGCCTTATTTCTAATTCTCACAACCCAACTTTTAATTTATTACTATCCTATTTTACCTGAGAAATCTGCATGTAGGACAGTTAAATAAGTGAAATAACTTGTTCAGGGTTGCACATGCTGAATGGCTAAGAGGGGATTCCAAGCTAGGTCTATCACATTCTAACACTGCGCTAATTAAGAGTCTTCTTGACTAATGTGGTGGTTATTTTTTTTGAAAATGGCAATCTTGAGTGATGCATCTGGGATGGTGAAATGTTTTTGAAAGAGTTCACATTGAAGGCATGCAGGAGAAGAAATAATGAGGAGCAACAGTGGTATGCTTAAGTATAGGCATTCCTATGATAATTCCAGGAATCCTTGCATTATGCTATAATATAAGTGTGCTGGAAATTATTTAGTTGTAGGTAGTTATGATTGTTTAACAACTCTCACAAATCACTTATTTGGAAATATATTTAGCACAGATGGCTTGTCATCTCATTGTGCTTTAATAACCAAGCAGTGAACTGCTCTTCCCAACTTATAGTATTTTTATGCATTTATATTATGTGTAAATAATTCATTAAGATCCACATCATCTTAGCCTATTATATATTTCAAAGAAAAGAGGCAAAATGGTTTCATAGTATGAAAGCCATCGTGGGTTGAAACACTATACCATTTTCTCTACCAAGACAGGTTTCAGACATTGATTTAATTTGGATCACTCTATTCATTTTAAACTGCCCCCAAATAGAACTGTTTCTAAGTTAGGAAACCAAGATATAGAGAGGCTAAGCGATTTGACCTTACCTTACAGTTAGTACCAGAGCAGAGCCTAAAATCCAGGTCTCCTGCTAGGTGGGCTAGTCTGGTTTCTACTACATTATACTTCTTCTCAAGGTAAGTGTTGTATGACAAAAATTGTAATAAATCTCAACCTGGTTGTCAGTGGAATCCTCCAGCTATAGAAAAAAATCAAACTTGAGGCCAGGTTTCAAGTATGATTTTTGTTTTTATTTTTATTTTTTTGAGAAGGAGTCTCACCCTCTTGCCCAGCCTGGAGTGCAGTGGTGCAATCTTGGCCCACTGCAACCTCTGCCTCCCAGGTTCAAGCAATTCTCCAGCCTCAGCCTCCAGAGTAGCTGGGATTACAGGTGTGTGCCAGCACACCTGGTTAATTTTTATATTTTTAGGGGAGATGGGGTTTCACCATGTTGGCCAAGCTGGTCTCAAACTCCTGACCTCAAGTGATCCACTCGCCTCAGCCTCCCAAAGTGCTGGGATTACAGGCATGAGCCACCACGCCTGGCCTCAAGTGGCATTTTTACTGGGTCAGGAAGGAAGAGCCTGAGTGGGAAAGCGCTCCTCATTTTCTACTTGATGGTTTGCTTTCTTGTCACGTGCTGCATAGGGATTTTCTGATTCTTCAAACTGGATTAGTAGATTTGCAACAGTCTACATTCAAATAAAGCATTTTAACAAGTAATAGACACATTTATACTTCCTGAATGCGTTACACCTCCTCTCTGTGGAAGCAGGAAAGAATGGGAGGGTCAGAGTACGCAGGGTTCAGATTAGCTAGTTTGAACAACTTCAACTTACTCTGGGACACAGGAACGATCCCTCAGTTGCCTGGCACTTAATAAGTCCTGGAGCGATTAGGGCAGGTGGATAGTGGCCCAGAGTGTGAAAGCCCTATAATGGAGGTGGTTGGGAGTGTGTGCTCTGGATTGGTTGGTTTGCCTTTGAAAAGAGTGCTCCAGTAAGTTGTTTACTATCTCTAGAAACTGGCTAATCCTGGGAGGGTCAGTCCCTGCAGAATCAGTGAGGCCCCAAATGTCAAAGCATCAGAATACAAAAAATAAAAAATCTAAAAATAAAAGACATGGTTAATATGGAGGGAAAGTTCTTGGGGCCTCAGGGGCAGTCTCTGTCACTAATTTCACTCTGACAAATGCTGTGATTCCCAACTGTCTCACTACAGGATTGGTATATTTTTGGGTCTCAGTATTTGGAGACCTAGTACATTGAGTCAGGAAAAGATCTGACAGATTTTCTGGCTCAACCTCCTCATTTGATGATACTACTAATAATAGCAACATTTATCAAGCCCAGTGCTGACCCATAAAATAAGCACTTTATGTTTCCATGCATTTTAAAATTTATTTTTTGCAACAACCAAATAAACCAAGGTGGTATTATTAGCTCTCTTTTATAGCAAGGAAACAGAAAACCAGAAAGACAAAGTGATTTGCCCAAGGTTATAGTCACAAGCAGGATTCCAACCTGGGCACTGAGCGCAAAGCCCATGTACTTGACCACATGGTAGAAGAGATCCAGGGAGGCCAAGTGATTTGTCAGAAGTTTCAGATCTGATATTAAATTCCACATATTTTAATTCATAGCAAGTACTTTTTCCATGCTGTATAATTACTCAGTATCTTTCAGTAGTTTCTTATGACCTGTCCAAGATATTATTTATAGTTACAGAAAAGAACCAGTTGTTTTGCTTGGAACTTACTATCTGGCAGCATGAGCACTTTGTGCATTATCTGTTTTGTGTTTAAAACACATAGATATGCACAGAAGGAGGGACTGGAACACATTCAACTAACTTCTTCCTGCACATTTCTGGAATGCTGTTTCTGCTGTTGGAGAACGTGAACATAAAGAAAAGGGCATGAAAGAAGGAGTCTAATGGCATAAATACCTACAGGAAAATATTTCTGCCTATAATCTTTGCATTTGGTGCTCAGGTGGCCTAGTCACCCTACCCATTGATTCCAGGAAAACAATCAGGTCCTCTGGTCTATTTATAAGGAAACAACACTTTCTGCCCAGGCAAGCTTCTTAAGAAAACCACCAAAGCCAGTGACAGCTGCCAAGACCATTCTTGGTGCTGTCATTTGTATGCTCTTTTCCCCCATCACATTTCTTCTAACTTAGCATCTGCTTTTCCTGAGAGATTGAGAAAGGCAAGATTTAGTTTTACTCTTGAGAGAAAGCTGATACTGTGTCTGAAATGTCAAGATGCCTGAAAACATTCACTCTGTCAGGCAGCTGAACGCAGGAGCTCCTACATCCCACTGTGTTTAACCACTCTTCTCAGCATTGACAAAATACAAAGGATGGTACGGGCATTGTTCCTGGCTTAATAGAGCTTACCAACTGCATGGGAAGACAGGAAAACAAACATAGAAGAAAGGATCAACCTGTGGATCAGTAACTGTGTTCTGCCAAGGGGTAGAGTGGCCTAGTGGCTTGAGCAGGGACTTTGGAGTCTGGTGACCCAGGGTTCAAATGTTGTCCCTGATTCTCACTAGGGTTTGACCTCAAGCCCTGACTTCTCTGTGCTTCCATTTCCTCGTTTATGTAGTGGGGGGAAATAACACCTACCCCTGAGCTGTTAAGTATTTGCTATGGTAAATTATACTTAGTTCAATACTGGGCACAAACCAGGCACTCACAAATGTTAGTTTTCTTCTTTTCTAAAAATAGTGTACCAAAATTCAGACTTTTGTATTCAATTAAGTAATTTAATTGAATCCAATACTTGTTGGTGCCTACTGTGTGCCAGGCACTGTGCCAGGCATTGGACATATAATGGTAGAGCACGCCAAGGGTCTGCCATATGGAGCCATAAGGAGATCGAATTCCACTGCTGCTATAAATGGTCCAAAAGGCCTGAGCACAGCACACACAGGGAGGATGCCCAACACCATCCTGGGGACTCGGGAAGGTTTCCTGGGTGTAACAACAATGGGAAGGGGAAGCCTATTTTAGGTGATCAGTGCGGATTGATACAAGATGCTAACTGAGCTAACAAAGCCTGATTTTCCTCCCATTTTGCCCCTGTTTGAGCAGAGGTGGATTGATACTGTTGGGGCTTGAAGCTTTTACAGTTTGCCAGTCCTCTTTAAGGAAAAAGATACACAATGTCTTTCTTATGAATAAGTGACAGAAAGCAGGTGACCATACAAACACATTGCTAAAGCCCACTTGGAAGGTACCCAAAGCCTAATCTTTAATCAGCTTCATGGAAATCCACCTCTACTTTTGTCGAAAATTTACCTGTGATTCTATAGGGACTGACAGACACATGTGGGAGATGGGAAACATTGACAACTAGTACCAAAGAGCAATGTACAGTGGAACATGCAGGCAAAGATGTGTGAAGACAGTGGGATAAAGAAGAGGCATCGGGGCAGGAGACTGGATTTGAGACCTCTCTGTGTAACCTTGGGACAAATGACTTCACCTTTCTGGGAAGCAGTTATCTGATCTGTAAAATGAAGAGGATCCACTCAACTGAAAAAAAAACAAACAAAAAAAACCCCCAATCTGGCATTCAGTGATCCCTAATGTGCCACATACAGCTGTGTGTGGTTTATAGGTAGTGAGTTATCTAATCCTCACAAAAACCCTGTGAGATAGATGCTATTCTTGTCTTTAGTTTACAAATGAGTAAACTGAGGCATAGAGTGTGTGAATACCTTGCCCAGGGTCACATAGACAAGAAGTGGCTAGCAGATTTAAGTATGGACCACCTAGCTTTGGAGCTTTTTCTCTTAATCCATTCTGCTGCACCCTTTCTCTATAAGTACAACATTTGAGTAATTGCTCTCGACCAGCCACTGTGCATATTTTATTTGCAATGCTGGAAATTTTATTTTTAACCTCAAAATGTTGGTATTAATATTGCTCTTTATAAGGTAAGAGGAAACCAAGACTCAGAGAGTTTAAATAATTCCCCCCTGGTCACATAACTCTTTATACTGCTTATAGAGTAACTTCAAGCCTTATAACTGATTAAAATAATAAATCAAATGGTAGCCAACAATCAATGGAGGAAAAAGTTTTTCCAGGAATACATAAGGTAAAATGGACAAATCATGACATTATATTCCATCCAGATTAATCTCTTTCATGATCCTCTAGTCAGCCCAATTCCTACAGGACTTCTATCCCAAGACTGCTAAGCAGCTCTCAAAGCTTCTAAAAATTCAAATACCGGCCGGGCACTGTGGCTTATGCCTGTAATCCCAGCACTTTGGGAGGCCGAGGTGGGTGGATCACGAGGTCAGGAGTTTGAGACCAGCCTGACCAACGTGGTGAAAACCCGTCTCTACTAAAAATACAAAAATTAGCCGGGTGTTGTGGTGCACGCCTGTAATCCCAGCTACTTAGGAGGCTGAGACAGGAGAATCGCTTGAACCTGGGAGGTGGAGGTTGCAGTGAGCCGAGATCACGCCATTGCACTCCAGCCTGGGTGACAGAGTGAGACTCTGTCTCAAAAAAAAAAAAAAAATTGGAATACCATAGTTTTGGTAACAGAGAACGGCAGTTCTGTGTAACTGAAATTTCAGGTAAGTAAAGCTTCACATTATGAGAACTTTAAACCAATTAAATCTTTTAATGAAAATTCTTCTAATATGTGCTGCACATTTGTTTATCATAAGGGAAAAAAAGAACATGAAAGATAAGCCAACTTGACGCTCAGGATTATCAGCATCTGATGATGTTTTCTGTATACTTGGTTCTACTTAGTATGTTTTCTTTTCTTTCTTCAGTGTCAAACTGTCCGTCTTCATGTTTCTAGCTGCTTTCCTTTCTCATTCTAATTTTTAGCTTTCATTAAGTTTCTTTTTTCTTATAAACCATGTTCATTGTCATTTGTTAGCCAAGTTGAGAGGAAAGTGGCTCAATATGTAGGTATGAAGATCTTTTAAATTAGTATGCATGAGCTTTGTAGTAGGGGCACTGGGGAGATCTAATTTAGTCTCACAGAAGCCTCCCTTTGCACTGTTTTGTAATCTTCATAAATTTACCAACCAAAATGTTTAATCTGCCTGAACACATTGGTGTTACTTTTATATTAGGCCTATTCTAGACTTACTTGGTTCTAAATCCCCCTAAGACAAAAATATCACACAGTGGTTTTGTGATCAAGAATGGGCCCCAAAGCCAGGCTGTCTGAGTTCAAATTATGGCTGTAAGATTTGTGGATATTATGACCTTGGACAAGTTAATTAACTTCTCCATGCCAGTGTTTTCATCTGTAAACTGGGGACAATAATAATATTTTGCTTATAGTCTTATCGTAAAGATGAAATAAAATGATATTTACAAAGTTCTTAGCACAATACCTGGCATATAGTAAGTACTCAAGAAACAAATCATTATTATTTCTCTCAACAGCCTTTATTTTATGGGCCAAACCTATTTAACGCCATACTTTCTGAAATAGCAAGTAGTAGTACTTTTTTTGGTAAATAAATTGCCAGTTTGCAGGCAGGTATTTATATGAAGAACTTCAATTTTGGTGTCCTGAAGTAATGATATATACAAGCATATTGACAAGGTGGCATATCTTCTGGATTGCTCTCTGGATCACCTGGATTGCTCTCACCAACCACTGGTAAATTTTAATATGCCCAAGTGCAGTGAGCTGTGTTGTTGAGGTGTTTCCTGGTGTTTTGGAGCCATCTATGCATTTAAATAGAGTCATCAACTGCACAGGAAAGGCAAAACCATACAGCTTATTTATTAAATGCTCATAAAATTGATGCCCTGCCCTAGAGCAAAACAATTATAAATCACTGGATCCACAGAGAGCTGTAATTCACCTATTGGGATATGATTTCCTCAGGATATTGCCTACTGATGTCAGCAGCTTCTGGTCTAAGATGTGAGCTGTGTCCATGCCACCAGGTCACCTGTAGTTATTTTTCTATTGATTCATTTACAGTTATACTGAACTGACCAGTTTTTCTGGCATTAAACACAGCTACTCGGGAGGCTGAGGCAGGAGAATGGCGTGAACCCGGGAAGCGGAGCTTGCAGTGAGCCGAGATTGCGCCACTGCAGTCCGCAGTCCGGCCTGGGCGACAGAGCGAGACTCCGTCTTAAAAAAAAAAAAAAAAAAAAAAAAAAAAAAAAAAAAAAAAAAAAAAAACACAGCTTAAATTCGGTGCAAATTAAGCATTTAATTACCCCATATTTATTTTTCAAGCCAGACTTAAGAAAAAAGTACAGCATTTTTCTAGTTGGATAGTACTTATTTTCAGTAGTAGGCATATTCTTCTTTTTCCTTGTGCTTTTACTTTCCTAACACTAATTTTGCTAGTCCTGAACATTGCCACTGTGGCAGCTAAACAGCGAGATAAGAGATAGCAAATGTGAGCATCACTTGATACAAATCACTTTGCTGAAGGTGCTGATGCATATGAAGGGAAGGAAAGCAAGGTCTCCATCTTGTTTTACTATCTCTGGAGCAACTAAATCAATTTAAAAATGTTTACAAAGCATCGGGGCCAGGCGCAAAGGCTCACGCATGTAATCCTAGCACATTGGGAAGCTGAGGCAGGCAGATCACGAGGTCAGGAGATTGAGACCATCCTGGCTAACACGGTGAAACCCCGTCTCTACTAAAAATACAAAAAGTTAGCTGGGCGTGGTGGCAGGCGCCTGTAGTCCCAGCTACTTGGGAGGCTGAGGCAGGAGAATCGCTTGAACCTGGGAGGCAGGGGTTGCAGTGAGCCGAGATCGTACCACTGCACTCCAGCCTGGGCGACAAGGCAAGACTCCGTCTCAAAAAAAAAAAAAAAAAAAAAACAGTTTACAAAGCATCGTGTGAGAAACAATAGAGAAACAACAGAAAAGTACAAAGGAGACATAAAATAAAAAAGAGTTGAAGTAGGTAAAGTATGAGACAGGGTTTTGGAGAAAAACAAAGAGGATAATTTTAGGGAGTTTAATGATTTTACAAAGGTGTGTGCAGGCTTAGGGAAGTAATAAGGGAAGATGCAGACTCCAGAGCTAGCATCAGAGAGTCATTACCACCCCCTTGGACTGAAGGGAACAGAGAAAGAGCAGTTAGGAAAGACCTGTAGCTGTAGTAATAGGAGAAGGACATTACATTAGAGCCTTGGCCTTTTAGAACACAGCCACTGCCAATCAGTAGCTCATCATGGAAGGGGCCACAGATGCCTTGGACCTCTCATTCATCCCACCTTCTGATCTCTTGCCTGTGCTTCTCATGGGTTGAACCCACCTTGAGGTTAGTGGAACAGGGTGGCAACTGCTCTGTTTTAGCAGTTCACAAAACTTAGTCCCCGGAGCACAGGGTAGGGTGAGATTTGGTAAGGAGTGGATCTGGAAAGCAAAGAAACATATCCAGCACAAGAAAGAAGGGCTGGGATTCAGAGGGTGCCTTCCGCCTTGCCAGGCTGAGCACGCTCCCTGCTGCCTGAGCAAGGTTCCCACACAACAACAGCCGACCCACACTGGCCTCTGACAAACATGTTTCCTCCAAAAGATAAGTCAATCTGTTTTTTATAAAGGGCTGGGCATGGTGGCTCATGCCTGTAATCCTGACACTTTGGGAGGTGGAGGCGAGAGGATTGCTTGAGTACCCAGAAGTTCAATACCAGCTTGGGCAACATAGTGAGACCTCACTTCTGGAAAAAAAAAAAAAAAAAAAAAAAAAAAAGGTGAAATTTATTTAATTATTTATTTAATTTTTAAAAACACTTGAAAAGAATATTACTTGTTATAATTAAATTCTTCTCACTCTTTTGGTAATCTGGCAGGTGGTAGATTTTTTTAAATTTTTTTTGTTGGAGATGGCAATCCTCCGTCAATTACCCATTTGTATTTATTTATTAACATTATTTTGGTTTTGGAAGCCCAAATATCTGGGATTCAGTGATGTGGAGGGTAGTATAGACGCCCCTGGGCTATGTATAGCTGGACAGTATAAAGGAAGCAGCTGGAGAGCCAGGCAGGGGCTGTATTTTAGTCAAACAACTCCTGGTGCAGCTTAAAGCACCAGACATTTATGAATGACTGCAGTGTGCTACGCAAAGTGCTAGGCCATGGAGGAGAGGGAGCCAAGAGTTTTTAAGCTTCCTATCTTCTAGTAACTTACTAAATAATGACATAGAAACAGGCGTGGAAATAAACAAAAGACCAGCCAAATGAGAATAGGCTTAGCTATAGCAAAGGGATCAGCCACCATCACTTGCATTTTGGCAGAGACTCAAAGGCAAGCAGAGGAGTGGGAAAGCTTTATAATGGAAAAAAGGGGAGCGTTTATGTATGCCCTGGTTGCAGGCTGTTAGCATGGGGAAACTGTAGGCATGCTAACAAGAAGTGAGACATCCTATGTTATTGGCTGGTGGTGCATATTTTGCTTTCTTTGATTGATCCTAAATTGGAAGCAGGGACAAAAATTGGGGAAGCTGTCAGTGATTAATCAAGTCCTGGACCTTTTGGGAAAATTATTACAAAAGTTTTTGCTAAGCCTCCAAGATTGTCACTAATTAGAGCAGTGTGGCTTCCCGCAAGTCTGACTTCTAACAGGCTGGCTTTCCTGGTGTTTATTGTAGATAAGGAGGTTGGTTTCCTGGGAAGGTTGCTGCAGGTTGTGGGTCAAAGTTCTGCTTTTACATGTGTTCTGGGTGTTGTCTATTTGTACGTTGAGTCTCACAAATATACCTAACTCAGAACCAACTTTAATAAGAGCAGCAAGAGAGATAGCACAAGAAAAAGTAAAGGGTTTTGGGTGTCTGATAGCTTGGCTCTAGGCAAGTTATTAAACTCTGTAATGCATTGGTTTTAATTTTCTATAAAATAAGGATAATAATATTTGCCTTGCAGGCAAAATATATTTGGCTTGTAGGGCTGTTTTAAGGAATTACCTAACATGTGTATTGTGCCTCTTTTGGTGTTCTCATATTTTTTGAACTCATTTCACCCTTAAAAACTATTGAGGTCATCAATGACCTTGTTTTTATGTGGGTTATATCTACTGATATTTAATGTATTATAAATTAAAATGAAGAAAATTAAAAATATTTATTTTCATTTTAAAATAACAATAAACCCATTGTATGTACACATAAAGAACATATTTTAATGAAAAATAACTGCATTTTGAAAGACAGTACAATTAGTGAGAAAAGTGGCATTTAAAAAAATCTCATTATATCTGGCTTAATCAAAGACAGCTGATTTTTCATATCTGTTTCCTTATTCAACCTGTTGCTGTATCACACATCATGTAACCTCTGGAAATTTCCACTGTACACTCATGGGAGAAAGACAATGAGAAAGGCAAATAAAAACTTGGTATTCTTGTGAGAGTAGTTTTCAATTCAGAGACCCTCTGAAAGACTTTAGGAACCTTCAGACCACATTTTCAATACCACTGCTCTAGACCATAGAAGGCACTCATATAAATCATTAATAATATTAGCAGAAGACTACAGCAGTGTTGGCATTTATCACAAGGGGCACTTCTTTATAGAGGTCTGTCTTGATAAAGAGGCCTTGTTGTTGTCAATGATTGGAAAACTCCTATATGCTGGCAGATTAAAGGCAGGAGATCTTCTGACAATAGGTGGCTTCCCTGGAAGCCAGGTCTGAGGCTCAGGACGAAGAGTGCAGGTCTTGCAAATGAAGACTAAACCAGAGAGAAGTTCTTATTTTTCAGCAGTATCTGAGTGAGAGAATGAGTAAATGAAAACACAAATACACACCCTTTATACCAGTTATTTTCAACAATATGGCAACAGCAAGTGCAAAGGACTGGAAAATAGGTCCTGTGGCCCCACCTCACTGCTCAAATCTGGCTCACTGGAGCAACAGTCTTCCCAGTTCTGAGAAGAGAGGCAGGTGACAAATATGATGAATCCTCCTTCCTCCATCCTCCATTTGCTTTACAAACTGGGCAACTGAGTGGAGAAGCCATTGGGTTTTCTGGCAAAATTCTGAAAAAGGGAGCATAGCTGGTGAAAACAAGCTCCTGGAATCTGAAATCCCAGTCTTTCAAAGTTTATCAGAAGCTAAATGTTCAATTACATGAAGTTATGCATGACTGATAGGCTAATGTCTCAAATATTTAATGGTATTTAAATTTTAAAATAGTAGTTTGTGAAGCAAAGGAATGAATGAGCTTTCAGCAACAAGTTAAATCATGGGTCATCTTCCCTGGACTCTTCAGATTAGAGTCCCTGTGTGAAGGCTGACTCAGACTCACAAGGCATATTATTGACACTTTACTGTAATTGAGGGGGAGAAATGGACTGATATAAATTATTTCATTTTAATTAAACAATGGATCTGTCCTCCTACTATAAGAAAGGAAAAAGGTAATAGTTTTGTTTTTTGGGGTTTTTCCTCTCTTCAAATTTTGCAAAGCAATTAACCTTCAGGTTAAGACAAAACTCAGAATATTTTATCTCTACCACTTAATTTGTCACAAATTTACAGTCAATTGGAAATATAATAAAAGAGTGAGAATTGAAAGCATTTTTCTTACTTTGCTGTATGGCTAGCTTCTGCAAATGCTGTAGCAAGTTCTGTACATGTGGTTTTGAGAATGAAATTCTAAATTGAGTTTTATAATGACATAAAGGCTGAAAGCAGAGATTAAAGGAGAGAGGCTTCTTACTCAGAGACTGGTGAAAATCCAGATCTGCTGAGACCTTTCAGCCTGGCCTTGATGGTGACACATGAAAGTGATTCTACAGTTGGGAGGCACTCAAGTTTGCAGATGGCCTGATCTCACAATATGAGAGAGATTCACATATGAAAGCAACCAGACAAAGAAGGCTGTAGAAACTAGAAGCCTGGGTGAACAGTTTTTTACGCTGGGGTTTATCAGAACCATTGTCTCCCAGAGGAGTGTCTGGTCAATAATTTTAACATAGGAACCATGGTCTCTACAGACCTCAAAGTGTGGTCCCAGAGTCAGTCCCTTGTCGGAATCACTTGGGGAATTTGTTATAACTGTAGATTTTGAACCCCATGTCAAGCCTACTGAATTCATATCTCTCTGTAAACAGAAGCAGGGAATATGGATTTCTAATAAACTTCCCAGGTGATAACTGCCATTCTGAGAAACAGTTCATCCTGTCATATTGTGTCTGTTCACGGAGGGCTGAAGGGAGGTCTACTTCAGTCTATAAACATTGATGATGGATCGGGGAAGGGGCAGACCAAGGTCTTTTTCTCAGACCTCCTTCTGTTTTCTGTAGCCAGATAACAGTCTTAGATTGGCCCAAATATGGCAGCAGGCTGTAGGCCTATTCTTCGAGTGGCTGTGGACAGAGGGTATATGTGCCTGGAGAATAGCATCAAAGCTTAAGAGCTTCTGACATACTGTATTTGACAATGGTTCTACTTGCTCTTTCATCCCCTTCTCTTCTTTCCCTACCAGCCTATTACCATCCCCTTCCCTCTCTCCATGACTGAATACAGTCCCACTTCTGTCTGATTGCTAACTTTGCTTTGGATTCTTTCTCTTTCCTCCTATTCACTACATTCTTAGCTATTGAAGTTTAGAAGCATTTTCTCTCCATTCACCTTCATCTCAGTTTTCTATTCTAGTCTCTGAACTGGACATGAAGCAAAATGGGAGGTTCTAATACTATCTCTGTCTCAACCAAAGAGATGTTTGTCTCCTTAAGCTTTTTGGCATTTCCCACAGTGATTTGCAAATTTCTTTTTATGTCATGGAGTCATGTCTTTAAAGGAAGGCATATGGAAAATTCCAATGACTAGAGGGAACTGACCTGTTTTCAGCAGGCTAGGAAGCATACGGTTTCATTTCTTCAACTTCCCAACCCCTTACCTAGAGGAAGGCAGAGAGGGCTCATCCTGGAAAACCATTGCTCTACAACATCTTTTAGAATGAGGGCAGAAGAACCTACAGACACATCTCTGGCAGACTCCATCCATGGGGTAAGCCCCTTTAGAGATGGCAGATCTTATGGAAAGAGCCCATAAAGTCTCTTAAAACTAGACTATAGGAAGGAAAGTAGAGGGGGAGGCACAAACGTAAAGACATCTAGCCCACAGGGAATCTGCCGTAACTCTAACATAACTTGTGTATTTGTGTGATAAGGATTCATTAGTAAATAGTGCCAGGAAAAACATTTAATATGGACATTCTCTCCAGGTAGAGAAGAGAAAAAAATTGAGATGAGACCAACAGTTAAAACTTTCCATATCTGAATAAAAGTCATATTATTAAGAGATACATGAATAATCTATCGTTCAGATTTTGATTTTTCTTAACTGCCTCTTCCACTAAGTTATATGGGCTCCTAAGGGTTATGGGCTGGACATTATTTAATTCAGGAGTCTCAGCATCTAGCATTATTGGCCCACAGGAGATCTCAGTACATATTGAATTAATGAATGGGTATAGTAATATCTAACAGAGTTATGATCATGCTCGTTTACCCTATACATATTTACTTGTTAAATTTGTTTGTTTGGGCCACGTGTGGTGGCTCACGCCTATAATCCCAGCACTTTGGGAGGCCGAGGTGGGCGGATCATGAGGTCCAGAGATTGAGACCATCCTGGTTAACACGGTGAAACCCCATCTCTACTAAAAAATACAAAAAAAAAAAAAATTAGCCGGGCATGGTGGCTGGTGCCTGTAGTCCCAGCTACTCAGGAGGCTGAGGCAGGAGAATGGCGTCAACCCAGGAGGCAGAGCTTGCAGTGAGCTGAGATTGCGCCACTGCACTCCAGCTTGGGCAACAGAGCAAGACTCCATCTCAAAAAAAAAAAAAAATTGTTTGTTTGTACTCCTAAATTTTATTTAGATATTTTTAGTTCTCACAATCATCACTGTTCTTCTTTCCCATTATTTCAGGAGTTCAGGTTGAGGGATATTTATTCACACCATTGAAAAGTTTAAAGAAATATTATACAGGGAAATAAGATCACTTGGGAGAACTCTGCCTTCCAGAAGCAAGTGTAGCATTCTGGTTAGGAGCACAGGCCCTGATGTCAAACTGTCTGGGTTCAAATGCTGAATCAGCTCCATTCTAGAGGCTTCCTAACTTCTCTCAATTCTAGTTTCTTTATCTGTATAATGGGCATATTAGAATATCTCCCTTATAGTATGGTTATGAGGAATAATCAGGATAAAACATGCAATTCATTTAACACAGAACCTCATAAATGGTAAGACTCAAGAAATATTAGTTCTTGTTATTATTTGTGGCTTAGACCAAGAAAAAATTCAACATCCAATCTCAGAAAGTTGTGTTTTGCCACTTTGAAACTTTCCCCTGTTAATATAAAACTACTAAATCAGAGTGCCCCACCATCACCACCTCAGGTCACACCTCCCTGACTCTCTCCTTGAGAAAAATAGAAAGTTGTGCAAGATGCCTCCCAAATATTATAAACTTTGGGCCCCACAGAACCTGGGTCTGTGGCAGTTCCCAAGTCAGTGGGGGAGAAAAGCTGAAGCAGTGTAGTAACAATATATTGGAGGTTGCTGATCCTCTTCGCAGAAGAAGATGAAGACTTATTTCAAGATGAAGACTTTTAATTGGACTAAAATAAACTGATAGAGATAGTGAGGTAAAGACAGAATGTGAGATAATATAAGCAAAAAAGCAGCACTTTTTGATACAAGTGCATTATTGAATTCAATTAACTAAAGGTACCACAGTAAGGTTGATGTTTGATGTAAAAACACTCAAAGAGGTGACAAGAATATTTTCTGTCCAGTGTTCAGTGAGTGAAGGGATAAGTCATCAGAGCTATCACGTGTCCAGAGTCACAACACTGGAATACCCATCTAGATGTAAAAGTTATCAGCTCTCCTCTGTTTTTCTTGAAGACAAAGTGGGAAGAGATGTGCTAAAATGGCAAAGGAAAAGTTTAAGATCAAATGCATAAGGAAGACTGTCTTGTTTTGTCAAACATGGGAAGTTACATGGGGAGGTTGCTGTCCATTCTTAATGGGAACTTTCCAAAGGAATGCATTTTAATCTGGGTGCAATGGTGTAAAGAAAGAAAGCAGTGAATTGGTGACTTATAAAGGCTCCTGCCTCCAAAAAAACCCTTTTTAAATTAAAGGGTGTCATCTGGCACACAGAATAGTTCCCTGAGCTTACAGGAATGATTTCTACAGATATTTTTTAGCCAGACGGAGAATTGTCATCCTGGGAGTCAAAATCAGACTAATTTTTTCCAGACCTAGAAACCTCCTGGGACTTGGCTAGTGCAGGTGCCTGTCAGGACCAGGGTTTGTACATCGTCAGATTCTTTCTTCCTCCTCTAGCCCCAGAGGCTGTGCTCTAGAGCATACTTTACCTCTAGAGTAGTTGTCCCCTGAGCATTTGTTTTCTTTCCTGACACAGGAAGGAAGATAAATACTGTTCTGTCACAGTTTGAGAAGGCAGTCCATGATCATGATATAGCTAATAAGGTGCTCAGGAGGGAAGAGTTCACTAGATGGTGGACAACGCGTGGTGTTTGGTAATAGGAGATATATGCAAAATTTGTGTTAACAGGTTATTTAATTCTGGTTACTAATTTATACCTGCATTTGGGAAGTAGAGAAAAGAACACATTGAAAATCACTGAGTATATTAAAAATAAAATGCTGTCAAATTAGGAAAGTTAAAGAACGGGCCAAAGAGAATATAGTATTACATTAATTACCTGTTTGACTCATTGCGCTCAAGCCAGCAAACTTGAGGCAGCTGAAATAATTACTGTATTTATTATTTTGGCTCCACCCCAGCTTGAAAACCAATCCTTCTTGGATGAAGAGAATATATAAAATCAAAACATACTTGTTCACCTGCTCAGTTTCAAAGAGATCTTCTGTCTGGTCTTCCTGGTATCCCAATTTCCTAGAAACTGGTTTCCCTGTTCTTCTATCCCAGCTCTCTAGTAGATGGGTTCCTGCCCAAATGTGCTTCCCTAGTATCCCAGTCCTTTTAGAAACTACATTCCTGATGTGAATGCTAATCTCTGTATTCAGTTTGGGTTCTGGTCAAGTATCCATCATAACTGGAACGTTGAATCCTGTCTTTTGACTCATGTCCTACTGTGGATGCCTCTTGATTAGCCATCACCTTGCTTTTGCATTTCTGCCCCTTTATTTACTTTTGCCTTATTTATCTGCCTGCACTGTGTTCTTGAGTCTTCTGATTTGACTCCCTATATCCCAGTCCATCGTTTGGATTTTATATCCACCAAATGCTTTCTCCAGTCTATTTTCAATTATGTTAATATCATTTTGCCAGCCTCCTCTAATTAGAAAAGAACAAATAAAGAGGAACAAAATGTGCCTGACCAGGATGAAAAATAAATCACCCAGAAAGTGGTGAATCATAAGCCTTGGAATTGTCTCCTTTTCGTTCCCGAAGAACATTGTTGCAATGAGAAGGCAATAACAGACCACCAAAAAGATAGGAAGGGCATATGAGAATTTCAATCTCCTTATTTTTGTGATGTCAAGGCCTTTCATATGTGTCCTTAAAGTTCCTGCATTTGTAAAATTTTTGCATATTCAATACATCACATAAAAAATTTTGGAAAACCTGATGAGGAGCATATGAAAATTGGAAGCATGAATAGGAAAGAAACTTTTAATAATAGGTTAGTTATTTGTTGCTGTTGTTGTTAAATTCACAATTAGTGGAAAGTAACCATGGAAAGAATGGGCATGTTGAGAGAGCATTATCATTTTTTTTTTATTTCAAAGAACTTTTTTTTTTTTTTTACTATTCAGTTTGAATGGTTTAATAATCTCTTCCAATTCCCCATCCCTGATGTCACAAAAGTGTCATATTTGGAAAACCAAAAGGTTTAATAATCTTTTAGTAAGCCTTTCTGGCTTCCTGAACTCAAGAAAGAAAATCAAACAAAACAAGTGTTGAACATTCAAGCTGTATTCTGTAATTTTTTACCTGCTTTTCTTCTTCCTTTGTTCTTCTGTCTTCCTCTTTCCCTTTGTCTCTCCTGCTATCACTCACTCTCTCTCTAAATGACTAGATATTCATTATCCGGATATATTCTGTTGCTGGAACAGTAAAAGATCTGTGATTTCTATCCCCGAAGACTCCAGATTTTTTCTGGGATTTTCCTATAAAAAGACTTAACTGAAGAAGAATAGACAGGATTTAGAGAAACTCTTTAAATTTTGGATATACTATAAGTTCCAAAATTAATATATTCCTTTGAAAGATAAAAATTTTTAAAAGGAAAGGTGGAAAGACAGAAAAAGTAGTTGGAGCTACCCACTCAAGGCTTAGTCATAATTAACTTTAATACTGAAGTAGATTTTTTGGAAAGATGATTAGCTTTCATTAGTGTTTTAAAAGTACATATGTTCATTGTAGAAAATGTGCAAATACAAAAAGTAGAAAGAAAAAGACATCACTGGAAATCTTACTACCCAAAGGTAACTATTTGGCATACAGCTTTCCGATTTTTCCCTATATATATGTTCCATATTTTAAAGAAAATATACATATGATATCACCAACTGTGTTTTCACATATATGTTATGAATCTTTTCTAAAATATTTAAATATACATTGAAATCCTGGTTATAAGTAGCAACACAGGAGTAATTTATTTAAGCAATACCTTATTACTGGCTTTTCTTTTTTCCTGATTATTTTTGTCATTATAAATAATGATAATTTTCAATGGTATAAATACCTCTTTGGGTGGATAAGTCCCAGAAAATAGAATTTTGAGGTTCTTACAGTTATGTTGCCTAGTTGACATCCTAATTGCTGTGATTTTACACTTCCAACAAGAGGGCATGAGATGCCTATTTCTTTGAACCCTGCAATGCTTGTCATAATTATTCTTTTGATTGCCAGTTTTGAATTCATTATATTTTCCCTTTCATCTTTTGAGGTGTCTTTTCATTTGCATTTTTTTCTTTATAAGTTACTAACTTTTCTATTGTTCTGTGCATCTTTATTTTCATTGATTTGTGAGGCTTTTTCCTCTTATAAATAAGCTTGTTTTTCCTGAAAATAAGCTTTTCTAATTCTTTGCATTTTGTTTATGGCATGTTTTGGTCATCCTTAATTTTTTTTATTCTCATGGAGTTATATTTATCAATTATTTTCTTAAAAATAAATGTATCCAAAAGACAAGCCATACTAATGTTAAAACCATTATAACATTTTCTAAAGTCCGTGTTATTTTATAATTATAACCCACTTTACAACTCACATAGATATATGTTAGGTGTGAGTATAATAGAAACCTCAGCAGACTAAGAACCTGTAGAAAAGCAATGTCAGAACAGAGAAACAAAGTTCAGAATTGAAAATAGCAGGAAACAGACATTATATGTCACCTCGGGCACTGAACGTATGCAAGCTGTATATGGATCACTGTTAGAAGCTCTTGAAGCAGTTGACATCAACACTAGGAAATGATCTTTCTTTGTTCAGTAGATCAAAATATAGTAACAGGTGTGTAGCAGGTGCCTCTGAGTTCCCTACAAGGTTCCTTGGCCTGCATCTGATGTTAGCCCCAATGGCAGCGTGGGCAGGTCTGTGCACAGTCAGCATCCCACCTCAAGCACACCATGCCTGCCTTACTGCATTTGCCAAGGCTTTTCTGATGGCACAGCTCCCTAGATCTACACTTGCAAGTGTGGCCTGGAAGTGCAGTGCCTTGAAACACTGCCACTCTCACACTAACCCTCATCTGATAGAAGACCAGAGCCAGGAGATAAGTTATTGAGTCTTCCCTCTTTCGAATGGACAATTCTGGAAAGCTTTCTGTATGCTTTTCAGATAATAGCTGTACTGAAACACCCTTGCTCATTGAAATGAGTGAGCTAGGAAAGGAGAAAAAGACAATGTAAAGATACATTATCGATGACCTTGATTTTTTTTAAAGATACATTATGAAGGTATGCATGATATATCTTTACATTGTCTTTTTCTTCTTTCCTGTCTCACCCTCCCTGTCTTAGTCAGCTTGGGCTGCTATAGGAAAATACTATAAACAAGTTGCTCAAACAACAAAAATTATTTTCTCACAGTTCTGAAGGCTGGGAAGTCCAGGATACCTGTGCCAGCAGATTCAGTTTCTGGTGAAGGCTCTCTTCCTGGTTTGTAGACAGCTGCCTTCCTCTGTGTCCTCACATGGCAGAGAGAGGAGAGAGAGCCCTGATCTCTCTTCTTTTAAGGACAATAATCTCATCATGGGGACCACCTCCTCATGACTTCATCTAAGCCTGTTTACCTTCCACAGGCCTCGCCTCCAAATGTCATCACGCTGGGGATTAGGGCTTCAATATATGAATTTTGGGAGAACACAAACTTTCAGTCTCCTCAGTCTTGCTCCCTGTTGCTTCACTCCTTTTTCCCAGAATCACCTCCCAAATAAACCACCTGCTCACCACAAGTTCCCTCCTCAGGCTCCACTTTTAAAGGAACTCAAATTCAAATAGTGTCTTCTCTAAAACTTATCTGTTAACTGTGCTTGGATGATATAAAATCATGTTTTTTCAAAGATCTATTTTATAATTGTAAAGATGTTACCCTTCCTTCCCCAGTGATGTTTCATTGTCATGAATTCCTAACATTTCCATTCTCTTTCTTTATCCACAGATTCTGTCAATTAATCAATGATTTTTTAAATGTACTAGGGAAGCTTACTACATAAAGGGAATCTACTGCACACAGGGGCATAATATAAAAGTGCAGTCATGCTGGGTATTCCCAGTGCCTTTTTAAAGTGTGGGCTTGATTTCTTTCCCAGCCTCTCTCCAACCAACAAAGACTAAAGAGAGAGAAAGGGGAGCAGCCTCTCCTGGTTCCTTTCCTGAAGTCAAGCTCATTCTGGCCTCTTGGAAAGGAGGAACTTCCAGCTGCTGGCAGCCAATATGTCTGCCTGCTTTGGAGCTATTTTTCATGACCTATATCTCTGCCAGGAAAATGAATGTCAGGAATGTACATCAGAACTTGTAAAGTAGGATAGCCTTCCCCTCTGCCTTTCCCCCAAACCTTACGCGTTTAAAATAACTCGGAGTGTGGAATGAGGAAGGGAAGATTGAGGCTGACTATGCAATTATTCAGACTATATTATTTCTATTTGGATAAACATTGATCCCACAAATGCCAGGAAAGTTGGCAATCACCATTGTAGAGAGTGCTCCATTAAAATTTATGAGCCAACATACTGTGAGGACATAATTATTATTTATAATTACTTCCATGATGCTCAGTGCTGGTTTTGAGACTATCTTGTGTCAGGTGGTATATAAGATGCCACTGAAATATCTGACCCTAAAAATCCTCTCATAAGTGTGGCCAAAGGATACTGAAATGAAACAGTAGAATAGAAAATCAGATGTCTTTCAGAGACAGTGTTGTCAGAGAAGGTGTCTTCTGTAGGATGCTAATCACACTTAACATCATTTTATAAAGAGGACATCAATTCTTCTGCTGTTAACTGGTACTCTAGTGCAATATTGTAATTATACTAACTTTCCGATCATCTGACAACAGAGGCTTCCAAAAGACAGTTTTAGTTGAGTTACCTTTTTGGTATTTTGTACTCTTGTTTTAGGAATAAAGAAATACATATTTTTCTTAATCAGATCATTCCTTGGATTGTGATTTATCCCATCAAACCAACCATCCTGGAGCCATGTTCATAAATGAACTGCTTTAGCTGCTTTTGATCTCTCCTGCAGGCTGACTGTCATCACCTGTCAGCAACTTCATATAATAAGATCTGGTGTGCTCTGTCAGTTTGTATCAGAGCAAAGTTAATGTGTGAGTGCAAAAAGAGTTGACCCCTAAAAGAATGGAGGTGTGCTATGTGCTGGTGCAGGCTGTACTCAGTAGTCAATAGAATGCGTAGAGTCTCTGTAAATGTGGTATTTAAGGAACAGGCTGTTTTCACTGTGTACCGTTGTTTAGTTTTTCCAATCCTCCTGCTGTGGCCCACTTACGAAGGAGAAAACAAGAGAGTGCACAGAAGCCTGCCACCATGGTAGCTCCGCCAGTGTGCGTGGTAACAATTTATTTTCATATTGGTCAAAATGTTCTAAATAATTTTAACACCAGAAATAGCATGGAAATGGGGAACTAAATTATAAATGAAAAACCAGGAGAAATGCTAAGGATGGGACATTTCTTCTCCATTTCTGATTTTTTCTTTCCAACTGGCACCCATGATGGGAGCACTCTGGCCTCTCTTCTACTCCTTACTCAGCATTACCCAGAGTGGCACATCTGACTAGTGAGTTGGGAGAGAAAACAAAACAAGCAAACAAACCTTCTGCAGGAGTTTGCTGTCTGCTCTGTTCCTCAGGGCTGCAGGTTTCAGGAAGACCTGTCCCTTCAGCACCATCTAGGTGGACCAGTAACTTCTATGACTGGGGAGAAGTCTGTCTACCTCTAGGGTTTTCACACCTAAGCCGCTGTCTCCAATGTCAGCCTCATCTATTAACTGTTTTGTTCTTTTTCTCCACTTTTTGTTTTAAAAAAGAGTTATTATTTATGTTTTTTTGTGTTGTAAAATTTCTGGAATATGTCTGACCAATATTGGCTTGTGGCAAGTGTAGTTGTTAAGAGCACAGGCTCCTTGGGCACATAACATAACTCCCTTGTGCCTCAGTTCTCCTCTAGAAAATAAGGACAATAGTAGTAACACCTGTGCATAGGGCTGGCTATTGTGGGTACACTGCACCTTGTCTAGCCTAACTTCCTTTCTATGAGCCATTTCTATTATCAAGCCATGCCATTTGCATGATGAGCTGCATTTGCTGTCAGCCTAATGTTGATTCTAAACATGGTGAACTGTTTTGAACCATTACTGAACTATAGAACTCTAGAACCAAGTGAGACTTAAGCAATCTTAGCTTTAGGTTCTAGTTCAATGGAAGATAAAACTGAGGCACCCAGACCTGAAATAATTCATGGGAGGTTGTACACGGTAGCACCAAAGCTGGACATTCCATCTGACCAGACTCCAGATCTATTGATTTTTCTTCTACCTGAGCTTTCTTTCTCTCTTATAACTATTTCTGTCGACTACTCTCCTCACATTCACTCTTCCAATTTAATGCAGTTACTAAGTCTAGTCACCAACCACATTCTACCTACAAGGGATTCTATACCAGGCCTCAATAAAATTTTAAGCATTATAAAACAACAACAGTAATAATAGATAGTGCTCCCTGAGATTCACAGTATATTTTTCCTGTTAGAGAAAGCTGAGTTGTGACTTGCCTGAAGTAATCATGTAAGAAAAGCCTACTAGAAAAACAGTGCTATTGACTTGTGATGGATGGTTTTTCCTTTATAACCAAGAACATTTTTAAAGTCATATATGTATTTCTTGATTGCTCTTTTAACTTCACTTCTTCCTCCCTAGAGAACTCACTCTTCTGTTTGAAACATCGCGGGGAGTGCAAACTAAATACAGTATTGAAGTAAAATCCCTGCAAAGCTAATGAACTATTTTATGTAAAGTAAGGCAGGAAACCATTTCAGTAGTGGTGGTGTAATTAATTGGTTGTGGCCACACAGAGGCAAGATTTTAGAAATGGGCAATTTATAATAGGGATCTTAGAAGGTCACATGTGATGAATTGAAAGGTAGAAAATCATTACTTTCAATCATGCATCAACCTGGAAGCCAAATCAGACTCTTTAATGTATGTTTTCAACTGAGAGCAGTTTGCCTAAATTTCAAAAAGGAAAATGTGATACATTTGCCAACAGTCTGCCTGTATAGCTAATTACCAATTACATATCATAAAGAATCTGATACCTGTCATGTTGTAACAGATTTCCCAAGCATGGGGCATGTGGCTGAGCATACTAGCAGATAATTAGAGTCATAACAGCTAAAAGAACATTGTCCTTTTAAGCTGAAAGAACATTGTCCTTTTAAGCTGAAAGAACATTGTCCTTTTAAAATCCTCAATCTTATTTCAATATGGAATAATCCTTTTTCAGTGAATTTAGGATAAATGACATAAGTATCAGTTGGCCGGCTTATTTTTATGCATGTTCAGCTATTCTGATTCTGGTGACACCTGTGGCATTTATTTTTAGGACCCTAGTAAACTATAACTTTTTTTTTCTTTCTATATAGCTTAGAATTATTCTTCTATTTAATTATGTTTAGAAGTTGGAATCCATTAGCTGGGCATGGTGGTGGACACCTGTAATCCCAGCTGCTTGGGAGGCTCAGGCATGAGAATCATTTGAACCTGGGAGGTGAAGGTTCCAGTGAGCCGAGATTGCAATACTGCACTCCAACATGGGCGATAGAGTGAGAAACTCTGTCTCAAAAAAATTGGAATCCAGGTTAAATTGGTCACAATGTTACCAAGTCAGAAAGCTCACAATGCAGATTGCAAAATACTAATGAGGACATCACTGATTTTCATCTATATCAAGGTGTGTTTAAATTGCTAAAGCAATACTGTTTTAGTTTTAGTTTTTGTTTTTGAGATGGAGTCTCGCTCTGTTGCCCAGGCTGGAGTGCAGGGGTGTGATCTCAGCTCACTGCAACCTCCGCCTCCTGGGTTCGAGAGATTCTCCTGCCTCAGCCCCCGAGGAGCTGGGATTACAGGCACCTGCCATGATGCCTGACTAATTTTCGTACTTTTAGTAGAGTCAGAGTTTCACCAAGTGGGTCAGGGTGGTCTCGAACTCCTGACCTCAGGTGATCCACCTGCCTCAGCCTCCCAAAGTGCTGAATTACAGGCGTGAACCACTGCACCCAGCCGAGCAATACTGGTTTTATTTTCCACAAATACTGGCCCTCTATGACATAATATTTGTGGAATAAAAGAACAACAAAACATTCTATTAATTATTTTGTGAGAAATTGAGTCAGATAGTAGCCTAAGATTAAGAATATGGATTCTACGAATTGGATTTCAATTCTAGCTCTGCCACGTATTAGCTGGATGACTGTAATGGAATTACTTCTCTGAGCTTCAGTTGTTTCTTCTAGGGATAATGGTAATGATACCAACTTTTCAGAGTGCTGAGAGGATTTGATGGCATAATTTGTGTAAGATGCCTAGCCCCGTGCCTGCATGGTAGGTGGAAGATACAAATAACTCATAATTATGATATCTGAGACATCAGGCACCGGGAGAAAAAGCCAGTCACTTTTAAGGAAACTCAGTTCCATTTTAGACTGTAAAGTTTGAGTCTCTGTGGAGTGGAGTTGTCAGTGGGTCTCAAGCCTGGCATAGAGGTCAAGATTAAAGATTAAGATTTTGGAGCTATAAATAGGTTGAATCGAGAATCAAGAAGAAATGTTCCCATCCTAACTATTTCTCCTGGTTCTTCATTTAAAGTTTAGCTCCTTATTTTCATGCTATTTCTGGTATAAAAATTATTTAAAATATTTTGTCCAATATAAAAAGAAAGCGTTACCATGCACACTTGCAGAGCTACCATGATGGCAGGCTTCTCTGCACTCTATCTTTTTCCCATCCCTAAGTGGGCCACAGCAGGAGGACTGGAAAAGCTAAACAGGAGCACACAGTGAGAACAGCCTGTCCCTTAAGCAGTGCATTTACAGAGAACAAATGAAATTCTGATTTGGCTATTTCTTGGTTAATAACCAAACCGAGTAATTCAAGAATCAAGTAATATTAATGAGAAAGTGATTTATGATCAAAGCAGCTATCATTTGGGAAACAGAATTTCCCAGAGAGTGTTTGAGGTAGTGGAGACACTAGGAAAGGAAAGGAGATGTGATTCAGATGAAGGCTCCTGAATATGGCTACAAGGTAGTCAGTAGACATATTAGGATCATTCAGGGTCAAATGAGACTGAACACATTTCCCTCTGTAAGGTTTATTAGGCTTCAGTGCGTCAGCAAGTGCCAGGGGCTGATTATTAGCACCACAGTATATAAATTGAGAGATCACCAGATTCTAATTTTCTCTTGTACCTCTCCTAAATGAATGTGTAGAGCATGTATTTCCATGACCAATCATGTGTCTCACTTCTAATAGAAGAAAATATGCTTCAGATTTACAAAGATGCATGAAATACAACTAGCTGGAAATACAGAAGAAATGTAGCACCAATTACTCTTTGAGTAAGATAATTGTTGGAAGTTTTAAAAGTGATAAAAAGTAAGGGCACAATATTCATTCATCCACCTACCCACCTACCCACCGTCATGAACATCCACCCTTTGCCAGGCATCGTGTTCAAAGAGGAAGAAGATAAAGATCTGCCTTTTCAAAATCAGACAAGTGAAAATATAAGACAGGGTCATTAGTGTAATTTGTGAAAGACTGGAAGTAACTAAGCAGTGGATATCATAGCATTTTCATGGAAGAGTGCAGGAATGCTTTCTGGAAAAACTGATAACTTCCCTGAGCCCTGAGGTCAAGAACGAATTAATTGAAGAGTGAAGGATTGGTGTTGAGGGTCAGGAATTTCCAGGCAGAGGGAGCAGAATGAGGTGAAGTGGACCTGGGGCCCACAGATAACTGGGACCTGACTGGTCAGGTAGGGCCTGGAGGTGAGTAACTAAGGACACTCTTTCCCACGTTAGGAGAGGAGAGACTGATTCCAGAAACAAATGTCGTTCACATTCAGTGTTGCCTATTAGGATTTGGACAGGGCCATAAGTGGGCTCTGGAGTGTGCGGGACATTCTACCCGCACTGAACCTCATTATTGACCCTTGGTTAAAAGTTTCACAAAAGGAGCGAAGTCGAATGATTTTCTCCTTTTGGGATATGCCTGATTTCTATTTTGGCTTCATTCTTTGAGTGCTAGGAAGCCTCTGGAGCACCACCCATCCTCATCCCAAGGCTGAGTTAGGGGCCCCCTTTCTGTTCTCATAGCGTCTTCTCTCACTGCACCTAGCATAGTGTGTTGTAACTGACACAAACAGCTTCTATCTCAGTCTCTCGAGAAGCATAAAACAATGTATTTATTTAATACCTCTGCATCCTTAATGCTCGGCACAGTGCCTGACACACTAAGCATTGATAAAGGTTCATTGAAACAATTAGTCTACAAATACATGAGTTAGATATTCTGGTGAATTTTAAGAAAATCTATTATACATAAGGTTTTCTCGGTGGAAAAAAAAAGAAAACATTAACAGCGCAAGCTTCACACCAGTAACCCACCGAGCAAAGTACAATGTTCTCTCTAGGCACTTGACAGACTCCCAGGCCTGCTGTGGGGTTAGAGTGAGAAGGAAGAACAAACCTTTCACTGGTGTACACTAAGCTCCTTCAGATGGGTGGGGAGTGCTGTACGTGGAGGGCAGGGCACACAGTGAAAATAGAGGCATTGAAATCAATTTTGCGTGCTGCCCAGTTTTGCCTCCAGCTTTCTGTGATCACACTCTCTCACCACTTGTGGGGGCAGGGAAAGCCGGCCCCATGCATCTCTAGGGTGGGTTTTAGTGCATTCATTAAATGGCAAGACCAGTGATCAGTCATGGCCGACATATTCAATTAGGAGTCTTGCAAATAATTCTCCTCAAGCTGCCCCTTGGCACCTTCTGCTGTATAGTTTTAAAGTGTACAGAATCAGCTAAGGAGAATAGTAATCACACTCTATATTGCTTATCCTGTGTTGCAGGCTGGAATTATTAGTTCTAGGTCCACCTATAAAGTATCCAGATATAGAGGCACAGTATTGCTTGATCCAATATTCCTCTTTAGAAACTGGACCTCAAATCAAATGTAGATCCTCTGTTTTGAAAAGCTACTGGATAAGGCACTTAAGCCAATTAAAAGTAAAGTCAGCTCTCAGGATGATAAAAATCCCAACATAACAGCTTTGTAGCTACAAAGATACTGTATTAGTCCGTTCTCAGACTGCTATAAAGAACTTCCCAACACTGGGTAATTTTATTAAGGAAAAAGGTTTAATTGTCTCACAGTTCTGCATGGCTGGGGAGCCCTCAGGAAACTTACAATTATGGCAGAAGGTGAAGGGGAGGCAAGTTTAGACCTTCTCACATGGGAGCAGGAGAGAGAAGAGTGAGAAAAGGAGGAACTTGCCAAACACTTATAAAACCATCAGATCTCGTGAGCACTCACTCATTATCATGAGAACAGCATGGGGGAACCACGCCCATGATCCAATCACCTCCCTCCCACTGGGCCCCCCTCGACACGTGGGGATTATGGGGATTACAATTCAAGATGAGATTTCAGTGGGGACACAGCCAAACCATATCAGATACTTTAGCTATTTTTTAATAAACTGAATAATCATTTTCTCTCTCCAAAACTTTGAGATCTATACTTTGGCTGACAGTCCGTGCCTTCAGGCAGCCTCACAAGAATATCTGAGAACAGACAGTATTGCGTTGCATCCAGGGTAAGTAACCACCATAAAATTTTTTCAATGACACGTTGAAGTTAACAATAATCCTAACCCTTGGATGTAATCATGCACACAATCTCACATGAACCTGAATTAACTAACCAGGTCTCCATAGTGAAAGGATCCACGTTCCTTTGATAATGAGTATGATGTAGCACTTTGACACTCTTGTTCTCTTTACAACAACTGTTTGGGGTTAAATCAATGTGGTTATCATGTTTTGAAGATGGAAAACAGCTGAATAAAAAAATGTGACATAGTATAGGGAATATAATATCATTTTTAGATTATAAAAACCACAGTTTTTATCTAAGTTTTGAAATGAAATAATTCCATGGGTATAAGCTGATGACTTTGCTTCCCTGGGCCACAGTTTCCTCACTGGAAAATGAGAGCTAAAACTAAAAAGTCATGAAAGTCCTTCTAAGAAATAAAGTCCACTGGTTCATGGAGAATTCTACATCCTAAAGTTAATTAACAGAAGACCCCAGGTTGGCCTCCCTAATTGCGTTTTAATTTACTTTTTCTCAGCACACTGCTTTTCTAGTAGTAATGATTTTGTTTATTTACCCATCCACCCATCCATGCATTCAACAAACACTTATTCGATGAGTCCCGTAGATTCTGTGCTGTGTGTGCAAAGATGAACAAGACTCCCTGCTTAGTGTCTTCTCTTAGAGAGATCACAATCTAATATGTGATTGCTTGGGTTTTGAGTTTGTGAAATGAGCTTCTCAATATAAATGGAAATCTCTCATAGTTTTCTGTAACGTAAAGGGAAATCATGCTTCAAAATGTAATGAAGTAGAAAATAAAAACAAAATATTCTCCTGTTTCTTGAAAAGATTTTACCACAAGATCTGGAAACTTGTTTCTTGAAAAGAACCTAAAGGTCTTTGTGGAATATTTCATAGCCTCTAAGAGAGACAAGTCTGAACTTAGAATTTGCTCATCTTTATCAGTGTAAAATAGATGCATTAAAATACTCAAGTATTTTATGCCATATTTTTATCAGAGCAAGCTATAAAAGATACAAAAGATCTTAAAAGATGCTATAAAACCTCCAAATCTAAGGAGGTTAATGCAATAAAATTTAATTCTGAGTCATGTAAAGTCCAATTCTGATTTTCTCCTGGGGGACAGTTCTCCTGAGCAGCCCCATGGGGCTTCTGTCTTATGGCTTGTGGCTATCTCAAGGCTTCATCATCCTGTAGCTTCAAGATTTCCCTGTTGTTGGGAAAATGATCTCACACCCAGTGCTTAATCACCGAGGTTATAAACCAAACATCAGTTTCCTTCACATTCCTTCGGCAAGAACTGGTCACATGGTCCCACCATGCTGAAAAGGAAGCCTAGAAATGTCCTGGCTAGACAGCCACTTCCCAGTAAACATCTTAGTTGGTTATGTTATGGTAAAGAGTTGCTGTCTCAAGTCCCGCAATTGCTCTACCACCTGCTGGTCCACTGGGAGCTCCTGAACCTCCCTACGGTCTGGTGACCAAATGCCCAAAACTAAGTAGGATCTAAGACATTGTTTCAAAGTTCTGCCTGGAATCCCTTCTGATTAGTTGATGCCTATTCAGTACTGATTATTAAATATTTGACATAGCACGTCAGCATCTAGTATCTTTGCAAGCTCCATTTTCCAAACTCACTGGCACTAACTTGCTTGCTGTGGTCACTGACCTCTAATTTCAGATCTCTTCCTTTGGACCTGATGATTGGTACCTTCCTGAAGTGCTTCATCTTTCCTTGCCAGGATACAGACCTACTTCTCTCAAACCCTCACTTAAGGCGACCCATCTCCACCTTACTGTCTGCCCATTTCCCCTCCCAGGTCTCTTAACCACCCCAGAGGAGCCCCACATTCTCTTAACCACCCCAGAGGAGGCTCCAAGGCACCCAGAATCTTCATAATTTCCCTTTCTGGGTCTCTTACTGTCACGCTTCACCAAGCCCGACAAGCTCTTGTCTCTCCCTGCTTACGATTTCCCTCTCAGTCTTCCTCCCACAAAGAGAGATTTTCATCCCCACCTCATCGAAATCTGGGTGACCAATATTATCTTTCCAGGAAACTCTGAACTCTGTAGCCAAAGCAGTGAACACATCTCTGCTAACGTTTTAATGGTCTGCCCATCACAGACAGCACATTTGCCTGACATCTGGAGACTGCTGAAGATAAAGCCTTAGCTCAAAAAGCAGCACTCTCTGTTGTTTTTTCAGGCACTACAGCAGCATCAAACTGCACTTTTCCTCCCCTGTCTATGGTGACCTCTAATTCTTTCTTCCTTGCATTTCTGACTTTCTGCCTTTCTGTTTATAATTTACAATTTATATGGAAAGAATTTTCAACATCTGACCATTACAAACTGAAAGAAATTGCATAATATTGCTCTTGGACCTAGAATTAAGTGGGTTTACAAATCCCAACTCATGTAGCCAGGGACCTTTTAAATAAATAAACATTAAATACTGGCTTTGTACCAGTTAACATTTTCTTAAATATGATATGAGGGTTTCTAACTCTGGTCTCCATTCAAATTTAAGATGCAAGATATATATTTGGGGCTAGTGATTTAGTAATATCAGGTAAGAGATCAGAGTCTATGAAGAAGGAGAGGAAATAAGAGAAATGAAGTGAGACAGTAAAAAGAGGGAAGGGAGAGAGAAGGCTAGCATACAGAAAAGAGTAGCAGTCAAGAAACTTGAAAAGAACAAAATGTAAAATTCTGGTTTTTGAATGATGAATGACAAATAATAATGAATGAATTTGCAAGTAATACGGTTTAACTGGTTGAATAAGGAGAACCCCTCAGAATTTCTGATACATGTGATAATTGGCATACGTGTGCTAAACATTATCAATAGAGCATGATGGAGTCCTTTCATACCTCAGTTTATCAGCTTTCATAATTATAGTTGTAAATTATACTAAGGAAACTACTCCTGTATAAATACATATGGTCATATTTGCTAAGCCTCTTTTATCATCTCTAAAGGTGTATCTGCAGATGGTTTGAGTCCAGGCTTTTAACAGCCATGATTCCCCCTATGAATTACTGAGAATTGGCTAGGAAATTTCTGAGACTTATTTGGTAAATAACTTCCACAACATTCTTGTACATTCCGGTAAGAAAATATACAAGTCTAAAAGACCAGTCTCAAGGGCAAAGAAAAGGGGAAAACTAGGACCTGAAATAGAAAACAGCTTTGAATGTTTTTATCAAGCAGGATCACTCATTATTCAGAGAAATCACTTTCTCTGTGCCAAGACTGAACTGGGCATTTGGATCCATAGGAGCTAGGTAATGTCTTTGCAACATTTGGAGCCTGTAATGTGTCACTGACATGAGAATATTGAACTTGGGCAAATTAGACCCTATTTAAAATCAGGTTGTTTCTATTCACTATGCAACCTGCAGGATCAGCAATAGAAGTAGCAACCCCAGTGCTTTCACATAAACTATGTCACATCACAGAGTTGTGAGGTAGAAATGCTGATCTGCACTAGCTGTGGCCACAGTACCATTGACCACTTGCTTAATCATGACTGACACTGAGTGTATTTTTCTAGCTTCCTATCTCTTTTTCATGTTTTCTGTCACCATTAAATGAGTCAATATTTGAAACTGTTAGTGGTTCTTTGGATCAGTTGTCTTTAAAGTGACAAGGATGGTGGAGGTGATGGTAATGGTAGAGGTGATATTCACTCCAGGGGGTGCACGAGATAATACATTAGCATGAAATGTTAGAAAATCTATTTATACTATTAAAATCTATTTTTATGTATGTTCTTTTGTTTGCACATATTTCTGATATTAGTACAGTAGTAATATATAATTTATTATGTATGCATGTGTATGCAATCCAAATAAAACTAAGCATTATATGGACTTGATTTCAACTTCAATGAATTTATTTAATTATTCATTCATCCAACAAACATCGTTTAGCACCTATTTTGTTCCAAGCACTATGCTGGGCATTGAGAATATGATCGTAATCAAGATAAACCCAAGTCCTACATTCAGTAGTAGAGTCGGTATCCACTGAGGACTGGTTCCAGGACCACCCCCATCCCTATACCAAAATTGCCTGATGCTCGGGTCTCTTAGATAAAATGGTGTAGTGTTTACATATAACGTACGCACATCCTCTGCATACTTTAAATCATCTCTAGATTACTTATAATACCTAATACAATGTAAATGCTATGTAAATAATTATAATGTTGTATTGTTATTTGTATTCTATTTTATTGTTGTATTATTATCTTTTATTGGTTTCTTTGTCCTGAATATTTTCCATACTTGGTTGTTTGAATCCATGTTTGCAGAACTGATGGATCTGGAGGGCAGGCTGTAATTCTAAGGGTGATAAGTGCTATGTAATCTTATAATAGGGGCACTTGGCCTAGTCTGCGATTGGGAGCTGTCAAGGAAGGCTTCTGACTTATTATTCTTGTATAGTTTTCTTTTCAAGTTGGAAAATATTTTACAATGTTCTCTAAGGAATTGTCCCATAAAGTATAGCATCTACAATCAATTTATATTCTCTAAGTATATGGAGCGTCTATATACTTAGAGAATATAAATTGATTGTAGATGCTATACTTAGAGAATATTAATGATCACCATTAATATAGTGTCTACAATCAATTTATATTCTCCAAGGAGGAGAAACTTATCTTTTTTTCTTAAAACTTATTTTTTTTCTTAAAATGTAATGAGTTATATTTTTTCTTTTCTCCATTGTCTACTATAAAGATGAAATCATTATTGCATGAACTGTACAGTCAGAAGTATTATTATATCTAAGCTTAGAGCAGGTTGTCCAGAGGCTGCTATTATTCCACCAGGGTATAACAGGAGAGATGCAGTTAATTATACATTGCAACTTGCAGTTTCAAACCTCTGGTACTGGTACATACACATATACACATCTATATATTTAGATGTTTAGGGGTTTTTATCTTGATAAAGGAAAAAAAAAAAAACAAGAGAAAAGATGAAATAAATGTGTTGATGACAGTTTGTTAATTCTGTGCCAGTACCTTGGCTTTAATTACTGTAGCTTTATAATAGTTTCAGTATTTGGAAGGATACTATTTCTCTCCATATTGTTTATTGCTAGAAATTTTCCTCTATTACTTTTCCAGATAAACTTTAGAAAAATTCGATAACTTTCAAAATAAAAATCTGTTGGGTTTTTTAAAAATCACGTTGAATTTGCACGCAATTTAGGGAAAAAAAAGCTATTTTTGTATTATTATACTTTAACTTCTAGGATACAAGTGCAGAATGTGCAGGTTTGTTACATAGGTATACATGTGCCATGGTGGTTTGCAGCACCCATCAACCCGTCATCTACTAATGTAGATGTTTCTCCTAATGCTATCCCTCCCCTTGCCCCCCACCCTCTGACAGGCCCCAGTGTGTGATGTTCCCCTCCCTGTGCCCACATGTTCTCATTGTTCAACTCCCACTTATGAGTGAGAACATGCAGTGTTTGGTTTTCTGTTCCTGTGTTAGTTCCATCTCACGCCAGTTAGAATGGTGATCATTAAAAAGTCAGGAAACAACAGATGCTGGAGAGGATGTGGAAAAATAGGAATGCTTTTACACTGTTGGTGGGAGTGTAAATTAGATCAACCATTGTAGAAGACAGTGTGGCGATTCCTCAAGGATCTAGAACCAGAAATACCATTTGACCCAGCAATCCCATTACTGGGTGTATACCCAAAGGATTATAAATCATTCTACTATAAAAACACATGCACACATATGTTTATTGCAGCAGTATTCACAATAGCAAAGACTTGGAATCAACCCAAATACCCATCAATTATAGACTGGATAAAGAAAGTGTGGCACATATACACCATGGAATACTATGGAGTCCTAAAAAAGAATGAGTTCGTGTCCTTTGCAGGAATATGGATGAAGCTGGAAACCATCATTCTCAGCAGAAAATCTCTATTTTCACAATATTGTGATGAGGTGTTGGTAAGACATTTATTTGGTGATGGCCACTGAAGCACATGAGAGATACAGGAACTAGTAACAAAGATCTGGACATCATTAGTCTTGAGCTGATAGTTGAAGTCATAGAAAGATACATTTTATCTCAACTTAAAAACAATTATCATCAAGTTTTGTGCATCCTAATTCCCACAATCTTCTATTCACATGTAATCTACTTATGGTGCCCATTATTCATATCATACCAGCAGCCTTAAGAATATACAAAGTGTTTTACATTAAATAACCCCAGAACTGAATCCCAAAACTATAAAACTTTATATTTTCTGACTTTCTGACTAATTTAATGTTTTCTGCATTTTCTTTTTCTTCATCATCACCTTGCTGGCCTAATTTCTTCAGGTGGCACTTTTTGTTAGATGAGCTGGCTTAGTCTAAGCATTTGATTTTAAAGCTTAGAGCAATCTAAGGGTTTCTAAAGCATTCTTAGGTCCACTACTGGACTATAATATATCATGTAGGTAATGAAGTATTGCTTGGAGTGTGCAATGTACCCAAGGGAAATCATTTTTAAAGGCAGATATTAAAAGGTTTTCTTGGTAGAGGATTTATGGATTCTTTCCAAAGAGCTTAGCAAGTTAAGTTATATTTTAAATGGGGAAATAAGAAACAATTACAAAACAATTTTACTTTACCCTACAAGATTCAAATCCAACTTCTCAACTAGATTATATGACAGAGTATATATGTGATTATGCCATTTAATTATAATTTAAATGTTTTTAAGTCACAGGAACAATCTCTATTACAAAGAGGTTGCTTAAATAATTACTTATATAATTACTTTTCCCATTTTTAAATGAAATCTTCATATTTAGATGAGAAAAATTTCAGGAAATTCCCATTGTGATAAAAAGTCATTATAAGGTTTGTGTAAAGCAAGCAGCAGTGAAGTCCTTTCATATCATGCTCTCACTCTCTCTTCTCCTCTTTTTCCCTCTCTCTCTCTCCAATGTATCCCAAAATTGCATTTGAAAATCTTTTACTGTATAGCTGTCTTTCCAAAAATGCTTAAACATGTTTGATAGTGATGATTCAGACTCATTTGTTCATGTATTCCTTCATTCAACATTTATTGGGTGCCTATTACGTCCCAGGCAATATCCCAGGTAGTGGGGATATAATGTACAAATGCCTCAGAGAGCTTATATTTCTGTAGGTGAGACAAACAGTAAGTGATGAAATATAAATTATGCACATATAATTTTAGGTAGTGATAAATTACATATATACATACTCTTTTTCTCTGTACTTATAATTTTATTTATGATAGATATTATACAGAAAATAAAGCAGGATACAAGGGACAAAGACAGACCTATATGATCAGGGTTGCTAAATACACAGCTTTGCTCTCATGCCTCCAAAGTTATGCAGATCAGCAAGAAGAACAAATAAACCATCTACAACTTAAGTTCTCATCATAATTAAGATAGCAAGATACAAAACCTCAGGGAATACTTTAGTCAAGTTTTCTTCCTGTGGCACCAACTAAAAATGAGCCTCATCCAGTCAAGAGATGAATGAGGAGTCTTTGGCAAAAGGTTTTGCAGTGACCAATGAAATACATTAAAAACAAAGATGGGACAAGTGTGGAAGAATTGTATAAAAGGACATGTTTTGACAATCTAGAAATAGCAAACTTAAGAAATGGAGAAGAGACAGAGAAAGATAAAACCGGAATCGCTCTTTGATTGTCGTGTAATTGTTGGGAGGCAAAGGCTCTAGTTTAAGGCTGACAAACCAAATAGTAGAATGTTAAGGGAACTAAGAACTAGGTCATTATGAAAGGTAAAGAGTAAAACTAATGACTGCAACAAGCCATCTTAATTAACAAAATTTTTTTTAAAAAGAGCAAGGAAACATTATTTGGAGAATTAAATATGGTAAATACAATGCCATGGTAAATATAACCCAAAATATTATGACAGATTTGAGATCAAGCATATTTGCCATATCAATACTATATGGTCACATCACCTGTTAAAAAGAAAAGGGTTTCAGAATGGCTGACAAAGTAAAACCTAACTCTTTTTTTTTTTTTTTTTTTTTTTTGAGACGGAGTCTCGCTCTGTCACCCAGGCTGGAGTGCAGTGACGCAGTCTCGGCTCACTGCAAGCTCCGCCTCCCGGGTTCACGCCTTTCTCCTGCCTCAGCCTCTCCGAGTAGCTGGGACTACAGGCGCCCGCCACCACGCCCGGCTAATTTTTTTGTATTTTTAGTAGAGACGGGGTTTCACCGTGGTCTCGATCTCCTGACCTCGTGATCCACCCGCCTTGGCCTCCCAAAGTGCTGGGATTACAAGCGTGAGCCACCGCGCCCGGCCCTAAACCTAACTCTTACATGGTTGATAAGAGGCACACCAAACAAAGAGACTTAGAAAGGCTAAAATAAAGGTATCAACAGAGATACGTAAGGCAGACGCTGACCAAAAACAACTAGAAGTTTTGATCTAGTTTACACACAAAGTAGACTTATAGCCCAAACCTACAGAATGGGATAAATAAAACATTTCATAATACCAAAGACCTCTATTTTTCAGCATGGTGACTATAACTAATCATAATGTACTTTGTATTTGACAGTTGCTAAGAGAGTAGATCTTAAATGTTCTCACCACATACACAAAAAATAAGTATGTGAGGTGATGGATATGTTAATTATCTTGAATTAACCATTCCATAATGTATACATATATCAAAACACCATATTGTATGCCCAAAATGTGTACATTTGTATCTGGCAATTAAAAACATTTTAAAAAATAAAAATAAAAATGTAATGCTAAAGTCAATAAGTCACAATAAAGTTATAGCAGTTTTTAATATCTCGCCTCAAATAACATAAACATGTTTATAAAGTAGAAATACACAGAAACATACTAGTAATACTCTAAAAGATAGGTTAAGTGGATAAAAATGAAGTAAGCATATACATTATAAGAGGAAATGACACAAAGGTGAGGAGAGGGGACAGAGGGTGACTGTGGGAGTCCCTTTAGAATGAGTGGTCAGGGCTCGACTGGTGGGAACATAAACCAGTACAACCACTATGGAAAACAGTGTGGAGATTCCTTAAAGAACTAAAAGCAGAACCACCATTTGATCCAACAGTCCCACTACTGGGTATCTACCCAGAGGAAAAGAAGTCATTATACCAAAAAGATACTTGCACACGCATGTTTATAGCAGCACAGTTCACAATTGCAAAATCGTGGAACCAACTCAAATGCCCATCAAGCAACTAGTGGATAAAGAAACTGTGGTATATTTATAAGATGGAATACTGCTCAGCCATAAAAAGGAATGAATTAACAATGTTTTCAGCAACCTGGATGAGATTGGACACTATTATTCTGAGTGAAGTAACTCAGGAATGGAAAACCAAACATTGTATGTTCTCACTGATATGTGTGAGCTAAGCTATGAGGACACAAAGGCATAAGACTGATACAATGGACTTTGAGGACTTTGGGGGGAAGAATGGGAAGGGGGTGAGGTTTATCTAAAAGACTACAAATAGGGTGCAGTGTATACTGCTCAGGTGATGGGTGCACCAAAATCTCACAAATCACCACTAAAGAACTTACTTATGTAACCAAATACCACCTATACTCCAATAATTTATAGAAAAAAAAAAAAGGAAAGAGTATTCGGGGAAGGACTTTCCAAAGAGATGACATTTGAGAGAGATCTGAATGACGATGTGTGCATCATGTGAAGATTGGAAGAACAACATTTGAACTTAGAGAGCAGCAGTACAATAGCTCTTAGGAGAGAAAAGACCTGGAGTTCTCACAGATCCGCAGGAAGGTCACTAGCATTTAAGCAAAGTTAGAAAGGGAAAGAATGGCAGATGGTGAGGTGGGAGAAGCAGACAAGGGCCAGACCATAATAGGCCTTATATATAGGCTGTGCTGAGAAGGTCTGATTTTATTCTAAGTGCCAAAGGAATCCTCTGGAGGATTTCAAGGAGAAGAGTGACATGATCTCACAGAATGTACCTTCACACAAGATAGACTTTTATTCTGTTTTTCTCTTAGTTTTATCCCCCCTAAAACTGCTGTTGTTTGTCCATGCTATGCTTTTTCTTTAACTGCTAGTTTTATCCTTAACATAAATTATGGAAAGTATTCAATGCAATAAATCTAGTTTGTGAAAAGGCCCATGAAAAATTTATTTTTAAATGCAAAAAGTAAGCCACCAGAATAAAAATTAGCTACGTTTTTATCTCAGAGTGATGATAGCTCCAAAACTAATTAGTGAAAGAAGGGGACACTGTATATCACTGCACACTTAAAAATACAGAGAAAGGAAAGAAAGTTTGGGAAGAATAAAACTGCTTCATACGTGTCTATTATGTTGCAGGTATAGTATTAGACAATTTGCCTATATCGGGTCATTTAATCCTCCCAAAAATATTCTGTGAGATTACATTATCCCTAACTTATAGTAGGACAGACTAAAACCTAAACCCACCCAGCGACTTTCACAATGTTCATCTGCTAAAGAAGTGGGAAATTTGGGATTTAAACCCAGTCCTGCTTCCGTATTCACCAAGGTGAGTATGGGAGGAAAGGACTGTGGTTATCAGCTTGAGGAGATTTTGGGCTGAGACGATGGGGTTTTCTAGATATGCAATCATGTCATCTGCAAACAGGAAAGGATTGTGGGAAAGGATTGTGGTTTAGAAATGAGAAAGGAGAACTTTACTTTTAAACAATCAATAGAATATGATTTAGCAGCCTACTGGAAATTATGCCATGGTTAATGAAAAGATAAAAACATTCCTTATTGTTTGCATCAGTTATCTCTTACAGCCTAACCATGGTAAGGTTTAGTGGCGTAAAATGACAATTTCCTTAGCCTACTATTCTGTGGGTCAGCAATTTGGACTGGGTTTAGCTGGGTGGCTCTTCTGGTCCTGATTAGATTCTCTAATCATGATGCATCTGTGATCAGCAGCAGGGTAGCACTACTTCTGAGAGTTAATTGGCTATTGTCTGGGCAGTGGAGCAATAAGGCAATGGGGTTACTGAGCCAAGTGTATTTCATCATCTAGCAGACCACCCTGGGTTTGTCTAGATGAAGATTTGCCAAAATTTTGAGAGAGGGAGGAAGCATGCAAGGCTTCTTAAGATCTAGACTCAGAACTGGAACATTATCACTGTAGTCATTTGTATTGGCCAGAGCAAGTCGCAAGTCCAGCCCAAATTCAAAGGAGTAGGGAAATAGCTGTCACTTCTATGACAGGAGAGATGGGAGAAGCCACAAAGTCACATCATAAAAGGGGAATGAAGACGGGTAGGTTTTGAAAATCATGGCTATTTTCGCAATCTACCATGTTAGGCAAAAAAACTTTTATAATCACACAGTGAATTAATCACATAGGAAAACAATTCTCAATACTGCTGTTTGAGATATATACATATGCCCATGCATGTGCAGATATGTAGGTATATATATATATACACATGCACATATATAAATTATATGTCCAAATTATGTGTTTTTATTTCAAATTTTAAAATATACTGAAGTGAAATTATATGTCTTCTTCTGAAAGAGGTAATGCCTTCACTATATGCTTTTTCTTTGGTTCCTTTGAGAATATGCCTGGCACACAATAAACTCTCAACAGAGATTGGATGACCAGTTATTTGCAGGCATCATGTAATCTTTTTCTCCCTTTCGCCCCAGAGGAAAAATAAGCAATCTTTTATTTTTATATCACTCATTTGCCAATGAAAGGAATAGACTTCATTGCTTTTCTAAGTAGCAGATACTGTATCCCTCCAGAATCTGAAGTAAGTAGAATATTCAGTTATGCTCTTGTGTTTATACCAAGAAAACAGTTAGTTTTCTACTTTCCTCCAGTAGAACCAAGCTTCATTTCCCCCACTGATTTTCTTATAGAAAAGAAAGTAAGTCTGAAAACTTGTCAATATTAAACTTTCAAAGAAATAATAAAATTAATTTTTTCTCAAGCAGCTGAAAAATGGTTGTAATCCCCTGACCATCAGTCTTATGATGATCCCTTTTTTTCTTAAGCTTGTTTTGTTTTGAGACAAGGTCTGGCTCTATCGCCCAGGCTGGAATGCAGTGACATGATCTCGGCTCACTGCAACCTCTGCCTCCTGGGCTCAAGCCATCCTCCCACCTCAGGCTCTTGAGTAGATGGGACTACAGGCACATGCCACCATGCCTGGCTAATTTTTGTGTTTTTTGTAGAGACAGCGATTTGGTCATGTTGCCCAGGCTAGTCTTGAATTCTTGAACTCAAGCAATCCGCCCGCCTCGGCCTCCCAAAGTGCTGGGATTACAGGTGTGAGCCACCACACCTGGCTTTTCTTAAATTCCTAATACAGCAATTACCTTGGGATGAAGAAATAAAACAAAACAAAGCAAACAAACAAAAAATTTAATACCCCCTTCCTATCTATGCAAGGTAGATAGATGTGAACCATATTAGATGATTGCCTAAGCCTATGATATTTTAGCAGTGCATTATGGAAATTCTAATTGTTATTTCTTGCCTGGGATTTGAAAAGTAAAAGATGAAATAGTCCCTGAGACTGACAGTTACTATGTGGTATAAACTTCCATCATGAGAAGTATAATATTTATTCTTCTTCCCATTCACTCCCACCCCAAGCCATGCAGAAACAACATGAGAGGACGACGTAAATAGACTTGCAAAGATGTCTCATCCTGTTGCCTGGAGTTGGAGGGATATATCTCATATATTTTCCATACCATATTGTATTTTTTAAGAACAAAAATTTGGCAAATATTCTTTATTTTGATCTGCCAATGGCAGCCCCATTTTATCACATGAATCAGATGAGAGAAGGAGCCCACATTAGTCAGTGTAATTAATGCCAACAAGATAGACCAACGCTGATTAGTGACTTAAAGGAATATATGGTTATTTCTTTATCTGAAGCAGGTTGGGTAGCCCTTTTGTATGGTTTTCCTTGAAGCTCAAGGCTGCAGGCTACTTCCATCTTTCAAGTCTGCCATTTTAGATTCCTTTATTTTAATCATAAGGAAAAAAGAGAGAGCATGGAGAGGGCGCACTCTTACCTGGCATGGACTGAAAGTGAGACCTCACTATTGTCAAATCCCATTGGCAAGAGTGAGTCATAGGACCCATCTACCATGGATGCTTGAAGCTGGGGGAATGCAGAGGAGCACATGCAAATTAGGTGGGAACTAACAGCCTCTCTCACACAGAGAGGTATGCAGACAAGCTTGATTAACACGGACTCTATCAAAATCAAAACATGATAATGTTCCTGCCTCCCCAAAATTCATCTCTTATTTTAAGGTCCTATTAAAGTATTAATTGTGGGTATTTCATTTCTTTCAGGAAATAAACATGGGATATTCATTATGTGAAAAAAAAGAAACTAGAATATATCTTAAAGTATAGTCATGTCTCATGGGCTTTTCATTAGAATTTTGTGACCTACTGCAGGTATTATTATACTCAGTAAAATAAGCAAACTCAGGAATTATAAATGACTGCATCAAAATATCACTTGAAATCATGTGCCGATATCTTTTTTTCTTCCATGGTATTTCTAATATACATTTCCATGTTTATAATATGCCATTCATAGCAGACAGTCTGTAGCAACCCAAAGGAATTGTTAATTTCCTGGAACCAAACATTGGCTGCTTAAAGATATTCTTTGTTTACATTTTTTTCATATTTGCTATTGCATGCCTGACTAAGTGGCTCCAATAATTTAAGGGTTAAAGACCCATTGGAGCAAATGACAATGCAGCTGATTGATTAGAGAAGTCCTAGATGAAATAGATCTAGCTTTGATCAAACACACAAGATCTGTCTCTCAATTGATGACCTGCCTGTATCTAGTGTGGTGGCAATGCTTGAGAGCAGGGACACTGCAAGATAGGTCTTAAAGGTTAGACAAGGCTAGTTTACTGAATCCATTAACCCTATTTCTAAGAGCTGCTAATTGCTGGAACTATTGGCCCTGTCTTACCTCCCTTTTCCTTAGCTTCCTCTGAAGCTCACATGATATTATTATGTATGCACACTGAGGAAGAGATGGACAGAGGGGTTAGAGAACGCATGCAAAACAGAATGAACAGTTGTAAAAGCAAAAAGAAACTAGAATATTAATCATTTTTAGTGTGAGCAGGAAAAGACTTAGCAGAGGTAAATATTCAGGGAAGAGATACTTAATCCTTCTCACTGCTCATTCTCTCCCACATCCCAGGTCCTTATTTGATGGAATCAGGTCAGGAGTGATGAGATCTTTTTTAGAAGGGAGGTCCTTTTTAATTTAGTCTTTTACATCAGCTCTTGTGGGAGGTCTCCTTTAGGTCTTAGATCCTGCTCACTCTCTCTATTTCTGGATAGTGGGGAAGAGGATATTGTGCCCTTTTCTTGGAAATTATTAGACTCTGGAAGGGGCAAAATTGTAGATAGAGCAGAGAAAGCAGAGCTGACTGCTGCCAATTTGTCAGAGCCCATGGAGACAGGAAAGGAGGCGGCAGAAATAGAGGGGTGTGCTGTTGTTCAATAATACAAAATTATGATTGTAGAGTTTTCTTCATGCTGATTCCTTTCACAGAACATGCTGAACTTGAATAAGCCTTACAGCAGATTCTTCCTCTGGTGAGAAGGAGGGGTTGAAGGAAAAAATCATAGTCATATAAATTATATTATTTATATCCATACTGATATAGTTATTAAACACCAAGCCAAGTATATTAAAATTAATTCTTACAGCAACCACATGGGGAAGGTATTAATAAGACCATTTATCAGCTAAGAAAGCAGAAGATAAATAATTGGCCCAAATGTCGTATATCTTATAAAAAAGATCTGAGATTCAAATCCATTGAGCTGGATGAATCTCAGAAACATGCAAAACAAAGAAAGCCAGACACAGAAGAGAATATACCACAAGATACCATTTACATGAAATTCAAGGACAGACAAAAAGTAAGCTGTGGTGATAGAAACCAGATCAGCAGTTAATTGGGTGAGGGGTAGGAGGGGATTGATTTCAAAGGGGTATGAGGGAACTCTTTTTGGATGATGGATATGCTCTATTTCTTAATTGTGGTAGTTCAATTATGTTTGTCAGAACTTATTGAACTGTATGTAAAAATGGATGTCTTTTATTGCATGTAAGTTTTAACACAATGAAGGCTATGATCCTGTCAATGTTGTATCTTCTTCCCTCAAGGAGAATATAAGCACGGAATTGCTTGCCATTGAAGAAAGAGCTGTTTATGTTTCTTTTGTGTCAATAATATAAATAGTACTTCTGCATTTTTCTAGTTAACTACTGAACATTTCATTGTATTTAATTAATAGGGACAGAAAAGTTATGTCTAAATATACAAAGTATGCAAAGTGAAGAATCCAGGCATTCCTTCGCTTCTTTTTTTTTTCAAATTAAAAAGAAAGCATGGTTTAGAGAATTAAAATATTCAAATGATTGCTTTAATTTTTGCTTTTATCTGTAGACATTATATATGTAAAGATAAGGCTTTGTTGACCACTGCCTAGGCGACCCCACTGGCAAATGTGTATTATAAAATTCATACCAATTCATATCAAAGGGATAGAATTAGTAGATCCATCCTTGGGCAGACATTCTGTCCTGTAAACACATTTCAAAAAGTGATTTTGGATAAAAATTTCTTTATCATTTGTTGAAAAATTAATTTTGATCATCTTACTCCTAAGAATTTCAAGTTTAAAATATTAAAATGTAACTAAATTCATTTGGATGAAATAGAAGGGAAAGATTTATTCAAATGTAACTATTAGCTAAAAGTAAATGTTACTTGGGCAAAAGAGCTGAACAGACACTTGACCAAAGATGACATTCAGATGGCCAATAAGGGTAAGAAAAGTTGCTTATCATCATTAGTTATTAGGGAAATTCAAATTAAACCATAGTGGGATACCACCACACACATATTAGAATGGATGCAGTAGAAAACAAAAATTAAAAAATGAAAACAAACAAAAAACGGCAAAAAGCTGAAAATGATAAGAACTGGCAAACTTGCAAAGCAATTGGTGGCAGGAGTGTGAAATAGTATGGCCATCCTGAAAAACCCTTTGGCACTTTCTTATAAAACTAAGCAAGTGCATGTTTTATATCTTCTTAGTATCGTAATAGTGCTTTGCCTGTGATAGGCTTTCCATAGATGTATTTTAGAATAACGAGATGAATGCATGACATTTCATTCTATTTTACATATTTTGGAATAGGGACCTTTGATAAGTTTATTTTTCCTAAAACCCCATGAAGTCATGGAATTACACTTATAGAAATTCAGCGCAGTCCAGCAATCAATTGCTGAACATTTATCCCAGAGGAATGAAAACTTACATTTTCATAGAAATCTGTACGTACGTATTTATAACAGCATTATTTTTAATAGCTTCAAACTGGAAACAACCTAGATTTCCTTCAATAGATGAATCATTAAACAAATGTGGCAAATCCATACTATCGAATACAACTGAGCGATAAAGAGAAATGCACTATTGATAACACAGTAACCTGGATGAATCTTCAGGGAATTATGCTGAGTGAAAAGGCCAATCTCCAAAGGTCATATATTATATGATTCCATTAATATAATATTCTTGAAATGGTAAAATTATAGAAATGGCGAACCATTTCAGAATAGCGGTTGCTAGGGGTCAGGACAGAGGAGCAGGGAGGCAGTGGAGGTGGCTATAAAAGGGCAACATGAGTAATCAACATGAGGGTGATGGGAATGCTCTGTAACATTTGACTGTATCAATGTCCATATCCAGGTTGTGATACTGTACTATAGATTTGTAAGATGTTACCATTAGGGGACACTAGGTGAGGGGTACACAGGATCTCTTTATATCATTTCTTAAAACTGCATGTGAATCTACATTTAATTCAAAATAAAACATTTAATTTTGATAAAGTACATTAAATCATGTTGCTCTCCTGCAAACCATCTAGTAGCTTCCCATAATATACTAAGAATCCAAAACTCCTCAATGTTGCCTAATAGGACTTGCAGGAGCTGGCTCCTGACGTCCCTTCCCAGCTCATTTCCTACTATTCTCCCTCTGGCTGACTTTGCTCCTAACCACACTTGGCTTCTTTTGGTTTCTCAAATACTCCAAAGGTGTTCCCACCTTAGGATCTTGGCGCTGGATGCCTCCAGCCTCTGAAATATGTTTCTCCCAGATCATAGTCTAGTTTACTCCCTCCCTTAATATAGTTGCTCTAACGTCACCTCCTTAATCTCACTCCCTTAATGTTATTTGCTAAAATATCACTTCCTGAAAAAGGACTTCCCTGACCAGTTTGTCTAAAACAGCACACATATTTCTGTATTTTCTGATGAGCAAAAATAAGTCGGAAAAGTATTCATATCTTTATGAGAACATTTGTGTGTAAAATTTAATGCACAAAAAAAATCATTATATATTGTTTAATCCTACCAGGCAGGTAAGTGGATAAGGCTTTTATGGGGGAATACTGCATTATGAGTAAGATAAGAGATAAGTAATACCTGATAGCCATTAGTGTTTTTGCAGAAAATGTGAGTGTGTGACCTAAGAAAAATGTTTTGCGTGCAAATTTGGTAGCAACTTCTTTCAGTTGCAATATAGTTTCTATTTATTTAAGTAGTCCTACTGAGAAATGAGCTGCTATGTGCCTGTCCTTATCAGAAAACACTACATCTTGGGCTCTACCAGGAAACAGAAGACTATTTATTAGTACCAAAGAAAGGTACTAATGATTTCAGATTGAAGTAGTACAATAAATGGTCCATTAAATGCTCTTGAATTTACGTGCTTTCATTTTATTGCTGTTATTTCATTAACTCCTTGATGGACACTTGTTTTGGAAAAAATCATCTTCTCAATGCAAATCCTGGGACTGCTTCTCCTTGAGGTCATTCAAACTCCGTGTTACTCATTTTCTATCTTCGTGGTAGCATCATAGTGCCTTGCATGTTAAAGGTATCCCATACATGTATTTTAGAACAAAGAAATGAATAAACAAAGGACATTTAATCTTATTTTACATATTTAGGAATAGGGATCTTTGATAAGCTTATTTTCTTTGAAACTCAATGAAGTCATGGAATACTACACTTCTACAAATCCTTTAATGTAGGAGTCAGTGGGAAACGTGCATATCTACTGAGGATCATGAAGGCCAATACACTGCACTAAAATATTGAGGGACACAAAGAACCCTTTTATTGCCTGCACTGCAAATTCATCTGTTTCTGCAATAGATTTCTGTGAATAGATGATGGGCTGTACTATATTTTAATTCCTTGCTTCTGGCAGGTTCCAACACACAGGGGTAAGAGGATGAAACAATAGTAGACAGCTATAATTATTTGGTTAGGGATTGCATAGGGTAATATTCAATGTCCCTCAGGAAATTGGCACAACACAATATAATTGGCTTTATTTTATTGTTTGTAATGTTCATGTTTCCCCAAGTCAGCTGTGCTTTATTTGATTGCACTGAGACCAAAAATATGTAAAGTATTTGTTGACAGAGAAGGTGAACAAGCTATTACTCTGTATGAGTGGATAGCTTGAAGTGTTCACATCTCTAGTTTTGCCAAGTGTTTATATTACAGATATGTTGAAAACCACTGCGGGGGACAAGGACAGTCTTTCTCAAATTTGAGCATAAATGAGAATCACTTGGAGTATTTGTTAAAATTCAAGATTCTTAGGCCTTATTTCCATAGATTCTGATTCCAGAGGATCAAAGCATGCAAAAGATATTGAATCTCTAACAAGCTCCCAAACAATGGTGGTTCACACACCACAGTCTTTGTAACACCACACTAGGCTGACCAGTTAGTAGAGATAGGGGCTGCTGGTCACACATGTGGATGAAGTTAGGTGGAAATCAGCTGGAAGCCTGAGCTGCGGTCAGGGCAGGAAGGCCTGCATCTTCCCCAGGAAGAAACTGCGACTTCTCTGAAGACAGATGATGAATGTGAAGCTAATTATATGGGAGTTGACTCAGAGGATAATGGAGATGATTTATGGAAAGTTGTGCTACAAAACTGGGTGGAAATATGAAAACAGCAGTGAGGTGATGACGTGCGTGGGACGTCAGACCAGAGCCAAAAATTTCTTTTATTGCATCTGAACATTTGAGCGTTTTGTCCTGGGGAGACAACCAATTGCCATTAATGTTGGAAAACAAAATTATCTGATGCTTTTAGACAGACTATGTGAAGTGTAAATGAATCATGGTGATAGTTGTGGCAGACTCTCCAAGTTGCTTTCCCAATGTCTTTTCACCCCTTTACCAACAGAACCACCATATCATATCAATTGGAAACAAATGAGAATTGGTTTTACGCACTGATGACACTAACAATGGGGGTAGGCCTTACTGAGCTTGGCAATTTGCCCAGTTATAAAATTTGATTCCTCAGCCTCCTTTAAAGCTGCATAGATCTGCATGACAGAGTTCTAGCAAGTGAGAGATAACCAGAGCTCTACTAAGCAGGCTTCTGGGAATCTATTGTTTTCCTGACTTAAGGAAATGAAAGGGCAGACTTAGCTGCATTGCACCCTTTGCTATTTCCTCTCCCTCCTTTCCTGGAATGTAGTTGTAAGGCCTGGGTGTGTAGGAGCCATCCTGAAAGCATTAGGACAAAAGCCAAATGAAAAGATGGAGGGAGCCTGGGACTTCCATACTAGCCCCGGGCTGCCTACCCCAGACTCCTGTTGCCTAGGAAGAGTATATTAATTTGCTTAAGCAGCTGCTTTTGTGTGCCTGTTATATGGAGCCATACAAAATTCCTAACAGATGAAATGGATATGATTTGTTAAGAATTTACTACATGCTAGCCACTTTTCTAAAAGTTGTATATATATTATATATCATTGAATTCTGACAGTGGCCCCGTGAGATATATCGTTCTATTTTACCAAAAGCTCTAAGAAGAATCAATAGCATTTTAAAATGGACTTTTAATAATGCCAGGGTAAATTTCTGTGTGTAAGTTTAAATTTTATTTACTTTAACCTGACTTAACTCCTCTCCTAAGATAGTCTCTTGACACTTATTTTACACATAATGTATTTTATGGTGATTATATTCTATGCCTCTTATATGGACTTGAAATTATTAATATTCATCCTCCATTGGGCTCAAAAACAGGTGAAGTTTACTACCAAAAACAAAGAAACAAACAAAACCCAGTTTTGATTCTTGTAACTTGGGTGTAAACTATGGAGAGAATCTGGGTTGAGTAGACTTGACCTCATTGTAGATGCTGTAAGTATGATATATAACATAGCTTACCCATGCATGTCCTGAAATTAATATTATATTCTAGTGGTCTGGACAGTTTCATTATTTTTGTATTGCAATTGCCCATGTTAAAAATCTGTCTGTGCTGTCATGTTCCTTCCTTTCCTCTTCAGAGAAAAGTGATTAGAACATTAAGTGGAGCAAACTGACCTGACCCTCAGAGATAAATAAAGGAATAAATTAGCTTGCAAAGAAATGGTTCACACTATCTAGAATTTATTTGCAGCTTAAATATGAGGGTGGGAGGTTAGGGTCTTGGGAGACAAATTGAGAATCTAGCTTTAAATTAGATTTAATATCAGACTGAAATTCTAGTCAATTATCCTCAAAATAACTGAAAATTTCTGTGGCACTCAGTGTTCCACAAAATCATTATTAAAGCCCAACCAATGGTTTTCATGAGTCCCACAGCCTAGTCCCCTATATGGAGATCACAGAGTTTTCAAATCCTGTCTTCTGAGTCCACATTAGGTATATTTGAGGCATAATCAGGGTCAAATCAGAGAATCACCAAAATTTAAAGACCTCATAGTATCTAGTTTAAGGTAATAATTTAGAAATGAAAATAATATAGCTGAGAGGTAGAAGTCACCCCTCCACTTAATGTTCTAATCATTTTTTTTTCTAGTACCTAAGCCAAAAATAGAGTTAGGGGCTCCTACGTCTTAATTTCTAGTCACTCATGGTCTCCCATGAAAGATTCCTGCCATAATCAGTTTGGCTGCTACAACAAAATACCATAGACTGGGTGGCTTACGCAACAGACATTTATTGCTCACAGTTCTAGGGGCTTGGAAGTCCAAGATCAAGGTGCCAGCTGATTCAGTTCCTGGAAAGGACTCTCTTCCTGGCTTACAGTTGGAGATGGCCATCTTCTTGCTGCATACAGAGGAAGAGGGAGAGAGCTATCTCATGTCTCTTCTTATAAGGGCACTAATCCCATCATGAGGGCTCCACCCCCACAACCTAATTACCTCCTGAAGGCCTCCAAATACTATTACATTGAGAGTCAGGGCTCAAAATATGAATTTTGGGGGGACAAAATTTAGCCATAGCAATTTCCCTAGTATTTTTTTCATATTCTAAGTCTCACTAGATGGGTATAATTACAAGCAATGAGTAACTTTCAAATGTGTCCTGTGTTTTTGCTAAAACCAAATCCCTATCCCAAATGTGGTCACATATGGTATCATTTCCCATCAAGAAAAATGTAGAAAATACCCCTGTTGAGATGCAACCTCATGTTCAAAGAGCCTGCTGCCCAGGTCACACCAGACCACACCCAGAGACTAATACAACGTGGAAAAGAGTGAGCCCAGAGGGATGGGCTAAGCTTACATCCAACCCACTTCCCAACAACCTCCGTCAGCCTCAAATTCAAGGTAACACTAACAGTGATGGTGTAAATCCCAGTTCCAAGGTCAGCCAGTGGCTCCTTAGAGGCAGTAGACAGAAGGCAGTAGTTTAGGTGTGCACTAGTGCAGCTGAGATCACATGCCGGCTCCACTAGTAACTCGTTTTTAAATTTGTTTTGAGAAAGTCACTTATTGTCTCTGTGCTTTGGATTTTTTCATCTGTAAAACAGATCTAACAATATTAACTCCATAGAGTTAAAAGGATCAAATGAATGACTCATGTAAGTGTGATCCCAGCTTGATACTAGCACTGAGTCTGTTAGAATCCTAAATGCAGGCAAGACCAAGGCTCAAGACAACCAAGAACTCATCATCCAGTTCCCATCAAAGATGAACTCTTCACATATCTTTTCCTTAACCAATGCTTTTTCCATGGATGGATTTGGTGACTTCTGAATAGTTTAATCTTGTTTCGCTCTCATTCCCGTTTGTTTTGAAGATCTGGAGAGTAGGCAATACTCAGCCATTTTCACCATCTGCATGAATATTTTCTTATTGATGCACGTGTCTATAAATCATTCTGTGTGCCTTTCTCCATATTCTGAGAATTGCCTGTATTTGAGGGTGGAGGTCATTGAGTCTTTGGGGAATCTGATAGTAGCAGTTCTTATTCTCTCTCCCACCAACACTACTACCACATACATATCTGAACAATTGACATACGATCTTAGAGGCCCAGCACTTCCTGATGCCTTCATGGACCCTCTGGAAAAGTCTGTAGTGATAAAGTCTTCTATTCTATGCCTACATACGCTTCTTAAAATAAAGACGGTCTCCAAAGGATAGTTTTTTTTTTTAATTTAAGCTTTGGCTCATATATAATTTAAGAAAAAAATTTGTGAAAGAACATAAGTGATTTGTGCTCAACATCTAAAGAAAAGACACATTTCTCTTCAACTATCTTTTCCTTTTTGGTGATTTTGGACTTCCTGGGCTATGCTGAATGTGATAATATTCTAAGCTAGCCAAATCTCTCTTAAGGACCTGCCAATTTTCAAAGCAAAGTTATGTAATTATGTATTTCCAACAGAAGAAAAAGTTAAGGTGCATATGAAAACATGCTGAAAAGTGTGGAAATGTTATCAAAGACAAATTATACATTTATCACTTCAAAATCCAGACAGTATAGAACTGCAGTGCTTATTTGTTTAGACTGTCCGCCCGAAGTGTAACTGTTAAAGTACATTAAGCAGAGGCCTTATGTCTGCTTTGGATGACAGCTGGGACATTTTTATTTCATAGACTGCATAACAGAACCTGGCCAACTTCAAGGTCAAAGTCAGAAATCATGATCTCATTTCCACTATTGACTCAGACTTGCCCTTATTTATGACTTACAGAGCTCACTCCATGTGCCATATCTAGTCAGTATGCAATGAGATCTGTGAAATCAAACTCATGTCAAACCCCTGGCCATCATATGTTTTTCAGGTAGGCAGTTGGAGTAGGGGATAACTGGATTCTTGTTTCTATTTGGGCAAGTCACAACTTCTGTGGGCCCCAGTTTATTTTTCTGTAAAGTGGCCAGATTGAATTACTTACCTCTCAGGTCCCAGGTGATGCTCTTCCTGATCTTCCTAATGATTTATCATCATGGCTGATGATTGATTGCCTGTTGTTTCTTTTCCCAAAGATAATAATAATTGTCAAAAGCCTGAGATGTATCAATACCAGGCACTGATCAAAGCACGCTATGTTTTTAAAAAAATTCTCACAACAACCTTATGTCATAGGTGCTCTCATTCTCCCCCCACTTTGAAATATGAAAAAAACCTGCAGATCAGGAAAGTTCAATAATGTGCTCAAGGTCATACAGTTGGCAAGAGGCACAGTGAGGCTTCAAAACGAAGGCTGTCTCGTTCCAGAGCCAGCACAAATAATGACTCTACTGTTGAAGCAAAGCAATAATTGTTTCTAGTTAGGATTCTTACATCAACTTGCGTATTTTCCAGTGTATTTTCTTGGATTTGAGACATTTAACCAAAATTTACACACTTTGGACTGGAACCATAAAAAAAAATTGTGCCCCTAAAAATCACCTGATATAATTAATTCCCCTGTCAAGCATATCTGCTTTTAACTAAGTCCTTCCCATGTCTCCATATCAGCTTTCTGTTACAGATACATTGATTGCTGGCTGCATAGGGTTTCAAAACAAAATATAATTTGAACTGGAAAGTTTCGGTTGTTATTTATGTGACCAAACTTTGAGGTTGCACTTTTCATTCAGCTTTTAGGTGTGCTGATAGCCAAGATCTTTGCAAGTTCATTTTTTATAAGAAATAGGCTACTAGCAAAATACAAGTTTATTTAGAAATACTGAGAATATACTGCTTCCACCAGGAGAAAGGCTAAGATACTAAACTGAATTAAAATACACGTAAACAATGACATGATACATAAGAAAAGTTCTAGAAAAAAAACTTTAATTTTAAATAAGAATTACTTATATACCAATCAGGTACTCTTCATTCATCTTTTCAGCTTGGCATATTATAAACTAGGGGCCATCATCCCAGAATTTTATAGTAAATATACTTTTAAGATGTCTCACTATAGAGCTTTCAAGAGGGGTTACTAACGAAAACAAAACATACTAAAAGTAGACTGTTTCAATGTTTTCTGGATAATGGGATAAAGTAAAAACAGCATTTGGATGAGGGGTCAGGAGTATGATGTCTCTCTTTGGAAGGACCCAAGAACTGCAGAAACGGCACACTAAGCAAGGGGCACAGGTGATCCCCTGGGGTTAGACAAACACGGGAACCACTGCCCTGCTCCACAGCACTCTCTCCTTTAGACTCTAAGCTCTTCAGCGGGGTCATGGACCTCTAATGCAGTGGAATACACAACAGTTTAGTCAACTTCATACCTGCACTGTTAACTTGCCAAACTATTTCCTTGAGGCTCACTTATCTCACCTGTAAAATGAGGAGATGGGACTGGATGGTTCTCGAAGGTCATATCTATGTCCAGCATTCCCATCTTCAGTCTAAAATTATGTGAGGAATTAAACTCTGAAAGGTGTCTTTGTCGTGTATCATTCTAATTCATGCCTCTTATTGAAGGACTTCTGGTTGGTTGGTTGTTTTTTCCAGCTGTATTGAGATATAATTGACAAATAAAAGTTGTATATATTCAAGGTATACATGATAATGTGATATACATAAGCCTTATGAAATGATTATTCAGCAATAAAAAGGAAGAAAATTCTGCCATTTGTGACAACCTAGATAACCTTTGTTTTTACCATTAGCTCTCTTTTAAGTCAGTGGGTACTCTGAGAAAACATAACCTACTTAGTTTCGAATAATGCTCTGTGGGTCTTCTATCCTGCATCAGCCACATTTATATGCTAGGAGAAGAATAAACTATATATAATGGTTGTCATTTGTTAAAGTCTACCCCATTTCAGTTATTCAGTTGTTCTTGTCTTTACTTTTCTCTCTAAGGATATTCCAAAAATATATGTTAGTATTTAATTCTGGTAAACAGATCAGATTCTTGGAGTTGGGTTTTGTTGGGGTGAGGGGAATTGGCAGGGCAGAGAGGATTACTAAAATAAAATACACACTTTCAAAAGTGTTTATTGTGTTCTAGGCATTAGGCAAGGTGCTCTGCATGAAGAAACCTATTTAGTGAGTAGACTAGCCTTGGAAAAACCCACAACCCTTAAAACATGTTCTATGGGTTCCCTCTGTCCTGCCCCTGCATCATTCAGCACCACAGATTCTTTGAGTAATTTCAGATATTACAGTAATTTCACTTTAAGGTATTAAAAAGTCCAACCTGATCCAAAACAAAATTTTCATCAGAGACCCAATTCAAAGTTTCTTCCCCATCAAGCCTGGTCCAATTTGGAAACTGTAGGGGGAAAGTGGGGAGCGGTTTCTTTCTTCTTCTCAACGAACTAGTTATACACACACACACACACACACACACACACACACACACACACATACAATTTTCAATCCTCATTTATGACAATCTCTTAAAGTAGGCTTGACTGTTCCCATTTTATAGAAACTACAACTAAAAAGACATCATACATTTTATAGGGTTTGACCCAAGGATTTTAAAGCAGATTGTTTCCACTGCCCTCTTTTACCTCTCAAAATGTCAGTTACCCACATGGTTGACGTGTGTGGTGTGAATGTGGTGGTTGGATTTGCTTCTCTTAAATTACGTTTCCCAATGAAAAAGGATCAAATAGTTTAGTTATGTTGAAATACTTTTTGTGTATCTGCATGTGTTTGATGAGGCACAAGGCTGTTTCACCCTGAACATGCCTCTCATAACTCAGAGGTATCCAGGATTGATGCAGAGGATGGCTGTGACTCCTGCGGTAAAATGTAGATACTTTGTCCAGCACCAGCACATGCACATAAGAAACATAGAGAAATATATGTCATATATAGAAATCATTTTGTAGATGACATAAATCAATCAATAATTGTTAAAGTACATTTAGTGGATTAGGAAGCAGCACAATGATAGTACAGGCAAGTTGCAGAATAGATAAGAGTAAGTTTGGGAGGATACAAGGTGTTGGCATTTTTCAGAATAAAATCCGACTCATAAATATTTGAAGGACTCTAGAAAGGGAATATAGAAATGGTATATTGAGATCAGAATTGAAAGTGAGGTAATTTCATGTGTGTGATGTTTATTATTTAGTGAGAGCAATGAGTATTTGAATGTTCTATGTGAATCATCCCTGTGAGTATTACACAAAGATTTAGACTTCGAGGCATCATTTCTCTCACTCTTCAGGAACTAGATTTAGAGCTTGAGTCATTGCTTTATATTTTTGAAGTATATATTAATATGTTTTTTAGTAAATCCAGTGATTCCTGGGTTTTTAATTGAAAGCTAAGTATTATGGTGGGATATAAACCAACCAATTTCTAATGGATGCCACTTGGAAAGTTTTTCTTTCTCCTACAGAAGAGAAAGCAGTGGGAAATGGCATATAATGCCAAGAAATCATGTTTCCTGCTTAATCCATGTGAAAAGTATATGGATGACTGTCAAAAAGATCTGTTCAACTACAAATGGAGTACAGATGACCATGTGGTCAATACAATACAATAATGCAATATTTAATACTGTAATACAGTTTCCAATAGTATGAAGTTGAAATAGGTGTTGAGATGCTTTAAATTGAATAATACAGTGTATTTTAAGTGCATAGAGGTCTTTCTTACAAAGAAAGTGCACGGAAAACTTTAGAAGGTAAAGACACAAAGTATAAGATGTATCTTGTGTTGGTCTTTAGAAATTTGAATTCTCTTTCAAGCTAGGACAAGTCTTGAGATGAAACATACATAAAAAAAAAAAAGGTCTTTATAAACCTGAAGTCTAACTCAATCCTGAGTCACATGATAGACAACCAAAAGCACCATGACTTTATGCACCTCCATTTGTTTCCCTGAAGCTCAGAGGATCCCTCTGAATGCATTCCTCAGACCTCGTGGTGAATCCAGCACCTTGAGGATCATATTGAAGTTTTTAAACTGAGCCTAAAAACTCCATTACTACAGCTTAGGCTTTTCTTTTCCTAAGTACTTTTCTCATGCTCCCCGCAGGCAAGATTTGCTGCAAGCACAAACCTGTCTCAGGCTCAATATCTACCTTTCTGAAAAACATTTTTTATGAAAATGGCTTTGTGTCCATCTCGTATCCTGTTATTTTCAGCTCATTGAGACATGGCATTGAATATATCTCTTACATGGCGTTGCATATATCTCTAAAAAGAGAAACATTTTTTCTCCACACCTAATTTTCTTCACCTCTATCAATTCTTCCTTGGCTATACCTTTACTTAACTCCTATGTCTGCAAGGCTTTTGAAGTTCCTTTGCAAAGATCCATTTTAAACTTTCTGTATATTGTAATTTAAGTTTTCTGTTTCTTTCTCCCATCTGCTAGTCAAATTTTCTTCTCAGCAGAAAACCTCACCATTGCTTCATTTCCACACATGGAAGGCATTCAAGCATAGCAACTGGGAGTCACAGTTGTACTGAAATGAGAAGGAAATGTGCTTCCCAACACAGCGTCAGCATCTCCAACCAGAGGCCATTTGTCTTTTTTTTTTTTTTTTTTTTTTGGCTTTTCAGCAAATGACTGCTAAAGGAAAGTCTCTCAAAACCCAAATCAGTAGCACTCCAACCCTTGTTGCACAAAGCATTACATTGGATCATGGAAGGGTTAAGATTTCTATTAAAAATGTTTCTCATGGTGAATCTGAGATGAATGTATCTTCTAAGCTTGCTATGATTCTTCCCCAGCCTTCTCATTTCCTACTCATTGACTCCTCTGTTGGCGTCAGCTTTCCCCTCTGGTCTCCTGGGTGGGTTCCTTTCCATTCTGCTCAAGTCTAGCTCTTTCAGCAGGCCCCAGCTGGCCCACCAAATTCCTTGTGCAGCCTTACCCTGTGGCACTGTGGAAGGGCAGGGCTTTCCTGGCACAGCTTGGCTCTTTGCTGCCCCAGGAAGCTTCCTCCCATCAGCCTTTTGCCCTTAGACTCATTTCGAAGAAAAAGTCCCTGTATTTCCCCAAATCCCAGAGGACATAAGTCACGCTTTCTGAGGGGTTCTCTGAAGCCTCCCTTATTCAAACTCTGTCAAGGACCAAGGAAATTCTGTAACATTCAGACAACCTTCTCTCTAAACTCTAAAGAACCTATAGCTGGGTCGAGCGGCGTGGCTCACACCTGTAATCCCAGAACTTTGGGAGGCCGAGGGAGTGGATCACTTGAGGTCAGGAGTTCGAGACCAGCCTGGCCAACTTGGTGAAACCCTGTCTCTACTAAAAATGCAAAAATTAGCCAGGTGTGGTGGCAGGCGCTTGTAATCCCAGCTATTTGGGAGGCTGAGGCAGGAGAATCGCTTGAACCTGGGAGGCAGAGGTTGCAGTGAGCCCAGATCATGCCATTGTGCTCCAATGTGGGCAACAGAGCAAGACTCTGTTGCCAAAAAAAATAATAAAAAAGAACCTATTGCCACCCCAAATTCTCAACACATGCTAGACTGGACTGGCAAGGGTTGAGAATTCAGACTGGAGGTGCGGGGTGGTAGGGGAGGTGGGTTGGTCTTGGCAGAGTTCAGTTTTGATCACCCCCTTAGCATGTCCTGCATTGATGACCTGGCAGCTTCATTAGCATGTGAGGATATTTGACACCTGTTTTCCTCAGCTTTGGGACCTCAGCTGAAATTTCAAAACAGGAAGTTTCATTTTGTTTGTTTTGTTTTACATTGTTTTGTTTTGTTTTCCTTTGTCATGCAGACTTTTTTTAAAAAAAGTTTTAGGTACTCAAAATTATCAATGTATTTTCTGGCTTCTAGATTTTATGTTTGCTTAGAATGGCCTTTCCCACTCTATTTTAGTTTACTGGGGTTATTGTTAAAAAGTACCATGAACTGGGTGACTTAAACAACAGAAATTTATTGCCTCACTCTTCTAGAGGCCAGAATCTGAAATTATGGGGTTATCAGGAGCGTGCTCCCTCTTAAGCCTCTAGGGAAGGATCTCTTCCAGGCCTGCCTCCTCGCTTCTGTTATTCTGTGGCTTGAGGCAGCATAACTCCAGTCTTCACGTGGTGTTCTCCCAATGTGCATGTCTGTGTCTAAATTTCCTTTTTTTATAAAGACACTAGTCATATTGGATTAAGGACCCATCCTACTTAGATATAACATCATTCTAACTTAACAAATTATATTCATAACGACCTCACTTCAAAATAGGGTTATATTCTGAGGCACTGGCAACTAGGATTTGAGCATATAAATTTCGGGGAGTGGGCACAAGACAATCTATACACACTCTACTAAACACACTGTCCTGGCTTTCTTATAAGTCTTTTGGATAGCTAGCTAACTAGATAGATAATTTTTGTTGTTTTAGTTTGTTTATTTTCCTCATCTGAAGTTCACCTGAAATTTACTTGGTCTAAGGAATAAGACAGGGGGAAGAATGCACATGGATATTTTACTGAATAGTTAGTGCTAATTATAGTGTTTTATCCATTATATTATTCTCTCCAGAGCCTAGCAAAATGATTGATACCCAATAAATAAATATAAAAATATTGACACCAATGCTCAATAAATTTCTTTAAGATTGAATCACATCACTTACCAGGTAACTGAATTGTTAAGTTTATAACTAGAAGATAGCTTGTTTATTTGAACTGATAGCGGCTATCTAGAAATTTGATCACAGGTAGTGAAGATATCCTAGAGAATTGACAAAGCCTATAGCTGCAGTGATCTGAAAGGATATTGGGTTAAAAAAATACTAACATTTTCTGTTTATTGAAGGAAATGAATACAGTTCCTGTGACATATCTTTTGTACCAGCACAGAGGACAGGGTAATGACCTAGAATCAAAGAATGATTTATAAAACAGAGCTCTTCTTTTACTGGCAGGTAGTAGCTAGATTATTTTGTGTGTGTGTGTGTGTGTGTGTGTGCATGCGTGTGTGTGTGTGTTCAAGGTACATATGTTGGGGAAGTGGGCAAGGAAAATAATCCTAGGAACAGCCATGGAAGCTCATGAAAATATTTAGAAGCAACATTTTAGAGCAATAATAGTAAATGATTGTTTGGGGTCTATTCCAAATTTTAAGTTTTAGGGAACAATCTCCTTCTTTATGATGCTAAATTCCTAAGTATTTTTCATATAAGACAAAAAAGATATAAAAAATATTGAAAACTAAGTTTTGGTGGCTAGGAATGAAACTTATGTAGGTCCATGTTCGGTATTTGATAACACATAGATATGTACTTGGATATTATGCTACAAATAGCTGAAATTTTTACATTTAATTTATATTTATGTTCAGAGTGATTACAGATAGTAATTTGTATTTTGATGGGAACACATGGAGTCTGCCTGACCATTGGTTAGTGTCAAGTGAAGCTATTTCATGGGACAAGATGGCAAGATAAGTCACTGACATCAGGAAAGTCATTAGAAAAAAATATATCAAGAGTTTATCTCTCAGCAAAACACTATATATTGTTTATATTTTAACATAGTCTTCCCTGCATGTTTCAGAGAAAAGTATTAATATGCTAGCTTTTAGAAACAAACAGTTTTTGAATTACTAATAAATATTTTTTCCAACTCTGCCTAAGACATTTATTTTAAACTGAATAAAAATTTAAATTCACCCATTCTCTATTTTCTCTACATTTTAACAATAACCCAACTGCAAGTCACTCCAATTCCCATATAATTGTAACTTCTTTTTGAAAAGCTTAGAATTATATGAATCATGCTAAGCTCTTTTATTATTGACTAAAAGGGCATATTCTAATCTTTTACTATCTTTGCTGGATGTAGGGTATAAATAGAAAAACCCTATTTCACCAGGGAAAGGCTATTACGTGTCCAAAAAGACTTTTTGTTTTTCCAGCTTAGGGAACATTCACATTTTAGATGCTGGCTAATATATGTTTCCTGAGCTGATGGACTGTAAGCTGGTTGTATTTGGCCCCTGTCATCTTCTTCCACCCCAATGATGCAAGCCAGAACAGAGACACAGTGTCAAGTCCTATGAACAAGAACACGATGTGGTAGTGTAAAGCAAAGAGACAGTGTGGAGTGGAGGAAAGGAGGAAACAGTGAGGAAAATTTTGAAGGAGAAGCAGCAGGGTGGGGGTATCAGGAAGGAGAGAGATTGAGGGTTCTGTGAATGTCATGGTCCAGGACTTGGGACTTGGCTCATTTTTTTTTGGTAGTTCTCAGTAGATTCCTTGATCTCTATGAGACTCATTGCACAATTTGAACTACATCTTCTCTAGAGCCCCTTTCATCTCTAGGATGCTAGGCTTCTCTTAAGCTTAATTGTGAATACTCTGAAAGGAGAATCTTTGCTTTCACTGAAGACATAATATTTGGAGCGCTTCAATCTCAATTTTTTTGAGGTAGACAATTCTGTTATAGTACAAGCCTGTGTCTTTATCTAGAACATGGTAATTCTGTAGATCAAGGGCCTTCACCTTATGGTTTTTCCACATGGAATGATACATTTCAGTTCTTTATAGTCTCATAGCATGCTGTTTATCTGACCAAAGGCAGTTTTGTTGTTGTTGTTGTTTAACATATTTTCTGTAGCTTTCTCCCTGAAAATGATGTCTTCATATATCTTTGCTGTATTTGAATGCTTTTAACCTCAAATTAAGCTAGTTAATACGGTTATTTGATTCAAAAATCTGAATCAGAATCAGAGAATCCAAATGTGAATTATTCAGCAAAATCATGCAGGCTTTTCTTTGCACGGTAAAATAAGCAGAGGCAATATTTTCTTCAGAATCAGTGAGCAGTACACATATCCTTTAGGCAATGTACTGTTTGATTTTCAGTGCGGAAATGTGTGCTATGCTCTTTCTTTTAGAGGTTCAGTTTGTCAGCAGATTTTTGTGTCATTCTAATTTTTGCTTGTTTCTTTGGGAATCTAAAATTTCTCCATCTGTATATTTTAAATGATTGGGGGCCAAAATTTATAAACTGAAATAAACAGGGAAATTAACCTTGTTAATGAATGGTAGTAAGGGAAATGTGGCACTAATTTACAACAAATAAAAGAATCAAAGAAAGGGAAGGAGTTCATTTTTGAGTGAGGATTCAGAAGTTTCCCTTTTAAAAAAAATGAGATAACCCATAAACAATACCAACACTTTAGCTACTTGTTAATTAGGCCATTGAACTTTCCTTTGAGATCCTAGAATCTGAAAAAATAATTAGCTTTGCAAGGCCATTAGTGAAGGAGAAAAACTTATATTGCCTAGAAACCAGATCAAGAATGATACAGAAAGCTACACTTCTTGCATGTGGCATTATTGAAGTGAATTGTAAGAATAAAATGACCTGGACACTTGTATGTTATATGAAACAAAAACAAAAAATTGCTCAGCAACTTATTAGGAAAAACATTTAGTTATCCTCTGTATTCATTCCCTACTAGTATAACAAATCACCACAAACTTATGGCATAAAATACACAAATATATTATCTTATAGTTCTGAAGTTAGAAGTCCAAAATCAGTCCCACTGGACCAAAGTCAGGGTGTTGGCAGGGCTTCTTTCCGGCTGGAGGATCTAGAAGTGGACAGGTTTCCTTGTGTTTACCCAGCTTGTAGAGATTTTCTGCATTCCTAAGCTCATGGCCACTTCCTTCCTCCATCAGCACATCTCTTTCTCTTCTGACCTTCCGGTATCCTTCTTATAAGGATTTGTGATTACTGTGGGCCCATTCAGATAATCCAAGATACTCTCCTCATCTCAAGACCCTTAATCACATCTTCTAAAGACCTCTTGCCCTGTAAGTTAACACATTCACAGATTCAGGGGATTTGGATTTGGACTTCACTAAAGGGCTATTATTCAGCCCACCACATCCCCCTTGCTTCACTCAGCTGTTTAAACAGCAAGTACATAAATCTTAATGGAATAAGGGCTAATTTTTAAATTTATTTAATAAAATTTTTTTTAATTTTTGTGGGAAAATGGGTCCATCAATAGAGAACTGATTATGTTCATGAAGAAAATATATGCTGTTTATGCAAATATTGTTTATATCAAGGCTTGTTTCTAATCCTTAAAACAGATTAAAAGTATCAGAAAAGACATGACCAAAGAAGGAAATAGTGAGGCACTGCTTCCCATGTTTATTTTATTTCATTAAAAAATTTAATCGACAAATAAAAGCTGCATCTATTCAAGGTGCAAAACATGATAAATCAAGGACTTCCACAATCATTACAGATGAATATTGGGATATTGCCAATGTGAAGATCTGCCTTATCCTTGAAAAGAAGGAAATGAAACTGGTACTAAACTAGAATGTCATTTTGGAAAATTGGACAGGCAATTACGCCAGAGGAAAATTTGTATTGTGATGAAGTACTTTTTGTTCCCATGAGAGAAATTAACATTTAAATGGCTACTATTAAGCAATCTCACAAAAATTAAGATGAAGTGTCATAGAACACCTGAGTGAATACTTTTTACTTTTGCTGTTCTGTTACCTGCAGGAATAAGTTTATAGTTGTAAGAACAAATCTTTAGTATGAACTGCCTTGAGCCACAGTGAAGAGAGAGGAATCATTTGTATTTGGGAATAGTGGCTGGAGTTGAGGATACATACAAGAAAAAGCTAGAGATGGAACCTGAAGCCATAGCATGGGACCTATAAATACTAGACTAGAAAAGAATTCTTAGTTGAATAGGAAATGGTAGGGTGGTGACTGGGGATTTTAAGCAAGATTGGGATATTTTAGGAAGATTCATCTGACCATTCTTTTAGAGGCAGGTTGATTAGGAAAATAAGTTAATGAAAAAGTGAGCAAATTGTAGCTGAGATAATGCTGGAAGAAGGGAAGGAACAGATTTGAGGCTGTGCAAAGGAAACACCTTTGTGATTTATCAGCTGATTTGCTGTGGGTCGAAGGGGTGAATCAAAGAGGAAAACAAGGTTTCCAAAGTTCAAGCTTTTGTAACTGATGTTGGCATTATCAAGAAGTGATATGTCATGAGGAGAAACATTTGTATGGTTGAGGTGAGGCACGTGAAGTTTCAGTTTGGAAGTATTGAGTGTGGGGTGACTACAGACATGACAATGGTGATGTCAAGTGAGCTAGACAGAAAGCTCAGGAAGACAGGTCAAGGCTAGAAAGAAAATATGAGTCAACTAACTTAGAGGTTATATGCTTATGTGACTGAACATGAGAGTGGCAGTAAGGTCGACTCTTATTCATTTTATCGTCAAATAGCTTTTTTGTACGTAGGTCATTTTGCCACTGCCACTATGTTAAAATAGAATGAAAAAGACATTCTTGAGGCATTATTACTTAAAGACAGTTTTTGGCTGGGCGTGGTGGCTCACACCTGTAATCTCAGCACTTTGGGAGGCTGAGGCAGGTGGATCATGGGGTCAGGAGATCGAGACCACCCTGGCTAACATGGTGAAACCCTGTCTCTATTAAAAATACAAAAAATTAGCCGGGCGTGGTGGCGGGCGCCTATAGTCCCAGCTACTGGAGAGGCTGAGGCGGGAGAATGGCGTGAACCCGGGAGGTGGAGCTTGCAGTGAGCCGGGATCGTGCCACTGCACTCCAGCCTGGGCAACAGAGTGAGACTCCGTCTCAAAAAGAAAAAAGAAAAAAAAAAAAAAAGACAGTTTTTAAGATGATTTCAGAAATACTGTATGGTATATAACTATTATGAGGGAAGTGTAAGAGAAGGAATTTAAATGACTGAGAGCATCTGAAATTATTCCAGGATCACCCTTCCATGAATCCATATATTTTCTCAAGATTTGGGGATTTACTCAACATGTTCCTGACAGTTTGCAAGTTTGCAAAATTATAACACAAAAGACTGTATTATCAACTAGTACTTTCCTTAGCTCTATAGTGTTCTGTACATCATTAAACATGCAACAAACGATGTTTCCTTGCCTGAAGTGTATATTTTTTCTCTTTGCTTTTACTGAATTATCTTTTTTGTACCTTCAGCCTACTTTGAGAAATGAGGATTTACTGGAGGAATTTCTCTCTGTTCTCAGGGCTAGGAATATGTGATTCTCATGAACATGGTTTATTATTTTATGACCCAAATATTGAATATTATATAGCTTTACACCATGTATATCTCTTTGCATTAGCTACAGAAAAGCCTAGAGACAAATTTATGCCCACTTTTATAAGTTTTAAAGCTTGAAAATATGTGATTTAGATAATAATTTAAATTTGAATTCCTGGCTTCATTCTTCTTATATACTTTTCCTCCTGGTCTGCAATTCTTTTTTGTTATTTTTCTGTTTAAAAATAAAGTTATCTTTTTCATATACTTTGTAAACCACTTAGAATTGTACATGGAACCAGTTATGTACACGTCTGCATTTTGGTTATATCTGCATACAGGCACATGAACACTGGGAATACAGGAATGATGTATTGGTTTCCTATTGCGGCTATAACCGGGTACCACAAGCTTAATGGCTTAAAAAAACACAAATGTATAGTTGTTCCCCCTTATCCATGGTTGCACTTTCTATAGTTTCAGTTACCTGTGGTCCACCATGGTTAAAAAAGTGTAAATGGAAAATTCCAGAAATAAACAATTCATACATTTAAAATTGCATCCCATTCTGAGTAGTGTGATGGAATCTCACACTGTTCCACTCCATCCTGTCTAGGACATGAGTCATCCCTTTGTCCATACTATCCACACTGCATACACTACCCTCCTGTTAGTAATATAGTGGCTACTGTGGTTATCAGATCAACTGTCCCAATATCGCAGTGCTTGCATTTGAGTAACTCTTACTTAACTTAATAATCTAATGGTACCAAAGCACAAGAGTATTGATGCTGACATATTTTTATAATTGTTCTATTTTATTATTATTGTTCATCTCTTACTACGCTCAACTTATAAATTAAAATTTATCATCAATATGTACAGGAAAAATATAGTACAGCCAGCCCTCCATATTTGTGCATTCCACATCCATGACTCCAACCAACCATGAACTGAAAATATCCAGAAAAACATGCATCTGCACTGAACATGTACAGACTTTTTACCGTTATCATTATTCTCTAAACAATACCGTATAACAACTATTTACATAGCATTTACATTGTATTAGGTATTATAAGTAATCTAGAGATAATTTAAAGTATCCAGGAGGATCTGCGTAAGTTATATGCGAATACTATGCCATTTTATACCAGGGACTTGAGCCTGTACAGATTTCAGTGTCTGTACATCATTAAACATGCAACTCTGTTTCTTCAGGTTTTGGAATCAACTTAATTTTGGAACAGGACCTGGGATTGACAGAAGCAGTCTTTATCACTTCTTTTGAGGCAGCCTAGAGATCCACAGGCCTCAGTTGGAATGCCAACTTAGGTTATGGGGTGCCACAGTTAGTAGGCTATCAGGCCAAGTAAGTGAGCAGCTCTAGGAAGTGTATAGTGTCTTTTTTTCTGGCTGTGGCTTAGCTGAACATTCTTACCTGACCCCCATATCCACACTGGTTCATAGGAAAAAGGTAAAGGATCTTCTTAATGGAGGCCATTTTCAGGCCTGTTTGAATTTAGCAGCTCATATAGGAGGGGAGTATTAATTAATGAAAGGGCAATGTCTGCAGGAATAGCACTGCCAAATAAAACCGTTATCTGGCTTTCTGGGGGATCAGAAGTCATCATAGCAAGATATCATTGTTCAAATTGGTGACCAGGAGTTGCAATCCTACTTTTGCCCTTGGCTGGCTGCATGCATTAGGGAAGATTTTACCGCCATGTGGGCTCCTGGGTCAAAAAAGACAGTGATGCTATCCACTTGTTTTAGAGGCCCAGTTCTGCCCACTGGGAAACATTTGTTACAGATTATCACAATGTGTTACTGGTAATATATTACTGAATATATTGCAATATGTTACTGATAATATGTTACTGAAGATATTGGTGTGGCAGTTTTTACTTAAAAAGAGAAATCCTTAAGCTTATGTTTAATAAGAAAATGTGATAGAATCTTTATTGACCCTAACTTTCATGAGACACATACAGATACATGCTAATCCCTCATAGATACCAAAGGATGACTGTCTATATAGGGTTTTGTACTATCCATGGTTTCAGGCATCCACTGGGGAGTCTTGGAACATATTTCCCTCAGATAAGGGACAACTACTGTATTATCTTATGTTCTTGGGGTTAGATGTCTAAAATGAATCTATTAGGCTGCATTCGTTCTGGAGGTTCCAGGAAGAATCTCCTGTCTTGTGCTTTCCAGTGTCCAGAAACTGCCTGCATCCTTTGGTTCATGGCCTCTTCCTCCATCTTCAAACCCAGAATCTTCTCTCTTTAACTTTCTGTCGCCCACTTAAAAAGACTTATGTGATTACATTGAGCCCACTCAGAAAATCCAGAATAACTCTCCATCTCAAGATCCTTAACTAAATTATATCTGCAAATTTCCTTCTCCCAAATAAGACCACATATTCATAGGTTCCAGGAAATAGGATGTATACATCCTTGGGGTATTTTTCAGCCTGCAACAGATAATAACTTCTTCTCTGAGAGAACTGGCTCAAGCTGACATTAGTTAAGCTAATACAGTTGATCATTCATTCATTTAGTTGGCATACTTACCAGACTGTTATTGAGTATCTACTATGAGCTAGGCATTCTTCTAGGAGCTCAGAAAATGGGAATACCATAGTGAATACATTCACTAAGTTCCGTGTTCTCTAAGGGCTTAGATTCTATGTATAAATAAAAACCCAGGCACATGGAAAAAACGTAGATATAGAAAGTGTTCACCTTTCAGAGATGGACGCATAGTTCAATATGGCAGTAGCATAGAATACAAAGAAATGAAGTTATTGTGAGCTATGCTAGAAAGGTTATACTTAATCTGCAGGAAATAATTTTAAAAGAAAAGCAGGTGACATGATTAGATATGTAATTTATGAAGATGCCTGTGGGTGAAATGTGAATTAGAGGGAAACAAGACTGGAATTAGAAAGACCAATTAGGAGATGCTGCTTTAATCCAGGTGATAAGTGATGACAGTCTGAATTAGGTTAATAGCACTGGATGCTATTGGAGGCAGGAAGTACCATAATTCAAGGCAGCACAAAGAAGTTGAAAAATATCATCATGACATTTGTAGAGTGACCTATGGAGACAAAGTTGATAGGAAAGAGTGAAAGACAAAAGGGATCAAAGACAAATACCCAAACAACACATAGATTGGCTCAGCATTTAGATACACTAGTATCCTTTCTAGTCACTACTGTATTATTTCGTATTCTTCAGTTTATGAAGCTTTAGACTTAGGCCATTGAAAATTTATGAGCTAAGTCCCTGAATAGACTTGCTAAAGTTTTATTTGGTTTATTATCTCACTTTATTCCAGATTTCCTTCTCTAGGAATAGATTAGCAATAGTTACTTCTAAATGTCTCCCATTTTAGGTATAATTAATAAAAATATTAACAACTGGTTTTGCTATGACTGATTATGGCTTGTGAGTCCTGTTGCTGTCTGTACTGCCCTTTGTTCTATAGCTGTCTCTAATTCTGATTCTCTTTCTATGTGTCTCTCTCTCACACACAAACACACACACATACACACACACACATACACACACACACACACACGCATGCAGTTAATTCTTAGAGCCAGCTCTCTTAATCAAATGGAAGTAAAAGGGAGGACAGACTCTTATCAATAACTTTAATTTTGAAATAAATTTATAGGTAACAGGGTATCCTCTTGGCCCATCCAGTTGTCCAGCCCATTGACCACTAACACAGTCCCTTGGAGGAGGGTAGAAGCCTTTGCCTATTTAACAACATCTCTCCAGCAACGTTACCAACTTTGATACAAGCCCAGTTACCCTCCAAATAGAGTTGAAAAAAAGAAAAACTTTCCATTTTAAAACCTCAAAGTCATTTCACTCGGTGACCTAGAGCTCAAGGACTTTTTCCTTTGCTAAGAACTCCAACCACCCAGCTCCCCAGTGAATAATGAAGACAATGTAATCATCTTTGTTTCTTTTAGTGGTTAATTGGGAGCAGGATCATTTTATCCATCTTCGTGAGTTGAAGCCCTTCTAGAAATGATTGTGGTTTGTTTTGCCCACCCACAAGATACCAAAATAACCTGCTATCTTCGCAAAATGTGCATCTATTCCCCAAATCATATTTTATGCCAAGTTTTAAAAGAGAGGGAACCATGCCAGAATTCATTTTAAACCAAGTTTTATTTGCTATTTCTAGTGCTAGTGCATGGTAGACAGCTGGAGGATAGTTCCATTTAAGTTGATTTCTTCCTTGACACTGTTTCTTTTCAGATATGAATTAGATAGAATAGGGCTAAAAATGAAGGTAACTAATTGTGGACTAAAAACAACAACAACAGAAGTAATTGCAAGTAAAGAAAACCCAGTAAACGTTTCAGTAATAATTTGCTTGGTGGGGGAGTGGACATTTTTTTGCTTGTGCTTAGGAACTATTAATTATATGAATGTTAGCAAATCACACCTAATAAATTTTGGCCTATATGAATGTGGCATCAATTGAGATACAAGGCAAAAAATAAGAAGACCCAATCCACCTAGAGAGGAGGTAGCTTAATATTGGCATAAATTGCATTTAATATAATGAGCCTAATCTAAACATTAGTGCAGTTCATCCTACATGTAAGATGCACTCAAGATATACTAAAGAAATAATATGACTCAGCATTTAGATACACTAGTATCCTTTCTAGTCACTACTGTATTATTTTGTATTCTTCAGTTTATGAAACCTTGGACTTAGACCATCAAAAATTTGTGAGCTGAGTCCCTGAATGTACTTGCTAAAATTTTATTTGGTTTATTCAACATTTCCTTCTCTATCAACCTCCATTAACCATCTTAGACACTAGATGAATATGATATTTCCAACATATGAACTATTTTAATTAATTCTGGTAAATGCTTTAGAGAGGCCAAAATGTTTGTTTCTATATAATACCAAAAATCATTTTACTTGGTGCCAAGAGGTATGGATGTTTAATAACCTGTTTATTGTTCTAATGGTTTCTCCAGAGCACCCATAAAGAAGGAATCTCGTAAAGATGTTGTTGACTGTTGACTTTTCCCCACTCACTTCTTTTCCATCTTCTACATAGGAGATGCTCCTCATAGCTCAAGCCTGGCTGGCTGAAGGTTTTTGACCCAAGAGCATGTTGTTTATGGCAGCCATGTGTACCATGGCATAACCTTACCTCTCCCTGTCTTACTGTTTAATATAAGTAGTAGCATTTCCAGGACCCAGAATAGGTCAAAGACAACTCTAAATTGCATACTTAAATTTTTGACAATGAGTTGACCTCCATCAGATCTGTAGACAATCTTCTCTTCTGATTCTATTCAGGGCATAGTCTATCCCACTTTTTGAAAGCCAACTGTTTTATGCCACTAAATTATGAAGCCTTTACATAAAGTAACAATCTGCTCAAAAGGTTTAGCTCCTCAACTCTCCTAAGAACATGTCAATTCTACTGTCTTCTCAGGCCATAGGTTCTACAGAAAGACCAGGAAAGATTTGTGTTCTTTATCACTTTGCAATCCATTTTAATTACTTTGTGTGACTTATTGATATTTCTTTGGCCTTTGAATCTGTGAATAGGAGTTGATTACAGATTAAACTCCATAAAGATATTGCGTATCTTAGATTATTAATACTGACACCTTAATACTACTTAGAAAATCAGTAGAAATGGTCTCTTGATGGATCCAATCGTGATTTCTGTGAAGTCAAACATGTATTTGATTTGTTTTTGCCTTTTTTGTAATTTTTACCTTAATAATTTGTTAACACTTGGTAGTGAGTTGGATATACATCCTCCATAATAGGGACTAGAAATAGCTGACATTTGTTGACCTTTTACTCTGTGCCAGGTATTAGGCTAAGCATCTCCAAGTTTATTCTCATTTAATCCCCACAGAAGCTCTATGAAGTTGATGCCATTTTTATTTCCATTTTTCCAAATAGAAAGCTGAAGCCTAGAGAGATAGAAGTAACTTTTCACAGGTAGCATGGCTACTATGAGACGAGACCAGAATTCGAGTCAGAAAATCTGACTCCAGAACCTGAACTCTTAATTATTACTATATACTACCTCTTATGCGAAGATAATATTGTTTTCTTAATTTAGATTTGGTATGGACAACTTATCCTGCTCCCTGGTGCCAACACAATATTTCACAACAGACAATAAAACTAAAGGTAATTTTCACAATGAATTCCTAACTTTTAACTGGCTTAAGTATGAGATCCTACAGCAATTTAAATATTTCAGTTATGTAGATGTCTATTTTGTAACCAGATAATTTAGAGGGCATCCCATGAAGTAATTCTGCTCAAGATAATTTTATTTTTATTTTTATTTTATTTACTGTAGATGTTTTGTTGAAGAAAAAAAAGTGTATGGCCCAGGTTAATTTCTGGTTGTGACCGTTCCAAAATTTGGATTGTGGGGGTGGTTAAAATCAGTGTTGCCATGCCTGATGGTGAAGACAATGAGGCTTGACTATCCATTTGTCTAGTGGGAGAGCAGATCCAAAATTATTTCTTAAAGAGAATCATGGCCTTTCCTCCTTCCATTCATTCCCTTGACACAAGTTAAGTGGGGTGGAAATGTCCTCTGTTCAGGCCGTTATTCCTGACAGCCTCCTCAACTTCTCCTCAAAGCCCTGAGAGGATGCAACTCTTCTCCTTGTTCAGATGACTATTAAAGTACACTGCTTAGTGTTAAGTGGTATAATAGACAAACTGTACTCCAGATCAAATTCTTGTCTAATATTCTGTCACTCAATATTTAGCAAAAGCCCAATGTGTGAAGCAATACTTAGGGGAGATATCTCGAAGTTTATATGGCTCACTAATTCCTCTAAACTACTTTACAATTTATACCTAGAGTTATGCATACTGGCATCCATCCAAACTGCCTCCTCCTATAAGAATTACTTTTTAAAATGTATACCCTTCTCTAGAGGCAGAAATAAGGTTATTGAGAAGCAACAGGAAAAGCTATATAGACCTGAATGACCCAGTTCTTGGCATTAGAAATAGGTACTTCTAGTTAAGAATTCTATAGCCATTTGAGATGGTCTTAATGTTTTCTAATTTTAAAATATTATTTTTAAAACTGAAACAATGGTAACTGAATTCATTCCTGTTTCAGTTATTTATTAGTGTGTAACAAACTATACCAAAACTAAGTTTTAGGCTTAAAATATTTTATTACTTCTCATGGTTTCCTATGTAAAAAAACTGGACAGGACATGGTGTGGAGAATTCATCTCTCTCCACATGATGTCTGCTGGAGTGAAATGTGCAAAATGGCTTCTGTACTCACATGTCTGATATCTCAACTGGGGTGGCTTAGACAGCTAGTGTTGGCTGCAATAACCTAACTGGGGTTGTATGTTTGGGGCCACAGATTTCTGTCAGCTGGATTCTTTAATTTTCCTCCATGCAGTCTCTAGGTCTTTCTGTCTCTCTGTATCTTTTCACATAGTCTCTCCAACAGGGCAATCCAGCTTCTTACGCAGCAGCTTAGGCCTCTGGAAAGTAAAAAACTTGAAACTGTCAGGTCTACTTTCTGCTTAGGCTGAGAAATGGCACAAGGTTCTTTGCTGCCTTTGTAGTTAAAGAAAAAAAAAGCAGACTATAGAAAGGCATGAAAGATGAAAGCAGGATGTATAGTTAGGTGGAGATCATTAATATTTCTTATTACTATAGTTCTATTAGTTTATAATATGGTGATATAACTAATAAGATTTGTAATAACTAATAAATCCAGTTACCACATTTAAAAAGTATAGCAATTGATCATAAGATAAGAGGCTATCATTGATGATAGCTTACAGAAGATTTTCATGTTTCGTGATAAGTTGCTCTTAAGCCACTTTTGTATGTGCTTATTACTAAGAACTGTATATTTAAGTCACCAAAAACACATACATTATGATAGTTCACACAATTTCCAGTAAAAAAAAAAAATGGATAAATTGCTTTATTTCTTTCAAGCCACTAGTTCATTTTTAGAATGAGGTCCACAGTGCACCTACATCAGAATTTCCCATAGGGCTACTAAAAGTACAGATTCCCACACCCACTCTTGTCTTACTGAATCTAGTCTTTAGGCTGTGGGGGAATGTATAATGAAGTTTCTTCTGCATTTGTTCATAAGTGGGCTGAGTTTTCTTTCTCCAAATGGAGAAGAGATTAACAACCGGAGAGTGTTGGAGACGTATAGATGGGGTGTCTTCTGGATAAATATTGGTTTAATTAACAGGAAATGAAAAGCCAAGGAAAGAAGCAAGAAAGGGAAGAAGAGATGTTTCTTTCTTAGCATTGACACAGACGTAAGGAGAAACCAGCCAAAACACTTTTACATCTTTAAATCCACTAATTAAAAGATCTGTGTGGAAGGAGAAAATGTGGGTAATTACCAGGCATAATAGACTCTCTGAGAGACACTGACTGGGACTGAGACGGAACAGTCTTGGTACAAAATGTCTTTTCAGGGAATATACATAATAATGTCATATTACTGAAAGCTTCTGGTACTGTGCCTGTACCTAGAACCCAGACATGCAATGAATACAAGTGGGTGTTTGATCTCAAAATGTATATTTTTTTGCATAATGCACTTTTGGACTAGAGTTTATCTATTTTCTGCTCACCTGTGATGTCACTGAAAAAACACACCAGATAAATCACATTTATACCATGATTCGATTAGTGTGTGGAACTGGTCTTCTTGTTCTTTAATCATAAGTGAATCTTCCATTCTTCCCTTCACAAAATGTGATTGTGTTCTGAAGATTCATGGACCCAAGCATATTTTAGACCAGGGGATCACAGTCTAGACTTCAGCTAAAGCAATAAAGTGACGCTTTTTCTTCAAGGTCAGAACACCCAAGGATGAGTAAGCCTGCTGTACAATGGTTCTTTTCTGATACATCTGGCATGAAAATAGCTCCAAATGGTTGGACACTTAAAATCTGAAAGTATGTATAGTCACAGCAATGAAAGAATAAGGTTGTATATGCAATTTAAATAGATCTTAAAATATAGCCACGTCCATTTTTATCTCAGTGTTTTATAAACTCAAAGTTTAGCTAATGGAATATTCACTGTTTGTTCAAACGTTTCGATAATGCATTTGTTTAAAAAACACAATGAATTAGTATACTATTAGTCAGAAATGCAAATACATATTTGCTAGGAAGAAAATAATGTTCAGAAAAAAAAGAATAGACTGACCTCATATTTATAATTGAATAGGAAGGATAGGTAATGATATCTTTTGCCAGTAGCTGGGATTTTATTTTGATGTTAAGCATAAAGTTTAGCCTACTACCACCAAGATAACATTAAATTTAAGTGGGAAAAACATTATGACAGTTAGAACGTTACATATTCTCTTGAGTTTTGGCCCATATGCATCATTTTTACTGTAAACATTGAGGTGATAATAGCACTTCATTCAAATAGAAGTAAGCATCAATATCCACCACCCCCACCCCCAGATAGTTCCCTATCCATGCCCTGTGTTTGAGGATTCTTCTTGGGCCAACTTTTCTGGCATTGCTTTTCCATTTCTATTCCTTTTTCAATTACTGTCTCCAAAATAAAGTATTTAGACAATGGTTGTAAGTCCTTGGCACCTATAATTTTATAATCCTTTAGAGATTCAAAATATAATTTCTTGGCTGGGCACGGTGGCTCACACCTGTAATCCCAGCACTTTGGGAGGCCGAGGTGGGTGGATCACCTGAGGTTGGGAGTTTGAGACCAGCCTGACCAACATGGAGAAACCCCTTCTCTACTAAAAATACAAAATTAGCCAGGAGTGTTGGTGCATGCCTGTAATCCCAGCTACTCAGGAGGCTGAGGCAGGAGAATCGCTTGAACCCAGGAGGCAGAGGTTGCAGTGAGCCTAGATCGTGCTATTGCACTCCAGCCTGGGCAACAAGAGTGAAACTCCGTCTCAAAATATGTATATAAATATAAAAATATATATAAATTATATTTGTATAATTATATAAATTATATAAATATAATTAAGATAAGTTTATAATTATATAAATTTAATTATATAAATATAGTTAAGATAAAGTTATAATTATATAAATTTAATTATATAAATATAATTAAGATAAAGTTATAATTATATAAATTTAATTATATAAATAAAATTAAGAAATTATATATATATGTGTATATATATATATATATATATATATAAAATTTCTTAAAACCTTGCAATTCACCTGGACTGGGAATTTGAATTATAATATAACCTGGGAATAAACATTTTTGGTTTCAAACTATGAGAGGTAGGTCATAATATATCTTGTTTAATACAAACCATCAGGTTTCCTTCTTTTTACCCAAATGTAACAAAACACTGCAATATTTTGTTTACTGTTCTTTGATTAAAATAGATATTAATTCAGCCAAGAGGTAGAGCTGAGAAATTGAAAAGTGACTCCAAGTGACTTCTATTCAGCAAAAGCTACCATAGATGGTCCAACATAAATCGCCCCACACATTCCTCTATTAAACTCTAAGCCCTTGAGTACAGTACCTTTTCATATACATATGTCTCTGTAAACCCACTGCCTAACCCAGTGACCAGAACATGCAGGGCTCAATAAATGTTTGCCTGATGGCATGCCAATTCTAGTCTATGCAGGGAGAGCCCCTCTGAATGAAAAGCCAGAGTCACAGGCATCTGGGGGCTTTCCTGGATATGCTTGACAACCCAGTCCATCCAACTATCCCATACGTTCCCATCTGTTCAATTTTTTTTTAATTTATATTTTTTATTATACTTTAAGTTCTAGGGTACATGTGCACAACATGCAGGTTTGATACGTAGGTATACATGTGCCATGGTGGTTTGCAGCACCCATTAACTCATTATTGACATTAGGTATTTCTCCTAATGCTATCGCTCCCCCAGCCCCTCCACCCCCACAACAGGCCCTGGTGTGTGATGTTCCCTGCCCTGTGTCCAAGTGATCTCATTGTTCAATTCCCACCTATGAATGAGAACATGCAGTCTTTGGTTTCCTGTCCTTGTGATAGTTTGCTGAGAATGATGGTTTCCAGTTTCATCCATGTCCCTGCAAAGGACATGAACTCATCCTTTTTACGGCTGCATAGTATTCCATGGTGTATATGTGCCACATTTTCTTAATCTAGTCTATCATTGATGGACATTTGGGTTGGTTTCAAGTCTTTGCTATTGTGAATAGTGCCGCAATAAACATACATGTGCATGTGTCTTTATAGTAGCATGATTTATAATCCTTTGGGTATATACCCAGTAATGGGATTGCTGGGTCAAATGGTAATTCTAGTTCTAGATCCTTGAGGAATCACCACACTGTCTTCCACGATGGTTGAACTAATTTACACTCCCAGCAACAGTGCAAAAGTGTTCCTATTTCTCCACATCCTCTCCAGCATCTGTTGTTTCCTGACTTTTTAGTGATTGCCATTCTAACTGGCGTGAGATGCTATCTCATTGTGGTTTTGATTTGCATTTTTCTGATGACCAGTGATGATGAGCATTTTTTCATGTGTCTGTTGGCTGCATAGATGTCTTCTTTTGAGAAGTGTCTGTTCATATCCTTTGCCCACTTTTTGATGGGGCTGTTTGTTTTTTTCTTGTAAATTTGAGTTCTTTGTAGATTCTGGATATTAGCCCTTTGTCAGATGGGTAGATTGCAAAAATTTTCTCCCATTCTGTAGGTTGCCTGTTCACTCTGATGGTAGTTTCTTTTGCCGTGCAGAGGCTCTTTAGTTTAATTAGATCCCATTTGTCTGTTTTGGCTTTTGTCGCCGTTGCTTTCGGTGTTTTAGTCATGAAGTCTTTGCCCATGTTTATGTCCTGAATGGTATTGCCTAGGTTTTCTTCTGGGGTTTTTATGGTTTTAGGTCTAACATTTAAGTCTTTAATCCATCTTGAACTAATTTTTATATGAGGTGTAGGGAAGGGATCCAGCTTCAGCTTTCTACATATGGCTAGCCAGTTTTCCCAGCACCATTTATTCAATAGGGAATCCATTTCTTGTTTTTGTCAGATTTGTCAAAGATCAGATGGTTGTAGATGTGTGGTGTTATTTCTGAGGCCTCTGTTCTGTTCCATTGGGCTATATCTCTGTTTTGGTACCATACCATGCTGTTTTGGTCACTGTAGCTTTGTAGTATAATTTGAAGTCAGGTAGCGTGATGCCTCCAGCTTTGTTCTTTTTGCTTAGGATTGTTTTGGCAATGCAGGCTCTTTGTTGGTTCCATATGAACTTTAAAGTAGGTTTTTCCAATTCTGTGAAGAAAGTCATTGGTAGCTTGATGGGGATGGCATTGAGTCTATAAATTACTTTGGGCAATATGGCCATTTTCACAATACTGATTCTTTCTATCCATGAGCACAGAATATTCTTCCATTTGTTTGTGTCCTCTTTTATTTCGTTGAGCAGTGGTTTGTAATTCTCCTTGAAGAGGTCCTTCACATCCCTTGTAAGTTGGATTCCTAGGTATTTTATTCTCTTTGTAGCAATTGTGAATGGGAATTCATTCATGATTTGGCTCTCTGTTTGTCTGTTATTGGTGTATAGGAATGCTTGTGTTTTTTGCACATTGATTTTGTATCCTGAGACTTTGCTGAAGTTGCTTATCAGCTTAAGGAGATTTGGGCTGAGACGATGGGGTTTTCTAAATATATAATCATGTCATCTGCAAAAAGGGACAATTTTACTTCCTCATTTCCTAATTGAATACCCTTTATTTGGTTCTCTTGCCTGATTGCCCTGGCCAGAATTTCCAACACTATGTTGAATAGGAGTGGTGAGAGAGGGCATCCTTGTCTTGTGCTGGTTTTCAAAGAGAATGCTTCCAGTTTTTGTCCATTCAGTATGATATTGGCTGTGGATTTGTCATAAATAACTCATATTATTTTGAGATACGTTCCATCAATACTTAGTTTATTAAGAATTTTTAGCAGGAAGAGCTGTTGAATTTTGTTGAAGGCCTCTTCTGCATCTATTGAGATACTCATGTGGTTTTTATCTTTGGTTCTGTTTATGTGATGAATTACGTTTATTGATTAGCATATGTTGAACCAGCCTTGCATTCCAGGGATGAAGCCAACTTGATCGTGGTGGATAAGCTTTTTGATGTGCTGCTGGATTCGGTTTGCCAGTATTTTATTGAGGATTTTTCCATCGATATTTATCAGGGATATTGGTCTAAAATTCTCTTTTTTTGTTGTATCTCTGCCAGACCTTGGTATCAGGATGATGTTGGTCTCATAAAATGAGTTAGGGAGGATTCCCTCTTTTTCTATTGATTGGAAGTTTCAGAAGGAATAGTACCAGCTCTTCTTTGTACCTCTGGTAGAATTCAGCTGTGAATCCGTCTGGTCCTGGACTCTTTTTGTTTGGTAGGCTATTAATTATTGCTTCAATTTCAGAGCCTGTTATTGGTCTATTCAGAGATTAAACTTCTTCCTGGTTTAATCTTGGGAGTGTGTATGTGTTCAGGAATTTATCCATTTCTTCTAGATTTTCTAGTTTATTTGTGTAGAGATGTTTATAGTATTCTCTGATGGTAGTTTGTATTTCTATGGGATTGCTGGTGATATCCCCTTTATCATTTTTTATTGCATCTATTTGATTCTTCTCTCTTTCCTTCTTTATTAGTCTTTCTAGCAGTCTACCAATTTTGTTGATCTTTTCAAAAAACCAGCTCCTGGATTCATTGATTTTTTGAAGGGTTTTTTTGTGTCTCTATCTCTTTCAGTTCTGCTCTGATCTTATTTATTTCTTGCCTTCTGCTAGCTTTTGAATGTGTTTGCTCTTACTTCTCTAGTTCTTTTAATTGTGATGTTAGGGTGTCGATTTTACATCTTTCCTGCTGTCTCTTGTGGGCATTTAGTGCTATAAATTTCCCTCTACACACTGCTTTAAACGTGTCCCAGAGGTTCTGGTACGTTGTGTCTTTGTTCTCATTGGTTTCAAAGAACATCTTTATTTCTACCTTCATTTCGTTATTTACCCAGTAGTCATTCAGGAGCAGGTTGTTCCGTTTCCATGTAGTTGTGCAGTTTTGAGTGAGTTTCTTAATCCTGAGTTTTAGTTTGATTGCACTGTTGTGTGAGAGACAGTTTGTTGTGATTTCCAGTCTTTTACAATTGCTGAGGAGTGCTTTACTTCCAATTATGTGGTCAATTTTAGAATAAGTGTGATGTGGTGCTGAGAAGAATGTATATTCTGTTGATTTGGGGTGGAGAGTTTTGTAGATGTCTATTAGGTCTGCTCGTTGCAGAGCTGAGTTCAGGTCCTGGATATCCTTGTTAAGCTTCTGTCTCGTTGATCTGCCTAATATTGGCAGTAGGGTGTTAAAGTCTCCCATTATTATTGTGTGGGAGTCTAAGTTTCTTTGTACATCTCTAAGGACTTGCTTTATGAATCTGGGTGCTCCTGTATTGGGTGCATATATATTTAGGATAGTTAGCTCTTCTTGTTGAATTGATCCCTTTACCATTATGTAACGGTCTTCTTTGTCTCTTCTGATGTTTGTTGGTTTAAAGTCTGTTTTATCCGAGACTAGGATTGCAACCCCTGCTTTTTTTTGTTTTCTATTTGCTTGGTAGATCTTCCTCTATCCCTTTATTTTGAGCCTATGTGCGTCTTTGCACATGAGATGGGTCTTCCGAATAAGCACACTGATGGGTCTTGACTCTATACAATTTGCCAGTCTATGTCTTTTAATTGGGGCATTTAGCCCATTTACATTTAAGGTTAATATTGTTATATGTGAATTTGATCGTGTCATTATGATGTTAGCTGGTTATTTTGTCCGTTAATTGATGCAGTTTCTTCATAGCATCGATGGTCTTTACAATTTGGGATGTTTTTGCAGTGGCTGGTACCAGTTGTTTCCTTCCATGTTTAGTGCTTCCTTCCTTCAGGAGCTCTTGTAAGTCAGGCCTGTTGGTGACAAAATCTCTGAGCATTTGCTTGTCTGTAAAGGATTTTATTTCTCCTTCACTTGTGAAGGTAATTTTGGCTGGATATGAAATTCTGGGTTGAAAATTCTTTTCTTTAAGAATGTTGAATATCGGCCCCCACTCTCTTCTGGCTTGTAGGGTTTCTGCCGAGAGATCAGCTGTTAGTATGATGGGCTTCCCTTTGAGGGTAACCTGACCTTTCTCTCTGGCTGCACTTAACACTTTTTCCTTCATTTCAACCTTGGTGAATCTGAAAATTTTGTGTCTTGGGGTTGCTCTTCTCGAGGAGTATCTTTGTGGTGTTCACTGTATTTCCTGAATTTGAATGTTGGCTTTGCTTGCTAGGTTGGGGAAGTTCTCCTGGATAATGCCCTGAAGTGTGTTTTCCAACTTGGTTCCATTTTCCCCATCACTTTCAGGTCCACAATCAAACGTAGATTTGGTCTTTTCACATAGTCCCATATTTCTTGGAGGCTTTGTTGATTTCTTTTTACTCTTTTTTCTCTAAACTTCTCTTTTCACTTTATTTCATTAATTTGATCTTCAATCACTGATACCCTTTCTTCCACTTGATCAAGTTGGCTATTGAAGCTTGTGCATGCATCACGAAGTTCTCATGCCATGGTTTTCAGCTCCATCAGGTCATTTAAGGTCTTCTCTACACTGTTTATTCTAGTTAGCCATTCGCCTAATCTTTTTTCAATGTGTTTAACTTCCTTGTGATGGGTTCGAGCATCCTCCTTTAGCTCGGAGAAGTTTGTTATTACCAACCTTCTGAAGCCTACTTCTCTCAGCTCGTCAAAGTCATTCTCCATCCAGCTTTATTCCGTTGCTCACAAGGAGCTGCGATCCTTTGGAGGAGAAGAGGCGCTCCGATTTTTAGTATTTTCAGCTTTTCTGCTCTGGTTTTTCCCCATCTTTGTGGTTTTATCTATCTTTGGTCTTTGATGTTGGTGACCTACACATGGGGTTTTGGTGTAGATGACCTTTTTGTTGATGTCGATGCTATTCCTTTCTGTTTGTTAGTTTTCCTTATAACAGTCAGGTTCCTCAGCTGCAGGTCTGTTGGAGTTTGCTGGAGTTCCACTCCAGACCCTGTTTGCCTGGGTAGCATCAGCAGAGGCTGCAGAACAGCAAATATTGCAGAACAGCAAATATTGCAGAACAGCAAATATTGCTGCCTGATCCTTCCTCTGGAAGCTTCGTCCCAGAGGAGCAGCCACCTATATGAGGTTTCTGTCAACCCCTACTGGGAGGTGTCCTCCAGTTAGGCTACATGGGGGTCAGGGACCCACTTGAGGAAGCAGTCTGTCTATTCTTAACGCTCAAACGCCATGCTGGGAGAGCCACTGCTCTCTTCAGAGCTGTCAGACAGGGAAGTTTATGTCTGCAGAAGTTGTCTGCTGCCTTTTGTTCACCTATGCCCTGCCCATACAGGTGTTGTCTGGAGGCAGTAGGCCTTGTTGAGCTAAGGTGGGCTCCACCCAGTTAGAGCTTCCCTGCTGCTTTGTTTACCTACTCAAGCCTCAGCTATGGCAGACACCCCTCCCCCAACCAGGCTGCTGCCTTGCCGTTCAGTCTCAGATTGCTGTGCTAGCAGTGAGCAAGGCCCCATGGGCATGGGACCCACCAAGCCAGTCACGGGAGAGAATCACCTTGTCTGCCGGTTTCTAAGATCTTGGGAAAAGCGCAGTATTTAGGCAGGAGTGTCCCATTTTTCCAAGTAGTTTGTCACTGCTTCCCTTGGCTAGGAAAGGGAAATCCCCTGACCCCGTGTGCTTCCTGGGTGAGGCGATGCCATGCCCTGCTTTGGCTCACCCTCTGTGGGCTGCACCCACTCTCCAGCCAGTCCCAATGAGATGAACCAGGCACCTCAGTTGGAAATGCAGAAATCACCCATCTTCTCTGTAGATCATGCTGGGAGCTGCAGACCAGAGCTGTTCCTATTCAGTTATCTTGGAACGCCCCCAATCTGTTCAGTTTTTGAATTAAATTGAAAGGTAGACCCCATCTATACAATTTTTAAATGAGTCAGCATGGTGCATGACACGTGGTAGTAAGTGCTCAGGAAATGTTTTATGAATATTATCTTACAAGTTAATTAAATACTTTAAAAGACAAAAGCAGTGCTTTACATGTGTTTCATATGATTTAGTTTTATGAAACTTCCAGGTAATATTAAAATCCAAAGCATCCTGATTCTCTACATGTTCACGTTCTGTGATGAGGGGGATGGCGAGAAGCAAAGAATGCATTTTGTGTGTGTGCATGATATTAATTCCATGAACTAAGTTTGAATTCTATTCAAATACTGAATAGGTAACATCCAGTTTAAGACTTTTATTTCTGTTTAGAAACACAATTAACTTATGGATCTAATGGATAAGCTTGAGAATGTCCTCCCAACTCAGAGCCCTAAGGTGTTTATCTGCAAAGCAAAAATAACATTCATTGTGTGTTCCCTTGCAAAGTTTGTCTAAGATCAAGTGAGGTGATAATGTGATTGTAGTTTATGAACCACTTTGCAAAACATCATCATTATTTCCCTGTGAAGTTTTTTAATATGATTATTTGATGCATAGGTGTGTATATAAAATATGTAACATGTATTTAAAAATAGATATTCCTGTCTGTTCCAGTTGGCTAGGAAATCGACTCGAGGTCTTGAACCATTTCACAATCATGCTACTGAGGAAAAAAATTGAGAGCACTTGGTTTGGTGAGCCTGGCAAGAAAAAATGCTATGGTAACATTGTCATTAATTCCTCCTTTATGGATAGACCTCCAAATAGTTGAAAGGAGGTAGCTTTTGAGGTACTCCAGCTTAAAAATCTTTTATTTATTTATTTATTTATTTATTTATTTATTTATTTATTTGAGATGGACTCTCACCCTGTCACCCAGGCTGGAGTGCAGTGGTGTGATCTGGGCTCACTGCAAGCTCCGCCTCCCAAGTTCACAACATTCTCCCGCCTCAGCCCCCAGAGTAGCTGGGACTGCAGGCACCCGCCACCATGCCCAGCTAATTTTTTGATTTTGTATTTTCAGTAGAGATGGGGTTTCACCATGTTAGCCAGGATGGTCTCGATCTCCTGACCTCATGATCCACCCGCCTTGGCCTCCCAAGGTGCTGGAATTACAGGCGTGAGCTACTGCGCCCGGCCTAGTTCATTTTTTAATCACATTCTAAATTCTGTTATTCTTCAGGTGTTATCAATTTTACCTTTGAAATGCCTTCAGAATCTTTCTCATTCTGAAGATGAGTTTCCTTTCCAATTATAGTTTAGTTTACTTATCTCTCCCAGGATATTGCAATTGCCTCTCTTTATTTTTAAGCTTCTAGCTTCCTGGTAGCAAATCCATTCCCATTGAACATGTATTTGTTTCCTACTACTGTAACAAATTACCAAAAATTTAGTGGCTTGAAACCACAAAAATGTATTATCTTACAGTTCTGGAAGTCAGAAGTCCAAAATGGGTCTTCAGGGCTGTGTTCCTTCTGCAAACTGTAGGGGAGAATCCACTTCCTTGCCTTCTCCGGCATTCAGAGGCCACCTGCATTCCTGGGCTCATGGCCCCTTCCTCTACCTTCATAGCCAACAAGATAGCACCTCATCAAATCTCTTTCTCACCTTTTCTTTTGTTTTCACCTCTTCTCTGACTCTCCTGCCTCCTCCTTTCCCTTATAAAAACCTTTGTGATTACATTGAGCCCACCCAGAAATTATAGGATAATCCCCTCATTGTGAGATCATTAATTTAATCATACCTATGAAATTCCTTTGGCCATGTAAAGTAATATTCACAGGTTTGGAGATTGGAAAGTAGACCCCTTGGAGAGCCATCATTCAGAACTCAAGTGATGTCTTTTAGTAAGATGCAAATCTGGTCCTGCCATTTTCCTGCATGGAGCACTCATGACTTCCCAGGCCTCGGCAACAGCTTCAAATTTTTCTGATCTCAACCTACAATTAAAAATATATATTTTACATCATTATCTAATTTACACACACACTCACACACATGAAAATCTTCACAAAATTTGGCACTTACTCTTATGTGTAATTCACTTTCATAATTTCTGTTATAGCCTATTAATTTGTAAAATGCTGTCCGTGACCCATTTCACAGAGTTTCTGGCCTGTTAGTGGGTTTCAAACCACAGTTTAAACATCATATAGGCTGTGTGTGCTTCATCCATGCAAACTACTTTTAGATCCCAAACAGGCTGTTTTCTTTCATGCCTCATGCACTTTAGGCTATTCTTGCCCTACAAAGCTTACATGCCATTTCTGCTGACAGGCTCAACACAAAACATTACTTTCTTTAGAAAGACTCCATTGATTTCCTCCAGGCACCTGCACACCTACGTCTTGCCAGCCTCCCGTATTGTCTCTGTTATAGCACTTGCCAGGTAGTCTCTCATTCTCCTTTCTCTCTCTCTCTTTCTTTTTCTTTCTCTCTCTCCTGCACACACACATCCTTCTCTTTCTCCTCCTCTTCCATCTCCTTCTTCTGCCTTCCTCCTTCCTTTCCTGTTTTCCTCCCTTTCTCCTTTTCTTTTTATTTCATTCTAAAAGAAAGATAATAAGAGATACAATAGCCTTTGTAGAAAAATTTGAAAATACAGAAGAATAAACAGAAAGCTAAACCTACCTCTAAACAAACCCTCCAGAGAGAACTAATAATATTTACACATTTTCAGTTAATCTTTTTGATATCTAAATCTACACACTTTACTGAACAGAAATAGGTTCATGCTGTAAAATTTTGGAACCTGTTGGGATGGACTTGACGTTAACCTGGATAGTGAGTATAAGTTATAACCAGCAATTTTTGACGGAAAAATACAAGGCAACCTATATATTGGTTTAATGAATATTCAGGATATATAGTAATTAAAGATGACTTCCATGAAAAGAAATGTAAATAACGTTTAATAAAATAAGTAAGGAATTCTTCCAAAATTATACGTGGCAACCAAAATTATATTTGGCAGCCAAATTTGGACTCTCCTGATGAATAAGATCTTGTTTATTCTTTTTTTTTGTTTGTTTTGTTTTTGAGACGGAATTTCGTTCTTGTTGCCCAGGCTGGAGTGCAATGGTGTGATCTCGGCTCACCGCAAACTCTGCCTCCTGGATTCAAGCGATTTTCCTGCTTCAGCCTCGCAAGTAGCTGGGATTACAGGCATGTGCCACCACAGCCACCTAATTTTGTATTTTTTGTAGAGATGGGGTTTCTCCGTGTTAGTGAGGCTGGTCTTGAACTCCCGACCTCAGCTGATCCGCCTGCCTTGGCCTCCCAAAGCGCTGGAATTACAGGCATGAGCCACCGCGTCTGGCCATGTTTATTCTTTTGTAATCATATTTCTGATGAAAAACAAGTTTTTATTTGGAATTATTATTGTGCCTTAATACCCTATTAAGACAGTTTACCAGGGACGAAACCAGAATTTGGAGAAATTGTTTTACTTTTTTCAAGCTACTAGTCCATTCTCAAAGTGAGGTCCACCGTGCAACTACATGAGAATCACTTTGAGGGCTACTAAAAGCTCAGATTCCCATGCTTACCCTGTCCTACTGAATATGTCTTTAATCATGGAGCCCAGGAATGTCCCCCTTTTAACAAATTTTGATGCGTAATAAAATTTGAGCATCACTACACTAAACTTATAAAACTGTAAAAATCAATGTTCTAAACAGCTATTTGGGAGCACTAATAGTTTGTGTTAATGTAAATTCTCCCTAGAAATCAGTTCCTTTAAAAAGGCTTAACCTCAGGAGTCTTTAGAACCAAACGAGACCTTAAAATATGTAATTTAATCACATCTTTGTGCAAATGAGGAAACTAAAAAGATGAAATGACCTCTCACAAGTCACTGAGCAGGTTTGTAGAAGAATTGAACCTTTTACCCAGAAAGAATCTCTGATTCCAAGTCCTAAGCCCTCTTCCCTATTCCAGACTGGAGCAAACTTTACTATATCTGCTGGCTTACCTATTTTAAGCCACTATTTCATCACAGTAAATGCCACTTTAATCTTTGCTTATTTACTTTCTAATGACAAATCCTGAAATCAATTTCTTTATAAAAACGCATTTTGGTGTGTGAAGAGAAACATTCCTGGCTTTAATGTAATTATGAAAACTACAGAGCCATGAAATCTCCTTTGCTAACTGCATACTGCTTGGAGTTTGCATGTAATTTGTGGTTCATAATGCTCAAGTTTGCCTGCTGGTGTACTCAGATAAGAGGAAGCAGCTAGACTTCCAAATTAAAGGACTCTGATAGAATAAACTGCATCAATATCTCTATTTCCTGAAAAGGAAAAAATTCTGCTTGTTTAGTGAGGTGAAAAGTAATCTAAATAGCTGAATATAATCGCAAACAGAATTCTTGAAAGTACTGAGAATTTTTTAGTAAAGATACACAAAAGAAATGCTATACAAATGATCTGTGCTGAATGTATCTGGGGTTGAGATTCTATTCCATTTCAGAACAACAGTCATTAAAAGGTCATAAAAAACATGATAAGCAGGTAAAATGACTTTTCCTTTATCTGAATTATTTTGGTTGCCATATTTTCAGAAGTTTAAAGGGGTGCTAGCTTTTTCTTTCTTTCTTTTTTAAAAAATTTCTGTATCTTTTATTCATTCTCTGTTTGAACATTTAGTTCCAGTTTGAGTTAGGGGTGGTGATCTTATAGCTAAACACCAGAAAGGCTGATTCTTGTTCACCATTAGTTAGCACAATAAGAAACTCAAGTTATCAAATCAGAGAGCACTTTCAGCATTAACTATTAATAATTGTATGAGTTTCCTTTTACTTTAAAATTTATGAATGGTAGATTCAAAGTGAGTGATAATGCAATGTTATATTCAGAGACAATTTCACTGAAGCAAACAGGATAATAATTTATTATTTTTAAATATCACTATGATAATTTTTTTCCTGGATCTTTGATAATTTTTTTAACCATCTGGTTATTTATGACATCACATTATATGTAACACTAAAGGAAGGTAGAAAGATACTTCTTCAGTGAATCTCTGCTTTCAACATACTTTTAGAATAAACAACTAGTAGAATAACTATACATCTGGTATTTTTTAAGTTCGTATTTATAAGTAGGCAAAGCAACCTTTACCTTCAGGAAGAAAACAGCTTCTCACAAGCGAATTCCATTGCACCAATTGGAAAGAAGTGCCCAGTCCAAATGTGAACTAGATTCTTCTGTCTTATGGTCAGGAGTTTTGCAATACTGTTATTAAGTGACATTATTGAAAATCTACAAATAATTGGCTTTCTTTTATGAATTCTTAAAAAATTTTGATGACAAATTTTGCATTATGGTATTTGGATTTGCTATTTATTAGGAAAGGAGTTAAGAGGTACTTGAATTCAGAATCCAAGATAAACATGTGTTTCAGTAAATATTAATAAGGTTAAAGAGAAATTTTCTTTTGAGGGAGAATATAAGTCTCTTGCAACTGTGTTTATGGAATAGAAGTAGATGATGCCCACATTTTTTTATTGAAAGGACTCCTTGGTTACAATGACTTGTTCCCAAGCACTTTTGTCTTCCCCCTACCCACTTGCACTCTCTCTCCCTCTCTTCATCCCTCCCTCTGTCTTTCTTTAGAAAGGAGCCCTTTGCTTCCTAACCTTATTTAACTTGTTTCTGGAAATGAAGCAAATTAAATTTTACTCATTAATGTGCTTATGCCTGGAGTATCCATCTTCTTATGATGGGAGATAAGGCTGCACTTGATCCTGTGTTGCCCAGTCCACCACCCCTTACTTTCATATTGCTCCTAGTACCCTTGCAGTTCATTTAATCTTAGGAGATACTGGATATTACATTTTTGGTACATCCAGTTGATGTTTTTCTGATGGTTTGAAAGTTACTTGAGATGAATTTTTAAAAATGCAAATAAAAATAATCAAGTACAAACAACCACTGGGTGATCTAGGAGTTAGTGTAAAGGAGATGGCAAGTACAGAAACTTTTGTTGTTGTTGCTTAGGAATAGTTTATGGTGGCCATGTTGAATGATAAGCTTTACTATCCCACTAATTGAGAACTGAGATCCATCAGTTACAGCTACAAGTTGTAGGACAGTAGCATCGGAAGTCAGAGTTTGAGCACCTCTGGATAAGCATTTTTTTCGGTGGCCACCTTGGGCATTCGTCTCAAATTCATATCTTTATTTAGAAATAAGTGGCTAGTCTCCCTCATGGACACACTGAAATTTATAGGATAGGAAAAGCAGAAAAGCAGTAACAACAGACTTATTGGAAGAAAAGGTAGAGTTGTAATATAATGAGAATATATCCATTTATACATTGTTGGTTTTAGAATATCTCTCCTTAGAAGTTTTCATCTAGGATTAAAATAAAGTATCTCTAACATTCGAGCTTCTTATCTTTCCACAGACTTGCAGTAACTTATCTACTTATTTGTATTGATTAATAATGTTAGCCTTCCAATACCTCATTTTTGCAACCTTGATACCATCTGCAACTTGTCTCTTGTGTTCTTGTGGTTGTGTAATCTAACCTCTTACAGAATGCACAACTCTCTTCTACAACATCCTTAATGTTGTTCATTCTTAACATTCTTATGTTCAAACATCTCCTGTGATAAAGTACTCACCAATTTCTAATGCAGCCCATTTTTATTAGTTTCTATCTTGAGTCAAAATCTATACATATCCAATCATTTTTACCGTTGAGACAAAGGGTTTTCATCCCGTTGCCAAAGCCAGTTTGGAGAAAAGCCCAGACAACATTTTAGTCATCCTTTGCCTGCTTTTCTTTCCATGACAGTTTCCAGTTTTTATTTACTTGTCTCAATTTGTTGTTCGATTGCCTTGGACATTCCATATTGAAGTGGGTCCTCTGGCAGAAGTTTTAAAGCTCATTGTTTTTTGCTTGTCAACTTTAAGCAAATTGGAAGGCCATAGCAGTAATCTTATTTCCATTTCTGGAAAAAAGATGATATTTGAGCAAAGAATGACAACCTGTATCTTCACTCCTTGTAAAATACAATTTTATTCAAATAAGAGAGATTAACAGTAGTTTGTAATCACACCTTTTTTAAAAAGGACATCCAAAAATTAGATATCATACATAACATTTGGATAATTCTATAGAGATATAATAAACCCAAATCATGAACATGAAATATGTTGATGTATAAAACATTGCACATGAAAAAGAAACTTAGAAATAAAGAAAGAGCAGCTAGGAGTTATAACAGCTGACAGGTGTTGCATGCTTCCTGTGTCTGAGGTCCTATTCTAACCAAGTTACCTGTGTTAGCTCATTTGATTTTCATAGCAACCTTAGGTTTCCAGAGAAACTCATTTTACAGTTGAGAAAACTGGGGTACAGAAAGGTTGATTGATTTGCCCAACATCACACAGCCAGTAAGGAGTGGAGCCAGAATGTGAACACAGGTCATCCAGCCCTAGAATTCCTGCTCTTAACAATTATCCCACGTTGATCAGACTGCCAGCATCAGAATGACCAAGGGTGCTTGGAGAAGGTACACATTCCCAGACTCAGCTGCCAAATCTACTAAGGGAGAACTTCTGAGAGGAGCACTATGTTAAATTGCCAAATGTAATTTATAAATAAATTCATTAGAAGGAATAGGTCTCCTAAAACTTCCCTGAAAATGAATGATAGGGAAACTCTTCACTCTATTTTTCCCCCCAGCCAGCTCTGTGCTTTACTAGGATTCATTGCTTGGTTCCAAAAGAGAAGAAACCCTGCCCCGCCTGGGCATGTTCTACAGCAGCTTGCAACCATCTTTGGGTACTAAGAATCATCCCTTATCTTTCTTTCCTTTTTTTTTTTTTTCTTTTTGAGACAGGGTCTCTCTGTGTTGCCCAGGCTGGAATGCAGTGGTACAATCACAGCTCACTGTAGCCTCAAACTCCTGGGTTTAAGCGATCCTCCCACCTTAGCCTCCCAAGTTGCTGAGACCATAGGTGCACACCCCCACACCTGGCTAATTTGTTTACATTTTGTAGAGAAAGGTCTTGCGATGTTGCCCAGGCTGGTCTCAAACTCCTGGGCTCAAGTGATCCTCTAGCCTCGGGCTCCCAAAGTGCTAGGATTACAGGCATAAGCCACCATGCCTGGCCCATTCCTTCATCCTTCTATGAACGATGATGGATCTGGGCAAATCTAGCATTACACCCTTGCCCATCTGCCTGCTCTCACATTTGTGAAATAATTCACCAGGCTGAGCATGTAGCTGGGCTGCTTGGAGCAGAGGGAAGAACACACAGGGATCAGACCCTGACCTTATTAGCACGGCATGATCATCATGCCTGGCATAATCCAGACAGAGTGGCACCCAGCTGGAGAAGTTTCTGTCTTTCCTGTAGGAGAAGGATCAGTAGAGGCCAGTGCATCTGCTCCCTGACTCTGCTACCAAGCAATTCAAGCAGTAGAGTCTGTTTACAGGGTAAGAAAAATACATTTGTCTGGCACACAATCCCTGAAAGAACTTTTTGCATTGAAATAGGAATTTGAATTATAGTCAGACTACTAATTCCCTTTCAGGTTTCTCATGCCAACAGTCATGTTGTCAGTGAAATTTAAATGTGGGAAAAATGCTTTTATGGACTGCCAGATTGTTTGGCAAATGATTTAGGTCTACTTGGTTTATTTGTGAAGCAGTGATTTTTGTTAACTGCAAAATAATATGAAAATAAAGAATTAAATTTTGCTGTATACATGGGTTTTATTTCTCCAACAATAACATTCTTAGTCCTACCTCGTCTTTCTTCTTAAATTTAAAATGTCAATGTACAGATGTATGCTATATAGCATATACTTGCTTGTCTGCTTTCTTTTTCACACATAAATCAATATAGGTCCTTTCTCATTTGTGGCTTTTTACTCTTATTTTCTGTTGATCTGGAAATAATATGGTTGGTTCATGTGTAATAACTTCTGGAAATTTGTTTTCTCTGCCTTAGCAGAGAAATTAACCCCTAAAGAGAATTCATATTGAATACATTCTGTAGATGTTATTCTATATTTAAATTGTGTCAAGTTGTAATAAGAGTTTGGCCTTAATTTTACATGTTGTTGTCTTTTGGCATTTCAGTCAAATTTTATCATTTTCAAAAGCAGCACCCAAAGTGACAGTGTTAAAGTGGCCCTGGGTGCCCATGGGACTCACCCTCTGTACACCACCCAGGCCCTTCTACCTTCCAGAGGGGTAGCACCTCCTCCACAGAGGCGAGTCCACAATTCACAGTCCAGTCCTCAAACTGAGATGTCTGCCTTTCTAGCTTCTTAATCCTTGCAGCTAATGATCAGGCCGCAGTTCTCCCCAATAAATTCCAGTTCTGTTTTGAATGAAGATGTATAAAATGAAAAAAGCCATTTCCCATGCTGTATGCTCTATCAGAAAGACTTCTATCCTCAGAATTGGTAGGAAGTCACTCTTCAGACTTCTGAGGTTTATCAAGCCTGGCCCGTAATTGTTGTTGAATTGTTTTCCATAGGTGCATCTCTCAATCCTTTCGTCTTCTTTGTAGCTGGCCTCTGACCCACGCCTCTGATTTCATGTCCTCCAATTATGGATCCGAGCGCCAGTCTCATTGGTGTCTGATCAGAACTGAACGGAAAAGAATTACTTTAACAGCAATTGAAGCCATTTCTGGATGATTTCAACATATCCAAAAAACAAGTCATTGAAAAGCCAGGGTTTCTCTCTAATTAGCTGTGTGATGGTGAAGCCTCATTTGCTGTTATCATTGATCTTAGGAGGCCGTGGGTAACTTTGTGCCTTGTAAAGTTTGATATTGTATAATCTCATACAGAAATGTGAGGTCACTAAATTCACACATGAAAGTACACTAGGCTGTCTGAGGCCTTGGTCTGAGTGTCATCATTTCCCAAATGCCAGACAAATAGGCTTAATATTTTTTACCAAGTTAACCACTTGTGAGACAGTACTGGCCCACTCAAAATTGCTTTTGATGTTTAGATACTCCATTTGAATGTACTATCATCCCACTATGGTTTTAGAATTATTTAAGATGAAATATTATTTTAAAAGCAACTAATAAGTAAATTGGACCCACTTATAAAGAGAAATGTATATCATTATTAATAGTAGTACTATTTCAGGTCAAATCAAGAAGCTTTTCCAGGCCGGGCGTGGTGGCTCACACCTATAATCCCAGCACTTCGGGAGGCCAAGGTGGGAGGATCATTTGAGGTCAGGAGTTCGAGACCAGCCTGGCCAACATTGCGAAACCCCATTTCTACTAAAAATACAAAAATTAGCCCAGCATGGTGGCACACGCCTGTAATCTCAGCTACTCAAGAGGCTGAGGCAGGAGAATTGCCTGAGTCTGGGAGGCGGAGGTTGCAGTGAGCCGAGATCACGCCACTGCACTCTAGCCTGGGCAAAAGAGCAAGACTCTGTCTCAAAATAAATAAATAAATAAATAAATAAATAAATAAATAAATAAATAGAAATTTTAAAAAAGAGAAGCTTTTCCAACGTTGACACCCTTTCTCTGGTATCTTCTCCCTGGCTTTCCCCTGCTCTTCCGAGAGGCAGCCATTTTATCCTCCTGTTTCATATCTGTTGCACAGCCAGCTATGTGCTCGCTCTCTCTATGGCGTACATGATGAGATGCTGCAGCAGCTTCTAGTTCTCTAGCATCTGATTTCTACATTTTCATTTCCCTTTTTCTTTCTATCTATTTTAGGGAGTTCATCACCAGACATAATACTTACTGATTCTTGTCACTCAAAGTAATGTGAGATGCGGGAATCTGCTTTAATCTTGGAACACTCATATAATTCACTAGGCCCTTTGTTTCCATGAGGATCAAAGCAATCATAAAAATAAGAATGTGCAGAAGACCTTAAAGAAATCAGCAAGCATAATCAGATGATAGTCATGAAAAGAATTTAATTGCGTATTTCATCTTTGCATTCTGTTCTCCTTTTATGTAAGGAGGCATGGAGAGCGAAAAGGAGAGCATGTGAATTCTGGCTGATCCTGAAGGACAAATATCTTTATTTTCTCTTCTCCCCTGGGAGTGGGATGAGCAAGAAACAATGTTCCACTGTGCAATCCAGTTTTGTCTTAACAGACACTTTCTACTGGGATCTGACAGGCTCGCTTCGATTTTTTACTCATTAACATGATCAATAATGATGATGCTGCCTCTAGCATATTACACTTTACAGAGAACTTTTCTCATTTATGGCTTGCAGTTCAACTCACTATTAGGTATTGATTTCATTTTGGAAATCAGGAAACATGCACAGAGAGGTTAGATGATATTTCTGAAGATACCCTGCTTGTGAGTCTTAGAGCCAGGGTAGGAACCCAGGTGTTCTAACTCCAAAGCCCTTTCTTTGTGCCACACATTGCTATTACTGAATAAAAAAGCAGAGGGAGTCTCATTTATTGAGCACCTAGTATGCACAAGAAGCATTACATACGTTAATTCTCACAGTAATCTTGAGAAGATAGATGATATCATCATTATTTTAGCTAGAAAGCAAGAACTCAAAGGGGTTTAATTACTTGCCCAGGGTCATATAACTGATACCATGTCAAATATTACATTTTCTTTCCTCCATTACAGATTGTGGATCCTCCTCTGGAATACACAAGAATTTGTTCTTGGTACCTTCCCTCCAACCCCACCATCCCCTCGGATACTATAGTTTTAAAGATAGGGAGGGTGTGATCATCATACTGTGCATGTGCAGTGCCTGGTGAATTTTTCAATGCCAAACAGAAGCCTCTGCAATACCTGAATATTGTTTCAGTTCTTACAATGTAAAAATGGTAGAAAATGCACAAAAGATGAACATCAGTGTCAGCCTTTTTGCCATGATTGTGATTTTCGTGTGGTAACAAACACCCCTCAGCCCATCAAAATCTACCCATCACTGGAAACCTGCACCAACCGTCCCCGTTCCTGGAGCTTACTTCAGCTTACATTGATTTGTTTTTTCTCTGATTTCTCTAGTACTTACGTCATACTATAAACACTTCACACACAACCAGGCTCTCAGATTGCTTTGTGTGCTTCATTTTGCCAGTTTATGGGAAATAGAAATTTTCTGATTTCTAGGTTGTATCTCGTAGATGTTTACTTTGTATTTTTCTCAGTACCCCACACAATGCTAGGTATATAGATATTTAATGTTTGGTTGGTTTTCATTAAGAAGTTAGGTTAAGAATATTGATTAAATAACATAATTTTTGCTTTGTATCAATTTTGAGTCCAAACATCAATTTCACCTAGGCACTAAATTGTTTGGGATAAGTTAATAACTAGTTTTATTCTTGGTTTAAAACTGTCTACAAAAAAAAGAATAGCCATTTGATAGATTTTTTTTTCTCGAGACAGAGTCTGGCTCTATCACCCAGGCTGGAGTTCAGTGGAGCGATCTTGGCTCACTTCAACCTCTGCCTCCCGGGTTCAAGCGATTCTCCTACCTCAGCCTCCCAAGTAGCTGGGATTACAGGCATGTGCCATGATGCCCGGCTAATTTTTGTATTTTTAGTAGAGACAGGGTTTCACCATGTTAGCTAGGCTGATCTCGAACTTCTAACCTCCAGTGATCCACCCATCTCAGCCTCCCAAAGTGCTGGGATTATAGGCATAAGCCACCATGCCTGACCTAGAATATTTTTGTTTTTATTTTTATTTTTGAAGATATATGTGGATTCTCTTGAACATGAAAACACAAGGTCAAATGGGTGAGAGGAGTGTAGTCAATGAAGAAGACAAAGATAAGAAAACATAGGTACAGGCTGGGAAACATGGCCAAATTCTGACATGAAGGGATCAAAAACAAAAGAATAAACACACATACTAAGTATAAATGTAAATATAAAATTGGATAGGGATCTTGGAGCCAAATAAAAAGTAGCCTAAGAAATTTGGACTTTATTCTATGGCCAGTAGGAAGACATAGACTGTTTTTGAACAGGAGTGAGTGGTGGTACAGATGGTGATGGAGGTAGTGGGGTCATCTCTAAACTTCAATACCTCAGGGGCCAGTCAACAACATAAAGACAGCCAGATAAGAGTACAAAAGTGGCAGCTGCTACTAGTTGTAGTCCTCCATGGCCACACAGCAATGCAGGAACCATTTTTACCATCTTTTGAAATTTTTCAAAACAAATTAGAAATCTGGGCTTTTGTGTAAAAAATTTACATTTTAAAATGTTAGCTTAAGGAATTTTAAACACGACGTTAATCAAACAGGCCACTTCTGTGAGGCAGATACCAGCCTGTGATCTTGACCTACATGAGTGACACAATCACTTTTCAAAATAGTTAACTAGAGAAAGCTGGTCAGAATCAGGGCAAGAACTGCACATGGCAGAGAAATATTCTTATTTTAGAGGCAGACTCACTGGTTTTATTTTAAAATGAACATGTTTACAGTGTGTAAATCAGCTGAGCTTTAGAACTTTTGCAAACATTCAACTCTTTAGAATTGACAATGGTAATATAACAAGAATCTTTAAAATACATCAGAAATTAAGAACTTGCTTTATAAACCCTCACCTGACTTTAAACATAAATTAAACAGGTGCTAGAGGACTTTTGAGACAATAATTAACCAAGTATTCATTGATAAAACACAGGCATAAACCAGGACATTCTTGGGCAAACTAGGACGTATGGTTACCCTATCTACTTACATATAGTTGGAATTCTAAAATAAACACATTTTTAAAATGAGGTTAAAGTAGCTTGAAGGGTTAATAACTGAAATTTTCTTCTAGAATTGTTATAAGATAATAATCCTCAAAATTGGGAAGCACAGTTATTCCCCCAGCAGCACATGTAAAAAGAATGTAAATGTAGCCACATCACAGTGAAACTACAGAATACCAAAGATGAAAAGAAGCTCCTAAAAGTAGCTTCAGAGTAATGATAGTTCATATGTTGGGGACAAATGGAAAAGAGCCTAAGAAACTTGGACTTTATTTCCTAGCCAATAGGAAGACATAGCATGGTTTTGAACAAGAGGTGAATGGTAGTATGGATGGTGATGGAAGTCATGAGGTCTTTATCACAATAAAGATAGTGATTAAAATGGAACAATAATTAGATTTACAGCAGACTTTTCAATGGTATCAACTAAAGCCTGAAGACAATGGAATGATGTGGTAAAGTGAAGATAGACTATAACTAGAATTATATACCCAGCTAAACATTATTCATAAGTAAGGGTTAAACAAAAATATATTTGGACATACAAAAGAAGTATTTATTACCGGCAGACCTTCCCCAATGGGATTTCTAAAAAAATGCACTTCAAAAACATGAAAGGAGGATTTGAGATACAAGAAAAACTTGTGAGCAGAGAAACTGGAAAACATGTGGATAAATACAAATAAATAATGTCTGTGTTAAAAAGTGTCTGACTTAGGGAGTAAAAAATCAAGGTAGTTTAAAATATAAAACATTGTACAACATTATGATTTATGATAGGAATGGATGACTGAAAAATTGAATTTTGGAGAATGAAGTTAAAGATATTGCTTGTTTTTTTTAAATATAAATTTCTACATTTTCATAATCACTTTATTATAGGCATAACTTCCAAATTAATAAAGAGATGAATGAGATTAGACAAAATAGAAAATTTTCAACCAAAGAGAAAGCAGGATATGAAAAAAAGAAACATAACATAATCAGACCAAATGTCATAGAACAAGATAGTAAATATACAAATAAATATAGTGGTTATTATAGAAAATATTAGTGGGCCAATTTCTTGATAAAAGGATTCTGATCCACTGTATCAAAAATACTATGAGAAAGAAAAATATATTTTAATTCAGAGCTGAAAAGGACTTAGAAAATGTAGTTTCTCATTTATAAATGAGAAAATCAAAGCCTAGAGAGTCGAGTGAGATAACCAAAGTCACTTTTCTAACAAGTACCAGAGATTCAACCAGAATCTAAGTTTCCTGGCTTCTAATACTATATGATCTATTAAATTATACTTTTGTCTTCTTTTCCACAAAAACGTATTTAATTCCACAGGCTGAGTTTCCTGTGCATCTTTTTTTTTTCTTCTTGAAGATACTACTAGCCTTTTCTCCAGGACTAAAAGTATTTTTTTTTTCCTAGAGGGTAGACAAAGTTGTGACTGCTGATGAGAATAAAAATATTGCAATAAAGAAAAATCTTAGGTGATTTTTTTTCTTTTGCTTTGACTGACCTAAGCTTAAGGAAAGATAATTTCTTGTCTAATTGTATCTTTAAAAGTACGGAAGGGAATTAATGAAGGAAGAAGAAGAAGAATCTTGAATAGGTGGAACATTTTCAGCTTGTTAAAATTTGTGAGTTTTGATGTTGTGATTAAAGATTTTAAGTGCCGGTGACACAGTAGATTTTGGAGAATTTCATTGACTTTAGTTTTTTGCACAAGTTAAATTCGAGATATCTGTGTGTCCCATGATGAAAATATGGTTCTGGAATACAGAAGTGTAGTCAAGGTTTCCTAGTAAGCGGACTATTATATTTATAGATTACATTTCAAATTGTGAAGAAAGTGTAGTATCTGGTAGCATCATACAAGACGATGAGAGAGAATGAAGATCAGAAGCCTGTACAGCACCATGAAGAGGTGAGCAGAAAGGGAAGCTTGCCAATCAGGAAGAGGAGCTCGCCACATGAAGAAGAAAACTTAGAGAGACTAAAGAATCAGGAGAGCGTCATGCCCTGGAAGAGTGAATTTAAAGAAATAAGGGGTTAGTTACATATGTATACATGTGCCATGCTGGTGCACTGCACCCACTAACTCACATATGTAACTAACCTGCACAATGTGCACATGTACCCTATAACTTAAAGTACAATAAAAAAAAAAGAAAAGGAAAAAAAATAATAAATAAATAAATACATAAAAGTCTTTCAGCAGGAAAAAAAAAAAAGAAATAAGGGGTTATCATCTATACCATGTGTTTTAGAATAGACAAGTAAGATGAGAACCAAAAGTTAAACTGCTGGATATGGTAGTGATGAGGTCATTGATTATTTTAGCATGAACAATTTCAGTAGAGTCTTAGCACTGGACACAGCTACAATTGGTTGAAAAATGAATGGGGTTTGAAATAACGAAGCTGAAAAAGATCTAAAGCACATACATGAACAAAGGTTCAAAAGCGAGATGATAACATCAAACAGAAAGCCAAAGTAAAAAAAACTATAACCTAACTTCTTCACTATTCAACCTAATATTCAGAAAGAGGACTAGACTTTGGATATTTGAGAAAAGCTGATCTTTGGTATGACCTGTGTCACCTCCCAGCACTGTGACTTAGAACTGGCACCTAACCTCTTTATTTCTCAGTTTCATCATCTAAAAAATGGTCTACTGCTTCAGAATAAATAAATGGCATGATACATATGAATGTGCATATATGTAACACCCTGTTTAAGTCTACATTCTTGATGTTGTTTTTATAATATTTTATTGGTAGTTTGCTCGGTAAAAAGCCTAAACTTGTGGTATACTTTGATGTTTTATCTAAACCCTGTTTTTGATCGTGCTCTGCCCAGTCACCTGTACCCATCCCCAAACCATGACTCGAATAGATCTCATAGTATTTCCAGTCATTGTTCTCTTATTAAAAAAAAAAAAAAAAACAACTCAGGCAGAACACAGGGGACTTTTAGGGCAGTGAAACTACTCCATATGATACTATAATTGTGAATTCATGTCATTACAAATTTCTGCAAAACCACAGGATGTAAAGCACCATGAGGGAACCCTAATGTAAACTATGGACTTTGGGTGATAATGATGTGTTACTGTAGGTTCATCAGTTGTGACAAATGCACCACTCGGGTGGGGGATGTTGATAGTGGAGGAGGCTATGCATGTGTGGGGCTAGGGTGTTTATGAGATATCTCCGTATTTTGTTCAGTTTTGCGTGAACCTAAAACTGCTTTTTAAAAAGTTGATTATTAAGACAGAAACAAATCTCAGTACTGTTGAGCCCAGTTTAAAAAGGCAAAATTGTCATATCCAGTTTAACAATAATATTCTTCCCTTACCATAAATCTGACTATATTCTCAGCGACTGGTAGTACAATCAAAAGAGCAGTTTGATCCTCCCTTTCTGTCCCTTCTTTTTGTAGCTCTTGCTGTTTCAAAATCAGGGATGAAGAAGAGCTGGGAGATGAAGGGAGGGCAGATGACTGTACGTAACCTGATGTGCAATTACAATTCTTTCTTGGCTTCTTCAGTGAAGCCTGTCCTGCCACCCACAGGACAAGCTTCTGTGTGACAGACATCTGAATGCTGGTCATCTGAATGCTGGTTCCCTTATGGAGGACCTTCAGGGAGCCTGTTAGGGCTCTCTCGCTGCATAGTGCCATGACATGGAAGATTTGCTCAGATTCCTTCTCTTTTAAAATTTCTTCAGCTCCCTTCTGCCCCTGTTAATATACATCATAGCTTTCCACACCTCATCCAGGAGACAGCTCTCTTGGAGATGGCTTAATGGCAAAACGTCTCAAGTGCAGCTACCTGCTGTAGTGTTTACAGATCCATGGGAAACTCACATAATCTAGCCATGCTAGCCTGTGGGAAATCAGGCTTCTCCACTGCCTCCCCTTCCTCAACCCTGCTGTCTCTCTCCAGGTATCAAGTACTCTTGCACAAAAGCCGATCAAAATTTCATTGTTTAAGCAGATACTATTCAATGAGCCCAATCGGCACATGGCTTTGTGTGCATGAAAGTGCCCATCCCTTTACAAAGAGTCTGGTTTGAGTCTTAGTTGCCTATTTTAGGGCAATAGTAAAAGTCCCATTCAAAAGCCTGTTATCCTTTAAAACGCAATGCATTTGATCTAATGCAAGCATTTCTTATTGTGTTCTGTGAAGAAAAACAATTCTCAACCTTGACTAAAAGCTGTAAGCTGCCTGCATTTATGTATTTATCCTGCAGGTTTTGAAAAAATTGAGTGTAATCAAAATCCCACTGGGAAAAAGTATGTCAAAAAGATTAATTAGAAGGAAAGCAAAAATGATGTCTTCTCCTGCCTTTGTGTTAAACATTCTTAGAAAACAAGCACTGAAATAAAATAAGTAAAGATGCCTCTATATACTTTCGGCTGTAAATTTTATTAAGGTCTTGAAGAGAGTTCCTCTGAGTGTTTAAATAGCATTTACTGAAAACCATCTCCAACTTTCATGAGCAGAAACATGCAATTGTTAGATCTGTCAGGGTATTACTGAAAATGGAGTCAAAGGCCCCTTATAAAAAAGCTATCTATGGCTTTTCCTCTCTTCCAGGAAAGATGAATTGCCATGGTAACACTGCCATGAAATAATAGGTCAGGTTTTATCCTTCTGCCTCAGGCTTATTCTATTAGGTTTTACTTAGAAGTGGATGCCATTGTAAAATGAAGGTTTTTGGTATTTCAAAACTAAACATCATGACAAGAAAAATCTGATCAATAAAATCTGCTGGTATGAAAAGGTTGGATAAAGGACAACAGGTAGGGAGTTAAACTGATTGGAGAACTATTTAGAGGCTGGTTTATTAGTACTCTTCTAAAATGTGGGCTTGTTTCACAGATGCTTGTATAACTGAATATGCATAAATGAAGCCAGGCTGACTGCACAAGATCAGTTGGGAAAAGTGGTTTGTAAATTTTATTTTAATGGAGGATTAACTGCTCTAGGGAAAAAGTTTCCATTTCATTCCGAATGAAACAAGAAAGCATAAAATATTTAAGCTTCCTATTTTTCTTACTATTTTTAAAAGACAAATTCAATACTGTTTTGTGCCTATTTATGGAAATTTCTAAAAATGCAACTTGGGAGAAGTATTAATGACATTACACAAACAACATGGTGTGTAATAATTGAAATTCTGTTGTTTCTGTTGTTTGGGGGAGTTGTGTCTCAGTATATGCGTCATGACTTTACATTTTTCTGGAACAGTATCTCAATCATTTTGGGATGAAATTCCAACAGAAACTAATATATATTTTTTGTCATATCAAGCAACATTGCTCTGTCCTTCTAATAGGACATACATTAGAATAAGAGAGAAATAGATATCTAGTTTTTAAAGTAACAAGATATATCAAACCAACTTTTTTGAAGAGTTTCATTTAATTTAAATGTAAGTTAAATGTAGAACATGGTAGTGGATTTTAGCATAACATCTTTCCTGAATTCACACAGTGAGACTATGTCTGACTTCTCCATAGACCACCTTGAATTTTCTGTAGTTTTTTCTTCTGTAAAGTACTAACAGTGTGTGTGGGTAGCTCTGAGATTTATATTGCCTTCAGTCTGATCATGAAGATTGCAAAGTGGGGTCAGTGACTGTGCTAGTTTCCTAGGGCTGCTATAACAAAGAGGCACAAACTGGGTGGCTTAACACAGCAGAAATTTATTGTCTCACAGTTCCAGAGGCTGGAAGTTCTAAATTAAGGTGTTAGCAGTGCCATGCTGTCACTGAAGGCTCTAGGGGAGAATCCAATTCTTGGCAGTCCTTGTCTTATAGATTCATCAGGCCAGTCTCTGCCTCTGCCTTTACATGGCTTTCTCCTCTGAGTGTTATATCTCTAAAGTGTTATGTATATAAAGATTAGGGCCCATTTTAATCCAAAGTGACCTACCTACTGGGTACAGGGTATACTGCTTGGGTGATGGGTACACCAAAATCTCAGAAATAACCACTAAACAACTTAATTCATGTAACCAAACACCACCTGTTCCCCAAAAACTTATTGAAATAATTTAAAAAAGGAAGACCTCATTTAATTTGGTTACATCTGCAATGACCCTTTTTCTAAATAAAGTCACCTTCATAGGTTCTGGGGTGAGGAATTCAGTGTATATTTCTGGGGGACACAATACAACCCACAGCAGAAACTGAATTGAGGGACTTCGACACTAAATAAATTATCTCTATTACAATTTTAAATTGCTATGCTGTCTAGTTCTTTAGGGAAATAAATGGTGATATTACTTGAGTTATGTTTCATTACTAATGGTTACTCTCATTTTCCCTTTCCCTTCAACTTTAAATTTTTGTAGATATATAGAGAATATGGTATTCCTAATTAAGTGCTCTCAATGTGTAGAATTTTAAAATGTACAAATATGGTTAGAATAGGTAAAATAAATTGAATATATACCTATCACAGTTCCTAACTTGTAATAGGTGTTCCACTAAATGTTTATTGAATGAATCAATCAGTGTTAACATTAAAATATACTGAGCATAATTTAATCTGTCTTTAATGATTCAAAACATTTTCTTTGGGCAAAAGGTAACTAGGTATGAATTAAGAGATCCCCACTTGCCTGAGTGCTCAATGACTAAGTATTTATTCTATTTCACTTCTTTATGTCCATTTGGAAACTCATTAGGTTTTTTGTCTTGGATTACACTGTTCCCAGCCCCCATTTCTTTTGACTTTCCCCTTTGGGTTATCACATATTCTTTTCTATAGCTTAATTAAACTACTTCTGTTGAACAATTAACATCAATGTGTTCTGATTTGGTTTCTCCACCTATAAAATTGTCTACTTTATCATGTATCAGGATTGTCTGTCCTTTGATCTATTTTTCTCTGTCTAGGTATCCAATAAATGTATTTTGATCGTGGTTATATTATTTGAGTTGTATTTCTTTACTAACGGTTACTCCCATTTTCCCTTTAATTGAATACAAGGAGAAGTAACCACTAAAACAAAAAACAAATTACATTACAACTCCTACCTTACAAATGACTGCTATTTCCTCAGTTTTAAAACTGAATGTTATTTCTGCATGACCTTAGAAGGTTTTAAGAATTCAGTACATACAGTTTTAAAAAAGAAAGATTTCATTAGAAAAACATTCTAAGGCAGAAACAGAGTGCCAAAATTCAAACCAAAAAAGTTTTAAGCTACTACTTATCAAGCTGTGAATGTTTTCTATTTTATAGTTTTTTCTTGACAGATATTCAAGTATTTGTTAATCAAACTTGCCATTAATGCCAAAATTCCCCTAAAAACATGATTAGGAAATCAAAATATTTAAGCTAACTGAAATAATTTTTTTTTCAAAAAAAAAAAAAAAAGAGGAAAATGAAAGCTGTATCACTCATGGAAGAAAGTTTTTATTTTTTAATCACATTTTTATCCCTCATTTTCTCTCTGATATTTCCAGTTGTTTTTTTCAGTCACGAGAAGCCTACATTTATGGAAAATCAGCAAGTATAACCAGCTATTAGCATCAGCTAGGGAGAGGAACAACACAAAGCCAGGATTTTGAGCCAGCTTCCTGGGCAAATTGGGAAAAGATACCATTTTAGTTAGTTACCTGAGACTGTTCAAGTTTAATTACATTAGTGGCACTTGACATTATAAAATGTTTTTTTCTTTCAGATATAACCTTCTTCCATCATTAGTAAACGTCAATTATAATGAAGTGTTTTTCCCACTTCCTTTTCTTCCTGATATAACGGAAGAAAATGCTAATGAGTTTATAATCCTGAAATTGTTTTCAAAGCCAAAACAAAGTCAGCTTGGTGTCTGTTTATTAGCTTAATTTTATTCTTTATATTTGGAGAACAAATTTTCTCATTTTGTTTCTTACTATATTTTCCCTACTTAGTGCAATTTCTTATTCTCCCTGAGAGCTTTTAAATGATAAATATTACCAATTAGATTGTATTTCTGGGTTCAAATCAGAATGATGTTGAAGATCCTGCCCCTTGCTGTGACTTACGTACTATCTGAAAGCTTCTATTTTTTTTTTCTTAAAAGCTGGTTTTTCCCTCTCTCTTTTTTGATTTTGATACATAATGGCTATTCAATCCATGGGTTCTAACAGTTTCCTGTAACATTTCAATCAGAATATAATGGTGACTTGATTTCTTCTCTCTCAAAGATTAAATATGTCCACATATGAAATTGATGCATTTTATAACAAAGAACAAGTTTCTTTACTGTCAAAATGAAATTAACATCTTATGAAAATGGGACACCATCACTGGAAGAGGTCAAGAAGGAAGAGAGAGATAAAGTCAGTTTTCCAATACAACATTATTCAGTGTCTGTGCTGAAAACATGCTTGACAGAAAAGGTCTGGGTCACCTTTTAGCAGTGTCTTGGTATACTGTTTGTTTTCCCCTACTGAGAAATTAGGGGGAAGCTGTCTATTGTAGTGCAGAGAAGGCAGCAGGCATGGGGTCCCAACCTGTAAGAATGCTGTGTAATCAATGCCAAAAAAAAAAAAGTGTGACCAAGAGAAAAAGAAAGCCATTTAAAGTTACTTTACAATAGGCAAAATAAAAATGGTAAATTACATTTATAGATAATATGTTCTGGAAAATACGAACCCAAGCCAAATGTGGGAAAATTTTAAAATAGACTGACTAGTTATAAGGGGTTATGCTCCCCAGAAAGCTTACACATATCACAAAAGCTTTGCTTATGCTTTTCATTTTAAACAGTCTTTTGAAGTTTGGTCCTGGCATTTTATCCATATTGTCTACCTTTCTTCTTTGTTTCACAGCTGGATATACTGCTAACTGAATTAAATCCAATGAATATACAAGAATATCCAAATAAGTTCAAGAGTTGCTTCTTTCTGCCTAATTTGTATATTTGTCCCAATGAGATACACTTTACGACATCTATGTTTATCCCTAGCATCTACATTTTTATTTTAAAATATTTATAAAATAGTAAGCAAAGTATAATAAAATATTCAAATAGTGGCCAAGTAATTTCTATCATATAGTCATGCAATTATGCAACATTGCATTGTTATGGCTGGGATTCAACTCTTAAATTCATTAACCATTTATTTACCTTTTCAATAATTTTTACTATTAGAATATTTAACTTTTTTAGTGATTTCTTAGCACCGTTTTACATATTAAATATATTAACCTTTGGTCTCTCTGGTCTAATGCAAATATACTTCCCAGTTTATCATTTGATGTTCTATCATTTTAATTCTACTTTTTTTATATTCAAGGGATTGACAGATTTTCATGTGGTGAAATCTTTACTTTCTTTTTTGTTTTCTGCCATTGATAGTATGTTCTGAAAGATCTTCCTCACCTGTTCTACATTATTTCTGCTATTTTGAGTGCTATAATCTGTTTTCATCTTACTTTTGAAACTTTCTTTTCTGTAAAATTACCAAATAAATACCTTGTAATCAGGCCAGCCTTACCCCTGCTCCAAGAGTAGAATATAATTGTTGGCTTCACAAAAAATCACACTCTTAGCTAATTTTCAGTTCCATTTTATAGCCTACATTCTTCCAGAATAATTCACTGATTCCCAGCCTCCTTGGATCACTCTTCTCTAAACTTTCAGGAGCCGAATAGGATATAACACACAAATTGGGAAAGAGTTGTAGGCAATCTTTAGTTTCACACTGCTGTTCATGGTGGGGTGTAAGCATCTAAGCAGGTACACACCTATGGGTGAAGAACAGCAAATTCAACATGAGCCCTTCCCAATAGTGACCTTATGAGACGTTAATTTCATTTTGATGGTAAAGGGAGCTGTTTCTGTGTGCAACATGTTAGTTTTGCCTCCAAGGCCTGTTAAATCTTAGGGGTAGCTGGGATGCACTCTGCATCCAAAGGAGGCATCTCTGGGATAAGAGAGTCCAGATTGATGTCAGAAAGAAGATAATATTTCTGTCCAAACTGCTAAGCATCTAAAGAGTACTAGGAAAGAGAAGTTAGATGCCAATCTCCAGGGAAAGTGGCGAAGAGAGAAACTGAAGAGCATTTGAATTATAAGTGATGCCCCAGGTCCTGAGGAGGGAGTTTGAGTTGAGGAACAATTACTCTAATTACACTATAAGGTATATGTGATGTATACAGGTCCATTTTGGTAATGTATCTGCCTCTGATTCCCAAATTGAACTGTTATATGCCATCTCTCTTTTGCAAATGTCAAACTTCTGTACTTGTAAGCTGCTGTCTTTATCTTGTATTAGCCTTGCTGTCCCACATCTAAGTAATAAAAGCTAGTACTTGCCATTTATTGACCAATTTTTGTGTGCTGCTCTCTGTGGGAAGCACTTTACATGAATTACTTCATGGAACCCTAACAAGCATGCTAAATGTTAGAGGGATTTGGTTTACAGAGGTTCAGTAACTTGGCCACATTCCTCGGCTATCTAATGGGAGAGAAGGACCTCAAATCTGGATCTGTCTGACTCAAACATACATACAAAGCAGGTTTTTTTATTCCCATTTTACAATTAAATAAACTGAGACTGAATTGCAAGCTTCTTAAAAGCAGGGACCTTTTTATAAACTTCCTTTTTTCCCCCCACAGTGGCTTGTACTTGGTAGATAGACAAATGCATAGTGGTGGAGCTAATATACTCCTCTGATCTTAAACTGCAATAAAAAGCTCAGATTTTAAATAAATATGATCTATCTTTTTATTTTGTTTTCTATAGTCAGATGCTGCTTAATGAAAGTAAACATATGTAGAAGGTACTTTGAGCGGGTTCTTTACCAAAAAAAGAATTTTTCAGAATATTGCAGAACTGCAATATAAAAATCATTAGGACATAAAAGTGGTTTAAAAGAGGTAGCAACTTATCCTAGATCACAAAGAAAAGAACAGAAACAAAGAAACAAATGAAAAAAAAAACCCTCTGCACTTTAACTCCATCCTCCCACATTCTGACTTTGTGTTATTACAATTTACATATATTTATATTGCCTTTCTCTTAACAGGTTGCTGTAACTACTGTTGTTTTCATAGATTTGTCTTTTGGGCTTCATACTAGAGTTATGAGGGGATTGCCACCACAATTGTACAGTATTGTCGGTTTGTCTATGCGCTTAATTTTACCAGTGGGTTTTATACCTTTAAGTGTCTTCTTTTTGCATATTAATGGAGTTTGTTTTCAAATTGAAGAACTCCCTTTAGCATTTGTAGATGGGTCTGGTGGTGGTGAATTTTCTCAGCTTTTGTTTGCCTGAGAAAGACTTCATCTCCTTCATAGATAAAGGATATTTTTGCTGGCTACAGTATTCTTGGATGGCAGGTTTCTTCAGCACTTTGAAAATGCAGTCCCACTCTCTCCTGGCCTTTATGGTTTTCATTGAGAAGCCTGTTGTCAGACAAATTGGAGCTCCTTTATATGTTATTTGCTTCTTTGTACTTGCTGCTTTTAGGATTCTCCAGTTGTCCTTGACCTTTGAGAGTTTGACTATTATAAGTCTTGGGGTAGTCTTATTTGGGTCAAATCTGTTTGGTATTCCCTGACCTTGCTACCTCTGATTATTTATCTCTTTCTCAAGCTTTGGAAAGTTTTCTCTTATTATTTCTTTAAATAAGCTTTCTATCCCTTGCTCCTGCTCAACTCTTTTGAATGCCAATAATTTTTAGATTTGGTCATTTGAAGTACAAATATAGAGTTTGGTAGAAGAAATAAGATGTAGTGTTTGATAACTCAGTAGGGTGACTATAATTTACAATAATCGATTGTATATTTTAAAGTAGCTAGGAATGAATAATTTGAATGTTTCTGCATAAAGACAAATATTTAAAGTGTTGTATATCTTAATTATACTGATTTGATCTTTACAAATTATATAAATCTATTAAATTATTACATGTACCCTGAAAATATCTACATCTATTATGTATCAGTAAAAAAATCATTTTTAAAAATCATTAGGGGAAACAAGACCAAAAAAGATAGACAGCTATACACAACAAGTACATTTTAGACTCTATTGTGACTCTTTTTGGAATTATTAATCACTTCCCAAAAATGTATTGCCTTATTTCTGAGAGATTATCATTTTTTTTTTATTCTTTAGGACACAGCAGGCCAGGAAAGATACAGGACTATCACCACAGCCTATTATCGTGGAGCCATGGGCTTTATTTTAATGTATGACATTACAAATGAAGAATCCTTCAATGCAGTACAAGATTGGTAAGTCAGAGCAAATACTCTTATTACTGATAATGATGGTTCTCCGGTCAACTCTGTCTTTCTTCCCAAAGCAGTGACCATACCGCAATGTAATATATGTGTTTACATTACACTACAATCCCGCTTGTGCTTCATTTAAAAAAAAATGCTGTTTATGCACAGAAGCATTATTCAGGGATTGATAAGAAGTCATTCTGATGATTTTTCTGCATTTTGTTCATTCCAGTGCTTTGCATTTTGTCATCATCGCTTCCATGGAAACTAGTGCATTGCTTTTGATTTTTTAAAATATAAATAACGAATGGTTTGGAAGTTTACTGATCTAAAATAGGGATCTAGAAACTATGGCTCTTGCGCCAAATCTGGCCCACTGCTTGTTTAGTAAATCAACTTTTATTAGAATACACTCCCCTCACTGTTGTCTTTGACTGCCTTAACACCACCACAGCAGAGTTAAGTAGTTGCAACAGAAACCATATTGCCGGTAAAGCCTAAAATATTTTCGATCTGTCCATTTATGAAAAAAGTTTATGGACCCCTTATCCAAAAGATTTGTTAAATAGGTTATTCAAACTGAAAAATTTTGAAGGACTGAGATAAAGGATAAGATAAAACCAAAACTTTTTCTGACTCATAGCTGCATGAAACTATCTGAAAATACTTCTGACCCTGATGAGTGTTTACGGTGGGGGGTTATTCCTACGGCTACAGTATCCTTCATTCTATCCCACCAGCACCTTGAGAGCAGACACTGAAAAGCCAGTGAGATCTGGTCATGAGCTCAAGCACAGGGCTAAAGAGGACGGTTTTTCTGTGGAAGGAGCGAGAATCTAGGTAGGGCTTTGTGTGACATTAGGAAGGAAATGGAGCTCCCAAAATGGAGTTCCCACTGGTGGTGGCTAGGACTGACTGAAGAAATACCGCACTTTAACTGTAAATATAATCACATATTATCTTATGTAAGGAAAACTTTGACAATACATAGGCAAAACAGACAGCATTCTTTTTTTGTTTGTTTTCTATGATAATATTATCCAAAATGATTTTTACATATATATCAGTTCAGTGAGGGTCAGATACTCTTAAAAATATTTCCATTTGCTTTTGCTTTTTTCTTTCCAATTTTAATTGTTCATCTAGGAAGACTTCTTATTTACACACACACACACACAGTTACAATGCAAGAAATAATACCATTGGCAATAGCAATTCAAAAGAGAAATACAGGGTTATAAACTAAAAAAGACAAGTTTAAGATGTATATGAAAACATAAGTATCTTCCACTGAGGAATTCAGAAGAAAGCTTAAGTAACTATTCTTTTTAGTAAACTGAATGTTGTAAATACACCAGTATTTCTCAAACTAATTTATAAACTCAAGGCAATCTTAATTAAATACAGCAGATTTTGTACAAAATGAAATGAAATAGAAAATCCAGAGATAGGCATAAATCTATATGAGGATATAGTTGATGATAAAAGTAGCATTCAAGTTAGTGACAAAAAGGTTGGTTCAATTAAGAGTGTTATGATATCTAGTTAATTGCCACAGATAGCCTGAAACACATATTGCTATGTAATATGGTAATTTTAACCTTGACTACTTCCTGTCTTAAAATGTTGAGATCCAGGAATCCCAGGCCAGAAGTGCTATTATAAGTTTTCCAAAAGAACAAGATCTTAAAAACATGGAAGACCTCTGCCCAAAATTCCTGCCTCATCAATGCCTGCTGAATTAATTAAAACTTCCTCAGCCTGACTTTCAGACATACCACGTAATGGTGCCACTATATCTTCATGCCTTCATCTCTTACTATTCTAGAAGCAAACTAAACCATTCATTGTTTCTGAAGCCCAGCTTAAACTTTCCAACATTTGTGCTTCTTTTCTTCTATCCTTTTTTTCTCTGCTTTGCATGTCTCTTTCCTCAATCTGCTACTCCATCTGCCCCAAGGCATATAGATTTGTCAAAAACCAACAAAAGCCTGTTCTAGAAACAAACCCTTACCTACTTTTTTCATCCAAAATTAGATGATCACTTGATTTATTAGGGTTTTTTAATTCATTCAACAAGCACTTATTGAGCACCTAACTTTGACAGCCAATCCATCAGACATAGCGTTTAGTACCTATGCCAGCATTTACTATCTCAGTTAATAGATCCACCATCACCCAGTTATCTGATGTAGAAATATGAGCACTGTCTTTTATTTCTTCCTCTTTTACAAATAGAATCTCATTGACCACCAAGTCCAATCATTTTGACTTTCTAAATGCCTCTCCAATCTATTGCTCTTTTTTCTTCCTATTGCCAATGTGTTAATCCAAACCATTCATTTAGGAGTCTTTTATCTTTTCTCCTTATCTTCAGGTTCCACCCTCTACAGGTGATCCATCTTATTGCCATCAGAGCTACATAAGTGAACCTTAGTACATCTCGGGCCTTAAAAATAAAACTTCCAGTAATATCTTATTATGTACAGTAGCGATTCTGGGAGCACATGTTAATCACCTGTAGAGCTTTGACAACATATACAAGCCCAGACTCCACTCTGGATCTACTAAATCAAATCTCCCGTGAGATACACGGGCATATGAATTTTTCAAGGCTCCACAGGTGATTCTGAAGCCCATTTCTGGTTAAGACCATTGATTTATAATGAAATCCAAACTCACTAACATAGTGGACAGTGCAACCTCCAGGTATCTATTTCACTGACATCATCTCCTATGACTCTCTTCCATACGCTCTATGTTTCAACTAAACAGAAATTTTCTCAGCTTACCTGAACTCCATCCTTTTACTACCTCTGTTTCTCTGCCTGAAATACTTCCTCTGTCATCTTTAAAAAGTCTATTTACTTTTCAAGGCTATCTCTTTTACAAAGCTTTAAAAGATTAAAAGATATCTCTACCCCTTTTCCTACCTGCTCCCACCTTTATTCATAACAGACAACACTATCCACACCCTCATCTCTGCACCCACACTACCCTGGCACTTTCTGCAGATCACGTAAGACCTAGCGGACTCTGCTATTATTTCATTATATTTTCATTAATCATTTTTCCCCATTACAGAATACAGTACAATACAATACAATATATGCACTCTTATTTTTTTCTCATTTCTTTATCGTGGTAAAATATATATAACATAAGATTTACTGTCTTAACCATTTTTTCTGTATGTAGTTCAGTAGTATTAAATACATTCAACCATCACCACCATCCAGCTCCAGAATTCTTATCATCTTGCAAAACTTATATTTAAATGGTAACTCCCCATCACTCTCTCCCTGCACCCCTCAGCAAACACCAACCTGCTTTCTGTCTCTACGATTTTAACTACTTTAAGTAGCTCATATAAGTGGAATCATGCAGTATTTGTCTTTTAGTGACTGGCTTATTTTACGTAACATACTGTCCTCAAGTTTCATCCATATTGTAGCATGTCAGAATGTCCTTCCATTTTATATTTTATTATATGTAATAAAATATACATTATATATAACTTATATGTTACATATAATAAAATATACATACACACATACACACAATACGTGTTACATAATGTACATTGTGTGTATGTGTATATATAAACACAAAAAATATTGTATTTTATATTTATATTTATATATATACACATATACATATACTATATGTATATTTATATTATATATACACATATACATATACTATATGTATATTTATATTATATATACACATATACATATACTATATGTATATTTATATTATATATACACATATACATATACTATATGTATATTTATATTATATATATACACATATACATATCCTATATTAATCTAATATATATTTTGAATAGATGATCTAAAGTACTAAACAGAATTACATCCTGATTTCCCAGCAAAAAATACAGAAATTACTTCAAACTGACATAGCCAGGAATTAACGGTTGTATTCTTCCTCTCAACAATAGATTTAAGATTGTGTGTGTATTGCCGCTATGGCACCAATTATATTTATCTTTTCGTTTTTCTTAAGTGTATACTTGTCTTAAGTTCCTACTACATTAGAAACTATTTGTAGGGAAAGACTATCTTATTTATCTGTATTTCCTTTTTGACATAATAACTAGCACAAAATGGATATTTTAAAAATTATTATTAATTTCAAAAGTAAAAAAAATCAGAAATCTTAAGAAATGTTTAAGGAATAGGAATAGAATTGTATAATAAAAGAAAAAAGCCCTTTGGGGAAAACCATTCCACTGTAGCTACTAAAGCCTACTCTACATGTACAGTATAATTGAATGGTGGTTGTGGGTGAGGAAGCTTGCTGATATTCAGTGATGGCCTTCTACAACAGGAAATAAGGTATTCTGAAAGAAATAAGCACAAAGAAACACATTCTTTAAATTACTGGTCTCCAAGTGCTGATCTTAAGTGTATAAAAAATACAGAAAAACATATCTAGCAAAAAGAAAAATTAATTAAAGCTGAGCTGCAGCTAAAGTTTCAGCTACTCTTCCCAACAAAATGCACTTTGATTATTCAGAAAGAAAAAAAAGCTTGCTGACTGTGATTTCTCCAAAATCCTAAAACTGTCTTACTATATAGGAAGAATTAAAGTTCCCTTTTCAAAAAACATTTTATTACACAAAAATTCTGGTCTGTTAAGGAGAAGCCAAGTGTATTAGTCTGTTCTCAAACTGATAATAAAGACAGCCAAGACTGGGTAATTTATAAACGAAAGAAGTTTAATTGACTCACAGTTCCACATGGCCAGGGAGGCCTCACAGTCATGGCAGAAGGTGAAGGAGGAGCAAAAACACATTTTACATGGCAGCAGGCAAGAAAGCATGTTCAGGGGAGCTGCCATTTATAAAACCATCAGATCTCGTGAGACTTACTATCATAAGAACAACATGGGAAAAAAACCCACCCCATGATTCAGTTACCTCCCACTAGGTTCCTCCCATGACACGTGGGAATTATTACAATTCAAGGTGAGATTCGGGTGGAGACACAGCCAAACCATATCAGCAAGCATGGAGATTCAGAGAGAGTAGCAAGCAGCGAGCTAACAGATTATTTTGAGGAAATGGAAGCTATCTCTTTTTTGAAAACACATTAGACTGTGCTTTGAATTTTCCAGTGGAATTTTATTTAAGGAGTTAAATTATCCTCTTTGGCCAAATTCCCCAGTTCTGTAAAATTAATACAAAATTAAGCTCACTGTAAGCCTATTTAGAATTTATGTAGAATCTATAAATTTTCAAAAAGAATGTGAGAAACTCAACATAAAAAAATGCATACACTGTGGTTAGTAAAATATGAGCAGAAAGTAACTCCCAAGAATCAGGATGATGGTTTGTAGCTGTCATTCCTTTGAAACAGAGAAGAAAAAGCTTTATGTGCTAATAGTTTATTGGGACATACAGGGCCTGGAAGCAAGAGTGAGGAGAAAAGGGAGCATCAGGGAAGAGAGAGAACAAACATGGAGGGTGTTGGGATTTGCAAACTGATCTCTACTTGGTAGCAAGTATAACTGACCATTGATCTCACAGGAACGTCTTCAGAGGTGCTTTATGAATAATGCATCTCAGGACAGACTATCTGGTAGAAGGAAGGAAGAACTGACCCACTAGCTTTTCTCTTCTATTGGTCCAATGTTCACTTCTGGGACTTTAACTCTTCCACACTTCCCAGTTACACATATATGGGTGACTCATGGCTCAGCAGCAGCAGGAAAACTTTGGTGTGGGAGGCAAGGGGTCTGTGGCATTGGCCTGAGATAAGCTGCTTTGGGCTGTGCCCATGTCATGATAACACAGGTGATAGTCCAGAAGAGCCCTTGCAGAAGTGGTTAGCAGAAGGAATGAACAAGTGACCAAGAGCCCTTCAGACAGGTGAGTCCAGGAAGATCTGAGGGGTTGCATAAAAGGTGTCTTATAGAGAATTTTATTTATTTATTTATTTATTTTTTTCTGTTTTGTTTTTTTTTTTTAAATTATACTTTAAGTTTTAGGGTACATGTGCACATTGTACAGGTTAGTTACATATGTATACATGTGCCATGAATTTTAAAGCTTAAGAAAATCCAAAGGGTCAAACGGTTATTGTGCTTGAAATACAATTTGGTTATGAGATTGCTGAAAACCAAGGTAATAACCAAGGCCAAAAAAATTTTTTTATATTTTATTTATTAAACATGATATATTATATAGCTCTCATTATAGGAAAGGAGAAAAAACATATCAATCTTACAGGGCAATAAGAAACTTCAAAACAGTTTTTGTTGAATTTGGATGGAAATGCTTTTTATTTGGGGCACATTGGGTTTATGTTAACAATAGCTTTTATAACTAGTACTAAAAAGGCCATGACTTTAGACTCATTTTTTTCTTTCTTAAAGAAGACAGAATATTTGCGCACCTTCAGTGAAGGCCTCTGTGAGTGGCTGGGCAAATATAATCCAAGCACGTAGAGTTCTTGTGGTCTCAAATGATCCAAGAACTGAATGGTAACCACTCAAGGGAATGAATGGATTACATGCTTCCTAGACTATCTTCTCTAAATGTCGTTTTCTGCTTTATGCCTTTGATAGGAGCTGGATAGGCAGTTTGATATGTAAAGTTATGCTCTCTGAGGAAGACCTCAGGTGCTTATATTCCATCCAATATTTTGGAAACCAGATGCTGACCTTATATTAATATATTTGCTAAATTCTTTCTAGTTTCTGAACTTCTTTCAGTCCCTTGAACTTCTCATACCTCTGGGTCTCTCTTCCCCTGGGCTCTGCCTTTCATAACAAACCATATTCCTTCAACCTTCACCCAGATCAAGCTAATTTATTGTCATCATTCAGATTTTAGCTAGATTCTCATTTCTTCTGAGAAACTTTTCTTAATCCCAGAGTAGGTTAGTTGCTTATGTAGTGAGCTCTAGAAACAATACTACCCAGTATATGTTACAAGTTATAAAACTGCTTATTTGGTTATCTTTTTTCCTGCTGGATTCTAACTTCCTCGAAGATAGTCTGTTTATCTTCCCCACTTTTACATCCCAGTGCCTACTGTAGTGCCTGGCACTTAATGGCTGCTCAATATTCATGGAATGAGTGAGTAAAACTACATAGAAAACGCAGACCATATTCATGGAATGAGTGAGTAAAATTACATAGAAAACGCAGACCTAGTGAAGTTGTCTTAATTAATTGGAGTGTTTTATAAAAATCACAGGGATGTTAGATGGCTATAAACAATCACACTGGAAGCTGCAATGATGTTTACGATGTGCTTCAGACTTGTCCATGTGGTAAAAATGTGTGTCATCATGGTCCTTAACTAGGCTAATTTGCCAGATATCTATTGGCTTAAATCTACAGTTTGTTAAGGAGCATAGAGTTGTAGAGGCAAAGGCAGCAATCTAGTGGCTCCATGGTTTTGGGAAAGTAAAGGCTACTTCTTTTTTAAAAACACAGTATTCTGTGTCTGGATCCCCCAGCAGGGTTTGATTTAAGAAATAAATTAACGAATGATTTGTTAAAGAGATAGGTCCTAAATAGGCTTAAGTAAGTATAGAAATACCAGATCACCGCTGAAAACTTCACTTCCTTCGAAGTGTTTCTCAAATGGGTTGTGACCAGAGAGTTTACTGGGTTTCAATTAGAACATGACCTCAAGTACCTGGCCAGGCTCTTTCTAGCACTGTGGCTCAGGGTCTGCACCTATTGCAGTGCATTTGAACTTGATTTAAAATCTTCTCCATCCCCGATTTTAACATCTTTCTGTTCTAAGTATGGCATGGCCACAGGCTGCTGTATTTCCTGTAGAAGAATATCATTGGCTTTTCTCCCCCTCTCTTATTTATTTACATTCTGCTTTTTATGATACAATGAGGAACTATAAATATAGAGGTTTTTTAAGAGCAGGAACTCTGGTAAGCAGATTGATATTTTTTAAGAAATCAGAGGCTGAGGATAAAAGTCTAACACTCTCTTCCTATCAGTTTTAAATAATTCATTTCTGTGACATTCAGGGTACCACTGCAGATATGCTGAAACTAGAATGAAATTTCACCTTCAAATGTTCCCTTCTGCAGTTTTTTTTTCTTTTTCTTTCCCCTCCAAAACTACATAGTGGTCTTAAATTAAGGTTACTTCATGTTAAACATGAAAGTTAGCCTGCCAATAACAACTAAGATGTGAGGAGCAATTGCTAAGCCTCTGTTCAGAGCTTTCTAATCTAGCTCAAGGCTCCTATCAACTAAAAGGTCAGTTCTGTGTCACAGCTCAGAGGGGGCAGTGGTGGGATGAGAGCACAGAATTCTGCCCCCAGACTCTCACCACCACCCTACACTGGACCGCGGGGAGTCTCTTCTTTCTCCCTGGATGTTAATGATACATTTCTTATTGCTGGTCGGACCCAACCATAGAACATTATTTTTGTGCAGATAACCCAACTTAAACTCAAATTTATATTTAGAAAATAGAGGGCTCCTAATCCTCAGCCCCTTCAAAAACAAAAACTCAAAACACCCTGTTTCCTCCGTTGTCTTTGCATCTCAATAAATGACATCTCTATCTTTCTAGCTTATCAGGCTAAAATCTTCGGAGTTAATCTTAACTTCTCATTTTCTCAGACTGCACACCCAGTTCTTCAAAAAATACTGTTATATCTTGGGTCTGATTTCAAAACACAATCTATTCTCATTATCCATGGCAGTTATGCCCTATAAAGTTGCCACAGACACTGAATTAGCAAATACTGAATTATTGTCCCAGAAGGGAATTACAAGGCTGTTGTCCTGCAAGCCTCCATCACATTTTGCCAACTAATTGATACATAACTATGTTTTGTCTGAGTTTCTACAGAAATATACCTTATTTAATATATACAGTTGATTCATTAACATTGAACTCAGGACCAACTATTCTCTGACTCATGCCTGAAAGGTGCTTGTCTAACCCACGTTTATTCTATGCGAGGCCCATCACAGTTTTCTTATGCTCAGGAACAGCAGACAGCACTTCAGCACTCTACTTGAGGGCTATTTAAAGCAGCAAAGTCACCTGCAACGAGCACAAAAATACGAAAAGCATAGCACTAAATACACTGTGAAAGGGCACTTGTTTACAGTGTGAGCAGGGCCTTGTTCAGCCTTAGCTGGAACATGTGTGTCAGACAATTCAGATTTCTCGCTGCTCTGAGCATGTCTGCAACTATCCATGAAAGCATCATGGGTGTTGATTTTGAGGTTACAAATCAATTTTAGCAAGCAGGTGAATCTGCAAATTTGGAATATGTGAGTAACGAGGACAAACTGTAGAATTATAATTCCCACCATTTTTCACCACGTCTACTGCATATTAGTTTGCTAGGGTTGTTGTAGCAAAATACCAGAAACTGGGTAGACTCAACAGCAGAAATATACTATGTCACAGTTCTGAAGGCTAGAAGTCCCCAAAGTGTCCACAAGATTGATTCTTTCTGAGGGTTCTGAGGGAAAATCTGTTCTGGGACTCTCTTCTAGCTTCTGGTAGCCTCAAGCAGTCCTTGGCTTGTTGAATGCATTCTTCTTTTGTCTTTGAGGGAGGATAAGTAAGATTAGGAGGCCCTACTGACTTGCCCCCTTGGGAAGCCCGGTGGGCCCCTTTCTCAGCAGGCTCCACACCTCTTGCACCCTTGTGTGTCAGCACCTAACTCTTTTGCAAGGTAAGCAGTCCTAGAGGATCCCAGCAGACTGCCAGATTGTTATACATTCCTAATACCCAGTACAGCAAAGAGAACAAAAGCCCCTTATTCCTGATAGAGCTTTCCCAATCTCCAGCCAATCAGCACTGAAAGCCCAGGAAACTATTAGCTACAAATTCCTGCCTTGTGAGAGCCAGGGGCTTCTCTGGGGTCCTGCATGTACACCTAGGCTCTTCAACAATTTTTGAAGTTTCATATTTCTATAGGAATTTACCATTTTTAGCTAAGTTTTCAAATGTGTTAGCACATAGCCCTTTGTAATCTGCGCCCTGTCCCTCCTGCTTTCCTGCAGCTCCTGCAGCATTGCACCATTCCTAGCCACAACCTTAACAGCATGCAGGGCCCCATGGTCTAGGCCCCATCTTGCTGCCTTCCTATCTGGTCTCCAGGTTTAGCTCATAGTAACCTTTCCCTAATTTTAATAGTAAAAAGCACACCCCTAGGTGGAGATTTTATATGCTAATGATACATGCAATGTGTGTTCAAGCATGTAGATATTGAGCGCATTCTCCAACTGCAGGTCCACCTTTGCATACTTGACCTCACCAGTATTTTATGAATATGTCCATACAGCTCCCATAAAACGAATTCCTCCTAAGGCACTGCTGTCTCTCCCTCTGAGCAGCCCGCTCTGCCTCAGAGTATACTTCGGCTTTGCAATAAACCTCTTCACCTACTCTTACTTTGGACTTGCTCTCAAATTCTTTTGTGTGGCGAAGTCAAGAACATGAACCAGTGCAGCCCATTGAAAACATCTTCACATTATCTTTTCTATATTAAAGGCTCTCTCTGTGTCCAAATTTCTTCTTTTTATAAGGACATAGTCATATTGGATTGGGGCCTACCCTAATAACCTCGTCTTAACTTCATCTGCAAAGACTATTTCCAAATAAGGTCACGTTCACCGGTCCTGGGGTTATAACGTCAACATCTTTTGGGAGGACACAACTCAACCCATAATACACTGCTGCCACCTGGTTATGCCACCATCATCTCATCTACATTGTTGGAACAGCTTAACTGGTCTTCCTGCGTTTACTACTGGTCCAGTCCCCAGAATCTTCCCAGGACAGCAGCTGGAGTGAGCTTTTAAAACTGTAAGTCAGATCTTGTCACCCCTCTGCTCCAAAACTTCACAGCATCCCACATCTCCTGGATTAATGCCAAAGCCATTACAATAGCCTACCAGACCCCGTACAATTTGCCCACTGCTTCTCTACCCTCGTCTTCTGCTGCTTATCTTCTCCACATGCCACCAAGTTTAGCCACACCGGCTTCTTTGCTATTCCTAGAACATTCAAGACATGCCTGTACCTAAGAACATTTGCATCTGCTATCCCACTACCTGGAAGTTTTTTCCCTCAGATACCCTTATGGTAGCCCACATACCTCCTTCATGTCTTCGCTGTAATGTCACCTTCTCAGGAAGGCCTTTTTTTCTTCCCCCACCCTATTTCATATTGCAACCTTCTGCAGTCCTTTCTATTCCCTTTCTCTGTTTTATGTCTTTTTCACAGCATTTATCACCCTATGAAATATATATATATATATATATATATATATATATATATATATATATATATATATATAATTTACTTGTTTACTGTGTTTATTGGCTGTCTACCTAACAAGAATGCAGGCTTCTTGGGATAAGAATCTCTGTCCCTTCTATGCAGTATTATATTCTCTGTGCCTAGAATAGTCCCTGGCATGTACTAGGTATTCCATAAATATTTCTTGAATGAATGACTGTATGAATGACAGAATGAGAATTATATAAGACTGGATCTTATTCACATTGTATCTCCATAGTCTAGCATAGGCCCAGGCACATATCAATTATATGTTTTCTACAACAACAACAAAAAAATGATGACTGAGAGCTGGAATAGTATCAGATCATTATGATGAAAACAAACCAATGCTCTCAATTCAAATCACATATGGAGGCACTGCCTGTTTTACCAGAGCTTTGCTTATATGAGACTCTTCTTCCCAGTAAGGTGGAGAGAATATCTGGGTAGGACTGATAAAGAGAAAAGAAAAAAAAAATGTCTTATCTTACATAGTGAGCAATGTGACTTAAAGTTATCTGATTAGTTACTGTAGCACATTCTTTCCCTAAAACAGCATTTTATTTTTTGGATGGGGGTATATTTGCAGTAAGTTAGTGCCAATGAAGTACAGCACAAATGTCAGACATCTGAAAAGAACGAAAGATGCCATGTAACCTGATGGGAAATGTCTGCTCATTTCTCACGGCCTCCGTTCAAAGTTTCTCTTACTGTTTTAGTTTCCAGTCAGGGTTCTCTTGTTTTTTTCCCACTCATACCTTCATTTGCTGCACTTGGTTCTGGCTTGTCTCAATAAATTCCCCAGGCTGAACACTGAGAGAGAAAATAGCTCTTTAAAGAATGAAGATATGTGAAAAAAAAATGTAAAGCCTTGAATTAAAGATGTCTTAGTTAAGCATTTTGCTAAGTTTCTGTTCAGACCAAACAGACAAAGCTGGGCTTATATTCTGGTTTCAGAAAAGTGTGTGTGTGTGCATGTGCATGTGTGTGTGCATGCGTGTAACTCAGGAAATAGCAAATAGTTCGAAACACATGTTAGCAGTTAATGTGCTGATTATGTGTACAGAAGGAGCTAAGAGAATAGAGAGAGACACTTGTCCTCTATGACTTTGTGTTTTGGTCAACTCAACTGTACTTTGGCCTCACTGGACTTTGGAAGTGGTAATATTTCCATAAATATTGACACTACAGGGAAGGCTAGAAGCTAAATTATGTAGATGCAGCCTTACCCAAGTCAGGCTATATAGGGAATTTGAAGATTAAATAAAAGACTTAGACTCTTGAATAAAAGGTATTATGTAAATATGATTGCTATTTGTACTGTTTCACTTGCACTCTGAAAATATACTCCCTCGCAACTCTTAATATGCAGTTATGTGTTACAATATTTATTGCAAATACTAGCATTTTCTAGCATTTTTCTTGGTCTCCCTCTATTGCAATATGCATATCCTCTTTTCTTTGAAATTAGTTACTTGCCTTTGAGGGTAGATTTGTCTTAAAGGACAATAATTACACCTGTCACATAACTCCTCAGAAGAAGTTTTGATAAGAGCCTATTTTCCAGTCCTAGATATTCAGCTGGGTTTTGGTGGGCATTATAATGATTGCTTTAAAGCAAATATTGTTGATTATTCTGTTTAGAAAACAGAGTTCTGGGCTTTAAAAAATAACAGTTGCATTTGTGACTTACTTGAACCTTACAGTTATTTTCAGGACCATCGTGAATACACTGTCCATCAAGTCTGCTTCCTAACCTCAGCCAATGTGTTCAGTACCTCATGATACATGTTATTGACCCTCATTTTCTATTTGCCCAGTCAGCAAGAAATATGCACTCAATCACTGCATTGTGAATGAGTAGAAAGGCCAAATCTTCTGAGTCTAAATTGATACGACCCCAGTCTACTCTCTATGTATTTTCAAGTCTTTGATATTGTTTGCTAAGTGTGGGATTCCTTTCTATAGCTGGAGAATTCTGGAGTCCTTATCTAGAATTTATCTTTGCAGTGCAGTTAATTAAGATAATTATCCTAGTTATCAATTACGAACCAACCTCGCCTATGTACCCCTTCTTAAAAACAAAAAAATAAAGAGACATTAAAGGAAACTATTAAAAAAAAATTAGAAAAAACAGCACAACATTAGACATGGGAGGTCACCAGAGAAGATAGGTCATGGTATATGATGTCTGATTCTGTTCATGTTAGACAGAGCCCATATTAAGTATTCTCACATACTGTTCCCTTTCTAGACCATCAATTTTCAAAGCAAGGATAAAAATTATAGTGTAAGTACAAGAACTTACAAGCAGCCCAAGCATATGTCACAGTTTCTGTGGCCTCAATCTTATGGTCTCTACTTACAGAATAACAGTTGGTTCACATTTAAAGCCTATTGTATCCTACAACCTAATTTTTATTTATAAACACCAAATGATTCTTTTTTGTACTTTTCCTTTCTACAGCATATTGAAAGCAATCATTAGTGGATGGTAGGAGAGGAAAGAGATGTAACAAGGCCTGAATGTATTTTTAGTTGGTTTCCAAACTTTGTTTTAAGCAAATACCCTTAGTAATTAAGACTTTTTTGGGCTTTAAGGCCCTTTGCCCTCTGGTTTTTGTTGCCTCCTGGTTTAGGGAGCATCTCACACTTGTTAGTATCTGGTTGTTGGGCCAGCCATGCCTCCTCAAGATCAGGAGCCAGGCCAGGCAGGGGCCATGTGTGGGCATGGGAGAGCACAAAGCAGTTCAGGAGCCCAGAGTCAGCTATTACAGGATTTTTGCTAAGTTTTGGGCTGTTGGCAGCATCCTGGACCTCACGCCTGGGCCTGAATGAGGCCCTTTCTTAAGAGTCTTTGCAAGTTCGTGTTTTATTTATGGAGTGACTTATCCCTTCCATTCAGAGCAGCCCCACCCAGCCATCCCAGCCTCTGGGCTCTTACGTCTTCAAAGCAGACCCACCTGGTTGGTCTCCATCCTGTGTTGGGAGCTCAGCCACCATGTTCATGGGTAATTTTCCTCATAAAGTTTATATCCAGTTATTTATATAACTGTTATGTCAACTTGTTTGTATTGACTATTTTGATTATAAAATAAAATATCTTGGCCAGGCGTGGTGGCTCACGCCTGTAATCCCAGCACTTTGGGAGGCTGAGGTGGGTGGATCACGAGGTCAAGAGATAAAGATCAGCCTGGCCAGCATGATGAAACCCCGTCTCTACTAAAAATACAAAAATTAGCTGGATGTGGTGGCACGCACCCATAGTCCCAGCTACTCAGGAGGCTGAGGCAGGAAAATCGCTTGAACCCAGGAGGTGGATATTGCAGTGAGCTGAGATCATGCCACTGCACTCCAGCCTGGGCAACAGAGTGAGACTCCATCTCAGAAAAATATATATCTTAACAGAAAAAAAAAATCATCAAATATGTGTCTACTCAAAGTTAACTAAACTCAAGGTTAAGGACACAGCTCTCCACAAGATTGGCTCAATTCTGACACCAGCTGCAAATTTGGGAGTCCTCAGGGCCACCCTCACTTCTGACCAGCTGTCTACAAATTTGGGGTTTTCTGTGACCCCTTTTAGGTTTGATAATCCACTAGAATGACTCACAGAACTCAAGAAAGCACTACAGTTATGATTACAGTTTTGCTATAAAAAACATATACAAATTAGAACCAGCCGGAAAGATAGATAGGCAGGGCAAGATCTGGCAGTGTTCCAGAGCAGAAGCTTCTGATGTCCTCAGAGACATTACCCTAATGGCACATGGCTGCATGACAATATGCATAGTATTGACAACGAGGGAAGTTTCCCCAAGCTCTAGTGTCCAGAGAGGTTTTATTGGAGGTTCATTACATAGGCATGACTGATCGAATCCTTGCCCAAATGGTTGAACTCAATTTCCAATGCATCTTCTCTCCTTGGAAGTGGAACTGATGCCACCTGGCTCAAAGTCCCAACCATCTCATCATGTCTTTGGTCTTCCTAACATGGCCGGCTTCCATCCTGAGTCATCACATTAGCATAAACCATCAAATATGCTCTATGGGGCCCACCTTGAAGAACAAAGACACTCCAATCACTTGGGAAACTCCATGGGTTGAAAGATTACCTCTCAAGAACCAGAAACAAAGGTCAGCCAAATTCTTTATCACACAATGTTTATTACACAATAATAAACAAATTATTATTTATCTATGAATAGTAATCACATACCACTATGTCCGTCTACAGTGCACATTAGAAAACACTCACAGAAAACTAGATGTTAAAAAAAGGATAAGTTGGCCAGGTGTGGTGGCTCACACCTGTAATCCTAGCATTTTGAGAGGCCGAGGCAGGTGGATCACCTGAGGTCAGGAGTTCGAGACCAGCCAGGCCAACATGGAGAAACCCCGTCTCTACTAAAAATACAAAAATTAGCATGGTGTGGTAGCAGGTGCCTGTAATCCCAGCTACTCAGGAGGCTGAGTCAGAAGAATTGCTTGAACTGGGAGGCAGAGGTTGCAGTGAGCTGAGAAAGCACCACTGCACTCCATCCTGGACAACACAGCGAGACTCCGTCTAAAAAAAAAAAAAAAGGATAAGTTAAAGATAGAGTTTTTAATATTGTTTTCCAGCACCCTTGTATAAAACCAGTGGAAAATTCTCCAGATACCCCGTAAAGCTGACAAAAAATGGTGCACACCAACTGAAGCCATGCCTACCTGTCTCCCCTGGCCCTCTCAATACTTTTATTGGCATCTCACTTTCCCCTTGACATTCCTTCCTTCTTTTGCCCTTATTGGCTCCCCAAATTTTGCTTTTCAAATCAGTGGCTTCATTGCCACTGAAGTTAAACGTAGTGCTAAGGCCAGTATGACAGGGTCGTTTTTATATAGCCCTCATCAAAACACCCATGTCAAAATGTTCTTTTTTTATTAGTAAGAAATAGAGCAACAAATATTTTGACCTCCTATTCTGTCCATAACCTTATCTCTGATCAAATTCCTCTGGTCAGCTTTAGGCCCTCTCTGAATTTCACAGTATTTGATCCTAATCATGACGTTTTTGATAGATTTGCTGCCTGGTATTCAAGGAGTTAAGTATAATAAAAACTAGCTGTGCTCTCCACCCCAAACCCAGCACTTCCTAATTGCATATCAAATATCTAAGCAACTTGAAAACATAGATGCTTTGTTATCATTTAAATTATTTCCTTATCATTCTGTTTTTTATAAACTGTGAATTTTAAATATGTATATCAATATGGTAATTTATGTAAATCTTTGCCTTCATATTTTCTACTGTGGAAATGAGTGCTTTCTGAATTGACAGAGCAGAGTTTTACATCCTATGACCCTATAAAATGCATCAAAAAGTACCAAATATGATTTCATTTATGTAGCAGATAAGACAGCTTCTTGTAGGAAAAATTTCCTTAAGCTGGGAGGAAAATTTCTTTTTTTAATTTTTTTTAATTCCCTCAATTTAAAGCCAACAAAGATAGGGATACGGGAGGGAATGAAAAAGGCAGAAAGAAAGGAGTGCATGTTACAGCAGAGTTCTTAATTAAAGCTCCATTTTGAGAAGGAAAAGTGGCACCAGGCTGGGGACTCTGAGTCTGATGAGGAGAGCTGAGAATGCTTTGCCTCAAAGTTAGAGAAATCTGTCAGACCCAAATACTGTGCAACCTTGGAAATTTGACAGTACTTAACTTTTCTCAGCCTTAATTGACCATCTTAAAAATGAGAAAAGAATTCCTAACTTACAAGGTGGCCATGAGGAAAAGAGGAGAAAAATCTAATGTACCTGGCATCATGGGGTAGGCACTGTTTTTTGTTTTTGTTTTTGTTTTAAGATACTAGTTCTCAATCCAGACCATATATTAGAGTCTCCTGGAGATCTTTTAAAGGCATATTTATCTTCTATGCCAATTCAGTCACAATCTCTGCCATTGTGACCCCAGCATCAGGATTTTTTTTTTATTATTATCATACTTTAAGTTCTGGGATACATGTGCAGAATGTGCAGGTTTGTTACATAGGTATACATGTGCTATGGTGGTTTGCTGCACCCATCAACCCATCATCTAGGTTTTAAGCCCTCATGCTTATGGTATTTGTCCTAATGCTCTCCCTCCCCCTTGGCCCCCAGCTCCCGACAGGCCCCAGTGTGTGATGTTCCCCTCCCTGTGTCCGTGTGTTCTCATCATTCAACTCCCACTTGTGAGTGAGAACATGCAGTATTTGATTGTCTGTTCCTGTGTTCATTTGCTGAGAATGATAGTTTCTAGCTTCATCCATGTCCCTGCAAAGGACACAGCATCAGGATTTTTAAAAAATCTCTCCAAGTGGATTGCAATGTGAGGTCACATTGAAAAATGAGAACTTTTCCCAAAGTAATTTTTTGGTCACATATTATTGGAATTGAACTTTCATGTCGAGTGTTAATAAAACATTCTTGGAAAATACACAAATAGATCTTATATAGCTTCCTAACCTTTCATATAGCTGTATTTTCAGAACTATTTTCTTATGCCCTTACCTCTATGGCCAATACATTAAAATTTGGACTGGATCTTAATGTTAATTGTTTACCAGTGTGTTTTCAGAAATTTTGTGACTCAGATAGACACATGGCATAGAGTCTGTGTATGGATCAGGAATTCAAACTGAAGTGTTTGGGCCAAAAGGATTCATATAACAAGTCCTGGTCATGTACAAGGACAAGATCTGCAGTGGAACCAGCTGCTTTCTGAGGCAGGGGTTTGTTGTAGACATTGTCTCAAGATGAGAAAGACAGACGTCAACTCATGGGTTGAATCAAGTAGTGTCCCCTGGAAGAAATAACAAATGCAATGATGAGAAGTTGTTTCTATCAAAGATTTCTCATCAGTGCTGCCTCTGCAAAGGTTCCTGGGACCCCTTGACTATCTTATTAATGGAAGTAGACAAGGAAGGACTGATAGGGAGAAGGCTTCTGCATGCCTGGGGTAAATATATCTGCAAACATGCAGTCATCGTCACACGATTCATCGGCAGTGTATGACATCTCCAGCTAATTCAGTCTAGGACACCTTCTCATGAGCATGAACAGCAACTGGAGAGGTCTTTTGAAAAGAAACCGCAGTGCATATGTGCCCCACTGCTGGCTTCATTTTTCTCTCTGATGACATAACTGCGTAGAAAAGAGGCAAGGCCATAGTTTCTGAACTTTGAAAGCTTCTGAATTGGCACAGGGGAATGGTCATGTTTGTGGTTTTTCAAATATTATGTTTTTTAAAAAACATGGATATGAAGTCCACAGTATGTTGAAGATAGCATACAAGGTTCTGTTATGTTTCTCTGGAGAACAACAACAACAACAACAAAAGATTCTATTCAACCAACAAGGGATTTGTTTATTTGTTTGCTTGCAATTGAAGGGTTTTTCCACGGCAATCACTGTGAAAGACGTCAAAATGAATTATATCCTATTCTCTCCGATTTCAGTTTTTTTCAGGGGAAATAAGACACGTAGTGCCCTGGTCACCAGGCCATTATTGGGGAATCAACCTTTGTCCCTAGGATTGCCTTTTTGGCCTATCTCTCAGTCCTTGCCTTTCCTCTCTGCCTTCCTTGTTGCCAGGACTTTCATGTCACCCTCTGATTTTTAAAGCCCCCATTCCCCGAGACCAACTGTTCAGAAAGTAGATGGGGGCCGGGCGCGGTGGCTCACGCCTGTAATCCAAGCACTTTGGGAGGCCAAGACGGGTGGATCACAAGGTCAGGAGATCGAGACCATCCTGGCTAACACGGTGAAACCCCATCTCTACTAAAAATACAAAAAAATTAGCCGGGCATAGTGGCGGGTGCCTGTGGTCCCAGCTACTTGGGAGGCTGAGGCAGGAGAATGGTGTGAACCCGGGAGGCAGAGCTTGCATTGAGCCGATTGCACCACTGCACTCCAGCCTGGGCTGAGCGAGACTCTGCTTCAAAAAAAAAAAAAAAAAAAAAAAAAAAGAAAGTAGATGGGGTATAATAAGCCCAAGTACCTTTCTTCATTCTGACCCACCAGACCACAAGCTGTTATTCAAATGCATGGTGCTCCCTGATACTTCCATTCTTCCATCAGAACAAAGGGCTCCTTTCCTTACTGCCGGTCTCTATAGTCCTCCTTGTCCCCTAAAGCTCACCTCAGACACATCTCCTTGATAATGAGAGTAAAGTCCTGGCGGAGGCCAGCCACGAGGCAGGTATTTATTAAATGTTAGTTATCTTTCCTTCTTTCTGATCTCCTGGCCAGGATCAATTGCCTCTTCAGGGCTCCCTCAGCACTGTCCCTTATATATCTTACAAGCACTTATTATATTCTACCTTGTATTACCAATGTTTACTTTTTCCTTTATTGTACTTTGCTGTAAAGTTCTTGATAGTTGAATATGAAATAAATTTATCCTCATATTTCCCAAGGATATTTCAAAGAACCTTATACTTAGGCACTTAATTAATATTCAGTTGACAAATGAATGAATGAATGAGGAAAATGCCCAAGCCCAATCTTATCCTACATAAATACCCCTCCTACAGGGTTTTCTTCTTATCTAAACAGTCCCTTTTAGCTGACTGCTTTGATACTTTCCAGAGACTAATCAAATTAAGACAATTCACAGAATGTGTAAGTTGATAATTTATTTGATAAAGTAGATGGGAACATTTGCTCTTTCAAAGGAGTTTTATATCCTCAAAGTAATCTCCAATTTCTGTAGGATTGATGATGAATATAAACAGAAGGGTCTTTTTGTTCCTTTGCTGAAGCAAAGGAAACTACCTCTCACTCCAGGCAAAATCAAGAGCCTCCCTGTAACTAGTCTGTGAGGGAGCCAACATTGTCCTGTGCATTATCAGGCAGTCTACACTTTTTATCACCTTTCCAAAGAGCTCTACCAGTACTTGGGGCTTCAGGACAACAAAGAACATCACTCAGGGGAGAGAGAATGGGTGATATGCTGAATAATTTGACTGAGAATGAGGCAGCAGCTAACGGAGAGGGTCTTGCACATATATGCACACACACGTAGCCATCCTTATAATATTCTAGAGAACTACATGTGGGAGCTTGAGCTTAACATTAAGGACTTTGATTTATGACTTCTCATTAACAGCCACTACACATCGATGTGATTCGGCTCCATCTTGCATAATAATTAACTCATCCATAAAGTGCATGTTTGACAGCTAGACTGGAAAGCAGTATTTATTTCATGCTACTGCTGCAGCTGCAGAGAGAATTCACATGATTTTTCTAAAATCAATCTCATGTGTATCTTTCTGAAATAGGAAACAGTTTCACAAAGTTGTTTTGCAAATCAAATGTGGTGACATATTCTGAAAATGTTTAAAGCTGAAACACCTTGCAAATGTAAAGATATTTATTATTTTAATAACTACTGTTGATATTTTATTGATTCATATTTCTAGATAAGAAAATTGTTTGATTGGTTCCTTGAGCTTGATAGCTAAGTTGTCCATCAGGAGACACATCCCAAAGCTAGCTAGAAGGCTGTGGAAACTAGGACTGAAGCAACAGACTTTTAACATTCTTAATTATTTTGCCAGAAACTTTTAAGTTCTCTCATTCCTCTCAGGAATTAAAACATACCCTGAATACAGACAGCTTTTACTGATCCAGAACCAACAACAAAATCTTCTGGTTTTTTTTCTAACATTATTTCTGACCAAATCTCTTTTTAATACAGTTTTTAAACAACAATAAACATAGATTATGATAATATTTGAAGGATCTTTAATAGATCTTTTAGTAAGGTTGCTAGATATAGCAAATAAAACTATAAACTGTCCAGTTAAATGTTAATTTCAGATGAATGATGAATAAATTTTTGGTATAAGTTTCCCATGCTATATGTGGGACATATACTAAAAATTATTTATATTTCATCTAAAATTCAGATGTAATACTGAGTGTCCTCTATTTTATTTGGTTATCCTACTTTTTAGGATGTACGCAACCGGAGAATAGTAGAACATTTGTGAAAGCACTCACATTCTAACATTTCTCCGTTAAACTTCCCTTTCACTTCTTTCTACCATCTGCCTCTTTCCTTTTCTGCAGGTCACAGATGGTAACCAAAAACATGCTATTATTTAGTCAAAATATTTATTATTTCTGGCAAAAGCAAGTGAGCTTCCAAAGGCTGTGGTGAGAAACTCTTACAAAGAAAATTGCACAATATGGATTCATTGCTATCTATACCAGGGCGCCAAACCACCTATATTATTATTATTCTTTCTGTCTCTCTCTCTGGAGATATGATTTTATATATATATGTTATATATATGTAATATATTGTAAATATTCAGTCAATATTTATTTTCCATAACAGCAAGGATTACAATTAAGACCTTAAAATAAGGGGAAAAATACCTGGGGTTTAAATGATTCTAAACGAGATTTTATATTGCCTTTGCCCAATCCCCTTCCTTATTAAATAAACACTTTGATTCTTTTAGGCATTTAAATAGTACATTTAGAGTCGTCTTTGGGGAAAAGAAAAAAGAGTCTATGCTGTTGCTGCAGGTGGCCATGAAGAGATCTGCTGTATGAATGGCAGAATGTAATAATAATAACAAAATGTGTGTCTGGGAGGTGGAGAACCTTTCTGCTATCTTTTTTATTCCCATCCTCAATACTTGTTGTTCATATAGTGGAAATGAAAGAATTCTTAAAAGGCACATAAGCCATTCCACATTACCCAGAAAGAATTTCAAGGGGGGGGAAATGATCTATCAATCTAGAGAAAATACAGGCAAAACACAAGAACAAGAGAGATAACTTACCCTTTAAAGCTTAAAACTGTGCGTATTTTCTCATTGTGTTTATCCTTGATATTTTAATTATGTACCTGCCTTTGTGTCTTTCTTTCCACTAGGCTGAAAATTCTCATGAGGTCATAAGAACCTTGGCTCATTTTTGTTTGTTGCTATTGTCTAGCATATTCCCTGATTCATTGTGCATGCAGTAATTATCTCAAAAAGTCTGAGAACCATTGCTGTAAAATAGAATATAATTGAATTGGGAGATAAAACTACTCAACTCTTTAATCTGGGGAAGAATCATACCTCTAATTTCATTGGCTTGCTTGTAGCTCCAACCTTATATTTCTTGAAGTCCCATGGGTGTGTGTGTGTGTGTGCATGCATGTATGTACATGCGTATCTCCCTTCCAGAAATGAAATATATACATATGAAATAATATGTCCTAGATATTCCTTTAGGAAGAATTTAGAACAAAGTATAGGAAATCATTATGAGGTAGAGATGTCTAACTGTCCATCAAGTTTATGCTCCTTCTTCTATAACATAGTTACTGGGAAGTGGTTGCAGTCAGTGGCTACATTTCTCAGCTTCTCTTGCACATAGGTAGGCCATGGGATTAGTTCTCACCAACAATGCCAGCCAAAGTAAGTATGCCATTATTTCCAGACCATGGCAGTTAAGAAGTGAATTTGCTTTCTCCATCCCTGTTTTCCTCTTTAATGAGCTTGGTGCAGAATGAGGCCATATAGTAAAGACAGTAGAGCCAGAAAATTGAAAAAAACCTTGAGTTCTAGAATCACCCCTGAAAAGAGAGCCTCCCCCAATGCCATCAAACATAAACATTAATTTGGGACACTATGTACACAAGGAGTAAACTTCTATCATGCCCTTACTCCTAATATATTTTATGAGTAGAATTGTACTTTGCACCTATTCCCTTTTCTTCTATTGTCTAATCTCCAGAAGCAGTAGTTTAGACTATGTATTCTTATAGTCTGCCCTTCACCATCTTTCTTTCATAGTGTTTAGAAAAGTCCTAATATTAAGAAATTGTGATTTTTAAAAAAATTTCAATGTGGTTGGTTCTGTGTGAATTTTATTTTCACTTAACATTTATCTAATATCCATTATGTGGAGCACACATTCTGCTAGGCCTTGGGAATGAAAATTGATTAGCTGATGAATTCACAAAAGAAAAAGACATATAAAGGATAAATTACAAGAGAATGCAATAAAAATGTTAACAATATGAATATGTCTGTAGGAGCAAGGAGAGAATATTGTTGTCTTTACTTGAAGCAGAAGATAAAGCCTTCACAGGGAAGGTGACATTGAGTTAGGTCTTACAGGATAAATATGGGGTTTGTCAAAGGATATGAATAACTGTTTACAATTTTTAAATATTTGTACAAAGAAGATAGAATATTACTTTTAATATAAATGTAATGGTTTGTCATATTAAAATTTGTCATATTCATCAAAATAACTTTCCATTGTTTCAGCCTTTTGCTGAATAAAGTTTTCAGTTATTAACTTTGTTATTAATTTTTTTGTTTCAATAACCATGCTTTAGCCTTGCAGCTATTTTAGTAAAACAAACAACAACAACAAAACATGATCTAAATCACATCCTAATTTTTATTAAGTTTGAGAATGTTTTTGAAAAATCATTCTTTAGTCTATCCAGAATTTATGGTTGTATGTGATTACAAATAAACCAGTATTTATTTAGAGCATGAGATGTCATTCATTATTAATTTATGTGTTAGCCATTTCTTTTTTATCTATTATTCTATTTCATACTGTATTATAATTTATTAAATGTATAGTATATTTGTTTTCATCATTCTAGTCTTCTATTTTTAACCTGTATCAAACAATTTTGAAACTAGTGTTTTATAATATATTTTGCTATATTACAGGGCAATCTCCTTAGTCTTAGTCTTCCCTCTGACTCTTCTCAACTAATACAGTGTTCACTTTGGCAAGGGACCAATTCTCAACAGCCAGAAGTTTAAAAACAAATAAAATAAACAAGAAGGATTTGAGAGGTTTTAAAAATAAGACAATAGTAAGATATATGGTTGGTACTTCTTATTTGCTATTGTGAGTGCTTCAAGGGCAGCTATCTCATTTTTCTTCTTAATTCTCTTTAAGATTTTGGAAAATAAATGCATGATATATGTGTTGAATTGAATCATTGCCTGGCCTTGGCCCATTTCTTTGAGTGGCAGTAACTCTGCTTAAGAATCAGCTGAGGAAGAGTTGCATTCAGCCACTGTTTAAAATAGATATAGAAACTCTAAGAAATAGTCATTAGAAAACATTGAAACTCTTAGATTGATAAGGTTTTGAAATAGAAGAAAAGAAATTAGGTCTCTGACTCTCTTGAAAACTATTGAGTATAAGATTTCACTCTAGATTCTTTCTATATATGTAGAAATGATTCCCCTAGTCAATAGAGTTGTATTAATCAGATTGCAAATGTTTCACTTTTTACCTTATGTTGTTTATTGTAATTCATTTCTTCATTTTAAAAGAAGGATGTGCCATCATGTATTTTCTTTCCTTCCTTCCTTCCTTGCTTCCTTCCTTCCTCCCTCCCTCATTTCCTTCCTTCCTTCCTTTTATTCATTTTGAGATGGAGCCTTGCTCTGTTAGCCAGGCTGGAATGCAGTGGCGTGATCTTGGGTCTCTGCAACCTCCACCTCCCGGGTTCAAGAGATTCTCATGCCGCAGCCTCCAGAGTAGCTGGGACTACAGGTGCCCGTCACCACACCCAGCTAATTTTTGTATTTTAGTGGAGACGGAGTTTCACCACGTTGGCCAGGCTGGTCTCGAACTCCAGGCCTCAAGTGATCCACTCGGCTCAGCCTCCCAAAGTGCTGGGATTACAGGCATGAGCCACCGTGCCCGGACCCGTCATATATTATTCTTGACCATTTACTCTGTTTTTACATCTGCTACTACAACCATGCATAACCAAGAAAAAATAAAGATTTGAATCATAGTTATCGCAGTTGAGACAGAAATCCAAAGGTAGAATTGAGAAGTATTGTTTTTGTTCACTGCCATGTCTCCAGTACCAGAGCAGTGCTTGATGACACATAGTAGGCACTTAGTAAACATTTGTCAAGTGATCGAAGTTGAGTCAAGCATGAGTCACAGCCAGCAGAGCAGCTCACTGAGGAGCAATCATGGGTCTAAGTCAGGGAGGCTGAGAGGAAGTCAGAAAGCAGATTATAGATAGATTAGGGTCAAAGGCTTGGACGGAAGCCATGAACATGATATGTGAAGGAGAGGGAGATAGACTCCTTGGCTTTATAAAGACTGGCAGGATAACATCTGCACATTGGATACAAAGAATATTTGTGATTTCTATTGTCATATGGCTAAAGTCCATTTTTTGAAAGTACATTGACATCATAAAATAACTGTTTAGTGGTAACGACTTCTAGTCATGTTAGTCATATTACTTGAATGAAGAGTATATTTTGACTGAGCTGACTTTTTATTTGATAAAATATTTCACTGTTTTTCAGAATGCTGAATTAAATCTGCTGTTTCAGTAGTTTTAAATAAAGTTGTGAATTAATGACTTAAATGTAGGTCAGAGAATTGTTGATTTTCCTTCATTTGAAGCCTCTCAAACACTGCCTTTAAAGCTATACATAAAAAAGCAAGGGCAGAGTTCAGCCCAATACAGAATGCAAGTGGATACAGAAATCAACTTTTCAGACTCAGTAGGATTTTTTTCTGACTTGGGGAGATAAATGAATATAGAATTCCAGACTTGCCTAAACTGTTAACAAAATTATTACAGAGATGCAAAAAAAAATTATTCTTTAACTTATACTATGGCACATAAGCTAAATTCAAGATAACTACATACTGAAATCACTTCTTGAAACTATTTAGTAATTTTCAATTTCCTGAACTCTGTAACTATTTGGCAACAAATCTGTTGACTAAGCAGTATCCCCTACCAGAAGAAATATTGGCCCTAATTCACAAAATACTACTTCTATAATTTAATGATAGAACTGCAATTCAGTGCTTGGAAAAGACCAAGCTATCAGCCCCTAATTATATATAAGGGATTTAGGAATACAGCCAACCATGAAAACTCCCAGCAAGACTGTGTCCCAAAGGAACATCCTTGAAAACAAATTCTAGGATTGCTTTGGGCAGAATAGATTAAGAACTACAGTACGGAAAGCTTATTGAGTCAATGACAGAAAAAAAAAAAAATCTGCAAAGAGAAAGACATATTCCGTGTTAAACATTTGAATAAGTTCATCTTGAACTCTTTAGGGTTCAAGGTTTTGTGGTGTATTATCAGTGATTTGAGTCAATGGAAATTCTTAATAGTTGGCCTTTTTGCTTGATTAAAAATGACAATCTGATTGCTGATGGACTTTCTCCAGCTATTAAGTGAAGTACCAAATAAATAGATATTGCAACTTTGGGGGAATTATAGAGATCTGAATTTCCTTTACTTTGCTCAATTTTATTACTTTTCATCTACTACCTAAAATGCAGATTTTTTCATCAGTTTAAAATAGAGTATGCTATTTGAATAATGTAATCATATGCTAGCTTGCCTAAAGGATTAAATTATGGAAATTCACTCCCAATCTCAAAATAGTTATTGATGATCTAACTACTTGTAATGAATTAGGCTTATGACTGCTTTATGACAGTTGGAATGAGAGCCATTCTTTCAGGATCCCAGGCAGGGTCAATTTTAGCAGAGACCTTAAAGAATGAAAAGGAATTATTAAAAAAAAAAATCTACATTGCTATCAGAAAAATGGTTAATAGGATGTTTTGAGCCTGTTTAAACTTCCTCCAAGATTCATAAATATTCATTGAATCAATTAGTTATTTGAAGCTTAATGTTTTGCTGCTGAATGAAAATAATTATCTGCTAAGGTGGGTGTCCTGTCTGGAGCCTGCATTTATTTTTAAATGTGTCGAGGAAATTAATGGGGATTATCAGCTTGATCTTTCTCTATGTAGAGGCATTATTTAGCTGAATTAACTTTCTCTGACCCCCCAAAACCAAGAGATCTCAATGAGATATATGCTGTTTCCTTATTCCCAAATCATAGATCTTAAGAAGCAGTTATTTCTTAAAAGTAAATTTTAAGAAATGCCAAGTAAATCCCCCTCATTTATAAATACATAAGTAACCCCTCAGTTATCCAGAATCTGGACTTCTAAAACTTCCAGTTTCCCTGAACTTGATCGAGAAGTAATCCTGCACCATAATCTACCTCCCTCAATTATAGTAGTCTTTCGAGTCAAAAAGAAACTCCGGAGCATCTGGAAAGGTCAGCGTTAAGGAGGAGGAGAGGCCAACTGGAAAGAAATGCTTGCAGTTAGTTGCACAGCTGTCTTCACAGGAAGAGGAGGGAAAGGAGAGCCCCCACCTACCAGCCCTGTCCATGAAAGATACAAAGGCAAGTAGCATGGGAGAAGTTACAAGAGACAAGAACAGAACCAAGGGAATGGCAGACAAGCAGCAGTTCTATAGGCTGGTGGTGTCTGGGATGAAATGGCTGTCTCAGGGCAGACGGGACAGTTGTATACAAGGAGACCTGGAGGCAAGAACCATTTAGGCTGCAGTGGGACCCTTGCCTTCTAATGTCTCCAAACAGTAGCCCTTTAAATATTGCAACTTGTAAAGGTTTAATTTTCTGTGTTGAGGGGAAGGGAAGAATAATTGCTTGCCAACATTAGTGGGCCAAGACGTGTCAGATGCTGCTTTCAGCTTGGGGTCGGGGGGTTGGAAGTCGGAGACAGCAATAGGTGGAAGTGGGAGATTCTTCTATTTGAGAGGGGAGAGAAGTGTACATACATTTTAGAAAGCTTTCCATCACAAAAGGGTTAAATTTTGGCACTTACAGGGTTAGCCCTCATTTCTGTTATGTGAAGTGAACTGTATAATTCACTGTCTCTCTCCCTGGTTGAGACTTGTGCTTTACAACACAATTATTATACTGCCTATGTCATTAACAAAGGTCTTGTGGAAACTGTCACTAAATAATGTATGTAACCAAAACAATATAATGATTGTGGTCTGGATATCATTGTCGGAAGGGCACGCTCCTTACTTTGGGGGCTGAGTCTTGTTTTTGTTTCTAGTTCAGCCTTTCCTAACCCAGGTAGCTTGCATATATTAGGCATTAGGTAAATGCTTGCCAAAATGAAAAGAGGTCAAGGTCAGCGTCATACTCAGCGTGAATATGGATACAGCCCAGGGCCAGTTTAGTAAGGAGGACAGGAAGAGAGGTAACTTTTGCCTTTGGGAGGCAACATCCACTCCCCAACACACTGAAAGTGCGAATTACCCAGTTACCCAGTTACCGCAGACCAAGTATAGACAGGACAAAAACTCATACAACTATACCAGCCACAAAGAACCACAGCACCAAAGAGGAACCACAAACAAATGTTTATATCGTGCGCAATCTCTTCATACTTTATGCTTTCTTGAAATAAAGAAAACTGAGGCACAAAAAAGAGTAACAAATTGTATTTGCACACAGCATCCTATCTACCATTTATTAACTGCAAACGCCCTTGTGACCACCTCCACGGCTTCAGCATCGTCCAGAGAGCTACATCTAAATCTCCTTATTCTCCTTTTTTTTTTCTTCTGCACAAATCAATAAAGCCTTTTCTGTCAGCCCCAGGTAAATTCCAATTCCAAGCAACTTGGGCAAGGAAACAAACAAGTGAAAAAAAAAATCACATTGGCTTTAAGATGCTAAATTTAAGACATGCAGTTGGAGCTGACAGCTGACAGGTTATCAACCAGAAATCATTCTCTGATCACTTATTCAACAACTCCAAAAGAATTGCAGCCACATGAGGCTTGTAACGAAGAGGGCTGTATTTCCAAGGAGGATAACAGAAGGGCACATGTGGAATGTGGATAATTTCCAGAAGATACTGAGAGACAGTGCTGGTTTCTGACTTCTTATTCTAGGGCAATGCCTTTTGATGTCCTGATTCAATGCCGTTGTAAGCCTGAACTAATCTGATGTAATAAAAGCTTAATTGTCTACTTGCAATTATCATTTCCCTTTAATCTGGTGATCTGTTTTTATTTGACATAGATTGCTGTTCTTTAGAGTGGGATACACTTTGTGTAATGTGTATTGTGAAATGGTGTTCATATTTTGGGTACCATTATAAACTGTAAGTCACGCCTGATAATCTCATGTCTGAATACTGAAGTGAGTGTACCTCCATAGGCTACTGCAAGAGAGTACTAGGGGCTAGACAAGACTACACATCAGGACTCGGGGCAGGCAGGACCAGGCAAGGGTGGCTGATGGCATCTGCAAGACTGCAGCACTGGAGGAGGGGAATGGCTGCTGCCAGGGCTTGTACTGCGGAAAGAAACCTGTTTCTCCTTAATGATGGTGTTGTCCAGGCAGGGGCAGGTCAGAGTCTCTCTCATTCTAAAAATGCCCACTGGGCAGCATTTTGGATCCCAAAGAACTGGTAAGTGTGGGGACTGCTGAGTACTAGGCAATAGTTTGCAAACTTTTACATTATCACTGACTTTATTCTACTCTCACCTTTGAATTTAAACCAATTTTTAAGTATGCAAAAGAAGACAGTTTAAAAAAATTTCCATGCAAATTAACATCACATTCTTAAACAGATGAAATATTAAAACTCATACAAGTATTTTTAATGAAATAATTTTTATTTGCTGTGATTATACATATTGACATTTGCACACTTTTTAAAACTTTTTATTTGGAAAAAATTTAAATTTTATAGATAAGTTGCAAATATAAAAAGAGTGTAAAGAATACCCATACACCCTTTTCCCAGAAAGACTTATTGTTAGCATTTCACACAATTGGCTTTTTGGTTTATTTCTTTCCCCACCCACCTCACCCCATGGTTCTCTCTCTCCATACATGTTACATACACATAATTATATACTTAATTTTTTTCTTAATAAATTGAAGGTGTCACATACATGATGGCCCTTTACGCCAAACATCAGTGCATATTTCCTAAGAATGTAGATATTCTCTTACTTAGCCCCAGTAGTTATATATATATATATATAACATATATATGTTATATATATATATAACATATATATATAACTACTATATAACATATATATATATATATATGTATGTTAATTTTACTTTAAGTTCTGGGGTACATGTGCAGAACGTGCAGGTTTGTTGCATAGCTATACGTGTGCCATGATGGTTTGCTCCACCTATTAACCCATCAACTAAGTTCCCTCCCCTGGCCCCCCACCCCCCAACAGGCACTGGTGTGTTGTTCCCCTCCCTGTGTCCATGTGTTCTCATTGTTCAACTCCCACTTATGAGTGAGAACATCATATTTTGGGTACCATTATAAACTGTAAGTCACGCCTGATAATCTCATGTCTGAATACCCAAATATGTGATGTTTGGTTTTCTGTTCCTGTGTTAGCTTGCTGAGGATGATGGCTTCCAGCTTCTCCATGTTCCTGCAAAGGACATGATCTCATTCCTTTTTATGGCTGCACAGTATTCCATGGTGTATATTTGCAACATTTTCTTTATCCAGTTTATCATTGATGGGCATTTGGGTTGGCTCCATGTCTTTGCTATTGTAAATAGTCCTGCAATAAACATATGTGTGCATGTGTCTTTATAGTAGAGTGATTTGTAATCCTTTGGGTATATACCCAGTAATGGGATTGCTGGGTCAGATGGTATTTCTGATTCTAGATCCTTGAGGAATCACCACACTGTCTTCAGCAATGGTTGAACTAATTTACACTCCCACCAACAGTGTAAAAGTGTTCCTGTTTCTCCACCACCTCACCAGCATCTATTGTTTCTTGACTTTTTAATAATCGCCATTCTGACTGGCATGAAATGGTATCTCATTGTGGTTTTGATTTGCATTTCTCCAACTTCAATATATTTAACATTGATAGAATACTTTTTTCTTATCTACCTTTCATACATCAGTATTGTCATTTGATCCAGTAATGTTCTTTATAGCATTTTCCTCTGTGGTACAGGATCCAGTCTGTCATCAGGTATAGCATTTAAGTGCCATGTCTCTTTACCCACTTTCAATAGGGAATACTTCTACAACCTTTCTTTTTATTTTCTGACATTGACTTTTTTTTCTGACATTGACATTTTGGAAGAATGGATTACTGCCACACCCGCCCCCAACTTTTTTTTAATGAAACATTTCCCGTTTGGGGTTTTTTAGATAGCCTTTCGTGATCACTTTCAAGTTATGCATTCTTCTTTGGAATGTTGCATAGGAGATGTTGTGTCCTTCTCAGGCTATCACATCTGAAAGCACATCACGTCCATCTGTCCTTCATTGGTGATGTTAACTTTAATCAGCCATACAAGTGTTTTCTGATTTCCCTACTAGGTAATTATTGTATAATTTTTTTCCCCTGCAACTAATAAATAGTCTGAAAGAGACAGTTTAAAACATGCTAGTATCTAGTTTCTCATCAAGATTTCCCTCTAGATTTAGCATCCATTGATGAATCTTGCCTGATCTGATCTTTAATAAAACAGTTGCAATATTATGATGTTCCAGTGTCAGCACTCTCTTCACATCTGCCATCAGCTCTCAGAATTCTACTTCAAGCAAAAGCTCCCCTACTTATTTGTTTTTGTTGTTGTTGTTGTTTTGTTTTGTTTTGTTTTGTTTTTGAGACGGAGTCTCGCTCTGTCGCCCAGGCTGGAGTGCAGTGGTGCGATCTCAGCTCACTGCAAGCTCCACCTCCCGGGTTCACGCCATTCTCCTGCCTCAGCCTCCCAAGTAGCTGGGACTACAGGTGCCCACCACCACGCCCGGCTAATTTTTTGTATTTTTTTTAGTAGAGATGGGGTTTCACTGTGTTAGTCAGGATGGTCTTGATCTCCTGACCTTGTGATCCGCCTGCCTCAGCCTCCCGAAGTGCTGGGATTACAGACGTGAGCCACGGTGCCCGGCCTTTATTTGTTTATTATTGATATAGACCTATAAATTTTTTCCAATAGTTTATAATTGGAAATAAAATTTTAATTAAATGGTTTATTTACTCATTTATTTAGTGAATATTTATTGAATACTTACAATATGCCACATACTCTATTCTGGTGATACAACTGTGGGCAAAACAGATGTAACCTGTTTTTCCTCATATATATAGACATATTGTTTATGTGTTATGTACAGAGATTTGAGGACTAGAGTCTAAAAGAATATTTTTTAATACGCATGTTAAACCCTTAATTCATTTCTTCAATAGATCTGTCAAACACTGGTGTGTTGAGAACCGTTCTGGAAACTGAGAGCACAAACAGGGTCCCTATCCTTAGGGAATTTGCAATCAAATGGGGAAGATAATAAAGAAATAAATACACTATCAGAAGAATTGCAGGTTTTGAAAGGTGTTTTAAAAGGAAAAAAGTAAACATAAACACCAGAGCTAAGATAAAGGATGACGACCAAAGTAACATAGAGGCCAGTGATTACTAAAGTAAAATGAAATCTGGAAGGATCACTTCATCGTGATCTCTCATGAATGTTTGAGTGGTGCTTCACTGGGTAAATGTTCCTTGGACTTTTTTTTTTTTGGATACTTTTCCATGGTCCTTGACCAGTTGGTTTCCAGCAGCCTCATAACTAGGCACATGTCTGCTGTTGCCACCTGCATGGATCCAGCCTTTAGATTTGACATTTCCAAACCAGTGACCACCTATCAGTAACTTCTGCACCAGGATACAAATGATAACATAGCCAAATCAAACCGCTTTATACTAAATATTACCTCCCTCCAACATTCAACAAATATTTCATAAAAATGCACTGTGTCCCAGGACACTGGAATACCTGTCATTGGAATGTACATTTCAGTGAAGGATACAAACAAGTAATTAGGCAAGATACTGTAGTCAGTGTAATCACAGTGGTTAGTACAGGGTCCTGAGGGAGATTATAGAAGGAGTTTCTAACCCAGATGTGGTGGGGTTGGGGCAAGTGGACAGAAAGCCTTTCTGGAGTTGCAGCTGATACTTAAAGAGAAATGTAAGTTAGCCAGAGACCCCAAGCTGTTCCCTGCATCCAGGTGCATGCAATAGGTGCAACGTCACAAGGAAGTTAGGCACATATACCTGGATCCCCTAGTTCACCACTGTCTGCCTCCCCAGTGTCTGGCACATAATTTACACTCAGTGAATATTTTGGAACAAGTGAGTAGGTACATGCCAAAGAGACATTTTGTCCTCGGAAGAGAAGATAACCATGATAAAATTTAATATCAAATTCTTTATAACATGTAATGTATGAGATTATTTCTGTCCTATCAAGTTTGCATTCATACTGTAGCTTTAATTACATATTAGAAAGGAGGATGGAGTGGTTTTCGAATCTGCTAGTATTAAAACATTTTTGCTGATGCCTTTAACTAGATGAGTTGTAAAGCACATTATTTATACCTGGAAGAACTGGCTTCTCTTACCCATTTAATTTTTCCAATTAACTGAAAGCCAGGTTGACTTGGCTTTGGTTCACTCTGTGGTCAAAATTTAGCATCATGGGTATTGATTAATTAGTGATGAGTCATTTGGCCTATAAGAGCATAAACTACCTGATGGCAAATTTACAGGACGAAAATTAGGCCACAGAGTAAGTGTTGTTCTTCGTTACTAAAAATGAAACTAAAAATGTCACTGCCGAAGTGGAACTAACAGGAGCAACAGAGAGAATCAAGCCAAGTGTTCTTTCCTTCCTCTCCTGTCTCCCTGACCTAGATAAGAAACCTTACCCAATCCTAACTCCTAGTTCCGTCCACCCTTATTTGAGACCCTCCCACTAAGGGACCATTGCCATTCACTAGATCATGATGGGTATGACCCAGTGAATGGCAACATAATGCATAGGATAAATGTGCAATGGATTTTTTTTTTGTCCATCAGATTTGGGTGTTTGTTTGTATGAAAAATTTAGCCTCTTACTTGTTGTCTACCATGACCATATAGAAAAGTCATGAAAGTTTTGGAATATGAGCTCCCGGATGGAATGTGAGAATATGAGTTCTGAAGTTAGATGCCTGCATTCATTTCCCAACACCACTACTTAATGATTTGGATGCATCAGATTCTTCACTGTAAAATGGGAAGTTTAAAAGTGCCTACACCATAGGATTGTTGTGAGAATTAAGCAAGCCCATCTATGTAAAGGACTTAGCATGGCGGCTCACTGTAAGCCTCATTTAGGCATCATGATGCTCAAAAAAGGGATCACCAAAACACTTAACTGAATATCACCCCAAAATCAAGTGCCAATTCATGTAAGCAGTTGGTATTAAACAACTAGTCTGTTCTTTCTTCTTGTCTGATGTTTAGGACCTAGAATATCTTATATGATCAGCTAATGTACTCTGATAAAAATGAAAAATACTGATTATTGAGAAAGTGTTTTTGAGAGCCCATGATGGTCAGATCTCTGTGCTAAATGCTATGGTGCACTTGAAAACAACTTCATTTCTGCCTCCAAGGAACTTACAGTCTAGTTAATGGAGACATGTCAGGAACACGTGTGTCTAAAAACATCAGTCATCAGTACAGGAGGTCAAATGATTAGCACTGTAGGCAGTGGAGTCTATTTGCTGATGGCAAGACTTCCAGTTAAATAGATAACGAGCATCACTTAAACATTTTAATTTCCCAAAGGAAGACAATATTTGTGCATTTTAAATGCAGTTTATAGAACATGAGTTATATATGATCACATTCCTTCTCTCTCTCTCTCTCTCCCTCTCTCTCTCTCTCACACACACACACACACACACACACAGCACAAACCATTTAGAAGACCATATACCACATTGTTTACTGTGGATATCTCTGACAAAAGCATTGGAACTGCAAATGGAAGGCTACTTTTCACATTTTATTCTTCAGTCTTTTGTATTGATTGAATTTTTTTACAATTAAATCAGAAAAAACAATGGAATTATTTATTTTAGTAAAATATATTGAAGATAATTCCCTGAGAAAGCTAAATTCATCTTCTATTAATGACTTTTTACCTGATAGTTATATAATGTGTTCTTTCTTTACAAATAAAAATTATACAATTAATAAAAGTAAGCATTTGCTATCCCACAAATATTTTTTAAATTTAATTTGGGGGTAACAAACATTTTAAATACATTATGTTACTGGTTCTGAAAAATCTAGGTCAACTTCTAGGATCTTGTTTGATGTAAGAATTTGAACTGTTTCCAAGGTAACCAATCATATCTCTAGAAAGCTTAGCTAAGCTTGTATCTCTTCATTTTGAATGCTCAGCTCTTTTTATGTCCTCCTGGAAACCCTGAACTTTGACATACACACACATACCCACACACATGTACACACTCACTCCAGACTTTGCTTGCCTTCCATCAGGGACACAAGGTACAACAAAACCAAATAAATGCTCATTGATTTTTAAGTTGTTTAATGCAGCTGTTTCATTATCTTTTCTGTCTTTATATACTGTAAGTGATGACAGTCAAATGTTGTGTGACTATTCATAAAAGAAAGCATATTAATTTTGTATGAATTCCCAGGTACCTGCTCTTCAATTTATGATCATTCTTTTCTCTTTATTTTATTTTTCTCTAGCATAGATATGAAGCCCAAGAATATGTCAATAATGTTTAGTAAAATAATATTAAATTTTTTCACTTAATTTGCTAGTATGGCATTGACTAATAGAAACATCATCTGAGCCACATATGTTATTTTTGGTTCCCTAGCAGCCACTTTTAGAAGCAAAAAAAAAAAAAATAGGTAAAATTAAATGTATTTTATTTAACTCAGTTTATCTAAAAAGCTATCATTTCAACATATAATCAATATAAAAATTAATGAGCTACTTTTTTGTACTAAGTCTTCAATATCTGGTGTGTACTTTATATGTGCAGCACATTGCAATTTGGACAAATCATGGTGCAAACCCTTAGGAGCCATGAGTGGCTGAAGGTGACCATATTGGACAGTGAAGATCTAGACAATGGTTGTTACTTCCTGTTAGTATCATCTCGTCAGTGGGATATTTAAAGACGTAGTGTATTATTTTGCAGGATTTTCTTTTCTTCCTGAAATTTAATTAATAACATATTAAATTGGGCCTGGTGCTGTGGCTCACACCTGTAATCCCAGCATTCTGGGAGGCCGAGGCAAGTGGATCACCTGAGGTCAGGAGTTCAAAACTAGCCTGGCCAACATGGAGAAACCCCATCTCTACTAAAAATACAAAAATTAGCTGGGCGTCGTGGCTGGTGCCTGTAATCCCAGCTACTTGGGAAGCTGAGGCAGAAGAATCCTTTGAACCTGGGAGGCAGAGGTTACAGTGAGCTGACAGCGCCATTGCCCTCCAGCCTGGGCGACAAGAGTGAAACTCCGTCTCAAAAATATAAATAAATAACTTATTAAATTGACTTGCTTAATTGAAAATATTTTATTTTCACTTTTCATAGGTGTCCATTTATCCTTTTTACAGAGTTTTCCTACTAATAACTAGCCATCTGAGGAAACTACAATATGTTTTTTACTCAATATTTCCTAAAAGATAATTTTCGGAAAAAGGTAAAATCATGACTCTCATACAAATATAAAATGAATATATGTTACAGAATTTTCTTTACTCGTGATATGAGAGAACTAGGTAGCTGTTATAACCGGTTCAAAAGAAAAGTCAAAACAGTATAAATTTACATGGAGTAGAGCAATGTTGAGATGAATTCCAAATGGGAACAAAACTTTTTTCTACAAGAGGGAAAAAGTAAATTAAATTACAACCAGGTAAGGCAGAACTTACAGAGCTACCAGTTACCTACAACTTACAATGAATTACAAAATAGCTCAAAAACAGTGAGTAGAGCTAGAATCCTATAATCCAAAAGGGTATACTATATATGATGCATGGTTTTCCATTGGAACACAAAATATTTTGTACATAATCTGATAATCAATTTAGAGCCATATAAGCATCTAGTTTAAGCTTTGTCCCAGAATTTTAGAGTAATCATGGGCAGGTCAGAGAGATTATGCTTCATGTCTGCTGATAAACCAAGGAGTGGTATTACATGTTCTCTAAGCTTCTTTCCAGTAATATGACTTTTTAAAAGGAAGATCTCCAAAAATGCTTTTTATCTGAACACTTTTCCCCATGGATATACAGAGAGTAAGCAGAGAAGGTCCCATTCAGAAATCAGTCTCCCTACACTGAGTGAGTAGATCTGGTTCTTCTGAGGCAGTCTCCTCACCTGCTGATGATGTCATCAAATGCACATTATAAAAGTTTGCATGTTGTCAAAAGGAAACAGGATGACCAAGTTCTCACACATCCTAGTGCTTACCACTCTTTCCACTCCCAGAAAAGAAGCAGTTCCCCCTTCCCTGGTTTGCAAGATAGATATATAATAAAATTTGCCTTCCCCACAACTTAGAAAAGAAAAGCATGGTGATTTAGAGTAAGAAAGTTATTTACTTTCACTCTAGCAAAGCAGAAAAGGTAATAGAGTGATATGGATATTATAACACAGAGAGAATGGCTGATGGCATCATAATAGGATGCACTGGACTATTGAGAAATTCCTTGCAGGAGAGGGTGATATATAGAAGGGCAATGGATTAGAAGTCAGGATCTCAGGGTCTGCACCCACTTCTGGGAAGCCTTTCAACTTGTCCTAAATGAAGGTTATCATGTTCTTCTCATTGAATAAGGTTTACTTTTAATTATTTTCTTTAAAAAATAGAAGAAAAACATTCAGGTAGCATAAAACAAGCCTAATTTGGTATCATATATCAAATTTTGATATCTTTTTGTGGAACTCAACACACGAATCTGTGCTGTAAGGATGCAGAAGTACAGTATCAAACTTCAGAGAGGGGGACAATTTCAGTTACTCTTTTATCCTGAGGTCTACATGCGTCACCTTTGTGTAAATTTAAAAAGACTAACCTGAGCATGTTTCTTAATCTAGCCTCCATTCCTTGTGCCCACGGCTATGGCCTTTAAATCCTAATGCATGACGATGTACTCAGCTGGGCCAAGACATTTAGAAAGCAGTATGAACAGTGCTTTGTTCTAGAGGCAAGGAACCCACATGATCACTTGTGCAATTCCCAGTCCTCTGTTTGGGAGGTAACTACTGGAAGCCACCTGAGGACTTTCTTTCTTCAGAATGAGTGGTTCTGACTCACTGAGAGACACTTCACTGCCAGTCCACAAGCCATTTTCAATTAAGCAAATAATGTAGTATCCAGAATACTCTCTAACATTTAATGTTGAAGATTCACTTAGACTAGGAAAATCTTCAGTTAAAAGGCAGAAACTTCTCACTTTAAATGAGCATAAAATTTAGTTTGTCAATTTTGATAGCACTCACTATAAAATAGCAGTTCTATTGGACTGCTCTCTTGGTTAAAAAAAAATCTGCCGATAATAACTTGGCACATTTGAGCTATTTTTGCTTCCACACCTGAGGCGAGTAGCTTATATCTGAAGCCATCAATTTGTATACTTTCACGAAGAACTGAACTATTTTCATGAACTGGTTACATCAATGATCTTTATTCTCATAATACCACCTCCTGTTATCTATTATGATCTTTCTTATAACAGAAGGAAACATTAAGGAGAATACTGGCCTTAAGACTTTTTTTTGCATGCATATGATAGTTATTATTTTCAGGCACTTGCTTTTTTAAAAGACTGATGTATTTGTGAAATATATCTTAATATTCTATTGTCTTTCTTCAAAACTGTCAAGAAAATCAACTAGAAAGCAGGAAACTTCTTACAAAAAATTAAAAATAGAAACAGAATCAGATCGAACAACTGAGGATCATGCATTGCTTGGGAAAAGTAAGGTTAATAATTAATATACCCCTAACTTTCTAGCCAGCACCTCCTGCTCCCAAGGTGAGGACAGGCCCAGAGTCCCATTGTGCCTTTGGTAGTCTAAATCAATTAAAAATTGAGCTATGACTGGCCCAGTTTTTTCCATTTTCACCTCCCTCAGCTTACATTTTCTTTTGACTTGCTTTATGACAGATAAGAGAAGAAACAGTCATGTAATGAGTCCTTACCACAAGACTTATCTTTCTTTTCTCTATTTAATTCTGTTGCCTATTTATGAAAATAAAACTCGCTCATTTTAGAAATGTAACAAACGCATCATGTGTAAAGAGGAAAGTCCAAATACTCCTAATCTAACCACCATCAATATTTGCTGTGCAACCTTCCACTCCTCTTTTTATAAGTAAATATATAATCACATGTGAATGGAATCATATTAAGCATATTGTTTTGTAACCTTATATTGTTATGAAAGTTATATCATGGAAATGTTTCCATGTCAATATAGTCATACATCATCCTTTTAATGGACATAAAATATTCCACTGTGTGGATGCATCATCCATCATTTATCTAATCCGTCACATTGATATATGATATCAAGACATAATATGGTGATATGGTTTGGATTTGTGTCCCCGCCCAAATTTCATGTCAAATTATAATCCCCAGAGTTACAGGAGGGGCCTGGTGGGAGGTGATTGGATCATGGGGGCAGATTTCCTCTTGCTGTTCTCATGAGAGCGAGTGAGTTCTCGTGAGATCTGGTTGTTTAAAAGTGTGTAGCACCTCCCCCTGCCCACTCTTCTTCCTCCTGCTCCGGCCACGTAAGATGTGCCTCCTTCCTTTTCACCTTCTGCCATAATTATGCATTTCCTCCGCATGATGCTCCCCAGCCATGCTTGCTGTATGGCTTGTGGAACTGTGAGTCAATTAAACCTCTTTACAAATTACCCAGTTTCAGGTAATTCTTTTTTTTTTTTTTTTGAGATGTAGTCTCGCTCTGTCACCCAGGCTGGAGTGCAGTGGCACGATCTCACCTCACTGCAACCTCCACCTCCCAGCTTTAAGCAATTCTCTGCCTCAGCCTCCAGAGTAGCTGGGATTACAGGCGTGTGCCACCACATTCAGCTAATTTTTTGTATTTTTAGTAGAGATGGGGTTTCACCATCTTGGCCAAGCTGTTCTTGAACTCCTGACCTCGTGATCCACCCACCTCGGCCCCCCAAAGTGCTGGGATTACAGGCATGAGCCACCGCACCTAGCCGAGTAGTTCTTTGTAGCAATGTGAGAACAGATTAATACATACGGAAATAAAGTCCAGAAATAAGGCTGTATGTCCACGACAGAAGTTCAGAGACAAAGCTGCCTCGTAGCACCTGAAATTTCTTGAAATTTGAGAAAGAATAATTAAGCCCTTTCAAGTCAGCAAATGGCCAAATGAGGAGGTGAAATCACCAGAGGTCCTGGTGTTTCTAGAAGATGGGGTGTATTGCCACCATGACTATGTTAGTGAAGCTCAGGTGTGACCAGAGGTCGCTGGTGGGGTTCAGAGTCTGGTAGGTAGATAGAGCTCAGCTAAAGGTTTAATCGGAGCCTTCGTTAGATAAAGGCATGGTGCAGGGGCACAAAGGCACAAGAAATACCTGTTAGGGTTTAGAGAGTAACACAGGCTAGCATGTAGAATCTGATATACCAAAGCCACCCCAGCCAGGAGACATCTGGCAGAAGCTGATTCCAAACATACAGGTGAGGAGTCTAAGTACCACGAAGTTAGAGGAAAGAAGTGAGAAATAGACTTCAAGAGACTGAGAACAGCATCTCTGAATCTAAAGCACAAGTGTATACCCACATAGTCATATAGCCAGCGGGGGGGACTCAGACAGGGGCTGTCAAACCTCTGCCGTGAAAATCATCACCCTGTGGACAGATCAGTGCCAGTACATGTGGTCTGGCACCCAGGGAAAGCAAAATTCTGCTGGTGCTGTTAATTTCAGACAAAAACTGAGTTATCTGTGGAGTCTTCACAGTTTCTACAACAGGCCAACACTTTGTAAAGAGGGTAAGCAGTTTTCTAGTGAGTTGAAGTGATGCAGGCAGCCAAACCTCAGAAATTTGGCCAAAGTAATTCACTTGATAATTCTCAGCTCTGAAAGGTGGGCTGAAAACAGGCACTCTAGTTTTCTTCCATTATGCATTTCTGGCAGCCACCCAGCCACCAGATTCTTAGCTTTATTCTACACACTCATTTCATTCATTCATTCTTTGAATAAATATTTATTGAGCACCTGCTCTGTGTCAGATACTCTGCTGTGTACTGCAGAGGGTTAAATAAATCACAGTCCTTGCTGAATTCAAAAAGAAGAGAAATAATACTGTACCATAAATGCAAGAAAAAGAGGCTGCAGAGGTATTTGGGGTAAAAGATAAACATTTCCTCTTTTTTTGGCAAAGATTCACCTCATTTTACAAATCAGTTGAAGACTTGGTGAGGAGAGATAAGCATTCTTCTGATATTGCTACTAGCATTCGTTAGGTACTCAGTGGATTGGAAGCACTAAGCTAGACAACGGTCATATTCATATTCACCAAATATTTACTAATCACCTACTATTATGTCACGCATTGTTCTAGGCTCAGGGGATAAAATAGAGAACACGAGAGACATGGAGGCTTATAGCCTACTAGTAGGAAAAGAGAATAGGCAAGAAAAATATGGGTGATAAGAGCTATGCAGAAAATTAAAATGATAATGATGTGATAGAGTGTCCAAGAGGCAGCTGTAGATTAAGTGGTCATGATGGCCTCTCTGACATCTAAACTGAACTCTAAAGGGTGAGAAAAAGCCAGCCCCTGACACAGTGGAGTCCAGCTCACATTTGTATAAGACTTCCAAGGCTAGGCCATATGTAGTGAACCTCCAGAACAGCAAGAAGAGGAATGGGGCTGGAGTAGAAGGGTGGAAGAAGACAGGTCAGAGTGGAAGGCAGAGACCTGTCTTGAACATGCTGACTTTGAAATGCCTACAGGATCATGCAGCACCAAGCTAGAGAATGGGCAGGGAGCATCCTCAATCACCTAGGTGCTCAAAACAAAAGAAGTGACTCTTGATCCCAGCACTGCTTTCCCCCATAGCAATCACAATGGCACCACTGAGAAAAGTTAAAATCCTGCTTTGAAGCTTATTTTATAAATTTCTTTGCCATATTTCTTATGTAGTTGAGTGGATCAGTTAATCACTCATTTAACAAATATTGTTGAGTGCCTAATACGTACCAGCCACAAACAGGTGTAGCTGGGAGGCAGACAACAAATAAGAAGGGTACAAACAACAGATAAAATATGCAGTATCAGATGGTGATATGTGCTTTGAAGAAAATAAGGCTGAATAAAGGAGTACAGCCCAAGGACTATTTTAGATCAGGGATCTGGGAAGTGACACTTGAGCAGAGACCTGAATGATGAGAAGGAGGGTGCCATATGAAAGAGGGGATCATATGAAGATTATGGGAGATGGGAGGAGCATCTCAGGTGAAGGGAACAGCAAGAACTGCCCCAGAAGCTTGCTGAGTCCAAGCAGCAGCAAAAAGGCCAGAGTGGCTGGAACACAGTAAGTAAGGGTGTAAATGTCAGAGGTAACCAGGGCTAGATCATGGGGTCCCTTTGAGCCACGGCTATTCTGTGTGTGATGGGAAGCTCAAGGAGTGTCATATTTTAATACTTGCATTTCAATAAATTCACTCCCACTGCTATGTGGAGATTAGATGGGGAATCTAAGAAAGAAAAGCTGGAAACCAACTAAGAGGCTGCGACTTGAACCTACACAAGATGTGGTGATGGTAGCTGGCCCAAAGCAGCAGCCTTGGAAGAAGGGAGAAGTGGTCAGAATCAGGCTACATATTGAAAGTAAACTGGGCAGGGTTTGATGACAGGGGAGACCAAGAAGAACCGAGGATGGCCGTTAGTTTTGGGCCCTGAGCTTCTCGGTAGATGATGGCAGCAGTAACTGAGGGAGGAGCAGCTTTGGATGGCAGGAAGAGTCCAGGGGTGAAGGTAGAGATAGCAGTGTGCAGGGTATATCCTGGACAGCTCACATTTGAAATTTCCATTGGATGTCCAAGCAGATATTTGAGTTGGCAGTTAGATATTTGAGTATGTAGTTCAGGAAAGAGAGAGAGTTAAAGATAGGATGCAAGGAGTCATTGGCATTAAAGTATTAAAGTATGTGTACATTGGTGCTTCCTTCTTAGCATAGACTTGGGTAATGGGGCAGTGTGCACTGAACATGTGTTTGTTCTTTCCTTATGTTATGTCCTTCTCTGGGACAGTAGATGATACTGGGAACGTTACATCTGCTTGAAAAAATAAAGAGAATCCTGACAACCATATCTTTAACAAAAGAATAGAAGCACTGACAGAGTTTGACTTGATCTGAGGAAAGTTCTGAAATTCTGACAGTCTTTTAGTGTATAATTTTATTAGATTTGGACTTTTCATGTCTTTCTGATTTTATGAACCTGCTATTCAACTGCATCCTCATATATAACTGCTACCAGGAGGTGAAATAGTTTATGCATGTTTCTTTAAGAGAAATGTAATCATCTGCAAGATTCTTCAAGATATAAATTTACATTTAATATTCTACACCAGGGAATATTGGCAATATACAGTATTTTGATCAGATTCTTTCTGATAAAATATGAAGCTCTGAAGAGTGTTACTGAAAAACAGTAACTAAGTCACATGCGAAAACGTTCCTAAACCTTAAAATCACATTCCATGGGAATAAATCTAGTTGCATCTGGTTTAGAAAAGTGTAGTCCAGACAATGGTGCTGCAATCCATTCCATCATGATCATTGTAATTATCTTTGCTGGGTTGTTTCTATGTAATTTAATTATTCACTTCAATACAGAATAGTATTATTAAAGAATAAGGAGGGTAATTATTAATATGTTCTGCCCCAGGGTGAGAGTAGGATGCTTAATTAATGAACCACCCTCTTTCTTACTTTATGAATGGCTCAGTGATGTTGCAGTACAGCAGGTTGTTAGGTATTCTCTCCTGCTAATGGGTTATCCACATCATTTTCTCAACTAGAGTAGAAAAGGAGTTACTATCTATAACCCAGAAATGATATTGGCAGAGAAACTGAATAATCACTGAAACAGCTTGAAATAGTGTTCATTCTGGACGACTGACAAAATGCAACGGGGAAATATGGTTTTTCAGGCTTGATGCAAGCCTGAGTCCAGTTCGGGTTTTCCTTGAGATGGCCTACCTCTTCCCCTCAGATGCTTCTTATCTTTGAGAGTTTCTAAAAGATAAACTTCCAAGAACCTGTTATAAGAAAATGTCTCTAATGTCTAGCATCTTGTTATAGTTTGGTCTAATTTTTCCCCTCTATGTTTCTTATTTTTGAGAGTTTCTAAAATATAAACTTCCCTGAACTTGTTATAAGAAAATATGTTTAATAAATGGCATCTTGTTATACTTTGCCTTCTTTAAAAACCTTGGGATCTCTTTAAACCTAAAACAGGAAGTGAAATTTGAAGGGCTAACATGAATTTTACCAAACAACACAGTCTGGGCCAATAATTAATATTAATTATCATAATTAGTCATAATCTTTTTTACTTTACATGTGTTATTTTATACCTTCTTATTTACATAAAATTCACAGGAAACAGGACAAAACTCAATAGGAAGAGATTGGATTCTGAAACACACACTCATATATACTCACACACGTAAAAACATGTACATTACAGAATACTTAATAAATTTACACTTTTGAATTAAATAAGAATGGTTTAAAAATATTTAAAGAATACTTCAAGTGTTTCAGAAAAGACTAAGAATGCTTCACTATATTTGTAATTTGGCCCATAGAGCAATAAATGTTTCCCTATTATATCTGAACATATAGAGGCCAAACGCCCAACTTTAGCATCACCAGCTCCTGCTCTACCAAGATCAATTAGACAATGAACAAATGTCTTTAGAAGTAGGAAAACCATGAGTAAGCTACCTAAAATTTTACTTAGCAATTGCTTGTTGGAGAAGGGACAATGCTAGATACCAGATGAATAATTATGATGAAGAATATGAATAAATAATTTATATAAATATGGGTATACATATGTAAGAAGTCCTGCTTTAAAAGAGATTCTGTTTTGTCAAGGAATAAGTATTTAGCTAAATACTAGTAATTTAAATGAGATTAAAAAAACCTCTTTAAACTCTTAGTTAACATAAAGAATCCATCAAAATCATGGGCTTATTGTACTTTAATGCATGAAAGGAAAAATGGAAAATTCAAGAAGCTTGTTTTCTAGGTTGCTTAAAAAACTCACATATATTTATAAATTTTGTATTATTTAGCAACAAATTAATAGGCAAGAGAAGCAATTAGACATTTAAAGTTTCAGAAGTTAAAAGTTAAAATTTTTAGGACATAGCAATAATTTTCAGAGTCTAGGTATTGTCAATAACTTTTTTGTAACAGTTGCAAGGACAAGTTTTAAAGTAGCAGAAATCAGAAAAGAATGGTTATAGTTACACAAGTCTCCAGAGTTAAGATCTAGACTGTTGTGAATGTCTCAAGTTCAAAATTTTTCTTTACAAAATAAAATCTGAATATCTGTTTTTGCAGAAGTGAAAACATCTTTTTTTTTCTTTCTTTTTTCTTTTTCTTTTTCTTTTTTTTTTTTTGAGATTCTTTTTCCTGGCAGAGGTTAATGGCAAAGTCCACCTCTCAAGGCTAAGCACTACAATCTCATTTGTTAGCACCAAGAGATAAGAGAAGGCTTGGTAAACTCAAAGTGTATAAAATGGAAATAGAAAAGAGCAACGTTGAAATACTACTGAGTAAAGCAGAAATATGCTAGGTGGTTGCACTGGTAACTCCCAATAAAAGCACACCTCTAGGTATCCATACACTTCTATAGTCCTCTCAAGCTGACTCTGGGCTTGGCTATATGAAATGCATGGGCTAATGCGACATGGATGTGAGCAGAGGCTTGATAAGTGCAGTCTTGAATGGCAGAACCAGGAGAATTGACTGTACTTGGTTAACAATAGGGAACTAGTGAAGGTTTTTCAGCAAGGGACTGACAGGACCAATGTAGTGCTTCAAGACTATGAACCTGATGATGGTATTAAAATAAAGTCACATGGGATGGGGTGTTTGGAGATCCTGGTAGGGTGAACATTTGTGAGATTATTGTTCTTTAAGTGAGTCTCTCCATTAGAATAGAAGGGCAGAAAATCAATACTGGAAATAGTCTGTGTGTTAAGAAAGGACTTCAGGGAAGAAAGACTAATGCACCACAGTGATGCAGCAGCTCTCTCAGACCACTATGGACAGAGGTGGACAGCCTTAGCCAAGTCCCTGGAGAATGTTCTCCAAGGTTGAATAAATCTTTTCATTGTCATGAGAACAAAGAAGACGAGAGAGAAGGCTCATCGTGCTTGTCTTTTGATTTTTATCTTATTTCTGGGCATCCCATGAAAGCACACTTCAACTTATTTCCTTGAATTCTAAATTTCTAACTATTCCAGATGACTGCATTTCAGCATAATAATCTAAATCTTTGCATTCTTCTAATTTTCAGCATTCATATGCCAAAAATCTTAAATTGCTTAAAGATTATATATCAGGTAAGGAAATTATAGGTCTATTGTATAGAGAATCATAAGAGTGGAGAAGTAAAATCTTTTTCAGTAACAAAGAAAAATCATGTTGCATTCACAGGACCATGAAGCCAAGGGTGAAAGTGTCAGGTTTTAGGTAGGAAGGAAGAACAACCCAAAAGAAGCAGGCATTTTATGCTTTTCATGCATCGTCTGACCAACCTGACCTAGAAGCCTACATAGATTCTCCCAGGAGAGCAATAGACACACACTATGTATCTGGGAAAGTAGTCATAAAGATTTCAGATAAAGTCCTAAGAGGGCTAGGCCAACAGTGGGATAAGCCAACCTAGCTCAGCTTAGTGGCATTTTGTAAACCAGTCACATGAAGAGATAAAGGCAAGTTATAAGCCTAGGGCCAGGGGACTAACCACTATAGATGTGGCTTAGAATGGAGTACATACTGCTCCTACTTAGTATTCATTGTTAAGGCAGCAGAGACTCATACACAGAAAGAGGTGCAAGGAAGAACCCCTATTAGTAAAAGCATGTTTCTGAGAACCCAAATAAGGGACTGTCCTAAATGAACTTGGAATAGCATTCAAGTCACTCCCCATCATAGGACTGCAACTACCTGTTTCAGAAGGAAAATAAGTAAGAATTCACCAAGGAGTGGGCCAGAAATGTCTAACGGATAGCAAAGAGTCAGCTTTCAAGGTGTGTTTGTGTGGAAAGTAGGTGGCTACTCCCCTTGAATAATTTGTGAGGAGTCAGAAGAGCTCTAATGAGTAAATACCAACATTTTGGTTATTCAGAGTTTGTGCAGCAGTTCACACTGGGTACCTTGATTGAGGCTGGTACTGATTCAAGAGCTCTGGGGGAAAGGAGGCACAGCTGTCAATCAGTGGCATTCCTCAAAATCAAGTGAACAGCATCAAGATGAAGACGCAGTGAACCATTAGGTTTAGGGGCTGATCAGTTGATCCCATCACTCCCTAGTCCCCCTACAACATCCTCTTCTAGCAATTCCCAGGACCAATTTATTCCAACCATCTGCTTTTTTTCTGCTTCTGCTCCCAAGTTGCAAATGCTGCTGGAGAAAATCGGATACCTCTGCCAGCTGGCACCAGGACAACCTCAGCTGGGCTCTCCATGCTGCTCAGCAGTCTTTTCACGTGTCCTAACTACCTTCCATTAACAGTGCCCAGAGCAGCTGTTCCAAACTCTACACTCTTCACATGCTTCCTGGAGCTCTCCTCCCTTTGCATTCTCAGCTACTGGCCTTGCTCTGACATCACTGAGAAAATAGAGGGCATCAACTCTGTACCCCTACTCCCTAGTGTAGCACCTGAGACATAGTATGTTGAAATGGATCAATGAATGAATAAATTAATTCACTCATGAATGTAACTGGTAAGCACCAGTTTCTCTTTCTCTCTTACCTGGTATCAGATCTATCCTTGCTTCCTGTACACATACCTGGGAGGGAGGGAGAATTCTCTGCCTTTCCAAGGCCAGTGCTTCCACCTAAGCTCTTGATTCTATTAATATCTGCTCCCCTCTCCTCTGGGATCATTTATATACCCTTTCTTCTGTACCTCTCTTTCCATCTTCTACCTTTTAGCCCACAAACATGCTTAAGTCTCTGTCTCTGTCTCCTACAACTAGTATGTCCTGAGCAACTTTTATGTGCCAGGCACTGTTTCTAGCACTACAGAGATATTAGTGGGGAAAAACATATAGAACATCTGCCCTTTAATGGAGGTGGGTGGATGCAGATAATAAGGTAATGAGGGATACAAATAAATGAATTTAAAATAGATGTTTATAAATTTCTTAGAAAAAATACAAACAGGGAATGGGGGCAGAGTCTACTAGGGAGGGAGAGGGAGTAGGGATGCTACTTTAAATAAAGCAGCTAGATATAGGTGACATTCAAGCCATGATATGAAGGAGGTAAAGAAGCCAAGTGAAGACTCTGCATTCAAAGCAGAGGAAACAGCCATGTGAACGTCCTGTGTCAGGGCAGAGTGTCCTTAGCACAAATCAAGAAGCAAAGGAGACTGTGTGGCAGGAGCTGAGCGAGAGGTGGAACTTTAGTAGGATACAGGTCAGGGGACCAGATCTTGAGGGCCTTGTGAAGCATCGTGACTAAGGACTTTGGCTTTTGCTCTGGGGAAAATGGGAAGCTGGTGGGAAGGTTTTGAGTAGAGGAGTGGCATGGTCCAATATATTTAAGAGGATCCCTCCAGCTTCTGTGTTATGAATTGAGTAGAGTGGGGTGGAGGAAGAAGTGGGAACCCTGGTTAGGAAGTGATTGCAATCATCTGAGAGAGAAGTGCTGTGCACGATTGCATCCTCATTTGCCACCACATTTGTCAAAAGGACTGTTTCACTCATCGCCTCCATACTTTCTGTCCTCATCTAGTCCCATCTGGTTCATGCCCCCAGTGCTCTTCTGAAAATACTCTTGGCTGAGATCACAAATGACCTAAGTACCAAATGTCAAACCCAGGGGCTTCTCTTCAGTATCTGAGGCTCCTTTATAAAACCTCAGGGCCAAAGCAAGCCCAACTGTGTCTTGACCTATAAAAGTAACACCACGTAAGAAGATCCCACCTGGCAGGTTTAATGAAATCATGACAGCCACAGAGACTTGAATTTCCCTTTCTAATTTCCTTCAAGCAGGGTTTGCAGACTGAAATCTGACAAAGGCTGACAGGTAATGGGCGTGAGTGAAGGTGGATGGAAATGGGATGACCCCTCTAAGGTGGTAAATGCTTCTCACTTACACATGATACGTACCAGGTGAAAAAGTGGCTCAGGGTAGCCAGGCTTTGGAATTTTTCAAAAGAATCCTGAAATCTGAAGTTTTAGTGAAGTTTCTCCATTTGTAAAAATTGATAACTAAATTTTTTTTTAAAATACCTATAGACCAAATAGAACCTGTCTGTGAGTCATATAAAACTGCAGACCACCAGTTTTCAAATCCTCACAGAGGAATTGCTAAGTGCAGTGGTGAAGCCTCCGGGCTTCGGTCTGGTGCTCTGTAAATGCTGTGGATATGCTGATGGTAAGTGTTACTCATCATTTCCCCAATTCTCAGCCTTACACTCCTGCAGGCAACTCTAGGTTTTGACATTCTATTGCTCACATTTTCTTTTTGAGTTCCTGTTGCCTGTCCCACAAACTTGCATTTTCAATCACATACTGACCTTTTGGCCCATCACTCCCTGGCTGTGAATCTACCACACTTTTCTTCTGCTCACTCCACCTCTCACCAGACATACCAGATTCCTTCCTGGTTCTCTCTGCAGGAACTCACTCTCTCAGCCACTGTTTAGGTCATTTCTAGTTTCCTGGAGCAGATAGGTCCAGATTCAAATCCCTGCTGACTTGCTTAATAGACATTCTAAGCTTAAGGATGTCATACAACTTCCTCATGCCTCAATTTTCTAGATCATAAATTGGATTTTTCCTCCACCCACCTTTCCCTCCCCGCTACCCCCACATACCACTCTTTTCCAAACTCTTTTGATGAAACTTCTTCTTTCTACACCTTAAATATTGGTGTTTCCCCCAGAGTTCTGCCTTTATGTTCTCATCTGAGCCTATGCATCAAGGGTGGTTCTTTTACTTTTTTAACTTCAAATAATATCTCCATTCCGAGGTCTTACAACAAAGCTAGTCTTAGCCTGTTTGTTAAGCTTCAAACTCCTTTTTCTAATGATCTCTTGACCACCTGGGTGCCCCTGTTTTACCTCAAATTCAACATAGATAAAACTAAGCCTATTATTTTCTTCTTAATCTTCCATCTTATTTATACCACTCCCCTTTTTTCTCTGCGATATTGCTCACAGTAGTAACCCGCGCTGCTTAAACAGATAAACCACAAATCTTAATGGCTTAGCACAATAAAACCTGACTGCTTGCTCCCACTCCACTGGATATCACAGTCCATTGCAGTCCCACAGGGGTTGGGGAGGTTCCGCTCTATACACATTTTAGGGTCAAATTCCTTCCATCCTGTGATGTGGCCATTGTCAATACCTTACCCGGAAGTTTAGTGCAGATGGGGAAGAGAGAATGAATAGGGCCAGAAGCAGTATGTATATAACTTCTGCCCACATTCTATTGAGCAAAACTCAGATACATAATCCCAACTAATTGCAAAAGTTTGGGAAATCAAGTTTAGCTCTATGTTCAGAAAGAAAAGAAGAAATAAGAATATTGGACACTACTAGGATTCTCAGCTATGCTACTGAGTCTTCCAAAATAGAAACCTGAGGATAACCTCAACTTTAGGTTTGGGTCTTAGTAGTTCTACCTCAGAAAAGTTCAGCATATTCTCTTTGCAATCCCTATCCTTGTCACTTCTCACTGGCACTTTTGACACAGCTTTCCTCTCTTCACTGGATTCCTACTGCTTGCATCCAGGAGAAAGTCCAAGTTTGCCCAAGCCAGCTCTGGCCTTTTCAGTTCTCTCCTTCAATCCCTCCTGCAACTCACTGTATGCTATGCACCAAACTTCCTTCTTTCTTCAAACAATTTGCTTCCAAGCTCTGTGTGTATGCCAGGGTGTTCTGTGTTCTAGAACGCCTAGTCCTGCCTTGGTCACTTCAAAAACCTTCTTTGAGCATCAAGATCCACCTCAAATATTACTTTTTTTAAGAAGCTTTACCAAATCCCTTAGGATTAATGTCCATAGCAGTTCATATAGCACTATAACATCTTGGCACATTTAGTTATAGATAATTTTATATGTCTATATCTCCCATAAGACTGGGAATTTCTTGAAAGGAAAGACCATGTTTTTTTTTTTTTTTTTGTACTTTAAGTTATAGGGTACATGTGCACAACGTGCAGGTTTGTTACATATGTATACATGAGCCATGTTGGTGTGCTGTACCCATTAACTCGTTATTTACATTAGGTATATCTCCGAATGCTATCCTTCTCCCCTCCCCCCACCCCATGACAAGCCCTGGTGTGTGATGTTCCCCTTCCTGTGTCCAAGGTTCTCATTGTTCAATTCCCACCTCTAAGTGAGAACATGTGGTGTTTGGTTTTTTGTCCTTGCGATAGTTTTCTGAGAATGATGATTTCCAGCTTCATCCATGTCCCTGCAAAGGACATGAACTCATCCCTTTTTATGGCTGCATAGTATTCCAAAGAACATGTTTTGTATACAGTTCTACTGACCAGATTTGTAATCCCTGAGTCCTGTTCAAAGCTTGTACATTGTGGGTGCTCATTTGATGTTTGATGAATACATGTATCACTATAATGGAAATTAGAACACTATATTTTTATTTTTGGAAAAAAACTTAACCCATCATTTTTCTGTACTTCAGAGTTTTATCATTTGTCCTATAGGAGTTTTTAGCTCTAAATATCATTGGATTTAGGAGGAAACATTATCAAAAGCAGCACTCTTCATTAGCCAAGTTAGCAGATTTTTCTCTGAAGATTATATAGAATCTTACAATAAATCCTCAGCTACATTTCAACAAGAGGCAGGGTTTTCTAGGATTTTAACCTCTTGGTCTAATCAGTTTTACAAATTGTCAATCTTAAAATCCTTTAGAGCCTCCTAAAAGAGAGGAACCATTTTGTTGGTTATCTGGGAGCTGGTTGTTTCTTCCACTTCATCTTATGTAGAGTCATGCCCATGCCCAATAAGAAAGGGAACAAAGGCAGGGAAAAGCTGTGAATCTCAACTAATCCAGTGCTGCATGAGTTGAAACAGTGGATAAAGGATAGAATGGGTTCTGGCACTGCCTAGTAATTTCAGACTTCCTTGCTTTTCTTGTCCTACTTATCATGAAGCATTAGGAATGAGCCCATCATTGAATTAGATATGCCAAGAACACTATTTTGCTTACCAGCTTCTCTACCTCTCATACCCAAATGGAGTGTGAAGGTAGTGAATTAAAATTATTTATGCCATGGCCTCATCTATCATGCCTATGTAAATGAGTCCCACATATATGTCTTAAGTTTAGACTCCTCTTCCATGTGCACTGTATCTGACTGACTCTTGCCATTTCCACTCAGATGACCCACAAGAATCTCTAATTCAGCATGTCAAAAACTGAATCACCTTCACTTCTAAGCCTACTGCAACTTCTCTCTTTCCTTGCTCAATTAATAATAGCGTCATTCTCCAAGTGGGACAGGATTAAAAACACAAAGTCATCTTTGACAGCTTATATATCCCATCAACAATCACTTAGTAAGCCACGTTCATTCTGTCTCTGCTAACTCACTTATGGTAAGATTCATGTTACTCTTTTTAGAGAAACCTCTTCAACTACCGGCAGCCCAGAGCTGAACACTCATAATGTCAGCCTCAAAAAGGAGAGTCCAGTCTAGTGCCAACAAGACAGAATCACAGCAACAAACTGATCCCATCCAAGTTCTCACTCTGGCTTTTCACCCCTGACTGTCTTAACTGTCAGCTCTAAGTATCTGTAACAACTCCAAAAAAGGAACTTGTAGACTTTTCAAGAATGAACTCATTATAGATGGTTGGAAATATATACATATATAATTTATATATATATAAAATATGATTTATATATATATATGATTTTATGTATATATATATGATTTTTTTCAGGCAGTGGCTCACTCTGTTGCCCAGGCAGGAGTGCAGTGGCACAGTCATGGCTCACTATAACTTCAAACTCTAGGGCTCAAGGGATCCTCCTGTCACAGTCTTCCAAGTAGCTAGGACTACAGGCACTCACCACAACACTCAGCTTATTTTTTAAAATTTCGTTGTAGAGATGGGGCCTTATCATGTTGCCTAGGCTGGTCTTGAACTCCTGGCTTCAGGATATCCTCCCATCTTGGCCTCCCAAACTGCTAGGATTACAGACATGAACCACTCTTCCCAGCCTTTACGATATAAGATTTTAAAGGGATATTAGAGGAGCCAGAACTGAACACTGGTAGATGGTCTTTGTGTACTGGGCTATCCAGCTTCCTAATTATACAATGTGTTTGGGAGAATTGAAGGGTTATAAAACATTTGGGAAACACTAAAAAAGGTACTTAGCCACATTTCTTGAGATATATAGTGCCAGCAAGCAATGTGGACAAAAACTTGAGCCTAATCCACAGTTAGGGTCAAATATCTAAAGAGGCTCACCTGGGAGCATTTTGCACAGAGGAAGGGAGATGCTGTGGAAAAATGGAAAGGACTGTGTTAGTTGGCCCAAAAGCTTCGGGCACAGGGACCCCATCTTCATGATGGTCATGAACATCAGAAAGGTATTTCCTACTGGTCTAAAACTGAAAAGCATTGGAGGGCAGAGGAATAAAAGAGGTTAGCAGTGTCGTGGGCATGCTATTGGCAGCAAATTGTGGGTGGCACAGCAACAGTGGTCAAATAGCAAGGCCTGTATTGGTAAGGCCTGTAGACTCCAAAAAGATGAGACTGCAGAAGTGGAAGTATGAGCTCCAATTAAATGAGACATCCCCTCTCCTGGAGGGAGAATGAATTTTTAGAGTGAATAATTTTTACAAAGCTTCTAAATTTGGTTTCCTGAAAATCAAAGCATTGTGCCTCGCAACGCTGAAAGATAATAGGAGTGGCCCGGGGCTTAATAGTTTATGTATTTAAGTATAACAAATTATTAAAAGCACTCCTTGGTTACCAATATCTCTTCTGGTTCTCCTTTCTAAAGAAAAATATTGGTCTGGATCCTTCTTTCTAACTTACATGCAGTCTTTGTCCCCAAATCATCTAAGTCTAGATATCTTGTTTCTTACTCCAGGGACCTTAGTACCTAAGTTTTGTCATTTGCTTATGCACTGGCTCCAGGTATTACCTTATGAACTGAGTGCTTACAATGCATTCAGCAAAATTCAGACTGTGGCTGTGTGATGCTGCCACTCTGTCTCCCTAGACAGGGTGAGCCTATGTCTGTTTCACGACCCTTTGTGGCCAACTTGTTGCTGGCATAATCAGTGTTCTGGAATATCCTGAGATCTTAGGTGGAGGTTTTCAAACCCTCCTTTGAAGGAAGTATGGCTTCTTCCTTAATGATGGGGCTAATAAAAAATATTAAATATATCATAGTAGTCACAATTTCTTTCTCCATTGTAAAGAACTTGTGACTACTATGATATATTTAGTATTTTATTATTAATTACCTATCTTGTAGTCTGTAACTATGTACCAGCTATAATTTCATTCAGATCCTCTTTGCTTCTGTCTAGGATTCCATATGTGTTTTGTTTTTCCTGAATTAGACTCTAGCCCTATCTCTGAATAGTAACTAGAACTGCATCATTTCTCAAGGCAAGAAGAAACCCCTCTAAAAATGAATGAATAAATGGGAAATCAGTCAAATAAAAAAAAAGTTAAGACCTCCAGCAAAAATACTCATAGATGCTCATCAGTGTCCCACCTGACTCCACACAGTATGGCCCTCTAGGATTTCATGTTTGCATATAACCTTTGGGTGAGAGAATGATCTGCTGCTAGGTAGATATGATTGGTTAAAATTAATACTTGTATATGTATTTCCCTACTATTACTTTAGTTTCTTTTATTAAAACTTGTAAAAGTCTTCTAATTTGGCTTCTGTATTTCTGAGCATTTCCTTTCTTAACCAGAGTTCTTCATCTGAATATGACTTAAGTAACTATTTTCTTAGTTCTCCTAAGCATGGTTCCTAACTACAGTAGCACCATTCTAGATGCACAGGGAACAAGTTAATTTATTATGTAAAATATATACTTTGAAAGCATTAAGGCTTAATTCTTAGTTGAAAAAAAAAAGTAGGGTTGGGATGGAAACTCTATGTTAATCTTCTTAGATTACTCTTTTGTTCATGTTTCACATCATCAGCCTGCGCAGAATCTACCAGTGGCTCCCTGGTACCTATACAATTAGGTTTAAACCCTTAGCATGTAGAGCTCCCTATAATCTGGACTCAACCTACACTGTATCTCTTCTCTCTCTTTATCTGGGCCACTGGGCTTCACTCTAGTTCTCCATCCCACCCTGAACCAAACCAGAATGTACTCTTCCAACTTCCTCCTCCCTCTCCACTACCCCAGTCCCTGACTTTCATCTCTGTATGTCTCATTTTACTCATTTTTCAAGGTCAAGCTTAGATTTTATATTCTACATAAATTTTTTTTTGATTCTCCCTTCTACCGAATCTCTACCACATTTTACTTTTTAAAAATTTTTGTAATACTTTTCACTATCTTTTGAGTGCATATCTTATCAACTGCTCCAGCCTGAAAGTCCTCTGAGTAAAACTGTGTTTTACGTGTATTTGCATCCTCTTTTACCCCTTATCCCCATGACTAAAAGATGTAAGGTCAATAAAGCTTTGGAGAGAGAAAGAATGAATGAATGAATGGGAAGCGGAATACATTGGCACTTGTCTACTGGTATACCACAGGTTCAGACTTCAACAGGTTAAGCAGGCGAGGCTTGGAAGAGAAAGCATCCTTGACATAAGTGAGCTTTCTCTCTCTACATGCTTGTGTGTTACATGACATGGTATGATGCCTTAAACTCCCGTCAAAAATCTACATGCCCCCCTACTTCCTCTAAGAGCCTTAAACCAAATCTTTTCTCTTAGGTTGTCCTCCAGAATTTCTCACCGCATGCTTTAACACCTTGTACACAGTATTTAAGTAGTATCTCCAAATGTGAATACTCATTATGCCCACCATTATATATATAATTACTCATCTTTGACAGTAAATGTTAAATATTTATTCCTATACTTAAACATAATGCACAGGATTCCTTTTTAGTGACTGCTAATGAGTTACTTTTTTCTAAATCAGCCGAAACATGAAAATTAAGCATTTTTTTCTGCTCAGAAATAATTTCAATGATAATAGTGTTAAAACTTTGCATTTCTAAAGTACACTGTATTTGAGAATTCTACAGAATTGTTGGAACATAAGTCATGCAAAGGTATGAATCAGTCAGCACTTCAGTAGGAATATTAGCTTTATACCCAGAAAGCACTTAACAGCCTTTGCCACCTGAAAAAAAGATAGGATAAGAATAATTTCTCAAGAGCCAGGATCTAGGACCACATTTACCTTTCAGATTTAAAATATGAAGGCTTTTCATTTTCACAGCCTTTGATTGTACTATGTCCCATAATGTTATTTTTTTTTTAATTGCTTCTATTCTTTCCTGGTAGGAGACTACCATGTAACCCCTTTTGATTTCCGAGAGATGTGGAATGCAGATCTGTAACACTGCATTTTCATAACTCTTCCTTTTTGCTTTGGATATATTTTTGTCATTAATATAGTACTGGCAGGTCTGAATGTGTTTTCCTAACCTTATTCCATCCTCCCTTTGCTAGGAGTTAATTTAGTGAGAGCTCAACCCACATAAATATACGCTTATAAAGCACAAATGCTCCCCAATCATAAAGAAAATGCCCCATGAGATACTGATCAAGGGACATTTTTTTAGATTAAAGGCTAAAAGATATCTTTACATCAAGCTCAGCTGAGTAAAACGTTTATTTTCTTATTCATGTATGGTGAGAAAATTTAAATTGACATTTCAATCATTCAAAATAATGAATATCTGAAGTGCAGGAATAAAGACAACATGTGTGTATCATTTAGAACAGAAAGCTTTTCCTCTGTAACTGGTAAACCAAAAATAGATTGTATTTTCTTCCAAAGAATTATAATCTTTTATTAGGATATATTCTAGGTAAGTAATTTGTGTTTCTGCTGAAGGGGACATGACACAGAAAACCATTATTTGTATTTTAAGTAGTTGTCTCACTTTGCACCGAGGGAGCAAAGACCAAGTATTTTCCATATAGTACTTGCTCTGGATCAAATACTTTTAAAGTAAATGCACTAATAAGCTTGGATCCCATGAAGGTGCTTATCCTACAGGCAGTTTTGGGCACATGGCCAGTCGTGACCTGAGAATGCACTGAGGTATTAAACATCAAACATTCTCCCTTCTTCTTTCCTTCCCCTTTATCCACAAACAACATTGTTTTTAAGATTTCCTAAGCAAACCAGGAACCTTGAGAAGTTATTGTTTTTGACTTAAATGTTGGCTGACTTAAATTGTTTCATGGTAAACAAGCATTTTCCTGCCCCTATAACCATATAAAAGTCCGTTGGGAGACCCAGAAGTTGAAATGGTAACTATATTCTGTTGTGAGCCAGGAATCTGTGGGTGAGCATATGGGAAGGCACTTTTATTAGCAGCCCTGGTATATTGTGCCTGGTTCTCATCCTGAGATAAGGGATGAAGGATGCATAGAATCCAGAGTGATATTCTTGATTGGTTGAAGGCCCACCTTCCCCTCTCCTGTTTGAAAACATGGCTTAAAAATAAATGGGTCAGAAAGCCTCACCCAATGAAAAGTGAGGAATATAATATATAGTCCTCCACATTTTCATTTTGGAGACCCTGGGTGTATTAGTCTGTTCTCATGCTGCTAATACATACCTGAGACTGGGTAATTTATAAAGGAAAGAGGTTTAATTGACTCACAGTTCCACATGGCTGGGAAGGCCTCACAATCATGGCGGAAGACGAATGAGAAGCAAAGTCAGAACTCCCCTTTGTAAAACCATCAGATCTTGTGAGACATATTCATTATCACAAGAACAACATGGGAAAGATCCACGCCCATGGATCTTTACCTCCTATGGGTCCCTCCTATGACACGTGGAAATTGTGGAAGCTACAAATCAAGATGAGATTTGGGAACACAGCCAAGCCATATCACTCGGTTTACATGTATTGCTGCTTTTTCATTAAAGAAAAAAATGTGTTACAAGCCAACTAATAACCAATAAATGATCTTGCTCTTATTACCAAATATGTTTCCTAAGTAGGGAATGCTGGAAGGGAGGGAGGAGTCAAAAAGACTAAAGGGTAAGTGTAAAGAAAGAGAAATCATCTACCTTTGCTCTTCTTCCCACGACCTCATCACCATGCTTGAAAAGAGTCAATGAGCTTTTCAGGATCATTAGCATACTTCCATAGGCTGTGTGAGATGCAGGTCTAAGAGCAGACCTCAGATCTAAAGGAAAGCACGGCATTATCTATCTCACCCACACAGTCAAAGCATTGTCTCCTTATGGCTTATCCATGTGTCTGGTGTGTATCCCACAGGAAAGCAGTGGAGAAGGTAAGGATGAAAAGCTAAACTCAACATCATGCAGCAGTTGTGGTAGGCTGGATTTTACACCTGGGAACAAGGGTGCCTAACTGTCCCAGTTTGCACAGGACTGAGGGAAATTTCTAAGACACAGCATTTTATAGTTTTAAAACCAGAACATTCCTGACCAAACCCAGACAATTGGTCATTCTGAAAACCTAGGATTTAGGTTCTCTTCATCATTGAAGTCTTCTAGAACCCATACTTTCAAAATTATCTGCACGATGGAAACGTCTACGGCATTTTAAAAGCAACTGATGTGGGTGTCCCACCCCCCATAAAATCTGACTTCATTGGTCTGGGATGCAGCCTGGCCCTTGGGAGTTCTTAAAGCTCCTCAAGATCCCCAGCTAATTATAATGTGCAGGACAGATTGGCAACCCCTGCACTAAGTGATTTTGCTAAATTATTTAACCTCTCTGAGCCTATTTTTCTTTTGGTAAAAATTTGCCCTACTTCTTTGCATATTACCTCTGTACAAATATTCAAGCTTCTACTATTTGGAATGTTCTGAATCAGTGCATAGGAATCAATCACCTAAGGATCTTGTTCAGTGAAGATGCTGATTCAGTAGGTATGAGAGGTGGCTAGAGAACTCACATTTCTAACAAGATCCCAAGTGATGCTGTTGCTGTTGGTCCAGTGTGTAATTGAGTTTGTGGTAGGCAAAATAATGCCTCCACACAAGGTGTTCACATCCTAATCTCTAGGACCTGTGAATGTGTTATGTTATTTGAAAAGGGGGATTAAGGTTGCAGATGGAATTACAGTTGCTAATCAGCTGACTTCAAAATAGATCAACTGACTTCAAAATAGATTACCCTGGATTATTCAGGTAAATCTAATATGATCACAAGGGTCCGTGAAGCAGGGGAAATGATGTAGAATAATCAGTTTCAGAGTGCTGCAATACGAGGAAGCCAGCCATTGCTGGCTTTGAAGATAGAAGGGAACCCAGAGGTAAGAAATTTGTGAAGCTTCTAGATGCTGGAAATTGCAAAGAAACAGATTTTCTCCTAGAGCCTCCAGAAAGGAACTTGGCCCTGCTAAGGACACACTGATGTTTGCCCAGTGAAGCTTCTGTCAGACTTTTAGACCTACAGAACTGTAAGATAATAGACTTGCAACATTTCAAGGTCTTTATTGTTATTTGGAACAGCAGCAATAGGAAAGTAATACAAGTATGATATTAATCCACAACTCAGGAGAGCAGTAAACACAGTTTCATTGTTCATTAAGCCAGTTTCTCACTCTGAGTCATTCTCCCAGACCTGAACCTCAGCCCTTCCTGGGGTTTTGAAACTCCACCACCCCTACCTTCAAATTTGGCTATAGTTCTTGAGTCCAGCGTTTAGGGATGCATTGGAGGCAGCTGGCTGGTCCATCATCCTTTTCCCCAGTGGCACACTTATAGGTGCAATCTTGGTGGGGGGCTGCCTGTGGTGGAACAGGCGACTCCAGACAGACAGGAGGGACGCACAGTTCCCTCCCACTCTCTTTCCTTGGCCTCTCCTCCCCGCCCCTTCAGCACAGCCCAGGAGAATGTGGCTTGTCTCAGCTCTTCTCCTGCCCTGGTTCTTCCATGCTCTGTGTATATCTCTATGAATTCTCTAAATTATCCCAAATGTTTGAGCTTTGGAAAACAAAGTTCAGGAAAATGTGCAGGTTATTTTTATTTTCTTTCGGACCGCACGGCTTGCCTGAGACACTGAGCCCAGCTGGCTCCACCGCAAAGTAGGGGAAAAAGGGAACAGACCCAATCTAGGAAGTAAAGAACATGATTCAGTTTGTCAAAAAAAAAAATCTACTTATGTGTGAGAAGTGAGCACAATTAAGTTTCTTTTATACGCCCCCTCACCCCCCGCCAGCCCCCCGCATAGGAAAGTTCCTACTGCGGTACATGTGCCGCATCTGCCCAGCGCGTCCAGAAGTAGAAAGGCATCGGGCTTCCTAAGGATATCCGCGGCCAGTTGAAAGGAGCACAAGAGGCTCCGAGATAAGACGACCAGGGCCAGAAAGTTCAATGCATCATTTCAAGATTCGATGTCTTGGAAACTAGACTCCTTCTCAGATCTTAAAGGTGAAATGAGTGGCCACTACTGGCAGCCCCACAACAGCACGCATTGGGCAACAGGCCTGAGCCCCACACATCTCCGGATGATACACACCTGCCCCATGGGAAGCCCCGGGAGCTCAGAGCTGAAAATAGTTTTGCGTGGAGCTGCCGCTAGGCTGGCTTCCTTTCTGAACCTGACCACGGAGTTCCTTACGATTTCCACGGCAAAGAAATACTCTCTATGTAAATTGTAAGCATTTTCTCTGTAGATTTCAGTTGTCGATGACTACCTCATAAGTTGTAATAAAATCCAGTTTTATTAAGAGATTGAGACTCAAGAAATCTCTTGAGAAGAACATACAGAAAAATGTTAAGGGATTAATTTGGGAGTAGAATTGTGGGTAATTTTTTTCTTTATGTTTTTCTGTATTTTCTCACTTTCTAGAAGAATGTGTTTTGTCTATATACTTTGAAAAATAAGTTTTTAATTACTTAAGAAGAATTATGGAGAGTTTACGCTCTTTGGCTTGAATTGGAGAGGGTAACAGTTTGGAGAAGGCTATTTCCCCTACATACAGACCTTAGAGAGATATATCTGCCAGCCTCACTGGGCTGGGACTAGAATCACCTTTAGATACCATGAATAATAAGCACAGTAAAAGTAACACTAATGACACCAGATGATGTCTGTGTTCTTTGGTGTGCACGGTCCCATTTGCATCTAAGGACTGTGGAGAGCTCTGTGCCTAGGTCGGCGGGAATGACACCCTCATTCTTCAGGTTCTGACGTTCAAGTCAGTGCTGTTAGATTCTCAGCTGTCCTAACTCCTTTTCCTGGGTGCGGAACACTCCCCTCCCTCCACTGTTGTTGGCTAGGGATTCCAAACTAAACAGACATCAAGACTTTTCTTTTTTTCAAGAATAGGTGCTGCAGATAAAGCCCAAAATACAGAGAAAACCTTACCACAGAAATGCAGGTTGGAGGAACAGAGAGCGAGAGGGCAGGTGCAGTTCTTGCCTGCCTTCTGCCAGGCCCATGTCACCAGTTCACTGTTTATTTCTTCACCAAGCCTGCTATTAGCAGTAGGTCTGAAAGCTTTGAACTTAACTGATGTACGTAAAGCAAGCTGTTCATTTAATCTGCACACTTAATTCAGCTCTCTCTGCATGCTGCTTCAGTCTGGCTTCTTTCCATATAAGGAGTTCACCGTATCTTTCTGCAGCACCCCTACCTCTGTCTTGAAAAACAGCCAAAGATGGCTTTGTGTTTAATGCACTTGCTGTAGGCTGAAAGCCCCAGCTGCACTGCCACCACCTTGCCCCCTACTCCTGCCAGGTAAGTCCTGTGTGGTCCATTTCCATCTCATCCTCAAATGAGAACCTGCTGAATTCTATTATTTTGAGACTTTTTTATGTAAATGAAGGGAAAGAAAGTCAGTTTTAATTTTGCCTGTCTGATAGATTATATCAGAAACAAATGCATTTATGTGTGTATAATTTCCTGTTCATGAAAATGTTGCTGGACCCTGCTTTAGTGCACCTTAAGGCAGATTTGGTGAAAGCTTTAGGCACACTTCTGAGTAAAATATGCATTTCAAATGCACTAATAAAGTGTGTAGAATTGAACAGTGGGTGGGAGAGAAAGGAGGGACATTTTCTCACTTGTGTATAATGTTCTTTTCTAAGTAAATACTGGTAAAGTCTATGTATAATCACAATTTTATTGAAAGGTTAAGTAGGTGGCTCCATTTTGTTGTTATCATAAATAAGCAATATTTGCTACAGAAATCTCACATTTTGGATAATGGTATGTAAATATATCATATTCCTTCTTTCCTAAGTGGTTTCCATGGCTTAATGCCTGTCAAGGTTTTGTGAAATATCTGCAAAACCAGATGATACCACTCAGACGAAGGGAAGAGTGAGGAGATTTAAAAATAGAGGCTAGCTTTAGGAGTCTATGCTAAGGAACATGGGCACGTGAATCTGGGAATGGGGGTGCATGCGTGCATGCAGCCAGGGGAAAGAAATAGTCATTAAAAGCCATGAGAGAAGGAAAATGCATTATAAATACAAAATTGGGAAAATAAAATTTAGATGCTAAGCCAGGCCTTGGTGGGGAGAAAAATGGAACCACTCTTATTTGGTTATGCCTTATCACCGCTGTTCTGCTTGGGGTACCAGCTGCCTCATTTAGAGCCCGTTCTTCTCACAACATTAACCAAGGTGAAAATATTATTAAACCCTGACAGTGAATGACAGAAGCTTGAGATATAGTGCGTATATCTACTCAGGCATGGCTGTAGACCCCAAACCAGATACCCTTAAGCCTATTATCCGCAGAATAACAGACATTTGCTCCTATCATTATACATGTGAACTGTGTACCTTATTTCAACAGTTATTATCAGTATATTAAACAGCTACAAAATAGCTGGCCCTGTGTTTTCTGTTTTATTGGAAGTATCTCATTTATCTAGAGTCTTCTGAAAGTCAATACTATTCCCATTTTTACAAATAAGAAAAATGTTAGGGCTCAAGGAAGTTAAGTATCTCAGCCAGGGCCACACAGTTAATGAGTGGAGGAGACAGGATTTGAACTCAGATCCATATACCTGGGAAAGTTTATGTTCTTTCCACTTTTAAGCAGCCTCTTTATTTAATTGGAAAAATTCATAGAATTATAAGATAGGAATAAGTGAGAAAAGGAACATACAAATAAAACCATTTTCTTGGGAATATTGGAACCACAGCTTAAGTAAATAATTCTATCCTGAAGTGTTTTGATTTGTTGGCTGAATTTTCCAGTAGTTGAAACATTAGCCAGACACACCAGGGCATTATTTCTCTATGTTGGTTGCACATTTTACCAACCTGAAGAGCTTTAAAAAATAGTTACGTCTAATCTCCACTCCCAGAGCTTCTGATTAAATTGGTCTGAGATGTGGCTTGGACATTATGGGTTTTAAAAGCTCCCCAGGTGATCCTAATATGTAGCCAAATAAGTATTTTCCCCTTAACGGCCTCTCCTAAAGTCTAGACCCATTAATTCAGCTAACTCTTAGCTATCTCTGCTTTAATATCCCATAGGCATCTCAAACTCAGCATGTCCAAAATAGGGCTTTACATCTTTTCACTTAAACCTGACCCTCATCTTCCTATATGATATTTTTTAATGCCAAACACTATCACTAGACTTATTATTCTAAGTTAGTCATATTTTTATCTGAGTTCTGAAATTAAAATAGGCATGCCTGACCACTAGATGGCTGCTATATAAATTCATAAATATTTGCATCTGTGGGATTTCAAAAGAGTAGCAAATTCAAACCCTGATTAGTTTTAGAAATGTTGTAATAGCTCCCTCCTGAATGCCAAAGGAAGACAATGCTCAAATTAAATGCTCTACATCAGGAAGTTAATTTAAATGAGCATGTGAGCCTTATTGTCCATAAGAAAGTGAGTGTGGAGCATTTAAACCCGCAAGGAATGCCAGGTTCCACAGGGAAACAAGGACCACTAGCCCTGATATGCAGGCTCTACAATAAAAATCAAATCTAATATATTATGCGGGAAAAAAACAAACAAGGACCACTAGAGCCTACTCTCTGCTTCCCCGTTGATGCAAGGGTATTGCACTTTTTCAGAGGTTCACACTCTACATGGCAAAGAATGGTACATGGCCTAAGAGAAGAAAAAATGATGTCTCTATAGTAACTGTGATCATTTCTATTATAATTATTTGATAAAAACCCAACTCAATTTTCCTGAAGGAAAAAAAATCAAGAAGCCATTGGCCCACATAACTGAAGGGTTCAGAGGTGATCTAGCATCAGGCATAAATAAATCCAGAAGGCCCGTGGTGACAACACAGGTCTGTCTCGCTGGATCAGTTTCCCCCTTCCATTCTCTTGTTCCTCCTTTCTCACTCTGTCTGGTCCTGCTCTGCCTCAAATTTGGCTTTATTTTGATTTCAGAGCTGAGATCAAAGTTATGAGTAATAAGTCTGGCTACATATAATTTTTGACATTAAAAAAAAAAACATATATGAAGAAGAAGCTTACTCTCAGTCAAGCCCTTTACCCATGGCAGCTTCCACAAATCTCGATTTCTGTCCCTCCAGTTCTTAGTCCACCAAAGTCATTTTCTTTCTTACAGCAGTCTCACAAAAAGCCTTGTGATTGAGGCTTACTGGACCCAGGCTTGAACTAAGTTCAGTAGCCAGGGGGATTTCCTTGACTAGGCCTTTACCATGGGCCCTTCCAAGGAATCAAGAGAGAGTTGGCGTGCTCAAACCACCTGGGACTCACAATGGGAGAAGGGTGAATACACAGGAGAAATGTGGGCTCCGTTACAACATGAAGAGTTAGATGTTGGGCTGGACAAAGTAAGGAATCCCCAGTGCAAACTCTGCAGGTGCAGAGAGAAAGAGATCTCATCCATCTGGGGATATAAGAGGATTTTCAAGAAGGTATGATTAGGGATGAGTCTTGGAGGATTGGCTAGTTAAGAGGAGATATAAAATAAATTTAATTTTGTTGAAACATAATTCATGTCCTCCAGGACCTCCTCCATAGTTATGAATCTAAGAAGCTACTTAATCTATTTGGTGCTTAAATAAAAATGTTTTGATTTCATAAATAAAGATTTTGTTTATAATAAAAGAGACTGTATCATTCAGATACTCAGATAAGCAGGTCTCTACCATCAGGTATAATGATATCTTTTAAAGTGAGAGCCTCCCAAACTTTAGTAATTATTTCCTCACATGAGCATTCCAGTATTTTCATGAAACTCTAAAAAGTGAGAATTTATGATACTTAGAAGCAGTTTGATGTTGGGAAAATATTTATTTTTGGCACTGGCCTTCCATGTAACTGTAGGCAAGTCATTTAAGTGGTTTACTTATTTCTAAAATGGAGATGATATTGGCCAGTAATAACAATGACTGATAATAAAGTTGTTGTAAATGGCAAAGGAAATAATGCAAATGAAATAGCAAGTACTATACAAATAAGTGTGAGATGGTGTCATTGTACAGTTTTCAAAGTAATATCTTATATGAGGAAATTAGTTGATAATGGGAGGGTTTGTTTCTTTGCATGGCAAGCCATCTCCATTTTATCTTCATTAAATTCACCACCAGAGCTTATTATAATAATTTAGCATTATGGGTAAAATTGTGTTAGTGTTTACTTTGGAAATATATAAACCTGGTGGCTTCTATATCTGGAATACTTCCAGGAATTAAGGAAAAGGTGAAGGGAGCAGCTTCCAGGCACCTAACAATAACAGCCCTATGGCTATGGGGGCAAAACCTTTTCCTCATGCAGTAATGGGGATTACTCATAGGCTAGCAGAAATGGTCCAAACCAACCATCTGAAGAAGGAACCAAGTGCACGGAAAAAAGCAAGAAATTTTACAAAGGAAAGGGGAAAGTGGAAACAAAAGAGAGGAGAGCAACAGATGCAAATGCAAGGGACTAGTACAGTGCAGTGGAAATTAGAGCCAGAGGCGGAAGCTGTGAACCACACATGGAAACATTGATTTTGGTGAGGGAGGGGGGAGATGAAGGGGAGTGATAGTATACCTACTAGATTCGACTCCAGAGCAGAATGTTTCCCAACAACCCTTCCTATAGATGGCCAAGCTATTTTCGTTAATAATTGTGATGTGGAATGAATAATAATAGCCTGAAACAAACACAGTAAAAATCTTCTTTTACTGAACTTTGTGTGTGTGTGTGTATGTGTATATATAAAACCTTGTGTATATATACACACACACAAAGTTTAATAAAAGATTTATATATATATAATCATTATATATGTAATTAATTGTTAGTAATTGTTAGAATTTACACTAAGAAAAGATTTTTTGAGGGCAGGAGTATTTTATCATTGACATTGTTTTGATTCTCATGTTTGCTAGCACATGGCAATAATAGAAAAATATTTAGAGTGTTATATTATTGTTCTAAAATTCTGTATGTCCAATGCACATTCTTATTGCTTGTACCTGAGGGAGAACCCTGTCACAAATGGAGGGGAGTCAGCAGCCCAAACAGAAAAATATTTGGTTCACTCTGCAGAGAAGGGACACACAGCCTCAAACCTCTCAGTGGGCCCTAAGGGCTTTGCTGAACTGTACAGCCTGTGGATACAATACCAAAAGAGAAATTTCTTCAGAATTCCCTCAGAGGAAAAGCTTCTCTTATGTTTCCTACTTTAAGAATTCCTGGCCGGGCGCGGTGGCTCGTGCCTGTAATCCCAGCACTTTGGGGGGCCGAGGCAGGCAGATCACGAGGTCAAGAGATCGAGACTATCCTGGCCAACATGGTGAAACCCTGTCTCTACTAAAAATACAAAAATTAGCTGGGCGTGGTGGCACACGCCTGTAGTCCCAGCTACTCAGGAGGCTGAGGCAGGAGAATCGCTTGAATCCAGGAGGCGGAGGTTGCAGTGAGCCAAGATCGTGCCGCTGCACTCCACCTCAAAAAAAAAAAAAAAAAAATTCCTAAGTGTTACAGACTTCATTTTGCCACTTTTTTTTTTTTTGCTTTGGCAGAGTACAGAATAAGTAAATGTACACACACATATACACATGCACACATACATATAGTTTGTAGTCCCAGTGTGGGGAGCTTTTAAAAGTCTGATTTCTGAACCTTATCTCTGGAGAGACTCACTAAGTCTGGGATGAGGACCAAGAATCTACATTTTAAAAGCATCTGTGTATTTCTGATGGTCATCTAGGTGGAGGAATCATTGGTGATGAATTTGCATTTTTCTAGCTCTATGCTTGTAATATTCCACTTCAATTAAATATCTATGGTCCTGATTATACATTTCTATTGTGTGAGTTTATTGTCTATCTTCTTATTTTATCTTGGAGATCACCTTAATATAGAATTGGAATTTAATTGTTAGGAGAATAAAATCCTCTTTCTCCTTTCCTGAAACCATGATTTCTCCCAAGTATAAATGCAGAATGTGAAGCCTCCGGTTTGAGAGGTCATAAATCAGCAGCAAGTTTCTCAGCAGGGTGTATATTAAAATGGAAGGCCTTCTATTCTTACAGCAGGTCACTAAAGTTATACCAGCAAATGCAATGAAAATTCACAGTGCTTTTTACACCCTCATATATTACTAGATTCTCCCTTAGAAGTGTATAAAACTGTTTTCTCTACTTAAATAATGCCCCCCATTTTTTTCTTTTTCTTTTCTTTCCTTTTTTTTTTGTGGTTCTTCAGACAGAATTTACAATTTAAAAGAAAACAGAGGAAGAAAAGTAGAAAAAAAGCTGGCATGACACAAAACAAAACACAGAAGCTTGTGGGAACCATGATAACTTACTGATTTTTCTGGCTGCAAGATTGTATGAAACAAAAAATAGCAATATATAACACTTCCAGTTTCCCCCCGAAGCAGGCATGACCAAGCTCGTTGTGGTCCAGATTGTCTAACCAGTTATGCTTTAAAAAAAAAAAACATTCTTCTGTTGTCTGTGTCTTTACTAAACCTCAAATGCCAGTCGGTGTGAATATTCACCAATCTATTCAGTTTCATCATGTAAGAATCACTGTTTTTAATTATTTATTAAAAAAACATTTATTAAGTGTTAAGTATTATAGACAAAGGACTAAATGATGCTTTAATTCTCGTAACGTCTCTATGAAAGTGGTTTTCCCCCCATTTTACAGATGGAGAAAGTGAGGCGCAGAGGAGTTCAGTTACTTTCTCAAATGATTCAGCTAATGTATTTCTTGTATTTTGATGTATGGATGTATCACCACTGGGAACTTATTTAAAATGCTGATTACTCCTAGGGATTCCCCTTCAGTAGGTTCTGTGGAGCCCAGGAATCTGCATTGCTAACAAGCACCAGGTGAACCTGATGCAGATAGTTCATTTAGAAAAAGATTATTGATATGGTTTGGCTGTGTCCCCGCCCTAATCTCATCTTGAATCGTAGTTCCCATAACTCCCATGTGTTGTGGGAGACACCCGGTGGGAGGTATTTGAACCATGGGGGCGGGTTTTTCCCATGCTATTCTCAGGATAGTGAGTAAGTCTCCTGAGATCTGATGGTTTTGTAAAGGGGAGTTCCCCTACACATGCTCTCTTTGCCTGTCACCATGTAAGATGTGATTTTGCTCCTCCTTTGCCTTTTGCCATGATTGTGGGGCCTCCCCAGCCATGTGGAACTGTTAGTCAATTAAACCTCTTTCCTTTATAAATTACCCAGTTTCGGGTATGTCTTTATTAGCAGTATAAGAACGGACTAATATACTTATAGAATACTATGGGTTTCCCACTCTGAAAGACAGCTCAGAGTTCAGGACATGAAGGAAGTCCTCACCCTGTTCCATTTCCATTCTATCACCTGGCATTTGTCCCCTCAGAACTCAGGCCATAGGAAGCCACACTCCAGCCTACCCATCCTGGCCTGCTGTGTAACTTTCAACCAAAAGTTTTCTTAACTATAGTTGTGTAACTTAAAAAGTGGTTACTGAAACTGCATGTTGTACTTCATTCTGGGTGAAGGGCCAAGAGTTGTGAAAATTATTGACAGAGTGGGAGCTGACAGAAGAGGCTCAGGAGAAAAGAAGACAGGTATAACTTTATCTGTCTCACTGGGCCTCCCAACCCATAGGCCTTCCATTCCCTTCTAATGGTGATTTCCATTAAACAGCAGCACACTCACTCACTGGGAGCTGATGCAAAGAAATTCTACAGTGGTGGTAGAAAGAAAGATAGGAGGTAGGGCAGAAGTGTGGGCATAAGATATAGAGAAAGAGAAAAAAGCAGGAAAAAAGAAGTGAAAAAAAGGCAGTGGCTGTGTAGATGGGGGGATCTTGTTAATAGAGTGAAACATGGTTAAGGTTAACAGCACATTGTTCAGACCACCAAAGGTTTGACTGTATTCTCTATAATTCCTAGGACAACTGCAAATTACTAGCTCCAGGAAAATTACTCCTCTCAGATCTGCATCTCCTCCAATCAGGTTCACTGATATCATAGCTTTTCCCAACAGATGACCTTTCCCTGTGATTTTGAGATAAAGTGATTGGAAGGTGGGAAATAAAAATCTAACAGGGTCTGGGGTTCTCCAAAGCCTTTTAGTGTTAGATTTTATGGTGTTTGCTCCAAGTGGTATAAATACCTTTAGGAATCTCCTCACCTATGAAATTAGAAACTTCTTGGACCATCTTTGAAGAAAGTGTTACACAGGTTACAGAAACACGGTATGTAGAAACACTATATGTAGCATTAGAGAAATGCTAAGTTGGGCTTTAACACCCATGGCAGATACATGACACTTGGCATGTCATGTAATTTTTCTGTCCTTCAGTTTACCCAGCTATAACATGGAGGTTATAATCCACCACCCAGAGTGGTGGAGAAGACTAAGTGAATAATTATTTAATACAGAACCTGACAGATAGAAGGTATATCAGGATGTAACAGGGTCCTGGCAGGAAACAGAAGCCATCCCACATGAGTCAATGGAAGAGAATTGTAAAGAGATTATTTACAAAAGTGTTGGCAGGAATATAAAAATGGGATGGCGAGGCACCTGGAGACTGTCATGCAGGAAACCATTACTACTCATAGCTGAAGGCAAAGAAGATAGAAAGAGTATCTATCTCCGGTGAGTGCAGGAGCTGTGGAGGAGAAGCCTGTAAGAGCTATAGCCTGGAGAAACCCAGCTACTGCCAGAGAAGCAGGAGCAAGAGACCTTTTCCTCTTCCCAGCGTATGAGCTGCTGCTGGAGGTTCCTATGGCCAAACTCAACTGGAAGGCACATGAGAAAGAAGCCTAGATGGTAGAGTTCATAGCAGTCATCTTCCCTGGGCACAGAGATAGGCATGGAATGGATGGGAAGGAGGAGGTGCAGAGGGGTTATTCAATAAAGTCATTTCTACCTTTCATTTCTGACCCACTACACACACACACAGACACACACACACACACCTACCTTCCCTCATATTTCCAAACAAAACTGCATATGTAGTATTGTGAGAAGCAGGTGGTATTTAACTAATAATTCCACTAATGTTTATTTGCTAAGTCCAGTAATGAATTCAAGCTAAATATTGTTTCTTCTCCCAAAGTTCAGGGCCATTAGTGGCTATGTGTACTTGGCAAGACATATTAACTCTTGGACTCAAATCCAGTTTTTTGGATACATAAATATCCTCTAGCTCACTGAGAGAGTTAATGTGCTTCCCTAAAGACCTTACTAACTGACTGGCAGTGAGTGAATTCAGCACCAAGGATATCAGACTCCCTGGAAGACAAAAAAAAAAAAAAATATGTATATATATAATATATATATATATATATATATATATATACACAGAGAGAGAGAGAGAAATTTAAAAATTAGCAAGGAGCTCAGTGTGTAGTGCTGCTGCCTCCACTTCCCACTCACTGTTCTTCCCCAGGACTCCTTCTTTAGGTAATGGCTTCTCAGCAACTGGAGCTGCCTCCCGTTGGAAAAGATAAACGTCCTCCTTCCCTCCATAGAGATAGAGAAGAGTCAGATTGGTGGAGATGTCTGGACCTTGTGAGCCTATAGCAGGGACCAGCAAAGAAGCTATTCATGCTGTGGGTCTTGAGATGGAAGCAGAGGCATAACTGGAAAACAAGCGCTGTGAATCATTTGGTCAGTCTTGAAGTATCATTTAGAGCTCCAAGAAAGAGGGAAATCTTTTAACCACAGGCCTACAGGACATCTGGAAATTCTATGGTCAAGGTATCCCCATTATGGTTTCTCCCATAGGCAAGATAAGATTTGGCGACTAATTTGTGCTCGACTACAACAACATTAAATTGACATTTTAACTTCTGGTGCACAGGATAAAATAATAATTAGCATTATAAATAATAGAGAGCACTTGTCAAATGCCTGGTGTAGTCCAGGCATGTGTCAAGAGTTTTTTTGTCCTAATTCTCACAAGTCTTATGGCAGATACTATTAGGTTATTATATTAGACTATTAGATTATAACACATTAAACTTAAAGAGTAATCATTCAGAACATACTTGGCGGGGGGGCCTCCTCTTTACAGAAGAATGCCAGCTAATATAGGGAAAATGACACATAGAAAATCACAATTTTTCAACCATGATTGTAGTCATTGATTCAGGCAGAGGTCATCAATGGATGCTAAAACATCCTGGTTAAAAGTTGCTAGAGGATAGACTATAAGAGGTACAGTCTCAAAGCGTCATGCCACAGGTTAGTTTTTAATTACAAAGGGAAAAAAAGATACTTTTACAATAGAAAAATCTAGCTGATGATATACTAACCAAGTGAGCAGAGTTAACCTCAGCAGTAATGAGACAAACTGACCTGATATGCCTCGTGATGGTTTGTCATGGGAAGTGCTCAACATCATCATATATACAGGTTGAGCATCCCTAAACCAAAAATCCAAGATTCAAAATGCTCTGAAATCCAAAAGAGGACCAACATGACATCACAGGTAGAAAATTCCACACCTGACCTCATTTGATTGGTCATAATCAAAACTGATTCAAACTTTGTTTCATGAACAAAAAGTATTTAAAATATTGTATAAAATTACCTTCAGGCTATGTGTATAAGTTGAGTATGAAACGTAAATGAATTTCATGTTTACACTTGGGTCCCATCCTGAAAGTATCTCATTATAGTTATGCAAATATTTCAAAATCTGGAAAAACATTTGAAATCATAAACACTTCTTGTCCCCAGCAGTTTAGATAAGGTATACTAAACCTGTAGTATTCTTATTGAAATGTTTAACCTGAATCCAGTTGTGAGGAAACAGACAAATTCAGATTTGGGGACATTCTACAACTTGCCACAACTAGCTTGGACTATCCAAAAATATTAACATAATAAAAAATGAAAAAGTTCGGGAGGAGTCTAAACTGAAAGACTGCTGAGACAATAGCTAAATGTAATAATGTGTGCTCCTTAACTGGATCCTGGGGGGAAGAAACATTAGGTATGAAGACATTACTGGGATAATTGGGGAAATTTGAATATGGGGTACATATTCATGTTACAGTATTCAGAGTCAGAGTTTCCTGGTTGATTTAGTGCAACTGAAGTTATGGAGGAGATGGTTTTCTATTCTTAGGAGATGTCTGTGAAGTGTTTAAGGGTCATCAAGTCTGCAACTTACTTTGAAATAGATCAACAACCACTGCGAAGTGTTATATGAAAAGAGACAAAGCAAATGTGGCAAAATGTCCACAGCTGAGGAACTGAAGTGAAAACTAGATGTATGGCAACTTCTACTTGTCTACAGGCTTTAATTTTTTTTTTTAATGAAGAGTTGGGGAAGAAAGGGTAGTATTATTGGTCCTACTTTTTCAAAATGTAAACCAAGCTTGAGGTGTCCCAGCTAGTACATGCTAGAGCTGATATTCAAGTCCAGGTCTTTCTGACTCTACTAACCCCTTCAATACATTTTGGCCTTAGAATAATCAATGTGAACACAATCAACGTGAAATGGTCTTTAAAATGTACGCCATTCATTTCTCTAAGTCCCTCATGACTGAAACAAACAAGGAATTGGGTTTGGTTTGCAGTTGTGCTGTGCTCCCCTCCACACCCCCACACTCTCAGTCTCCTCACTCAGGGAAGGAGAAAGGCACTTCCCTCTTATATGAATATTACTGAATTCATTCCATGTCAATCATTAAGGCCTAATGTAAACTCTTGTAGCATGCTGGGATCTAAATGAATCCTGACTTTTCATCATCTCAGAACACAAAACCTAGGAGATAAGAGAAGACAACTTTAAAGATAGCTTTAATAGAAGTCAATGTAATATACAGTTGTAGTTACACTGATAACACCTGAACAAAAAAAGAGTGAGAAAAAGGGCATTTCTTCAAATCAGTTGACTCCCTTTCTTCAAAGACATTATCAGCTATTTATGCAAACAATGATTTATTTTACCTGGTATATATGAAGTGATTAATCATATAACCTTACAGTATCCATCTTAGGTAATACGTGCTCCACGTCCATGAATTTCAACTAAGCTGCCTAGACTTCCCAGTGAGTGGTGTTTGGAAGTTTAAATTTTTACACCTTATGTTGCTACCTAATACAATTCTTTGGCATTTGAGCCAGATTCTTATTTAAATGTCTTCAGTCAATATAACTAGTCATAAAGCAAACTCATTCTTTGGTGGTTATGAGAAGCAGCCTCACTTCTCTCTTTGTTTGCACCCTACATTTAGTTTTTGAATTTTATAAATTGCTGACAACAGCCAGATCTTTTTTTGGAAAGTGATTTAGGCAGGCAGGAGGGAAACGCTCACAGTAAGCTAGTGGTGTCATTAGCAATTTTGTTCTTTATAGAACAGGAAACTATAATCAGTGTTTTTAAGCTATTAATTCTATAGGCTAGTACTTCCCTCCCACTAGGAAATGCTTATTTTCTCCACCCCTGAAGATGGGTGTTTTTTAATGTTTAAGCAAATCCCTGCCATGCCTTTGTCTCTGTAAGTATAATAGAAACGCTGTGCTTCTGTGCTGCCTGTGGCGCGCGCATCAGGGCATCCAGGTATAGCTTTGTGCTGCCTGTCAGCTGCCACACGTGGAGGGTGAAGGGCAGGGAAAATCACATTTTGTGGGGGACTGTCGACATTCTTCTGAATGGAATTCTTTGGCAAACTTGAGGAAAAGGAAAAAAATAATGTGGGAGACTGGACAGAGTCAGGGTCCCCAGGGTGCCAAGTGTAGCTCAGAGTGACCATTGGTGAATCGCTTCATCTCCATGTGGAACTAAATGCAACTAAGTGATTTCTTAGGCTTTCCCCAGTCATTCTTAGTGAAAATATGGACTTCCCACATCAATTCTGAGTCACTTTCTTCCCACCTGGAATGATTACCATTTTTCTCATAGTCAGTGTATGCAGCAGCATATACCCTCATTTGCCTTTGGGTACATTCCTGAGTCAAGATACACAACAGGATATCACTGGGGCTGCAAAAGCCCCCGCCCCAAAAGAGACTTGGAAATATTACGCTCTTCATGAGGAATGTGGCTGTGCCTCTCTTCTCCCCAGACCTCTTCCTTCTTACCAGCTGGGTTGCTTTCTTTCTTGGACTCTAGACAGTTTCTAGCAAAGATACAAGCCATTGAGGAACTGAGATAAGAAGCAGAAAGGCTAGGACCAGAAGTCTCAAGCAGGGTTCCAAGGATTACCTCTACAGTCCTGAGCAAGGCCATGTTTGCATGAAACGATGAACGATGGGATGAGGAAATGACAACATGCAGTATTTCATCATAGTGTAATCCATGAAGCTACTGACACGTGGCAGGGTGAAGCATGAGGCACTAGACTACATAGGACCTGTATGACATGAGAACTGATGGAAGCATATGAGCATCTGGGGCATCTCAGAGCCAAAGGTAAAATTAAAATCCAGCCAATCACTAAAGACTAGGTTCCTATGCAGACTTTGAATTTTTAAAATCCTGAAGTTCTTTATCATTGGACTACAGCATGGCATCATCCCGTACCCATGGTTATGGATAAGTATGAAAATTATGAGATTTGAAATTTATAATTTAATCCCAGAAAGGGGATCTTCTATTTTCTGGCCAGAGGCCAACTCTCTGGAGATGTAACAAAGCCAACAGATTATGAGACCCTCATTGGTTTGCTTGAAGCAGAGCTCTTGAAATGTTGCAATGTAAATAACTTGTAATACCAGGACCACTTTGTCAGCAACCAGCAAAGGCTGCTTAGGGATATAGTGAATCTGCTCCTCAAGTAAATCCTGAGAAATTTAATGTCCTCCAAGCTTTCAGCTTTCTAGCTATGGCTCCTTTAGCAACTGCTACTGACTTCATGCCACAACAACAAGAACAAAAATATGGAGCTGCATTCTTTTCCATTCTCCATAAAACCAGCATCCAAACTGCGTTAATATGGATGTGTGAACATTTAGCACTGACATACATTGTTCTTACTGAGGAAAGCATTAGACAAAATATTTTCTCAATGAATCATTAGAGTAATATAACTAAGAGAATATTATATACATTTAGAAGTTTTTTTTAATCTAAAGCATGAGAAAATACTGTATTTGAAAGTTAGAAAACTGCATTTAGTTATACTAAATCAATCTGACTTTCACTCATCCTCACAAACCCCCTTTACCTTCATTTTGAATTAGAGAGCTTCTTATTGTTATATTATTTATAATGGAACTGGTATTCCTGGCTGGCTAATGGGCGAGCACACATTAATTCCAGGTTCAAAGGAAGACAAAGACCCTCTTCAGGGTTCTTTATTGTTTGTGCATCTGAGAAAATGCATTTATAGTGCAGTGACTCTGTGTGCACACTCCCAAAGGACAGAGAAATCATGCAGAAACTTCACATGCAGAGTTTGCAGAAAGAAATGTCAACTCATACCTAACGGCCACGGCTGCTGACATAAGAATGACAATAATTAGACTGGTACATATTAGAAGTTGCAACCGTTCTTAGAAGTAGGTATTTAATTAATGGCTTGATTTCATCATCTACTAAGAGATGGGTCTAAAAAGTATTTTCTAGCCTTTTTTGATGGGCTAAGAATCTGTACGGAGGATTGCTCTAGGTGTGAAATATAGCAATAGGTGAGATCACATAAGGGTATGTACTGAATTCACACAGGTTTAGATAAGAATCCTGAATTAGGTGATTTAAAGTCTAAGCTACAATAATAAAAAGACCCTACAATACAAGGCTAAATGACACAAGACATTGCCTTCTATTTCACTTCATAGGACAACTGGACTAAGCTAGGAGATTGTCCACAAGATCATTCAGGGACACAAGTTCTTTCCAGCTTGCTACTGAAGTCTTCACTGGGATATTAACATCATCTGCATGGCGAAAGCTGGCTTGTAGCCTTAGCTACAAGGCTAGGGCACAGAGGCAGTCCAGGGCAAACACTTGCCTTTGAGGGTAGTAAGACAAAGGTAGTACCCATCTATTCTGCTCTCATTCCATTGACCAGAGCTTAGTCATATAGCCATATTGAGCTATGTAGAGGCTGGGAAATGGTGTCTGGCTGGTGACCATGCCCCTAAGAAGAATAAAACTAGTTTGGAAGAGACAAATAGCAGTCTACTGTCAGACTTGGACTTTTCACTATTGAGTCAGTATTATTTTCAACTGGGCTTCTGATGTCAGAAGCACTAAACTGGCAAGCTCCATTTCTGGGAAAAGCTGTTAATGAAGTGAGATAGATTTGCTGCACTAGGCTAAAATTTTAGGTTTGTGGTTTTTACTGATGAGCTTAAAAATGCTTTTTTATTTTTATTTCAGAGACTGTCAAAAGTGAAAGGTAGCTTTTGATATATGAGAATCAGTTAGACTTCCATTGAGGTATTCAACAAACTTACAACTATACTTATACTGCTCACTACCAGAAATAAATTAATTTTCTTAGAAAACCAGCTCTATGTCTGTAAAAATAAAAATAAATTCTGATTTTTCTATGCCAGTCCATTTTCTCATGAACAGCTTGTTCTGCAAATCATCCGGGACTTTGTTAGTGTCATATCTGCTGCACAGCTTGAGGTGGGTGATTGATTGTGCAGTCAGGTTGAAAAGGACCAATCCTTGACAGAAGATGGCTAGGGGATCAGGAAGATAAAGGCATCTGGAACAATGAACTTTAAAAGAACTCAGTCTGTTCTCTGGGCTTCTTAAAAATATGAAATTCTTGGCCGGGCACAGTGGCTCATGCCTGTAATCCCAACACTTTGGGAGGCTGAGGCGGGTGGATCACAAGGTCAGGAGTTCGAGACCAGCCTGGCCAACATAGTGAAACCCCGTCTCTACTAAAAATACAAAAAATTAGCCAGGCTTGGTGGCAGGCACCTATAATCCCAGCTACTCGGGAGGCTGAGGCAGGACAGTCACTTGAACCTGGGAGGCGGAGGTTGCAGTGAGCCGAGATCGTGCCATTGCACTCCAGCCCAGGTGACAGTGCGAGACTCTATCTTAAAAAAAAAAAAAATGAAATTCTTAAAAACTATCAGGATCTTTAGCTAATTATTCTTTCTCTAAATCCCTTTATCTGTAGGTAGATTTATTCAATAGAAATCACTGGTGGCATGTCTTAAGATCACCAACTTTCTTTTCCTTTCCTTTCTAGGATAGCTGGCAATAAGTAGTGACCAGCTATATTTTTTAATTGTCTCCACATTCAAATGCCAGGAGCCCCATGGATTTTAATCAGGTTTTAGAAGCAGGCTGTTTTCTTTCTTGTGTGTTGTGCATTCCTATTGCCTCCCCCAGGCCTCTAATCTTGCAGAGTCCCCAGAAATTGCTCCATTCAGGAATGAATTGTTCCATTCAGATTTCTTCCTTCACAGGCACACTCTCAACCCAGGGAGGGACATGAGCAAGCCACTCAGGACTGAGCATTAAATCACAAGTTCACAGTTGCTTTCTTACACCCAGAGAGGCTTTTGTCTTATTTAGCACCATTGCTAACACATCTTTAGCACCTTATTTGCAATACAGGCAAGTTTAGGAAAGAATGTTAATATAAAGCTGGTTTGGCCTGAATGCCAGGGAGAGAAAGTCACAGTACACAGTGGGGTGCATATGTGTGTGTGTGTGTGTGTGTGTATGTATGTATGTATCATTAAAATAACAGCAGCTTCTCTCCAGAGCAATGTTCATACACACCATTAAACTAACATCCTTTCTTGCAAAAAGAACACCCACATATAGGAACCATGACTCCTCTATGAGAAACATAAAATAAAAATAAATTTAATCAATAGTTTGTGCTAGTAAATGCCTAAAGATAATGTTTTTGTGTGGTCACTTTCCTTATTTTTTTAACACAACATCCATTGACCTATACTGAATGTTCCATGTTGTTTGTACATACTAGATATTGCAGTAGTAAAAAGATCAAAACTGGGGAGAGGCAAAGGTATTTTTAAATTTATTTAAGCTTTAATTTATTCAGATATGTAAATTTTATTTCAGAGCTAGAATGGTTCATTTTCACCAAAGTGTACTCATTCATTCATTCATTTATTCAATTATAAACTAAATACTTATTAGGCACTGTTAAATACTTGAGAGACTACAAGCAAGTCTCCCTATTTTGAAGAATCTAACTCCATAACTCAGAAATTTAAAAAAATACTCATATATAATGCTTTTATAGCAATACAAAATAATATTCTTTAGAATTAAGAGCCAAATGGGCAGTATAGATACCAAGAAGATGGGAAATAGCACTTGAACAAGGTGGAACTTGAGCTGGGAGTTGAAAGATGGACAGATTGTGAATTTGTAGAAAAGAAAGAACCAGCCTGGCCAACATGATGAAACCTCATCCCTACTAAAAATACAAAAATTAGCCAGGTGTGGTAGTGCGCGCCTATAATCCCATCTACACAGGGGGCTGAAGCATGAGAATCTCTTAAACCTGGGAGGCAGACGTTGCAGTGAGCTGAGATCGCGCCACTGCACTCCACTCCAGCCTGGGTGACAAAGCAAGACTCCATCTGAAAAAAAAAAAAAAAGAGAGAGAGAGAAAAAAAGAAAAGGAAAGAAAGAGATAGTATTCAAGGCAGAGAACATAGAAAAATGTTCCCAGATGATGAGTTGGGATTGTATGAAGAAGTGTGATTAACATAAAAAGCAGAGGAGTAGCATGAAATATTCCTAGGAAGGTAGTGTGTGTTCAGCCTGAGTTGGCAAAGGTGAGGAGGTATAAGTGGTGTGCTACAAAGTATATCACCCTGAAAACTGACTCCACCATGAAGAAAGTATAGGAGGGAAGGGGTGTGGGGCAGGGAGTATATATATGAAGTCTGTATACATAACCAGGTTTCTAACATAATTATTTTAATTTCTAGTAAATGGGTATCTAGCACCCTTCTTTTTGTTTTTCTGTTCCTTTAAGCATTCTGATGGGTAGACAGATTCTTTGTAGCCAAGAGAAATTTTGTAAGGGAAGGTGGAAAAAATATGTAAAAGAGAAAGAGGAGGAGAATCTAATTCTCTGAACTGAACATTAGCCTAGAAGTGAAGGGTGCTGACATTGAAACCAGATTCCCTAGGTTTGTGCCCCACACTTCCATTCACTGGCTTGCAAGTTTACACAAGATGTTTAAACTTTTTGTTCCTTATTTTACTAAACAGTAAAATGATGATAACGTTAGTCCCATCTCATAGGGCTGAATATTGAGACCAAATATGTAAAATTCTTAGAAAAGTTCCTAGTACATAGTAAGTGCTGCTGAATAAATGGTAGCTATTGTTATTCTAATGAGGAAGAAGGAACTCAGGCAACCAATACATCAATTTTAGGGTGAGAGGAGGAAGAAGAAACTGAATAAAAATCTGATTTTCTTGGATACATTTAGTATTAAACAGTGCTCATCAAACTGTACTACTTCATACCAAGATGAACCACAAGCTCCCTGGATACGTGATTATTTAAGAAAAGAAAACCCTTGGTTCTGTTAGAACTGAGTTTCTCAACTGTGACACTATGGACGTTTGTTGGGAAAGAAAGGCAGATGTCCTGTGCATGGAAGGATATTTAATAGCATCTCTGGCCTCTATCTATGACATGCCAGTAGCCTCTCCTTCCCTCAGTCATCACAACCAAAAATGTTTCCAGACAGTTTTGTTCCCCAGATGTCACTGGGGAACAAAATCACCCCCACTCAAGAACTACTGTGTTAGAATAATCAGATGGAAACCCATTGCTTGAGTTTTTCAAACACAAGAATGTAGCCAAAATCAATACTGGTACCTTTAGCCTACACCCACTCAAATAAACCAGACAGCTTTCATCACAATGGACCTCACTGAGCAGAAACCACCCATCCCATATGCCAGTGTCAAAGGAAGGTAAGTGGTAGAATGCAGAGGTACCAACAGGGAGGAGGAATTGGAAATGCGTTGGTGACTTAGCAAGATTTGAATAGTGGTATTTTCTAAGCAACCAGAATCGCCTGAGTAATATAATCACCTCTGTGCTTCTGTAGAATGGGAAAATAAAAATAACAAACAAGAAAGGGTTGCTTTAATCTGTATCTCATGTGAATCCATTAGACACTTGCTGCTTCTTGCTTTTCCTGGGATGATTTGCTTTTTAAAGCAGCAGGCAGCATATCAGACAAAAAAACATCATGGCCTGGATGGTCTCTGCAGATGGGAAGCAAGACCTTTCTGACTGAAGGTGATCTGTCTCTGCCTAGAGAGTTAATATAGCCAGAGTTTTTCCCATCATAATGTATCAACTTTAGAAAGATTAATTTCAGCTAAATGGATATATGTTGTGAGCTCTGAGAACATTGAAAGCCCCATGCTAAGTTGCAGCTACTATGCAGTAGGTCTTAGTCATCTCAGGCTGCTGTAACAAAATACCATAGACTGGGTGGCTTAAGCAACAGACATTTATTTCTCTGAGTTTGGAGTCTGGGAAGTCCAAGATCAAGGTGCCTGCTGAGTGAGTTCCTGGCACGAGCTGTCTTCCTGGTTTGCAGAGAAATGCCTTCTTGCATTCTCACATGGTAGAGAGAGAGTAGGAGATTTATGTCTCTTCTTATAAAGGGATTAAAACTACAATGGTGGGGGGGCAAAACATATGACCTTGTCTAAATCTAATTACATCCCAGAGGGTTGACCTCCATATACCATCACATTGGGTATTATTAGGGCTTCAACATATGAATTTGGGGGAAGACACAAAATTCAGTCCATAGCACAGTGGGTACTCTCCAGTAGAATAAAAAAAAAAATTTAAGAAGAAATATAGTAAATGTAGAAAAATACAGACTCTGTTCAGCAAAACCAATGTATTCAAAATTCTAAAACTCTAGTGTTTACTGAGATATTTGAAATAACTTGCCAGGTGCGGTGGCTCACACCTGTAATCCCAGTGCTTTGGGAGGCCAAGGCAGGTGGATCACAAGGTCAGGAGATCGAGACCATCCTGCCTAACACAGTGAAACCCCATCTCTACTAAAAATACAAAAAATTAGCCAGGCGTAGTGGTGGGCGCCTGTAGTCCCAGTTACTCGAGAGGCTGAGGCAGGAGAATGTCGTGAACCTGGGAGGCAGAGCTTGCAGTGAGCAGAGATCGCTCCACTGCACTCCAGCCTGGGTGACAGAGCAAGACTCCGTCTCAAAAAAAAAAAAAAAAAAGAAATAACTTTAGTTGGCTATAGGCAAAACAAATGATTTGTGAAATGACAAAACATGATACAGGATTTCTGGAGAATTTGACACAGTACACAGAGAAAAGTTGCAGAAAGAATAAATATTCTTTCCTGACTCCAAATGAGAAAAGGTACTGCTCAGAGATAAAATTAAAGACAAGAAAATTGGATATCTGTTTCAGGAAATAAAACTAACATTTTAAATCAGATTATTGAAGTATCCCCCAACCTTATTATTTTAGGTTGATCTGCTAAGTAAACCCATTGGGCAAATCTTATGCAGGCAGGTAGCTAAATTAAGTGGCCCAAGAATTCTTTTCAATTTCCAATTTCTTTGACTTATAACACAATTAAGAAATTTATAATGAGGTGAAAAATAGAATTACTTAGAAGGGATATTATCATATCTCATTTGTATTTGATTTAAACTGAAACCTAATCACTTTGAAAAGCTTTGTGCTGACTGAGTTATTTTCTGCTACGTGGTGGATGCTCTTTCTTATTTGTTCACCATGGTCTGCTTTTATTTGAAATATTATGGTATTTAATAACATGTCTAGCCATAACCACAGAGTTTCTTACAGCTTTTAATATCAGCAACATAACTCTTCTACTCTCTTGACTTAGCATTTCAAAAGTGAGGTTCATAAAAATCCTATTTGTAGAGCAAACATCTAACTCCAATTTCATGTACCAAATTTGGTAGCCATGGATTTCTTTATCTCCAGTGCATTTGCATTAACATAAGATGATAATGTTGCTAGCTTCTCTACCAAATAACATTCTAGCATAAGCCACAGCAAGGGCAAAAGCCCAGCAAAATTCAAGGATGTGACATACCCAGAGAATGCTAATATTCAGTGTAGCTGAAAAACTATGTATGAATGAAAAGGAATATCAAATTCTCGTGTAAAATACTTATTTTGAGTTTGAAATACTTAATTGTGACCAAAAAATTGTTTCTTTTCATATAAAAATAGAAGGACATCCTGGAGAACTGTGGCTGTCTCTGGAAAAGGTACTTTTGACTTCAAAATGTCACTGAAGAATTTGTGCCAGAAGCCTCCTTGAAGGCACACTTTTGATGAAAGAAAAAAGGATTTCTGGTTTTGAAAGCTCTTTTTCTCAGAAAAAAAAAAAAAAAAAACCTTAGCAGAGGCACAAATTGAAAAATGTACAATATATGATCATTGAATCTTTTTAAAAGTTAGTGCTAGGCAAGAAAAGCAATGGAAGAATTTCAGACACTACAGGAAACTCCTCAAATTCATATTTCCCTCTTACTGGCCTTGAAACTTGAAAATGAATGCAGATTTATGTGTCCCCACCCATCAAGTTCACACGTTGAAGCCCCAGTACCCAATGTGATGGTATTTGGAGGTCAAGCCTCTGAGAGGTAATTAGTTTTAAACACGGTCATGTGGGTGCCCCCCTGACACACACCACTGTGGGATTAGTGCCCTTGTAGGAACAGACACAAGAGAAATCTCTCTGCACCAGAGAGAGATCCCTCACCAGGAACTGAATCAGTCTTACTTTGAGCTTGGAATTCCCAGACTCCAAACTGAGAGAAATAAACGTCTGTTGCTTAAGCCACCCAGTCTATAGCATTTTGTTATAGCAGCCTGTGCTAAGACATACTGCAAACTAGTAGACAGCTAGGAAAGCTGATAGTTATATTAACTTTATTATTTACTGTTCTTCCGTTTCACATTGTTTGTGGCAGATGAAGCTTGCAGAACAGTTGGAGCAATAAAGCAGCCCAGGTATTTGTGGTGTTCCTTGACCCACAGGCTGGGGCAGCCACCCAGCAGAAGTGGAACAATAGAGCTGTTGCCCCTCCTAGAGAAGCTGCTGAAAGCCGGGGAGAAACACTCAAAGCTTCACCCCTCCTCCTTCAGTCCAGTCTCCTGCCAGTGTCTCCCATCAGAAACCAGCTGGCAAGGCAGCCAGGAAAACACAGACTGCAAGGATCAGCCTCTTAGCATACAGGACACAGCACAGGGAGGGCAAGAAACATATTCAAGAGCAAACAAATGACAGGCACACCTTGAAAATAGTGGTCAAGAGACAAAAGTGCTTCTACTGGTACAAAAGTACTCTGTGTGCTCTCTCTCTCTCTCTCTCTCTGTGTGTGTGTGTGTGTGTGTGTGTGTGTGTTTTCTTAGAAGTTACTTTGTTTTGTTTTGTTTTGAGATATGATCATTACTATTTAATATGATCTTCTCAAGAAGCCCGGTAATATTGGACACTTCCTTCTAAAGCAGTGATAGAAGGATACTGGTATACTTCAAGAATGGATGGTAATATATGCATGAGATATATCTTTTAGTTCATGTATTGCTCTTAGGCATCAGTTGTAGCTTGCCTCACTGTGTCACCCAGGCTGGAGTATAGTGGCATGATTTCCACTCACTGCAACCCCCACCTCCGAGGTTCAAGCGATTCTCCTGCCTCAGCCTCCTCAGTAACTGGGACTACAGGCATGCATCACCATGCCCAGCTATTTTTTGTATGTTTAGTAGAGACGGGGTTTCGCCATGTTGGCCAGGCTGGTCTCGAACTCCTGACTTCAAGTGATCCACCCGCCTTGGCATCCCAAAGTGCTGGGATTACAGGCATGAGCCACCGTGCCCAGCCCCTTATTCACTCATTTTAATGGTGCACTTCTGAAATTTGCTCCCACCAAAACGGCACAACCATGGCCTTGTCAGCCTCCAAGGAATGTGGTGTGAACATGGATCATTCTAACCATACGGAGGCACAGTAAGACCAGGACTTAATTTGAGCCTCTGAACTGAGCATAGGGTTTAATGAACCACTTCTCCACTGTGATAAAGTATACTAGCAAAACTGCTATGGTTTGTATGCACAGCCTGCAGCTGAACCCATTACAGGATGCATTATTTGATAGGAGGTCTGAAAGACTGAAGAGCAATTACTCTCTACAACCAAGGGCAAATGGCAACTGTGGAGCTTGGCCTTTTCTCATTTCTTGGTTTCCTGAGGTCAGAGTTCTCTACAATGACAAAACCTCTTTGCTCTGGCTCATTTGAAAAGCAATGTCATTTTAAAGGTTAGATTTTGCGTGTGTGTGTATGTGTGTGTATGTGTGTGTGTGTCTGTGTGTGTAAGATAGAGAGAGGATTTTATAGTGATTTTTATGACAATCAATTAAAAAAATGCTTTGGAAACATTTATTGAGAGGGGTCACAAAGGTAAATGTCGTGTTGAAAGGAAACAGATAGTTCTGGCTCTTCCAAATCTGTTTTACCAGAACCCAAGGCCTAGGAAAGGGACAACAGTCCTCGATGAAGTCCATTACTGGGCCCTGAGAATAATCTTTCCTTACCTTCCTGCATATCATTTTCCTTTCCTCCTCTCTCCCCTCCCCTTTCCCCAAGATACAGAGCTGGCTGGGAGGCCAGCTTAACCATGTCCCACCCCCTTTCTCTCACTTTGCCCCAGGACAGTCAGAGCTAAACTCACAAAGGTGAAGCACTGATACAGGCCCCAGGACCAATCCCCAGACCCACCCTCCCTCCACTGCACCACAGGTTCCCACTGCCATTACCGAGCATGGTGCCCCCTGACCAGCCTTCACTCCTCAGCCCTTCTGAAAGCCCCCCAGCTCTTCACCCCAGAGACCCCAGCCCCATTCAAGTACCCATGGTCCTCTGCTTCAGTCTAGGCATTTTCCTGACATGGAGGCTCAAGCTCACTTATGAATATTTAAAGACTCATGATTTTTTTAATCCTTGAAGGCTACTGACTTTCTGAGCCCAACATCATCAACAAATAGTAAGGGAGTCATAAAGAAAATGCTTTGCTCACCTTTCATCTTTCTTTTGTGGCAAGTAAGAAAAAAGAAAAACAAACCTACTTCTCACAAAACCTGGATGTGACTGTGTGTTCAGGAAAAAAGAAAGAGATGGGGGCTGGTGGAGGCAGGAGGGCAGATGACAAAGGACACAGCCCAAGGTCATAAAAGGGGGTGGAAAGAGTTGTATAAGCCTTCACTCCCACCTCTCCACTTCCCAGAGGTCCAGTCCCTGCTCCTCATTCCTCCCGATGCCATTCCTGGTGCTTGTTGGAAAAGCAGGATCTCAGGCCCCACCCCAGACCTCCTGAATCAGATGATCTAGGGGTGGAGCACAGGAGTAGGTTTTAGCAAACTTTCCAGGTGATTCTAATGCCTGCTAAAGTTGAAAAGCAACACCATATGGTGCAGACACCAGTGTCTTGTGCACTGTTGTTTAATAAACAAACACTTGCTAATTTAAGTATATTTGCAAGGTCTTGGTGTGGCCCAGACTGCAAGCTCCCTGAGAGCAGAGACCATATCTTTCTTCATGCCTGACAATGCATTTGTTGAAGGGAAATAGAATCAGATAGTATTTTGCTTTTGTTTTTGTTTTCCACTTTAACCTTTTCTAATTAAAAGTTTCAAAACAGCAAGGAAAATCACAGTGAGTGTTGTTTAGAGAATGGTTTTGAGATAATATATCAATACCATGTGAATAATTAATAACATCAGTTTACCAGTAATATTAATACCTTCCAGTCATATAGTGGCTCTGTGGTTTTGAAAACTCTTCCATGAACATTTTTCATTTGATCCTCAAGAAATTTTGGCAGGAAAATGTATAGGTTTCTTTCTTTCCTCTCATAGAAGAGGAAGCAGAAGTTCAGAAAAGCTGAGAAAATAGTCTTGGTTTTCCTAATTAGGTACAAAAACTGGAACCCAGGACTTTGAGCTCCTACTCCATTGGAAAGGTTTGTATTCCAGTTCTGTTATATGTTATCGGATTGTTTCTAGTAACTTACCCTTGTAAGTCTTTATTTTGCAGTTTCTTCATCTGCAAAATGGGAAAACAATGGTTCCTATTTTAAAAGGTTGTTGTAAGAATTAAATGAAATGATAAAGGTAAAGCACTCAGCATAGGGCTGGCACAAAGATTTCTTTATTGTTATATGTCTGAATTTACATATTATTCATACAATCATTATATATTTATGATTATTGCACCACACTGACTCCCACTAGAGTGACCAATATTCCATACATGGTTTAGCAAGGCTGGGGTCTTCCTCGTTTCAGAAGGTGTTCCTTGCTAACTTAACAGGACATTTAGGCCTCCAGTCTGCCTTTCATGCCAGGAGTGTTTCTCACTGCTGCTCCCCAATGGATCTTTATGCACGCTGCAGGTTGGGTATCTTCTGTGGTCACAGTGCTTACCACCCTTTCTCATAGACAGGTTGCCTAGTCATTCCAAGCACATGCCTTCCTTAGCCATTGTATTGTTAAGTTGTTATGGTTAATTTATATTTATATTTATATATATATATATATATATATATATATATATATATATATACACACACACACACACATATACATATGGTAGAACCACAGCTTTTATCCAAATATAAAATAAACACATGTCAAAGATATTATTTAATTCTGGACTTAAAGAAGGGACCAGTAAGATGTTGCATAGGCTCAAGGGGATATTCAGTGAATGCACACATACAGGCAATCAGGAATGCAGAAATGAATTTACCAAGTTACAAAATGGGTTAACACCCATGGAGCAAGAATCAGATGCATGCCACCAAACACAATTTATTGGCATTTCTTTCTATTTGCAAGAACTTGTATTATTATTGGTTTTCCACCACCTACAGAGCTATAAAATAGCTCAAAGATGACAAAAGCAGAGATAACCTGGAAAGCTGTGCTGAACAGGGCCCCCAGTCATCTTTTCTGCCCACTTTGAAGTCTTTCGCAATCTTTCCTGACAGTGGGATCTCAAAAGAGTAGTTTAGTGTTGGAGGAAGAGAAGGTATCACTATATCCAGTTCCCTGCCTAGAAAAGAGGCTTCACAGTCCTGGTCTTCAAAAGGCCCGAGCGAGTTTTCTTCTTTGGTTCTCTTCTTCTCTTAATACCCTCTTCCCCTTTTCCTGAAGATTTCATCTCAAAGTTCTACAAAATCCACAAACTCAAAGTCCCACTCCTTCTCCTTGGAAATCCCAACTCTCCCATAGGACTCCCTTGGTCCTGTCTTAATATCTCACAAACCTCGGTGTTCAGGCTTTGGCTGAATGTCTGTGAAGCTTCTTTTCTCAGCCACCAGGAATACAAAGTGGGAAGAGAAGGTTCTGGTACCTAAGTGAGGGCAAGTAAGTACTGGGTTCTAAGTTTAGCTTCCCCTTCAACAAGCCTGATTGCCTTCCCACTAACCTAAGAAGGAAGCATATCTTGCCAAAGATCACTAATTCCCCCAGGACAATATAAATCTTGTCTAATTTGAGAGAAGGATATTTATTTCTAACAACATGACTTTGGCCTTGCCCTGTGAAAGCATAACCCAGTCATTCTTGAGCTGAGGAACGTCTTACCTTTTCCTAGGTCAGACTTTCATTCCTCTCCCTTTGTTGTCCAGAAGGGTGGTCCTTGCTTCATCTAGTTACTGTTGTTTTTCTTCCTTGCATAGAAGAAAAGAAATGTCCAGTTGTTTCTACCACACATGTGGTTTAAAAAATAGAATTTGACATTTTATAAAATTAGGAGATCAGAAGTTGTAAGACAGGCATGATGGAAATAGGTCTAAGTTTAGATTTAGACTAAGGGAGAATTGGATGTGGTGCAAGGTAGTTCCAGGACTAGGTGGATCAAGAACACTGCTTCTTGAGCTCTCGAAATATGTTCTCAGTACTGGCTCTCTGCAACAGACTTACCACAGAGAGGTGGATCAAACAGATCCTTCCAGAACATCCAGTTCTGCTTGCTTCCACATGCAGCTGAATTGACACTCCTAGATCTATGCATATTGAAGCATTTTTGGTTTTTCCAGGAGATATATTATTTTCTACTTTAAAAGATAATCAAGCATATGAATTTCTTACCAAGTTCCACATTCAACACAATGTAGGCACTTTCCCTCCTGTGCAAGCAGACAGCACATTGAAGACAAGCATTCACAGGAGCCTTGGGATATAGACCCACACTGGCCACAAAGTAGTTGAGCTATCTCAGGCACTCACATTTGGAGTTTCAGCTTTGTCATCTCCAAAATGAAGGTGCTGGACTGGGGTTCTTCAAAGCAGCTCTTCCACAATGTCAAAGTGCTAAGTAACTCCTAAGATATCCTCATCCTATCTGTCTGTGCTAGATCAGAAAGGAAAATGTGACTTCTCCAGCCTGGGGATGAATAGCCAGTCACACAGATGTCCTTTGCAGACTGTGATGGGGTGAACACTTGCCTTCCCTTACTGCAGACAGTGTCAGGGTATAAAAGGTTCTGTGGAAGAAGCTGCCAGCAACACACCCTAAAAGGGATGCATTGGGGCACTGGCATCACATAAGATGGTAATTTATTTTGTGCTTATATTCTGAGTCAGGCATTTTTGCCGTATTCAGTTTGTCATTCACTCATTCATTCAATCTCTAATTCTACATTACTGTTTGAGTACCTTCTATGTGCCATATATTTTGCTGAATTCTGGAGACTTAATGATGAACACACAGTTGAGGTCTCTGTCCTCATGGTACCTATAGTCAAGGGGGGATGTGAATAAGTGAAAAAGTTATAGTGAGTGATGTACAAGGCATATGTGGGCCTGCATGAGTGGCAACTAACCCAGAGGAAGATGGAAGAGACTAAGAGGGCCTGACACAGAAGCCATAAATGTGTTTTAGACAGATGGTACATGTGATGGCTACAGGTGATTTCTTGCAAAACTAATGAAGCTTAAGTTTAGTGGTGTACCCATAAACTGGCTCTTTGAAAAAAGGATGAAATTATTTAATAATCAGTGCTTTTGAGCCATACTGCCAGCTCCAGAACACAGCTAAACTTTGGGCCCCTTACTAAGACAAATCCCCTCTTAGTGTCTTAGTAATTCCCCTAGAGCAGGCTCTGAGACAGGAGTTTGCGCATAAGTAGTTTATGTGGGAAGTGAAAGAAATACCCATAGCAAGAGGGTAAGTGGGCTGTGAAAGGCAAGACAGCCAATAAAAGGTCTGTGTTCAAGCCACCTACCATTATGGGTTACCAGAGCTTAATCTTTCTTTAAAATTCTGAGAATCAGTATGGTAACAACCTGAGGAGAAAGGGAGCTGGGGTATCTATACTCCAACTTCTGTCAGTCATTGGCTCAGGTCTGCTCCTGAGTGTGTTATTTTCCTTTCATATTTTACCTTCCCTGACAGGGGGAGTGACCTTCCGTTGCTTTCACGAAAGCTGTAAAGCAAAGAGATGCAGATACTGACAGTTGGAAGTCAGCCAACAAGCACAGAAGTGGTAAGGCCTGGGGGATATAGACAGTATCTGGTACAGATTATCCCATACTTAATTATGTATTTGTAATTTGCGTTTTACTTAAATTGGGCCCTCAAATTTTTATGAATTTTAGACCTCACAAAACCTGAAACCACCTATAGTGACAGGCCTAACTTGCTGAAAATACAGAGTGTATGGGAAAATCAAAGAAATTTAAAAGCCCGTATCAGAATTGGAAGGAAGACGGAGGGTAGCAAGAGATGAAACTAGAAGCTAGAAAGTTGAAGCTAGAAGCTAGAAAGGTAAGCCAAGGCCCTATGAAGGGTGCTATGTTAAACTGGGCTTTTCTAGATTTGGCTGACATTTGTTGGTGTCTGCAGAACTCAGCTGGGTTCCTTGGGGCATCTCATTTCTGGGACAAACTGACAGAGCAACCCCTTTCTGGGATGGGCTCTTCCCAAGATGAAGAATAAGAACCCAAGAGGGCTGATGGAAGCTCACCATGCCTCTGATGTCTGTTAATCACAGCAGCACAGGTCAAATCTCCTTATATTCCATTGGCCAGATCCAAAGTTAGTAGGGCAAGGTACACCTGCAGGGAAGGACATAATGACTAAGTAAGAACTGTAATACAGCCTACTACTGGATTTTCACCAAAATGTTAATAGTGGAGATAGCGAGATTTCTGATCATTTTTCCTTTAGCTTTTCACTATTGTTAGAATTTGTAATAAGAATGTAGCAATTGTACCAAAAAATATGAACCTATTCTTCTAAATAATAAAAGATTATATCAAATATTGAAGAGCATTTTTAAGGATATCTTTTTAAATTTTTCCTTTTTTAATGTGTTATTTATAAATGAATTAATATACATATAAAAGGCCTACCCCCTAAACTTCCTAAAACTACCTATTAGCATTTATAGCATGTGTAACTAATCAGACTTTATTATGTTCCTGTTTCTGGTTTCTTAGTATTACTCTCATTAAATTTTTTTATTTTGTATATGTCTTTGTAAATCACCTGGAAGTACTTTGTGATGTTAGCTAGGAAATAAAGAAATAGATTATTTAGAAACTAGAAAGAAAAGTAGTTGGAGGGAATCATCCTAATAATACGCAGCCCTGATAGCATATACAAATCACCTGGAGATTTCTTTTTAATACCTCTGATGGAGACTCTAGAGGTTCTAATTTAATGTTTCTGAATTGGGCTAATTTTTAAAAGCTCTCTGAAGGTTGAGAAAAATTGAATAAATAAATGATTAAATTAAGTGAAAAAAATAACAAAAGGGCCAATTATATGTGAAGAGCAAAAGCAGGTTGGGAAGTTTCTTTACAAACTTGAAGTAGGCTGTGATACTAAAAAGCCAAAGCTCCCAAATATTAAAAAGAATAAGGGAAATGGATGCAGTAGAGCAATATTAGCTTCCAGAATTAGAAAGGGCCTGCTATTAAGATCTGTTCGAGCTTCGCTGGGTGAGGAAGAGTGAGTCATATTCTCTCTGATACCTCATATTCCCACATACATCCCAAATCAGACCCTAATCGACAATTGTTTTTGTGGGTCACTGAGGTGCATTTTGTGGACTGTTTTTCAGAACATTGTGATTAAGCAAAAGTCTGTCATTCTCCATGAGAAGAGGCTGAACTCATAGGCGATTACTTACACACCCAGAACAGGAGAGAAGGAATACTAGAAATATTGTAGAAATGTGGTTTGTTCACTTGTTTATAGCTCTTCAGACTTAAATTATTTTATTCTGTGCAGAGTTCAGTTGTTTATGTGTGAAACATCATAAAATATCAAAAGCTCTTTTATCTTGATGTCTCATCCCAGCTTTTTTGAGACTCCTCTTTAATATTTGATAAGAACCAAAATAGGGATAAATTATGCTTTCCTCCTCTTTCTTTTTTACGTTTATACATAAATGTTGAGAGAAAGCTTGAGGTATTTGTTTTGTTTTGTTTTGTTTTAGCTAAATGGCAAGTAAATAACAGGCTTTTTAGTAACTATGATCTGGCACTGGTAAGGTCTGAGTTAACTGCCATTTGCAGAGTAACCATGGTGACCAGCATATGGCTTCTGATTCCATTAATCTTGTTGAGATTAACAGTAAATCCCAAAGGATCTTTTGCAGTGATTCAGAAATAAATCATCTTTTCACATGTATACTGTTTGGTGACAGCCACTCGCTTTCAGTGTGTGTCTCTACCCAACAAAGAAATAAGACAGTCTCTCTCATGAGATGATTGGAAATGTGTCCCTCAAATAAGAAATTTCACAAAATACATCCAATGGTGAAAAGGTAAATACATATAAATACCATGTGAAAGGAGGATTTATTCAACAAACATTTGTCATACCCCTGATAGACACATAAGGGGAAGGTCATTTACTCCCAGTTAAAAATTTATTTGTATAGAACCTCAGCCTGGAGATATGGAATGGAAACAAAATTTGAGACTCTTTAATGAAAAAAATCCAATTATTATTTCAATTATAGGAATTAGAAATGATGAATTAAGCTGGATTTGGGAAGAGGAGCAGCTGGCTGCCCAAGAGGAGACTAATAATGTGTTCTATGTGTAACGAGATGTTGCAACTTAAAAAGTACAGTGTGGCCCTACCTAAAACCATATTTGGCCTACAACAGCCCCAGAGCATGTAAAATAATAGCCTCATTTTACAGATGAAGATACTGAACTAAACAATTCAGAGTGACTTCCCCATACTCACTAAGTATTAGAGCTTTCTCAAACTGGCGGAATAAATTGTTGAGTCTGAGTTGGAAGGGATGGGAACTGAATTACTATCCCAGCATTCTTCTGATGCTAATTCCTATTACAGTGTAGACAAAATATGCATAACTGTGGGTCTTTCTCAACTCATGGAGTTTATACTTCCTCATCTCTAAGTTTTCCTTGGTTAAAGGAATACTCCGAGCTCTTATTTCAACCTAGACCTTCCTACATAAAAGAAATATCAAGAACACAATAGCATTTTACGAATTCTAAGATGCACAATTTTTCTTACTTACCCATCTACGGCTGGGCACGGTGGCTTGCGCCTGTAATCCCAACACTTTGGGAGGCCGAGGCAGGCAGATCACTTAAGGTCAGGAGTTCAAGACCAGCCTAGCCAACATGGTGAAATCCTGTCTCTACTTAAAAAAAATAAAAAAATTAGCGGGGTGTTGTGGTGCATGCCTGTAATCCTACCTACTGGGGAGGCTGTGGCGTGAGAATTGCTTGAAACTGGAAGGCGAAGGTTGCAGTGAGCCACTGTACTCCAACCTGGGCAACACAGCAAGACTCCACCTCAAAAAAAACTGTGACATTGAGATATGCCTTTTCATCAATGGCTTCTTATGATCACTATGCAGCAAGACCAAATGTAGATTTCATTGCTCGTACATGCACTAACTTGGTCATAGCTGCTTATATTGCCAAAGTCATACAGTTATTGGTACGTGCATAGAAAGTTATTGTGTATGCAGAAAGAGGTATAAATTTCATTTTAGTGACATGAATACTCATTTTGGAGTAATGACCATCATTTTACATTTTCTTGCAAAGCAACAACATAGTGTTCTACAGGACCTAAGAAGGGAAGATACAAACAGATCTTGTATGTTAACCTACCATGCACTAAGCACTGAAACTTAAAAAAAAAAAAAAGCTAAATCTTTCAGAATGCATGAAAGGAATTTCAAAGCAACAAGAAGCTGACATAATTTAATTTGCTACATCCTTTTGTTCTTGGCCATTGTAAAATAGTTTTGATCCTATCATTTATATTAGGTTTTATGATAGGTGGTAATTCACAAATCACCCAACATGGCATTGATCTCCTCTTGCTGATGGTGGGACTGTGCCTAAAGCTCCCTTCCCTGCTCTGCTGGTGCAGAACAACATCAGGAAGTCCAAGTAGTCAAAACCAAAGCCAAACATTGAACATTTGCAACCCCAATTTCAATCATAAAATTAACCAACTCTAATGGCAAATCAGTCTTTTGTTCATCGTAGCACAAATGCTCTAGACCACAATTTTTATTTCATTAAAAAGAAAACTGGTCTCCTTTGGCTCTCTAAGATTTCAAAATAACGATTCTTTGTAATTCCCTAGCAATTGTAGAAAATATTCATTTTACATTATTTCCCGACAATTTAGAACATTTGAGGTTACATTGAAATATTTCTTATATAAGAGCAAATGAAGAGGATGGATCTCATATAATCATGGCCAAATAAGTATATTCTTCTTGGTCATATATTTTTATAAATCATTGAGGAGCAGGGAATGTTGTATGTGCATAAATGTATAACCTATTACAGCAGCCTGAGACCCCATGGGTTATTATTATGTCAGCAGAACTGAGATACTCGGATGTGTTTAGTGGTAGAAGCAAGCATTCCATTAATTTGGTTAAGGGACATGAATCAGCTAGTAGGTTGTGAGTTATGTACCTTCCTGACCTTCACAAAAGGACACCCTGACTTGGGTTTATACAGTCAGGGGTGCAGTAGGATGTACTGGCCCAGGTCAGAAGAGTGCCAAATTTCCTCAAGGACTCATTTGTCCTCAGGAAACTCAGAAGCTGGGTCATTAACACCCTGGCCCCAGGTCCTTCCTTACACAACTGTGACACTCTCTGGTGAACCCCTTGTCACTAATCTCACTCTGGGTATCTGATTTCTAGCTTTACTACCAGGATGAGAACTTTTTCTGTTAACATAAGTGTTCTCTACCCAGGGCCTTTCCAAGCCCCTGGCTTACAAGACCTATAGGAACAAGAGATCATTTCTTTTAATTACATGAAGAAATCTGATCGGATGTGAGATCCTTTAAAAGAAACTTTTGACTTCGTTTGTAAAAATATATTAGCATTTGTTACTTAAAGTGTTTCCAAGAGTGGAATTTATTTTACACCCTAATTCATTATGAATGCATCATTTTTCATATTCTGTGTACATAAGATTAAGTGAGGAAAAAGAATAGAGTTTAGAAGTTCTGTCTTTATTTCTCCAGTCCTGCCAAATCTCACTGTTGCTAAGGGAATATATTATTAACTTAGGTATCAGAATTAGAAAGGTCGTATTGTTCTGATAAAATATGCTATGACTCTGAGATGTCCAGGTGGAATCAAGAATATATTTCCCCAGATAATTTAATCTCATTTGAAAACTTAGATGTACTTGGTTCAGGGGAATATGCTGAAATAAAACCCTATCTGCCTCTTCACTCTTTCCTTTCTTCTCAGGAAGGAGAAACAGTGATCATAGCTCATTGAAAACTCTCCTGCTGTAGTTTAAAAAGCTATAATATTTGCTTTTTATTCCCTCTTCAAGTTGAGAACAGCTCATTGCCACTTTCTATTCAATGATCCTTCACTTGACTATTGTTTGTAACACCATTCCCAAGCTTTACTTTTTGACATGTTACAAATCTGTTTTTTTTCAAACTTTAATCATTTGTTTACGTTTCAACATTTCAATATTTCTCTCCTGACCACCACCAGGTAATATGTCTTTCCCACCTATCTTAGACTGTTCTTAAATAAAAATGTGGCTGATATAAAGGGAGAATTAAAAAACATAGCTTCCTCTCAGCTTCCTGTAGATAACAATAAATGCACTAGAACTTCAGTTTTTGAACTTTTAATGAGTATCATGGAAATATGTTTTAAAGCACAGGCTTGAGAGCCATACTGCCAGAACGTGACTCCCACATTTGCCACTTTACTGGCTGAGTGATCTTGGGCAATTAACCACTCTATGCCTCATTTTCCTCAACTGTAAAATGGGCATAATAATATTCTCCTTAAGTTATTCTAAGGATTAAATTAATGCAACAGATATTAAGTGTTTAGAAAAATACCTGCGCTTTTTCTCTGCCTGGCATTGCTGGGCCTGCAGGTCTGTGTCAAGCCATGGATGAGGGTCTTTGTTCTGCAGAATGGGGTTTGTTAAAGTTGTTAAGAATGAGGCCTATTTAAGAGATACCAAGTGAAATTTAGGAAATGACAAGAGGGTAGAACTGATTACTATACTCAGAAACACTCTGTGATACAGGATAAAAATAAATACAACACACTCAAATACAGGGTGATAGTCTGTGTAACAAACAGAGATATGATTTGTCAGATTACTTATGCCCATATAGAAGGGGATACGGTAGTCTGCGCAGCATATGTACATGGTACATGAACTACCAAAATAAGGTGTGAAGGTTGGCCTGACAAATTATGCTGCAGCACATTATACTGGCCTGCCACTGGCCCACGGGCTTCTCGGTAGGTTTGGCATGGACAGGATCTATGAAGGCCAAGTGGAGATGACTGGAGATTAATGTGATGTGGAAAGCATTGATGGTCAGCCTGGTGCCTTCACCTGCTATTTGGATGTAGGCCTTGCCAGAACCATCACTGGCAATAAAGTTTTTGGGGCCTTGAAGGGAGCTGTTGATAAAGGCTGTTCTGTCCCTCACAGTACCAGATGATTCCCTGCTTGTGATTCTGAAAGCAAGGAATTTAATGCAGAAGCGCATGGGAAACACATCATGGGTCAGAATGATGCAGATTACATGCATTACCTAATGGAAGCAGATGAAGATGCTTACAAGAAACGGTTCTTTCCGTTCATAAAGAACAGCGAAACTTCAGACCTGATGGAGGAGATATACAATAAAGCTCATATTGGCTGGGCACGGTGGCTCACAGTCCCAGCACTTTGGGAGGCTGAGGTGGGTGGATTGCTTGAGCCCAGGAGTTCGAGACCAGCCTGGACAACATGGCAAAACCCTGTTTCTGCAAAAACAATTTATAAAAATTACCCAGGCATGGTGGTGTGCACCTGTTGTTCCAGCTACTCAGGGGGCTGAGGCGGGACGATTGCTTGAGCCCAGGAGGTCGAGGCTGCAGTGAGCCAAGATCATGCCACTGCACTCCAGCCTGGGTGACAGAGCGAGACCTTATCTCAAATAAATAAATAAATAAAACAAAAAAGCTCATGTTGCTATACAAGAGAATCCAAACTATGAGAAGCCCAAGAAAGAAGTTAAAAACAGCAGGTGGAAACATCCCAAAATGTCCCATGCCCAGAAGAAAGATCAGGTAGCTCAAAAGAAGGGAAGCTTCCTCAGACCTCAGGAGCAGGCTCTGAGAGCTAAAACAATGTTCTAGGATGATTTTTCAGACAAAAACAATAAACTTTTTTTATTTTATTATTATTACACTTAGTTACATATGTATACATGTGCCATGCTGGTGTGCTGCACCCATTAACTCGTCATTTAGCATTAGGTATATCTCCTAATGCTATCCCTCCCCCACCCCCCACCCCACAACAGTCCCTAGAGTGTGATGTTCCCCTTCCTGTGTCCATGTGTTCTCATTGTTCAATTCCCACCTGTGAGTGAGAACATGCGGTGTTTGGTTTTTTGTCCTTGCAATAGTTTACTGAGAATGATGATTTCCAATTTCATCCATGTCCCTACAGAGGACATGAACTCATCATTTTTTATGGCTGCATAGTATTCCATGGTGTATATGTGCCACATTTTCTTAATCCAGTCTATCATTGTTGGACATTTGGGTTGGTTCCAAGTCTTTGCTATTGTGAATAGTGTCGCAATAAACATACGTGTGCGTGTGTCTTTATAGCAGCATGATTTATAGTCCTTTGGGTATATACCCTGCAAAAACAATAAACTTATTGGCTAAGCAGGTTTAAAAAAAAAATACCCTGCAGAAGCAAATTATTACATTTATTATCTAAGTTCCAAAATCAAAAGTTGGTTAATTTGTGTCATGAATCATACTGGAGGCTTATTCTAAATTCTAAATATCCTGTTTATAGCAACTTAAAATGCCAGCTCATTGTATTATAATTTTGACATTAATCAACCTGACATTTTTCTTTTATAAAGGTAAGGCATGAACATATTAGCTCTCATGATTCTTTTTTTAAAAAATTATTACTTCTCCCAGATTTCCTAAGCCCCATTTCTTTAGCTCTTTAAGTTGTTACTGTGATAAGGGAAAATATTGTTTTCGTGTGATGTGCTGTAAATAGGTTGGGCAGCCATCTCAGTTTGCCTGAAACGGAGGGGTTTCTCAGGACATGGGACTGTTACTGCTTAAACTGGGAAAGTCTTGGGGAAACCAGGATGGTTGGCTATCCTACTGTAAAGCTATTACATAAGGTGGGGTAAAAGAGGAAAGGAAGAATCAGTAGTGGTATTAATCTCATTAAATACAAAAGAATTATTAGTACACCACTGTTCCCTTGATTTTTGACTCATGCAATCTCTGATGAGTATCTGAAGGGTAAAATTGCACTCAACTAATTAACTCTAAATGTCAGGCATTTGGACATCGTGTTTTTTTTTTCCTTTTGCTACCATCATCATCTGTGGAATGTATTTCTTCTCCTTCATTTTATGCTGTTCTGCTTTCCTCTGATTGTGTCATGCTTCTTCTTTTTCTTTTAGGTCAACTCAAATCAAAACATACTCTTGGGACAATGCCCAAGTTATTCTGGTTGGGAACAAGTGTGACATGGAAGACGAGCGGGTCATCTCAACTGAGCGAGGTCAACATTTAGGAGAACAGCTTGGTAAGAAACAAATTAATAAGTTAAAAAGAAAGATAATTTGCTTATTATATGTAACTCTGTACAGAGTCCGAGCTAATTGTCAGGGTGGAGTTAATGAAATGTTTGTCAATCTAAGAGTGGAAAGCAACATAATCCTCCCTAAGTGGACAATATATTTTCTCCCACTTACTATGGCATCATGAGAGCTCAAGCGCAATTACAGAAGCAAAAATGATACTCAGAATTTTGGTCTTAGTACAAGGTATTTAAATTCTTATTCCATGAGAAACACAGGTTATGCCTTGTCCGTTATTTTTGGTTTTTTTCCCCCATACTCTATTTTGCATTCAGTGAGCTCTTTATTTTATTGTGTGATTATTGTTCTCAAGTTTCCATTGGAGGAGGATAATGGCACAGAATAGGTCACATCCTAGATTCTGATTCTAGTGACATCACTGATAAGCCATGTTACTGTTACAAATCCTTTTGAGACTTAGTCACCCCATCTCTCCAGAATGAGTATCATAGCCCGTGCCTATTTAACCAAGTCCTTGTAGATAAGATCAAATGAGATAATAGATATGAGAAAGTTTCAGAAATGGCAAAGCCATTTCAAACACAAAACATTGTATCTAAAGAGAAAAATGCTGGAGTGAGAAGGGTAGAGATTTAATACAAAGGAGGGATTGATGATTGATGATTGATTGATTGAGCCAAGAAATTTTTACTGGGTACTCGTTGTATGCTTTATATTATGCCAAACATCATGGGGTATACAAAAAAGTAATTCACAGTCCCTAGGCTCAAGTTGCTCCCAATCGAGTGGACACTGAAGACTGGAGATATACATAAGGAAGCAGAAATACAAGTCAACAAAAACAGGTCAATGAGGAGATAAGCTGCAAGGCAGATGCCAACAGGAAAGCAACAGGGAGAGGGAGGCAGACACAGGAAGGGGAAAAACATTGCCGGAAGGAGATGTAGGAGTGGAGTGTGATGGGAGGAAGATAAAGAGCAATGCAGAGAGGGCCCCCGGGGAGATCAGGTGTGGAAATGAATACACCAAGAGGAAGAGATGAGTGATGAGGGGAGATGGAGATCATATGGGTGAAATGGCAAGATACAGCTTGAATGGTCTCTGAAGGAGAGTAGAATTTGCAACTACAAAGGAGATGAGGCATTATGAGTAAAGGGCACAGTCATGCATGGACATTGAGATGAGCATAAGGTGAGAGGACAGTGAATAGAAAAGTGAGAACCTAGCAGAAAGTTGCAGAACTGAGTTGTGGATTTGGGGAACAACTCCAGTCCTAGAGGTGAAGGAGTTGGAATTCTTTTTGTTTTTTGTTTGTTTTTGGTAGACCACTGAGAATATTGAGGCATTCTTAGCAAAGAAGAGTTTGACTTTTAACCTTTTTGGCCAGGACCTGCAGTAAGAAATACTTTCAATTTAGCAACCCAATACATACATATATAAAACTTCTGTAAAACAAAAGTTTTACAAAACACATTTTAACTTTACTTGATGAGATTCACTCTGTTTTCTGTCTTACTTTTCTTTCTTCTTTTTTCTTAAATGGTGGTCCCAACCCACTAAGTTGATCCCCAGAAGCAGTAATGTGTCTCAATCTATAATTTGAAAAACACTGTTATAAAGGGGATGATTTGGGATTAATCTGCTGGTGTTGTGCAACATGAGTCAGAAAAGCAAAGTCCCTCTCATTGGGTCACTCTTCCTCTTGATCATCTCATAACTAATCTAAATACAGTTCACTCTGAAAGTTTGACCATTTCTCATGAGCTTAATGAGTTCCTTAGACTAAAATCTATCCCTGGATGGCCACAAGAACCCTTCCACCAAATATTCTTAGAGCCACCCAGGAGAAAGTTACCTGGCTGGTGTACGGTCTCCTGTGGCAGCTTTTGAAGTTACCATCTCTGCCACAGGGCCTCTTCCCACTCTACCGATTAAACAATATGAAGAGTCTGAAAAAATGATAATTTTTTTTCTTAATCCTCTTAGGACCTCAGAAAGATAAGAATGGGAAATAATAGATCCCCAAAGAAAGAGAGGGAGGAAACCTGGGAGAGGGTTGGCAGGTTGGCTTCCCAAGATGGTCTCTTCCCTGTCTTCCTGTGTTTTCTTAACTAGCTGGGCACATGCCAGGATGGGGAAGAAACTGCTACACAGATGTAGGCTGTCTCTATGAATAAAAATGAAAACTGTTTGGTTAAAAAATATATATATGTATCTCCAAGCCAAGAATTGTTTAATGTCATTGATACATAGGAGGCAGGCAACTGGCTAAATTTTTTAACACTCTAATAAATTACTTGGATATTGAGAAGACCAGGTTGTGAAAAGGGATGTTAGGATGATGGAAATGCATCAATAGGGTGACTTTCCCACTGCTCCATCGACTGGCACACACACAAACCCTTTCCATTCAGTAGACAGATGTAGCAAAGTTCCTGAAATTGTGAAGCAGAATGTTTTATGTTCCTGTTCAAGTTCTTCCAGTGGTTTCTAATTGATTTTTTGCTCTCTATTCAATAAAAACCCAGCTGTTGTCATAGCAACCAACACATGTGCATTCTTGGAGAGTCATTTACCTCGTTTAATGTGGCTTGTTCTCCTCATGGCTACACATGCTTCTACAAATGATCCTGAGGGACAATTTGTATTTTTAAAAAATGCTCTCACAATTTAAATTTAAAGATTTTAAAGGTCTTTGCTTTGTTTTTTAATTACTTGTACATTTTATTCTTCAGAATACCATCACATACACACAAAAGTTGCACATTGTTTTTTAAAAGTCATTACCACATCTTGGCAGATGGCTCGAAATAACTGCTTTATCGATCTGGTAGCAATTAATTCTCCATTGTGGATTGTTTTTTCTGTACAACATTTGCTCATCCTAATGAGGGTCCTTGATGGAACCAAGTTGTAATGGAGCTCTTTAAAAATTCTTGTATGGCAGCTGTCGGTCGCAATCCAGTTTAGTTCATCAAGCATTTATTAAGTGTTTACAATATGCCAGTTACTGGGAATGCAATGACAAATAACCCTACCTTCTAGGAGCAAACATTGTAATGCCTGAGATAGACTACACAGACAAAGAATATTTTTCTGGCTTTCCCTTTCTCAGCCATTTTGTTTCATTTGATCCTTTGAGCACCCCTCCTTACTGAATGCTGCTTCGTCAGCATTTATGACGTGGTGCTCTCTGTTCATCTCCTCCCTCTCCAGACTTGCATTTAGTTTCCTTGGTAGACTCCTCCTCCTTTATCCATCTCCTGCACTCTGGCTTTCTATCCTCAGTCCACCACTCCTCTCTCTCTACACCCTCCCTTGGATGTTTCCATCCACTCCAAGGTTTTAACTGCACCTCCAGACTAATGACTGCCAAATCATGTCCCAGGCCTGACCTCACACTGGCGCTTCAGGCGCCAACATCCACCTGCCAGCTGTGCATATTCAGTACTTCTGATTTAGAGTAGTGGTCTAATCATCTGCAGCTGAATTGGCTGGGGTTCATTTTCAAACGCACATTCATCAACCCAACTCAGACCTGCTGCATCAGAGTTTTTGAAGTTGAAGGCTAGACTCTACATTTTTAACAAGCATTTTTGTGACTTTTATACGACTAAATTTCCAGAACACTGGCTTTTGTGGGAAGCGAGTGTTTGGAGAGGGTAGGGAATTATTGCTGCCAGAGCTGAACATTACCCTATAGCTGGTGTTATTTTACCATGCTTTTTTTTTTTTTTTTTTTTTGGATGGAGTCTCGTTCTGTCACCCAGGCTGGAGTGCAGTGGCGTGATCTCAGCTCACTGCAACCCCTGCCTCCTGGGTTCAAGCGATTCTCCTGCCTCAGCCTCCCAAGTAGCTGGGACTACTGGCACGTGCCACCACGCCCGGCTACTTTTTTGTATTTTTAGTAGAGATGGGCTTTCACCGTGTTAGCCAGGATGGTCTCAATCTCCTAACCCCATGATCTGCCCACCTCTGCCTCCCAAAGTGCTGAGATTACAGGTGTGAGCCATGGCACCCGGCCTCCATGAGTGTTTTAACAGTTAGTCTATATGTATGTACCTATAACAATATATAAGAATGTTTTTAAATTCTATATTAAATTTATAGTATGGTACTTATATATGTACAATCTCATAATTTAAGTTTTAAATGTACAACTACTGTTTTAAATGAGAAAAAAATTTGGAGATACAATTAAAGATAGATTTTCCTAAAATAGAATAATTTATCTGGGAATAAGAACAAAGAAAGAAATTTATAGAGGAGGATGGATTTGTATTGCCTTGAAACCACAGGTGAAAGAATACTTGAACCATTATTATAAGCTCGGAAAGGGCAGAAAATGCAGAAACTCCTGTTTTCCAAAAATGTAGTCAGAGAACCAAAGACTGCAGAGAAACTATAATTGCTTCTGAGGAGAAGTCATTATTAATAATTTGTAAGGAGCCAATTTTAAAGCGTTTTCAATTTGCATTAATATTTCTTCCTAAAACAAGTAACAGATAATATTCCCAATTCTCTCCACTCAAACAATTATCTTAATAGCCTCTGAACATACGTATTACCAAATTCCAGATTCATCCCCTGTACCCTTCCTTCTTGTCCAGCACTGAACCCCATGAGAATTTCTGAAAGTACAAAATATTCTTATATTTTGCCATTTTACCAAGCTCTATAATTTTTCTTCCCTTCTTTTCCCATTTAATGGCTCTTTTGATTATTCATCTGACAAATATCTATAATAATACTGCGGAGTCATAAAACGTGTATCTTCCCTCTCACGGAGCTTAAAGTGTGGACTGTGTTTCAGAAATAGACTCAAATATTATGAACACGTAAACAGGGCTGAGTGTAACTCAGAGGATAAAGGAAGGGCATGAAGTTCTATGAATGGGTAGTTACTTCTCTTTTTGGAAAATGAAGAATGACAAAAAGATACATTCTATGTCTATATACTCCGAAACATATTGATTTGATAAATACTGGCTTAATTAAACAATTTCTTCAAGGAAATAGTCTCTTGAAGTAGAAAGAGATACATTTAAGACAAATGAAAAAGGATATTCTTTCACCTAACAAAGAATATACTAATGGAACCAATTATCTCTGGAAGTGGAAGGTAGTGCAGGCGGGACATATAATTACTTCCCAAAAGGTCTAGATAAATCAATGCAGGCAGATCTACCATGGCTAATGGGGGGAGTTTGCATTCTGTGGGATATTTCTGTGTCACCAAGCATAAGAGTTTGGGTGTATTGACCATGCTACATCATATGTTGTGGTACCACTCTCAGAGACAAGATGACTGAAGTGACTGAAACATTATAACCTAGCCAGAAAAGTGGATTTTAAGAACCATGCTCTTGATTTCTACTGAGCCTGAATGACCCCAGCATGCCTGATTTGGGAACTCTAAGATTCTCTGATTCACTCCTATGAACTTTTCAGTTTAAATCACCCTTGTCTCTCACTGCCAACCCAGGTAAGGGAGAGAAAGGCATTGACTACACTGTGAAATCATACGGTGGTGGAAGCCCTGAACTTGGATCCATGTGCTCTGGCCATAAGCAACCAATTTCTATTTATACAATTTCCACCAGGAAAAATTGTAATAGCAGCATCATCATACCTTCCATAACCACCAAGCTCCACTTCAGTCATCATACCCTTGGGACAATCTTGAGTCACGCAATAGGTCTTTTTTTTTTAGAGATGGGATCTTGCTCTGTTGCCCAGGCTGGAGTGCAATAGTAGCATGATCATAGCTCACTGCAGCCTTGACCTCTTGGACTCAAGCAATCTTCCCATCCAAGCCTCCCAAGCAACTGGAACTATAGGCATGCACCACCATGCCTGGCTAATTCTTTTTTATTTTTTGAGAGATAGGGTCTTCACTATGTCACCCAGGCTGATCTGGAACTCTTGGGTTCAAGCAATCCTCCCACTCTACTTTAGCCTCCCATGACTGGGGTTACAGTCATGAGCCACTGTGCCTAGCCCACAATAGGACTTAACTGAATTTAGTTTTCTATCTTAAAGTCCAGGAGGAAGGTAGGGCATATGTAGCTGGTAAACCTATTTAAACTCCGACCTTGGACCCCACAATCTTTCAGTGATCCACACAATCCAATGGAAGATGCTAGAAAATAACTAGATGATTACAAAGGATAAATTATCCTAAATCAACCATACTCAAATTCATAATTTCTCTTTTCAAAATGTGCTCACCTTTCTGGAACTTCCCCAACTAATAAACTGAAAAACTCCTTAGCCAAGTGTGCTGTGATTTATAAGAAACCTCTGGAAATTCTTGGTATCTCACTCTATGTCCAAATTACACTGAGATGATTACCACTAAATTGTACAGCAATTTTTCAGTACCTTTAGAGCACCACTTTAGGGAAGCTATAATCAGAACTACTTAAGGCGGTTCTCATCTGAATAACTAAAAACCAAGGTGTTAGAGAGTGTGCTATTTTATTTGCTTGTTTGTTACATTGAGACTGCTGATATTGGGAATAGCAGGGATATCAGGAGTCACTGCTAGGCCTCAGCACATTGAGGGGACCTTGCTTATTTCTCAAAAAAATAATAATAATAAAATAAGGAAAACCCAAGGCGGGGACAAGGAAACAAATCTAGAAGGAAGACTAGATATAGAGAAAGGTTCTCGATCTTGGCTACACATTTCAGTAGGTTGGGAAGCTTTTAAAAATCCTAGTGACCAAGCTGCATCCCAAGCCAACTAAATTGGAATCTCTGGGCTGGGACCCAGACAACAGTATGTTTTTTAAGTCCCAGGTTATTCCAATGTGTAGACATGATTGAGAACCACTGATTTACAGAAAAAACAAGGGGCAGATTAGCCCAGAGAGCCAGCAGAAGGAAGCTGTAATTGGTTCCACCCTTCATGGTGGGGCTCGTGCTGCCCGGCCACAGGGAGCTGGTCTTCCAGGATGGATTCATGCTGAAGCTTTCATGCACCCTAGTCTAGTCCCCATGTGGCCAATAGGTGCATGGATTTTACAGAAGGCTATTGGGGATCAGAAGAGGAGTATGAGGTTATACAACAGAACGTAATTATTAGGACCAATGTAAATTTAGCAAAGTCCACTTGTAATTGCATAACAACCACTGAGCTGAAATAAATGAGCCAAAGATTCTTTTCTTAAACTACAGTGGGGTCACACTAGGAGTTTATTTCTTTTGGGGGGCAGGAGATAGACACTTCAAAATAGAACTCATGAATATATTACGGGACTTTATTCATTTACTAATGTATTCATTTATTCAGTATTATTGAGCACCAACTATTGGTCAAGGCACTAGGAGTTAGGAAACAATAAGACCAAATTTCTGTCACCCCAAAGGAGAGTCTGAGAGACACATAAAGACTTTCAAAAGACAGCATATAATTGTTGTAATAGAGGCATGGACTCAGTGCTAGAGGAGCTTAAAAGATTAAGAATGTCCCTGTTTGGAGGCTCTGAGAAAGGTCACACTGTGGAGACAATGTCTGAACCATGTCTTGAAGTATGAATAGGATTTTGATAGTTAGACAAACAGGTGATGGTCTCCCTAGGCATAATAAATAGTATTCTGGAGGGATCTAAGCCTGGAAAAGTTGACATCATATATCATGGAGAACCTTGTTTGAAAGAATCAAAAACTCGGGCTTTGTCCTATACATGCTGAGGATCCTAAGTTTTAAACACTGGAGTGACAAGATCAGATTTCATTTTGGACCAATTACACTGGCAATATTCCAGAAATTAGGGTGTTTAAGATCAGCAGGAGTACAAAAGGAAAATATTAATAGCTCTATTTATTCGTACCTCAATTTTTTTTTCAGTTATTGGGTATGTTTTATAAGGTACTACTGGAATAGTACATTATATAATTTATGAAATATTCATGTATTAGGGCAGTACTGTTTTTTGAAACTAAGAATTATAAAACAACATATGTTTGGAGACCACTGGCTAAAGGATAGACTGGAGGGTAAGGACAGGAAGCAGAGATTCCAATAAGAAGCTGATGCTATTGGGTAAATTATGGCGAGGCCTAAAGCAGGGGTTCCCCACCCTGGCTGTACATTCGAACCACCTAGGTAGCATTTTAAAAACCATGGCACGGACCCCATCACACACACACACACACACACACACACACACACACACATATTAAGTAAATCAGAATATCTGAAGCTGAGGTACAAACATGAGTGTTTTTAGCTCCTTAGGTGATTCTAATGTACAGCCATGGTTGAGAACCCTTGATTTAGGCCCTCACCATGTCTCACCCAATTGTGTTAAAGTTGAGGACCACAGACCTAAACCAAGCAGTGGCACTGGGGATACAAACAAGGAATTAGAGGCATAAAAGATGATGGAGGTACCTGGCCTGAGTAACAGATTAAAATCATTGTGGAGGGAGAATTTCGGAGTAAAATCAACACACTAACAGGCAGAAGGGAAGACATCCAGAAAAGTCAGAGAGTAGAGAGTCAGGATAGTGGAGATACTTAGGTGGTCAGTCATGAAGGCAAATGGGACAAGATCTAGAAAATACATTGAAAGAACTAGTCTTAAATCTAAGCAATGCAATCCATAATTTTAAATATGACAGTAAATTACTATTTAAATGCTTTGATAAGCATTGATCCACAAATGATCCATGAGGTGATACACATAGGAGGACAGTGGGAATTTGGAGGCTCTTTAGGAAGAAAAAGACAACATTGCATATTGCATAGAGAGGTGACCACCCCTTTCTTTTTAATGAAATCGAAATAGATTTCTAAGAGTTGCCTTCATTCAATGTCTTTTTGATAACACAAGAAATTAGTTCAAAAAAGTAAATAACATCATTAAGAACTGGCCATTGTAGCTACCTATGTCTGCATTGTTAACCTTCTTTTTAGCAAAAGACCATGGCTGATTTAATGGTTTGGTGGTTCACACACATTTATAGCTAATTTCATGTCATAGATTTCAGCCTATCGTTACAGTTTCAGTCCAGCTTGCCAAGGATCATTTAGTAAGCTGGGCACCAAAGCCAGAGAAACATGGACAGCCCTAGTGGTGGGCATGCACCCACCTTGGCTATCTTAAAGCTTTTCTGTTGAGCTCAGACCTGCAATGTTGCCTCCAGCCACTTCACTTTAATGAAGGATGATGGTTTTTTCCTTCAGTTTTAATCCTTTCCCTCTTACCCCTGCAAAAACAATTATGTAATAAAGCCAGGTTGTGCAGCCAGAAACTCTAATGAGGTTAACATTGCCCTAAAGCCTATTTTTAAAACTCAAACCACCTGTTCCAAATATGCATTAGCTCTGTTCTTCAGCAGCTTTTAAAGATTTATTTAACTCTCAATTGAAGTATTTCTCAAAGAATGAAAATTGCCAACCTCTGGGTTCAGCAGGGAATCCCAGTGATGCTACTAAAATGTTCTAAGTACCTATCTGCACACACCTCTGAGGAGAAGCACTGCCACCCTACCATTATATCCCCAGGCTCACTTTCTTTTTGGCTAAGTATTCCCAGGAGGTATAAACTAAACCAACATTGTACATTTTAATGTGTTTGGGTTGGTTTAGGTGTGGTCATATCCATGGGCTGGGAAGGGAAGGGACTGCTGTTTGTTTGCCCTGGTTCTTGTCTCTTTTGTGCTTCCCAGTTCCTGTTAACCTGATCTTTATTTCATAATCTTATGGATCTCCACTCTCCCTTCTGGCAGCTGAAATTCACTCCTCAGAAACTGTCTGTTCCTTATGAATAAAGTGACCATGCATCCCAGTTTGCTCAGGACAGTCCTGTTTATGTTCATTTCCCAGTGTAAGTATTAATAGCATCCCCTTTCAATCTCAAAAGTGACTCAGTTTGGAGAACAAATGGTATGGTTATCCAATCCATGAAACCCCACCCATGCAGCATCTTTGAGTGATAAACTCCACTTCCTCTTTGTTTTTTATGCTGCCCTTCTTCTAAACCTCTACTTATTTTTTCTCACATTCCCCAGTGAATAAACTCTCAAGACTCTGGCAAATCCCTATTTTACTGAGACTCTGGCACATCGCTATTTTACTAATTGCCTTCCTTAACCAACTCCACTAATCTAGGTGTTCTTTCCTATACTCCTTCTTACTAATCCAGATCTTACCAACCTTTGACCCCTGAGTTTCCCCATTCTCATGATTCTGACAGCTCCAAGGGACATCAATATGCAAAGTGCCCTTCTTCATTATGAAGAGCTTCCAAAGCCCCACTGTCTATCTGTTACTTGTGGATCAAAGCTTATCCTCTAACAAACGTTATGTTTACATGTCTCCTGTCCCATCTCGACAGACAAAATTGTCTAGCCCTCATTTTTCTACCTGGATTTGGCTCAGAACTTCACCTTTGCTCCTTCTCTTAGAATGATCTTCCAAGCTGTGCCCTTTTCTCATTCACACAAACTTGCAAACACATTTGGTGAAATGTTTAAAAATTAATCCAGGTCCATGTAACCGAAATCTGTATAAACTGCCAGCTTCATTTTTTATTTGTTTTTCTTTTTTAACAAAAAAAAGCATAAATAGCAGTATTACTTACCAAAATTAAAGTCAGATATAAGAAATATAAACTGCAGTATTTGGATTTGGATTTAATTAATCTGCTAAGTGTTGAGAGCTGAAAAAGATTAAATCAAGGATGGCTTTCTCACACTAAATTGTGGAATCTGTGCTTGGATGCAGCTGGCAGAAACCATCTCTGTTCATCAGCTTTGCACACTGGCCAGTGTTATTTCCTTTCTCCCAGGGTAAAATTATTAGGGCGGGGAACAGTAGAGAAACAAATCACACTAACCAAACTCACAGGGGACAGATTTCTAATTTAAAATGCCTTTTATCATGCTCTGCGAAATGTAAATGTCACACAGTTGGTAATATTCCTGTTAGACAATCAGTGTATCCTTTTATCAATAGAAAAAATACCCTTAGAAAGGCTATCAATTTATTATGGTTTCTTAGTGGTTCTAGATCAAAGAAAAGGGAATCCAATGATGTTCACTCATATATTTCTTTATTTTTAAAATTAAATTAATTTTTTTTACAAATTATGATGTTTCATATTCATAGAATACATAGTGAATTTTTGATACATATAATGTATTGTGGTCAGATCAGGGTAATTAACATACATTTATCATTTCTGTGTTGGGAACGTTCAGTATTCTCCTTCTCGCTATTTGAAACTATACAATGTATTATTGTTAACTACAGTTATCCTACAGTGGTACAGAACACTAGAACTTACATCCCTTATCTGGCTGTAATTTTGTATCCTTTAACAAATACTTCCTTGTGCCTCCCTTCCCCCACACCCTTCTCAATGTCTAGTATCTTCTGACTACTTTTTACTACTATAAGATCAACTTTTTTTAGCTTCCCCATGTGATTGAAAATATGCACTGCTTAACTTTCTGTTCCTGGCTTTTTTCACTTAATATAACGTCCCTCCAGTTCTACCCATATTGCTGTGAATGACAGGCTTTCATTTTTTTATAGTTGGGCATATTTCATTGTGTATATACACCACATTTTTTAATCTATTCATCTGTTTTTGGACACTTAGGTTGATTCCATATCTTGGCAATTGTGAGTATGCTGCAATAAGCACGGGGGTGCAGATGTCTCTTTGATATACTGATTTTCTTTTATTTGAATAAATGCTAAGTAGTGAGTTTGTTAGAGCCTATGGTAGTTCTATTTCCAGTTTTTTTGAGACACCTTCATACTGTTCTCCATAGTGGTTATACTAGTTTACATTCTTACCAACAGTGTATAAGAGTTTTCTTTTCTCTGCATCCTCACCAACATTTGTTATTTTTTGTGTTTTGATAATAGCCATCCTAACTACGGTGAGATAGATGATACCTCACTGTGGTTTTGATTCACATTTCTCTGATGATTGGTGATGTTGAACATTTTTTGATACATTCACTGGCCATTTTTATGTCTTTTTTCTTTTTTTCTTGAGGCAGAGTCTTACTCTGTCACCCAGGCTGGAGTGGAGTGGGTGTGATATCGGCTCACTGCAGCCTCTGCCTCCCAGGTTCAAGCAATTCTCCAGCCTCAGTCTCCCAAGTAGCTGGGATTACAGGCGTGCACCATCACTCCTGGCTAATTTTTATATTTTTAGTAGAGATGGGGTTTTGCCATGTTTGCCAGGCTGGTCTCGAACTCCTGACCTCAAGTGACCCGCCCCTCTTGGCCTCCCAAAGTGCTGGGATTACAGGCATGAGCCACCGTGCCCAGCCATTTTTATGTCTTCTTTTGAGAAATGCCTGTTATTGGTCTGATCGAGTTTTCTATTTCTTCTTGTTTCAGTCTCTCTTTTTTTTTTTTTTTTTTTGAAACAAGGTCTTACTCTGTCACCCAGGCTGGAGTGCAGTGGCACAATGTAGGATCACTGCAACCTCCACCTCCAAGGTTCAAGTGATTCTTCTGCCTTAGCCTCCCAAGTAGCTGGAAGTACAGGTGCCCACCACCACACCCAGATAATTTTTAAGTATTTAGTAGAGATGGGGTATCACCATGCTGGCCAGGCTGATCTCGAACTCCTGAACTCAAGTGATCCACCCACCTTGGCTTCCCAAAGTGCTGGGATTACAGGCATGAGTGACCACACCCAGCCTTGGTTCAATCTTTGTTGGTTGTATGTGTGCAGGAATTCATTCATTTCCTCTAGTTCTTCAAATGTATTGGCATATAGTTGTCCATAGTAGTCTCTTATGATCCTTTATATTTCTGTGGTATACATTTTGATGTCTCCTTTTTGTCTCTGACTTTATTTATTTAGGTCTTATCTCGTTTTTTCTTCGTCTAGCTAATGATTTGCCAATTTTGCTTATTGTGTTATAAAAACAACTTTTTGGCCAGGTGCGGTGGGCTCACGCCTGTAATCCCAGTACTTTGGGAGGCCAAGGCAGGCAGATCACGAGGTCAGTAGACCGAGACCATCCTGGTTAACACAGTGAAACCCCGTCTCTACTAAAAATACAAAAAATTAGCCAGGCGTGGTGGCGGGCGCCTGTAGTCCCAGCTACTCGGGAGGCTGAGGCAGGAGAATGGCATGAACCTGGGAGGCAGAGCTTGCAGTGAGCTGAGATTGCACCACTGCACTCCAGCCTGGGGACAGAGTGAGACTCCCTCTCAAAAAAAAAAAAAAACTTTTTGTTTCATTCATCTTTTATTAATCTTTTATTCTTAATTTCTTTCTTCACCCACTTGTCATTCAGTAGCATATTGTTTAATTTCCATGTATTTGTGTTGTTTCAAATGATCTTCTTGTTATTAATATCTAATTTTGTTTTATTGTGGTCAGGTAAGATACTTAATATAATTTTAGTTTTTAAAAATTTGTTAAGACTTGTTTTGTGTTCTAATATATGGTCAATCCTGGAGAATGTTCTACATGCTGATGAAAAAAATATGTATTCTGCAGCTGTTGTGTGAGATGTTCTATCAATGTCTGTTAGGTCCATCTGGTTTGTGGCATAGTTTAAATCTGATGTTTCTTTGTTAATTTCCTGTCTGGATGACCCAATGCTGATGGTGGATTGTTGAAATTCCCAACTATTATATTATTGAACTATTATATCACTGGGGTCTATCTTTCCCTTTACATCTAATACTTGCTTTATGTATCTGGGTGCTGTGGTGTCAGGTGCATATATATTTATAAGTGTTATATTATTTTGCTGACTCAATCTTTTTATTATTATATTGTATCCTCTGTCTCTTTTTATAGCTTTTGACTTGAAGCATTTTTTTTTAACTGCTGCAAGTATAGCTATCCCTGCTTACTTTTGGTTTCTGCTTGAATGGAACATCTTTTTCCAATCCTTCACTTTTTGTCTATGTGTGTCTTTACAAATGAAGTGAGTTTTTTGTAGGTAGCATATAATTGGGCCTTGATTTTTTTTTAATCTATTCAGCCTGTCTATGTCTTTTAAATGGAGAATTTAAGCCATTTACATTCAAGGTTATTATTTCATAGGTGAGGAATTACTCCTGTCATTTTACTGATTGTTTCCTGGTTGTTTTATATATCTTTTGTTTCTTATTTCCTCTTTTATTATTTATTTTTGTGGCTGGGTCCCTATCTGTAATGATAAGTTTTTATTTTATTTATTTATTTATTTATTTATTTATTTATTTTTTGAGACAGAGTTTTGCTGTTGTTGCCCAGGCTGGAGTGCAATGGCACAATCTTGGCTCACCACAACATCCGCCTCCCAGGTTCAAGATATTCTCCTGCCTCAAACTCCCAAGTAGCTAGGATTACAGGCATGCACCACCATGCCCGGCTAATTTTGTATTTTTAGTAGAGATGGGGTTTCTCCATGTTGGTTAGGTTGGTCAAGAACTCCCAACCTCAGGTGATCCACCCGCCTCGGCCTCCCAAACTGCTGGGATTACAGACATGAGCCACTGCACCCAGCCTGATTCCTTTCTCTTTTTTCCTTCATATATTGCCTCTACTAGGGAGTTTTATAGTTTCACAAGTTTTTATTATGTCATTTATCATCTTTTTACTTCCAAATGTAAGACTTCCTTGAACACTTCTTGTAAGGCCAGTCTGGTAATGATGAATTTCCTTGGTTTTTGCTTTTATGTGAAAGATTTTATTTCTCCATCATTTCTAAAGGATGGCTTTGCTGGGTATAATATTTGTGGTTGGGAGGTTTTTTTTTTTCTTTTGGTACTTTAAATATATTATTCCATTCCCTCCTGTCCTATAGGGGTTCTGTGAGAATTTCACTATTAATCTAATGAGGGTTACTTTATATGTGACTTGATGCTTTCTCTGTCTGCTATGATTTTATTAATTATGCTATCCTCATCTTTTCCCTTCTTTTCTGCTTCCCAAAACACTGAAAATATAAATATTTGTTCACTTAGTAGTGTCCCATAAGTCCTGTAGGCTTTATTTATTTATCTTTTTTCTTTTTTTTTCTGCTTATATTATTTCAAAAGCCCTGTCTTCAACTTCAGAAATTCTTTTTTCTTCTTGGTCTAGTCTGTTGTTGAAGCTCTCAATGGTAATTTTTTTATTTTAGTCATTGGATTCTTCAGCTTTAAGGTTTCTGTCTTGTTCTTTTTAATGATACCCATCTCTTTGTCGAATTTCTCATTCAAATCATGAATTGTCTTTCTGAATTCATTGAATTGCCTATATTCTCTTGTATCTCAGTTTTCTTAAGTTTATTGTTTTGAATTCTTTTTCTGGGATTTCACACATTTTCTTATCATTGAGGTCTGTTACTTGAGAATTGCTGTTTTTCATTGACAGTGTCTTGTTTCCTTGCTTTCTCATGTTTGATGTGTCCCTACACTGATTTCTATGCACGTGGTAAAGTCACTTCTTCCAATTTTATGAAGTAGGTTTCATATGAATGAGTTTTAGGGTATTGGTTTGGTAGAGTACATTGGCTTTGCTTCTAGGTGGATGCAACAGTGTACTCTCCATGTAGTTTCTTCAGCTATAATCCATACTAGTAGCATAAGCAAGTTTCTCAGTGGTCTAGGCTGAGAGAGTCTGTGGCACCAGTGGTGTGGCTTTGTAGGATTGGGGTTGCTGGGCTGTTTCTCAGGTTGGAGGCATATATATGCACACAGTGTGCTAGCTAACTTGGAGTCACTGGGGTTGGAGCTATGGTACTGTTACTCTTGCCACAGGCACAAGCATGCAATTGCTTGTCTGACCTAGAATTGTGCCTGCCAGGAGTGGTCCGTGGAACTATTTCTCAGGTCTACATGCAGGTGCAAGGCTCTTCAGTTGGCCTGGGGGTATGCCCACCAGGGGCAACCTGCAAGGCTGTTTCTTAGGCACTGATGGAGAGTACAGGACCATTGGGTAGGCCACAGCCATGTCTGCAGGGGGCAGGGGGCAGGGGCACTGCAGGGCTATTTCTCAGGTCCTGAGCACGGTCACATAGCGACTTTGCTGGCCAGGGGCAGATCAGCTGCTCAGAGACTCAGGTCCTCTCCCATTTAGGGGAGGGCATGTAGCAGTTTGGCTGGCTCAAGAGTAGAGTTGCCCTGGGCAAGATTGCTATACTCTTCCCCCAGCTGAAAGTGTAGTGACAGGAGTTGTTTTCCCTGCTGTGCAGGACCAGAGTCATAGCTGATTCTGGGCCCAGGCTCTGCACAGCTGGGGTTGTGGCATTCAGCTACCTGTATCAGCTTGTTGGAAATAAAATGGAGTCCCAGTGCTGGAGAGGTGCAGTAGATACTGGCCCCCAGAGAAGGGTGGACCCCAGAGGTAGCTCTGGTCTCAAGATGGTGCTATGCTGCAGAAGCTTGGCTCACAGGGGTGTGAGGTATGGGGAGTGCAAACCTTGTGCTCCTGCTACAGGGCAATACAGCTGCATGAATTCCTAGCGGCTCTCCAAAATGGGCTTAGGGTTTGCAAGAGCTTTGGGATTCTCCTCTTATAAGGACTGTAGGTGTTTGTGGTGGCAGTGGGGGCTGGTGGGGATCATTTTACATTTTCTCTTCAGTGGAAAGTCCTTCCTAACTCCAGGCAGATCTGATCCAGTTTGGATAGACAAGTCTGCAGAGATTGGGTGCTTCTACACAGCCCTATGGTGATTTCAAATCACCCTATGTGTGTCTGCAGTCTCTTGCTGCACTTAGCATTCTCCCTTTGACAAATCGTAGCTGTCTGTTCCTTGCCTTGGTCCTTTTCTACTCATGTATTTCTTATCCTATTGAGCTCTCACTATGTGCCAGGCATGTGATGTTAAGGGATACCATTGAGTAAGTACAATGCTCTTTATTGGGATACAGAGCAAGTAAACCTGTATACTCAGCCAACTCAATGCAGGCATCCTCTCATTTCCCCATTGACCATACTGGGCAGTAAATAATCTCAATCCTTGACTCTTTTTTTCCTTGACTTCACACAAATCAACTCCATTTTCTTTTAATGGTTTTACCTTGAAATTTTTATCATTTATTAGACTACTGATAAAAGAGAAGTCTTACCCTCCATCTGAGAAATTTGGAAGACACTCTAGTCCCTTGATGGATTTTGAGAAGTGTGCTGTTCTCACCAGAAAATCGTTTGTTCATCCTATCTTGGAGTGAATTCCTTCTGCAGATGGCTAATCTCATGGACTTTGTGGCACTTACTTAATAACTTTATTCTCAGTGGATGACTTTTTCTTGTCTCAATCCCAAATCCCAAAGATATACTCTCTTTGATGCCTGTAGGCACCTGCTTTCAGCTGTGTACAGACTGACCCATGATATTTCATCCGTGTAAGCCATTAGAATAGTTTTCTCCACTAAATCTTGGTACTATGCCCTATTGTCTCTATTTTACCCTTAACTTTACTTAACTGGCATTTGCATGGCTTGGCTTTATTTGACAAGGAAGTAGCCATCCTAAGAAAGATTCATCATCATCTCATCCTCTGCCTTGAGAGTTCAGTGAAAAAGCTAGCTGCTTCTGGAGAGAGTTCCTTTTCCATATTCAAACTTCATCAAGACAAGGGATGATTTAATTACGACTTTCAGAATTTGTCACTATATAAAGTAAAATCATTTGTATGAAGCTTCACATAGTGTTCTGTGTCTAGGCTGTGTTACTATTGAAAGGAGGTAGATATAGACCTCGAGAAGAATTTCTTGATTTTAAGAATTGGCAGATATTAGTACATATTAGAAAGGATAAGAAATCCCAAGAACTTGTAAATGAAGCCAACAGCTAGTGGAACACTGCCAAAATATAAGAAGATGGACATTAGGGATGTACAAAGGTTAAGAGTGTGGACTTTAGAGTCAGATTTTAGATCTTGTCCTGGTTTACCAAGTGTGTGACTCAACCATTTTCGCAACTGTAAAATGAGCCTTGTAAAGTCATCTACTTCATGGGGCTGGTTACAGGATTAGAAAATAAATGCAAAAAGGCCTAGCGTAGTATGTGCATATAGTATGTACTTAATAAATGTTAGTTACATTTAAGATTCCATATCCTTTGATATCACAATGAAATTTCATTCATTTGGGCCCTAGTAATTAAAAATGTATTACACTATTTGCTCTATTTCATATGTATCCTCCACAGCAAAAATAACTTCCTAATTGATAATGCATATGTTATTGTAACCTGAAAATCCTAAACAGACAGAAGTTATCAATGTTTTTGTTGACAATTCATAAATAGGCTGAGCTGGAAATTGTCTCCTTTATCATTGAAAGCCTATTGAAATGTTAAGAAGTTACAAGGTTATATTTAACCCATTTCAGAGAAAAAACTCTTTTAAAACACTTAGCACTCTTTGCATATAAGCAGCCACTCTGCCAATCATAAATGATCCTTATCTCTTTATTAAAACCAATATGACAGAACATTGACTTCTCAGCACTTTAATAGTTCTTAGTTCAGGTGTTGAAGTGTAACGATCTTGCATTTCTTCAAATTTTTTCAGAAATATGTCTTTCCTTGTGAGTAAATAGAGCTGGTTTAATTTGTTTTATATCATAAATTTCCCACAGGGCAAAACCAAAACGATATTTTGTGAAATTCCATGCTTGGTAAACTCCATCTAAAAATGATATGGCTGACAGAATTGTTCACTGGTTTAGTCACGTCATAACTAAAAACAAAGGAAAAGTGATTCTCTTTCTCTCCATTTCCCCATTAACCCCACTACTTCTCCCAGCCAATTAACAGAAATCTATTCTTTAATTAACCCTATAAATATATACACCTACTATATACCCACAAAAATTTCAAAAGTTAAAAAAAACCTTTTAATTAGCCAACATCTACTGGACACCTGCTCATGCTGGGCACTATGTTACTATCTCTAGAGATATGGAGAAGCACAGTGGAATGTACATTCTAATTGCGGAGCAAAACACACGTAGTATGGAGGTGGTCAAGGAATGAGGGGTGTTTGCTTTTGGATGCAAAGTTTCTTTCTGGGGGGTGATGACAATGTTCTGAAATTAGATCATGGTGATTAACCTTTGTACATCCCTAATGTCCATCTTCTTATATTATGGACCAGGATTTGTTAAGGCCATAGACTGACCATTGCATAGTTTCAGAATTCTAACAGAAGTAGGAAAATGCTACCATCTGGTCATGCCTGGCTAAAGACACAGACTCAGGGGCTGAAATACCATTTTTTTAGTAGCACTAGCCTTTGGTTGAGCTCCTATTCTTGCTTTTCTACAGCTTTGGTCTGCAATTTTGGCCCTTCTTCAGGCAAATTGATCAAAAGCCTTACCTCCCACTTCTCTTCCTAAAGCCTGTCTCTGGGCTGGGGCCCAGTAGAGGACGAGCTAATATGCCAGTTTGTCCTGCTGCTCAGCAATCCCTACTTCTGGCTCAAATGTCACCCACCCGGTAGCAGAATGACCTTTCCTTGCAGTTCTGGCCCATCCAGTTCCACAGGAAAGGGGAGACAAGACATTGCAACTGTAACTAGAATCTGGAAAAAGAAGATTTTCTCATTTAGGAGCTTGGGAATAGAAACTTAAGAACAAATCACAGATTTTTAACAATTGGAGATGAAAATAATTTATTGCAGTGTGACTTTAGTGGCTATTTCCTCTCTACAGAAAAAAAAATATCACTTGTGATTTTTCTTTCAAAGTAAAGTTTAAAAGATCAGAGTGCCCCAAGCGATGTTTCCCTGGGGTTAAAAAAGGAGCAACAGTGCCGCAGAACATCTCATAAAAACAAATGGCATTTCACAATATGGTGTAGCTATTGATGGGTGGAAATGAATCAAGTGTTTCCTGTAAGATTGTTGTAATGCACTGGAGAAAGCGGGGGAAGAGGTGGTTAAGTGTGCAATACTGTGATTGTGATTATTACCATTAACACAATGCAGTCACATGTGGAATGGAGTCCCCTAGGGTGCTCTGACGTTCCAGTACTCTTCAAGCGCCAGAGTGACATCCTGGAGCCTGCCACCTCAGTGAGCAGCACACTTCTGGCCTAAGGCCCTGCTTGCTGCCCTGTGGGTATCAATGTGAAAAGGCCTCAGCCTTCTCTGAGGCTTCCTTTGCTCTAAGGACCTCCTGGGAGCAAAGTGGACAGAAGAGTGTCGGCAAATCAGGCCTGCGCCACAGCCAGGAAGTGTGGGTTCATGTTCTTCACGTGCACCGGAAGGTATTAGAATGCCCTCCTTGAAAAGCAGCTGCTCTTTCATCTCCATTGAGACCAGAGCAAAAAGGATTAGATTTAAACACCTGTAAGAAGGGTTCTTGTTGAGCATGGGAACCATTTTGTGGTAGGGGATTCTGCCAGTCACCAGAATGGTTTCCCCAATCGGCCATGGGGTTTCTCAGAAAAATCTCTAAGGGCAACGTACATTCTCATTCATTTAGGACAGTGATTCTTACTATATATATATATATATATGTGTGTGTGTGTGTGTGTATATGTATATATACATATATATACATATAGGTATACATATATGTATATATGTGTATATATAGTTTTATAGAGGTATAATTCATATACCATAAAATTCACCCATTTGAAGTGTACAATTCAGTGGTTTTTAGTATGTTCACAGGACTGTGCCACCTTCATCACAGTCAATTTTGGAATATTTTCATAACCCCAGAAAGAAGCCCCCTGCCCATCAGCATTCACTCTGCCTTTTCCCTCACTCTCTACCCCAGCCTAGGAAGCTACTAATCTGCTTCCTGTCTTATAGATTTACCTATTCTGGGCATTTTTTATAAAATGGTCTCATATGAGATATGGTCCTTTATGTCAGGCTTTTTTCACTTGGAATACTATTTTCACTGTTCATCCATGTTGTAGCATGAATCAGTATTTGTCTTTTTGTGACTAGCTTATTACACTTAGCATAATGTCCTCAAGGTTCATTCATGTTATAACGTGTGAAAATTTCCTTTCTTTTAAAATTGAATAATATTCCATTGTTTATGTATAACACATTTTGTTTATCCATTCATAGGTTGATAGGCACTTGGATTAGTTCTACCTTTTGGCTATCGTGAATAATGCTGCTCTGAACATGGGTGTACAGAGGAGGGTAAATCTTAACCTTAAATGTGCGTAAGAAACCTCCCAAGGAGCCTGTTAAAAATGCATATTCTGAAGCCCCATACACCCCTCTTGATTCCCATTGTTCAGTATGTGTAGAGTGGAGTTCAGAAACTTTTAAGCACTTCAGGTGATTTGCTCTGTCACCCAGGCTGGAGTGCAGTGACGTGAACACTGCTCACTGCAGCCTTGACCTCCCAGGCTCAGTGGTCCTCCCACCTCAGCCTCCCGAGTAGCTGGGATTACAGGATTGTGGCACCACACTCAGCTAATCTTTGTATATTTTGTAGAGGTGGCGTCTTACTATGTAGGCCAGGTTGGTCTTGAACTCCTGAGCTCAAGCGATCCTCCCACCGTGGCCTCCCAAAGTGCTGGGATTACAGGTGTGAGCTATGGCACCCAGCCCATAATTTAGGTGATTCTAATGAGGGTGAACCTCCAATCCTATGAAGTCAGGGTGTAGAATCACAGCCGTTTGTCACTAGAGTGTAGTCTGGCTTACACTGCCTCTCTCTGCTTGCTCTTTCAGTGTCCACCATGAAGAGGACACAGGTTGGCTTTTGCTTCTGCTCCTCTTTCCTCAGCATAGCTAACATGTTTTATCAAACAAAACCTTTCCAAGCTTTTATTTGGTCCCTAACATCAGGTGAACCTGAAGGGATTAGTGTCCCGCTGTACCTGTAGTGGTTTTTGGAAAGGGTAGGAGTGACCCTTTCAGGATCAGGCATGAGGAAGCCTACAACAGAGATGTGCTGGACCACAGTGCAAAGCTCATGCATCTCACGAACAGTGCCGCCTGCCTCTGCCAAAGAGATTAGAAAGGCTTTGTTAAGGGAAGGATGAGAAAGAATGATCAGAGTTTCTACAGTTAAGTGAAAGGCTTCACTGATTTGCTGATGAAGAAACCTACATGAGCTGAAAATACTAATTCTGGATGATGTAGTCTGAGAGACAGGTGTTCAAGGCTGTAAGCTAAATCAGTAACTTATTTATCAGGAGGTCTTTGTCAGACTTCACAATCGGCTTGCTGTGTGACTTTGGGCTACTTATTTGATCTTGCTGAACCACACTCTTCTACCCAGTAGATTGGAAGTGATCTTCAAAGTTATAAGACTCTGTTTCTGAAGTATCATTGATCCAGCTTCCCACTGACGTTGGTGTGTACGAATGGGAGATTAAAGATTTCTCAGAACAAGCTCAAAATACTGAGAACTGATCTCAAAATACAGAGATACTGGGAGGTAACAGCCATAAAATCTGAGTTAGTGAAAGAACAAAGGCTGTAGTGGTTGCATTAGTGGTTATAACTTAGGCCATGAGCTTTAAGCACCCATGGGCACACACAGTTGAGGGCATGAGCATCCTCATACACAGGTGATTGAATGAAAAGACTGATTCGCTTGGATAGAAAATCAAGCCCCACTTGATTTTCTAAACATCCCTGTACCCCAAATCTAAACTACTAAATGCTAAAATACTAATGATATTGATTTTGATCCTGAATATCTTATTTTATGACAAACTTATGACAAGAGATCCCAGCATATCTGGTCAATGAGAAGCACTTTAATTTCCAGAACCTTTATTTATTTATTTATTTGAGATGGAGTCTCGCTCTGTCACCCAGGCTGGAGTGCCAGTGGTGCGATCTCAGCTCACTGCAACCTCCACATCTCAGGTTCAAGCGATTCTCCTGGCTCAGCCTCCTGAGTAGCTGGGACTACAGGCACATGCCACAACGCCTGGCTAATTTTTGTATTTTTAGTAGAGGCAGGGTTTCGCCATGTTGGCCAGGCTGGTCTCGAACTCCTGACCTCGGTGATCCACCTGCCTCAGCCTCCAAAAGTGCTGGGATTACAGGCATGAGCCACCACACCCAGCCTCCATAAATTTTTATATCTATAAATCTAGAATTCTGTATAGAAATACAGCTGTCATGATGACCATCTTGATGAATCTTGAGCAGTGTAAGATATCAGAGTACTTTTGGAATCACCAAGAAAGATTGTTTCATTTGGTTTACTGGCAGTGTTAAATCTAGTTAATTATTTTCTGATTATTTAACTTGATGAAAGTTTATGGTATATTGTGATTGTTAATTAACATAGGACTTACAATTTAGCCAAAACAAAATGGTAGCTTACTTTTTCAGTGTATCTGGAGAAGCAGGAGAGTGTACAAGTTAGTAGTTCATGTTCCAGCTTTGCCATTTACTAGCTGAGCAACGAAATACTTGAGCAAATTACGGAGCCATTTTCTGCCTCTATTTCATCAGTAAATTGGAGAAAATAATGGTACCTACTAATGGATAAAATGAGTTAAAATGTATAAAATGCTCTGAATAGTACCTATTATATAGTAATCATTCAACAAATGTTAGTTTATTATTGCTATTGTTGTTATCATAGCATTTTCTAGTTTGCTTGGCACTTATGCCTATCTTTTCTCATTTTAGCCTCATGATAACCCTGTAAGTTAAGTAAGGCAAATGTCATAAATAAGGAAATTAAGGATTTTTTTTAAAGTGACTTGTTCATGGTCCCAAAGCTAGAAGTGTTGCTAAGTGGGGCTAGATCCCACATCTTTTGACTGATAATCTATCTCTCACCATATCATGATGTCTCCTTCTCAGCATGCTGAATAAATAGGTGCCATTATTTCTGGCACATTGTCTCTTTAATAGCCACATATTCTTAGGGTTCCAGTTAAGGTTGAGAAGCTGAGATCATGTTGGCTTCTGAGATCAAAGATAATTTTACTGACCTCAAATTGTATACCAATATGATGATAGGGTGTTGAGATGCCCAGGGTAAAGGAGTCACATTTGATAAAACCTTGTGTGGATTATCATCTTTTCATAATGGCTAAATCTTTTATGATACCGTTCAAGCTCAGTGACTTCCCAAATCATACTAATAAGTACAAGAAGTGTTAGCAAAAGAGATGAAAAAATTGAACTTGTAAATGAGACCTTTGTACCAAATTCTTGGATGTTTTTTCTTCAAAGGCTCATTCAGGGATCTTGAATTCTTCAGTGGGTTCTTGGTATCTTATGACATAAAGCATCCTCCCATTAGGTCTGGGAAAATCACCACAAGCATGCCAATAGTTCTGATATCTTAGCAACAAGGATCTTGCTTAGATCCATGCTTGCCTTTCCCCAAATCTGGATTGAATTACTGGAAGTTGAACGATCTAGCTCTAAAGACTGCACAAACATTATAAAAGAGAGCTCTGTTAACACCAGATGGCCTTATCTGCAGATTTTTAAAATGTAGACTATAAGAGAGCCATATAAGCATTGTCCAGAGAGACAAAAGGAAAGAAAAATACAAGCCACAATGGTTTGAAATATCCAGCTCTATTTTATAGAACCTTGACTCTACTGATGTTCTTCAACCCCAATCCTGCAGTTATTCATGTGGATTTTAACGAGAGTAGCTAGTGAAATTCAAGCTCAGATGTAGTCATTGAACCAAATAGTATAACGACTAAGTTGGAGATTTTAACTCACGACACTTGCCTTTTGTTGTCTAGCTTCAATACTATTTAAGAAAATAAGTATTTCTAGGTTATTTGAGGGATTTTGACATGGATGCAAAATATTAATCTGTTCTTTTTCCTTTGGCCCCAGGAGCTGGGATGAAATCACATGATTTCATCATTTTGAATCCATGCGGCTCCTCTGAGATAGGGCCAGATGTAACCAGAAGGATTTATAGGGTGTAAAATTCAGAATGGATTAGAAAAGCCTTTCTATGTTCAGCCCAACACATCCTAAATCAACGTCCCCTGAATGGACCAGAGCAATCTCTGGCTGGCCTAGTGGGGAGGTTGTCATGGCAACTGACTGGCAAGCTCAGCCAGTGGAATGTGAATGCAAACAATAGAGTGATAAGACTGTGTACAGAGCAGCATACTAAGGCTGCTTCTGCCCAGGTACAGTGGCACATAGGTGAAAGTGTGAAACTGTTGCTGCATTTTGTAACTTCTTAACAATCTCTGGCAGCTCATTTGAAATTTACCAAGTGCCCTTTCCCAGATGTTGGTAAAAACATTCCTGCTGATAGATAACAGAAGCTATGGAAAAATCAGCACCCAGCTGATAGGTGCAGAGGTATACAAAGCCCTGGAGGGCTGTTGGAATAACACTACTCAAAAATTTTCTGAAGGAGGTTGAAGCAGGTTTAAGGTAAATCTTATGACTCTTCAGTGCCATCTTGTGTCCTTTTAGATACTGACAATTTACTAGAAGCCCACTCTCAGACCGATCATTAGGCAGCAGCAGGGCAGACATGGAAAAGTTAGAGCTGGATTATATTGGAGCTTGGTATTCCCTTTTACAGCAGAATATGCACACCAAGCCTTCTGAGCTTTAAATTGATTTAAAAAATTGAAATTAAAAATTTTGGTAGAATCTGGAAATAAAAACAGAATAAGATGCCAAATAATGCCATGAAAAGATTGCAAGAGTCTACATGGTGCGCTAGGGGTTGAGGGAAGGGATGGAAAATCTAGATTTAGTGTTGAAGATTCTTACAGATAGATTTGGTATTGAGGATTCTTACTGTTGTCATTACTAACTCTTGCAATAGAATATTTTTAATCTATTCAGTCATGCTGATAATGCAAATGAATCAACAGAGAAAAATAAAATGTGAACATCACCAATTCCACTTTATAACTCTTTTGTTCATGGTTAATGGAGTAAGAGATGGTAGCATTTGCTTAAATGGTACCTCATGCCCACCTCTAATCTCTTACCTACCCCAAACCTACCACCCACTGATGTCTCACCATCACCTCATCACTATTGAAAGCCATAATCAAGTCCCATTTAATTTCAGAAATGCAAAATAACCAAGATGTGTTTCTGTGTGTTTCTTCCAGGGTTTGAGTTTTTTGAAACAAGTGCCAAGGACAACATTAATGTCAAGCAGACATTTGAGCGCCTTGTGGATATCATCTGCGACAAAATGTCAGAGAGTTTGGAGACTGATCCTGCCATCACTGCTGCAAAGCAGAACACGAGACTCAAGGAAACTCCTCCTCCACCGCAGCCCAACTGTGCCTGCTAGTGTCCCCGTGCACACAGGCAGCTCCAGGGGGCTCTGGTTGCCAACAAACAGCATTTGTAAATGGTCTATTAGCCTTCATTTATACTGCCTAACAATTATTTGAAGGAATAAATTGATGTCAATGGCTCGTACGCATTCAATTCTTGGGAGCTTTCCTGTTTAATATGTGGCAAATATGTGATCTTAAATTTATAAGGACTATCCATCTATAAACATCTGGTACCTGCATGTGACTTGTTATTTATTTGTCTGCTAGGCTCTTTTTGTTTCAAATTTGTTCTCAGACTACTTCTGGGACATCAGACTATAATCTCACTACAACTGGCTTTTGTCCCATTGATTCAAATTATGCTATTCACTTGTAGGAATGATGACCAAGGAATTGCTTGTGTGTGTGTGTGTGTGTGTGTGTGTGCACGCATGCCCGCATGCGTGCAGAGGAAGAAGTCACAAGACTTCATTTGCTTTACTCTTAGTTGAAAATCAAATGGAAGTTTTTCTCATGATTAGGGACGCTGTCACGAGTCTGGTCAGTTTACTGTTGGGAACTGTGTCTTTATTTCACTGTTATTAATAACTGAGATCATTGGCCTATAAAGAAATTGAAATGTTGTTTTTAAGGTCCTTGCAATTTTCCTAAGTCATTAATATTACCTGACTGGGGCTATTTAACAATAATCTTCGTTTACACATTTAAATAAGCAAGTATCTACCCAGGACTGCTTTTTCCACTGATCCTTCCCAATTCTGTGAATATTCAACATCATTGAACAGATTGAGACATATCTACTGAATGCCAGTTATGCAACAAGCATTTTAACCAAGAAGGGTATGAGTAGCTATGGAATTCCAAGGTCCAAGCCCCCTTATTTTTCAATGACTTGCCTTCCCCAACCCCCATAATGCACACCACCACCACCATCACTTTCTGGAACCATCACCAACTCTTGGACTAGAGCTTATGTTGAAGCTTGTTAGGGCTCCTCTTTCCGTAGGATGTAGACTTGCCTCCCCAAACACGGCCATCTTCTCAAACCTCAGCTAAGTTCTTTTACCTGTTTAGATGCTATTTAAATCAGATTTCAAAGGGTCCCCAGTTGAGAAAAAGGAAAATTTTAATCTTTAATCATCTTTTTAAGTCCAGATGTTCATAAATTCTAAAGCATATTCCTATTACGTGAATGCTTAAGTTACACAGGAAACATTCTATAACTGTAGTATTTCAATTTCAGAAATATTTAGGATCCATAGCAATTTAAAAGAGGGAGGAAACCACTGGAGCATTCTAATTTTGTATCACAAACTTCCTAAAGGACCTATATGAATAAAGAGAAAACAACAAATCCTACCAGCTGTACAGAGAGCAACAGGGAAATTTGGCCTCTGTATCACTGTCCAGCATTATTTAAAGCTAGGATTTAGGAAGGAAGCAGGAATTATTTGGCAGATTTGGAAGGATAGTTTCGTTAAGTGAACTTTCTACTTTTTTGGTGGTTATGTCAAAGAATTTTTTTCCTCTTCTCAAAAATAGAGAGGCTTCCCATGAAAGTATTGGATGCAAATGAAACAGGCATACATCTAAAGATATCTTTGGAGAATAAATCCTTACAAGTCACAGAACTAGGTCACACACATTAGTAAGTCAAAAGTTGGAAATTAGGGGAGAGAGCATTTGGAATGCTTTAAGCATTTCCATGTTATTTCTCACCTTCCTAGTTGAAGATCCACTAATCAGTAGTACATTTCTACTTTGGTGCCCTACAAAGCAAACCTTAGCATAGTAAAGACAAGAAAACATTAATGTTTTATTAGTTTTTAATGGGGCAACCAACTTCAAAATCACAGGAATTACAGTGACGGGAGAGAAAGAAGCAGGAGGCATAAAAACAGATTTGTTTGTAGCAGTAGTCTGTTTGTACAATGTTATAATATTTCTGTAACTTGGGCCAGAATGTGGCCATGTTAAATGATATAGCTATTAAGCTCACTTTTACAATCTAAAAGGAACTAATAAAGCCAGGAAACCCTTCTCATCCTCCTTCACAGCCCTCATCCCACACATAGATGTAAAAAGCTTAGAAAGAATATTCTGATGGCTTTTTCAGAAGGAAGGACCTTGATGTGTGTATTGTGGTAAAATGAAAAGCAAAATGAGACAGTATTTAAAAGTGAAAGAGCAGAGTTTTGCTCTGCTGAAAACCCCTTCCCTGAAGAACTGATTGCTGTTGAAGTTAATTGGCCCTTAGATGGGAAGCCCTAAGCCAAGCTCCCACTTACACAGTGTCAAACATCCCGAAGTGGAAACATTTTATGCCAGTCAGGGGAGAGACAGGCAACAATAGCCCAAATGTCATTGCCAAGAAACATCTGATACTTTCTAATTTCTAAACCCCAATGGAAGTGAGGCCTTTTTCATTGATTCTCAGTTCTGAAACTCCCACCCTGTTAGGATTTCCATTCCAAATAATTCAATGAGAGGTTTCCAGAGAAACAGTCACAGAGCTCAAGAGAAAGAACACTTAAATGCTCCTGCTGTAATTGCATCAAAAAATCCGGGTTTTAACATCAAATTTGGCAAATGGTGGGACCAACCCAAGGTTAACTAAGTGGGCTTTCATTGGCATTGAGCTATGTTACTTATAAATTATAACACTATAGTTCCAAGGTTTTTCAGCCTTTTGGCCAACACACACACACACACACACACACACACACACACACACTATACCATCATCTATCAATAGTCTAAATACATAAATAAATGCAGGTCATTTTTATCAATGGCCTAACTAAATTTATATTTAAAAGAACAAGACTTTTAAAAAGTACATACTCCTGTTGGTTTGTAAGTTATACACATTTATCTCTTGTCTTTGATTTAATTAAATTAGTGTTTTAAGTATGAATTTATTTTCCTTTGCTACTCATTACCTGACCACTTTCACTCCTCTAGATACCCTTAGGAATAAACCTGAACTGTTCCAAATCGATTCTTCCAAGAGCTTTGGTGTTGGTACCTTCCTTTCTTTTCCTAATGCAACTGAAAAATTAGACTGAAAATTATTTGACTTAAATAGCCATCCTCAGAGTGAATCAGCATTTCAGTTTTTGGAGATGGGGATGGAAGTAGAAGGTGCACAAAGCGTCCTAAGATGGCAGTTTGAATGTTAGCATCGCATCTACATGCTCATAAGAGGAATTGCTTCAGGACAATGAATCAGTTCATTGTTGCTGCCCCCAGTGAACAGCTCCAACTGCCTTGATGAACTTCTAATGACTGTGAAAGCTAGGAGGTTCTTCTAGTTCCTCCTTAGGGTCACTTGAAGTTCAGTATTTTTTTGCTGCCTGGTAACTAAGTGCTAAGATTTTTACTTGGAAAGAAAACTATGACAATGCCTTCAGTTGTAGCAGAAAGTTGTGGCATTGTGATAATAAACAAAATCTACAAAGTTACAACCCAAATTATACAAGACATCAAAACACTCAGTAAACAAATATATATATTTCACCTACTTAAATCTTATTCATATTAATTATAGGCCTTTTGTTTAGTACACTGGTTATTTTTTAAGGAACCAATTTAAACTTTCAATTTTAAATACATCTATGCTGACGATAGACTTTCGGGTATATACAACCTTCTTCTTCTCTTTTAAAAGTTAAATACATTCCACTATTAACTGAACTTCCATGAAGCAACATTAATTTTAGAGCATGGTAGTCCATAATCAGTGGTTCATTGTGATGTGCTTTATCCAACATGTATCTTAGTGCATGGTTGAGGATGTACTATGTGATATTTTAGTTAACAGTGTGGCATTTGTGGGACTATATTAAAAGCATATCCAAACTACCAAGCTATACCAAGCTGAGGTAGGTAACACCTGCATGTGAAAAACTGTGATATGAATCTTATTTATAAAAAAGTCATAACTAAAACCCTTCTAGACCAAAAAGTTACTGTGTGTTTGTTAATAATCTTCATAGTACTACTGGAATGCTCAATCAGTTATTTTTGGTGTGGCATACTTCAGAGCTGGCCTGTCCGTCTGAAGAACCCTTTCTCTCACAATTACAGTTTGCATGACTAGAACCCGGAACTCTGTTCCTTTGCGTGTATAGTCACTTAGTGTGCTGTCCGGGTGCCACATGAGCAACTACACCCATGTGGCCTTTCTGTCACTCCCTGGAAAATGCAACCTCTACAGCTCTGCTCAGCTCTGCCTGTGTGCATTGATTACCTTCGCTTTAGTAGTTTGCCTGTAAAATGGTGAAGTCTTTCTGATATGCTGAACCTTTGAGCCAGCTTTTGGGAGTTCTTCATATTTTAGGTGAATTTTTGACCAAAGTCAATTAAAGACATAAACCTGTTTTATATCATGGAATTTACTGGGCCAAATTAAGTAAAAGATGAAGTTTATGACCAGAATAAAAAAGCCTTTACCCCTGCACAGCACTGTATCTAAAGGGCTCTAGGTTGTAGAAATATAGTACCCCCTAACAGGGAAAAACCAAGTTGGGGGATTTATCTAAAATGTATCTACCTATTGTTACTGGTATTTCACAAATAATTTTTTTCTTAAAAATATTTACAGAAATGCTTGACACTCCGGTCAAATAATATTTCCCTTTGATAGATTGAAATATTTGCTTTTAGATTACACATACAGTGCTGCCCTTCTCAACAGTCACTCACACGCTCACTCGCCTGTACAAAGGTATCAGGCAAACACTGATACTTTTTTTTAAGAAGGCAAAATTCCATCTATGGTGCTTTCTCAGTGCTAGGGAAAAGGGAGCTTTTACTATGTTCCAGCTATAACTCACATCTTACTTATAAGGTCCATAAAATCGGTTCTTCACACTGATTTCGTTTGATTAGTCTGTGCATGTAATTAATTTCCTCCAAACAGAGAGAGTGGAGGGGAAATAAATTTTGCAAGCATTCTAGATAACAGAAATGAGTCATTTTAAAACCTCACTCAGAGCTCGAGTGTTAAGATCAGACCATCTAGCTAGTGGACAAATTGAACTTTCTATTTGCAGTTCTCTTTTACTTTCTGACTTTCTTTTAAATTACTGCAGTTTTTCAAAACACTATCCTCATGGAATGACAGGACCAAGAATAGAAAATGAGACTCAAATTTCACCATTTACTTCCCATCAGCAACCATTACTGGTGGAGTTTCAAACAGTCATTACTTGCTGAAATGAGGTTTGAGGTTACCTGTGTATTTCATTCACCTGTGTTAATATTTCCTTCATCGTGGACAAGTGAGAGTTGGCTGTGGCTTTATTTCTTGAGGCAAATTATTTTGCATTCATGTTATTTGGGGCTAGGTATTGCTTAGGTTCGTGAATGCTGTTCTTACAGACACAGATGGTACCTGAGCCCCTCAGACACCTGCCCTTTCAGGGACGTGAGCATGACTTACATCTGTCAAGTGGTTCCATACTTCTTGTAAAAGTAAAGTTTGGGTATTGTTTGCTGTATCAATATGATGGCTTTCCATGCATTGTCTCATTATCCCTAGGATACGTGCTAAAGGAAAACTGTCCTGTAATTCCTGTTAATATATTGTTAATGTCAGACGTGATGTGATACCGTTAGACTGTCCAAATGTACAACAATTTAATGGTGTTTGTAGAACTGATATGTCTTAAATGTTGCATGAAATATGTTATAAAAATAGATTTGTTTTCTATTTTCAACACCTCAGAATTGAGGGTTCATGGGCCAATAAGTGCAATATTTAATGACTCACTCAGTGTATATAAACTAGTATGAAAGAGTGAATTATAATGAATGTGTGAGATGCTTTGATAGCTGTGTGACTTATTCAAATGATTTTCTTGTAGCTGTATTTGTCTAGTGGTGCAATTTATACAGTAAATATCTTATTGGTGTCATGTAAAACCCCTCTGTGCCTACTTCAAAATACTTTTTTCTTATAAAACCAAACATTTAGTATCTGGAAATATGTGTCAATTTTATCTCTTAGAATTGTGGATTTTATTGTCAAGACAGAATGGCTGTTCATTTATTTTATAAAAGCATCTCCTTCTATAACTCAAAATTTTCTTTAAGTGTCATATAAAAGTGTACATTTTACTTTTAAGCAACTAATTTAGATACCTAAGAAAAACTATGTGCATTAGGAAAAGTCATGTTTTTCTTCTCAGAAAGGTTGATCACATGACATGTCTACTAAGAATTTTCACCTCTGTACTTGTATGTATATTTTATTGTTACTCAATCTTGTATTTTATTTACAAATTCAACACTGTCAACCCTGGGAATTCTAAAATACCAATGTATTTTTAGGTTGTAGCTAATGTTGTATTCACTTTCAATTCTCAGTTGTCCACACTGGTGATATAAGAGGAACAAATCAGAATCATTAAATACTTTGTAATGCCATCATAAACTCATATATTCATCCTCAAACTCCCTTGTTTAATGCTAATTGGTGGCCTGGAACTTCACTGAGATGCAAAATCAAGAACTGAAGCCTAGTTGCTAGATAACGAAAAGCTATAAATGTTTATGTATGTGAATTTTAAATTAGAATAACCGTCTTAAACTCCTACTTGCCATTTCTAAGGCAAAGCATTCATTTTAATATTGTACTTTGCCTTTTCATTCAGTTAGTGGAGTAAGTCATGAAACCCTTAGGAAGAAAAACAAGTTATGACTTATTCACTAAAATTGATGCAAGACAGTTGGTTCTAGATGACCATGGCCATGTGTTCATCATATAAAACCTTCAGTTCTCTCTATGGTGCTTGGCTGGAGATTGACATGTGAGGATGTGCCAATCATATTAAATGGATTTGGTCTATGTGGGTGATATGTGGCCTGAATGTAACTGTGATAGACTGAAATTTGTTCTTAGCTCTCAAAATCCACTGAAGAAGTCAAGTGAAGGTGGGTAAAATAGGGAGATTAGTGACAACTTTGTGCCAAATTTTTTAAAAAATGGAAGCAGGTAGCCAATATTAGAATGATAATTTAAGGGTGTGGTTGAATTTTAGTTAGTTGTCACATAGTTATTGAACCTCATATGCTCAGTGCTGTGGGAATCAAACATGGAAGAGGTATGGCTCCTGCCCCTAATGAGAACAAGGGGGAAAAATCCAGATATAATCTAAATGCTAGGTTATGTCAGGGTATAGGAACACAGAGAATGGGGGACCTGTAAGAACTGGAAGAGTCAGAGAGGGCTCCATTGAAGAGGTCAAACATAATTCCGGAAAGAATTAGGTAGTGAGGAGATTGTGCCAGGAAAATAAGTGGGAAAGGCCACAGTTATGTTTCCTTTGAATGGAAGAGAGACAAAGCTATCAGCTATAGATCATTGTTTTCTTAAGACAGCCAAACTGGCCCTTTGAAACCATTCAAATTACCCCAGTTTAGCTCCCTACCTTTTAGTCTCCGTGAGGAAGACAAGCTGTTGCATTATCATATTCCTCTGTGCTGAGCAGCTCAAGACTCAGCCACAATATGCAAATTGCTTTAATGCCATATTACGGCAGTTGATTTAGACATTTGCCAGTGCACCAAACCATGAGAGATTGTCCGACCTAATGCCACCTGGCAGATGTGTACCCAGAGATTTTTCTGTAGCTCCATGTTTCCCATAAAGGGCATTGGAAATGCACAGATGAAGATCTTCCTTTGGAACCAGGCACATTTGGCCCCTTCTCAGTGACTGCACTGTGGAACTCTTCTTAAGAAAATATTGAAAACAGCTTAATGCTTTCATATAGTGACCGACATTTAGTTGAAAACTACTGCTGCATAGCAAATATTGTGACTCTTCATGTGTCCACAGGAGCTCTTGTGTGGGTTTAAAGCTATGAAGTGTATTCACATTGTGAAGTTTTAATTATCTTTATTGAAATTAATTGTGTAAAAATGGTATGTGCTCTATTAGGTATTCAGTTTGTATGTGAATTCTATAAAGAAAGTGGTTTTTGTTCTTTGAGTTTGTTTTATTTCTTGAAGATTACAATAAATATCTAAGAGACTATATTCCTGAATTTCTTAGCCTTAGTCTGATTAATGTTTTTCATCTCCTTTCAATTCATATTATTTTTCATCCTAGGATGCTTATTTCCATTTCTTCTCCCACTTCTATAATCTTAGGTACAACACTGAGTTTGAACTGAAGATGAAGAGTGAACACATTTAGGGCTTTGAGTATCTCACACATGAATTTGGACTTAGGCACAGGAATGAATTCTAATACTTGTAATCTTTCAAGGTCGATAACTTTCTAACTGACCCAACTGACTGGGTTCCAGAGTTACAAAGCTTAGCTGTAGGATCAAGAATAGCTGCTAAGGGAGATAAAGGTCTTCAGGTCTGCAACTTGAAGACCATGTGTCCCTAAATGAAAAGTCTAAGGTTTGATGATCACTTAGCACCCTACTGGCATAGCCCGAGGCAAGGG